>NC_000021.9:41584392-42184392 GCF_000001405.40 Homo sapiens | reverse complement strand
ACTCAGGGAGCTCCTCTTCATTTTTCTATACAGACACCCACACCCCATGCCATGCACACAGACTACACACACCACACACATGCCCCATATATACACCACACACACACCCCACACATATACACCACACACACAAACCACACACACACCACACATACCCAAACACACATTCACCCCATGCACACCACACACACAGGCACATACACACACCACACATATACACCACACACCACACACACACCACACATACACACCACACACCACTCACACCATACACACACAACACACACATACCCAAACACACATTCACTACACGCACACCACACAGATGTGTGCACACACGCCACACACATCACACATACAAACGACACACACCACACCACACACCTCACACACATCACACAAACCACACACCACACACACAAACCACATACACCACACACCTCACACACATACCGTGCCACACCACATCATATACCACACACAACACATACAACACAAAACACCTACCTCACACACACACACCATAAACACACACCACACCACACACCTCACACACACACCACCACACATGCCACACAACACACACACTACACACACCACACCACACATCTCAGACACACACCACATCACACTACACCACACACCTCACACACACAACCACACACCTCATACACATACCACACACATATCACATATACATATACCACATACCACACACACACACACAACACCATACATCACACACACCATACCACACACACACACATGCACACAGTGTACCACACACCATACATCACACACACCACACACCACATCCACACACCGGACCACACACCATACAGACACTACATACACACTACATGCACACCACACATCACACACCACACATCTCCCATACATACACCACACCACACACCAGACATATACCACACAAACACACCACACACACACCCCACCACATACACACACTACACACACCGCACAGACACACTTACACCACACACACACATATATTTTTCCCTCTTCTAATAAACCATTGGCTTTGAATAGCTTATCTACTAAGCAGTCTCAGAATAGTTTGTATGTTTTTACACTTGTCTGCCTAATTTGTTTAATGTCATGAAGTCCCCTGCCAGAGTGATGTGTGCCCTGAGAGTCGGGCCGGCAGGCCTGGATTCCAGCCCTCATCCCTCAGCTGACCAGTCCCTGATGCTGTGCAGTCACACCACCTCTCCAGACCTCTTCACGAATAGGCAGGGTGGTGTGGGGACATGGTGCTGCCTCAAACATAAAACCTAGAAGAACAAATCCATACCCAAAGCCAGGTTTGGGATGCCCATGGCTGAGGATGGCTGGCTGGGCTCTGGGGCTGGAGGCAGGTGCTGGAGGGTCAGGAGTGAGGTGGGGATGGAGACAGCTCCCTGCTTAAAGCAGGGCAGGGGTCAGGCCAGCCCTGCTGGTGAAAGTGACTGAGAAAAAGCTGCTGCTGCCGCTGGCTGGGCTGGGCTGGGCTAGGGCTCCTTGGCCAAGGACACTGTGGGCAAGGGAGGGGATGGGTTTCACAGATGGCAGTGCTGAGACTCTGCTAGACAAGCCCCAGCCCCTAGGGAGAAGGAGGCTGGCCCAGGTGAGCCTTGGGATGGGAGGGAGCTGGCAGAGAGGGGGCCCAGAGCTGCTCCTTGGTTGGGGGACAAAAAAACAGAAACTCAAGTTCTCATGCAACATGAGCTTGCAAACCACAATTCTAAAACACATGGAGACGTCTAACAATCCACTGGCTTTGAATACCTTACTAAGCCTTCATAATAGTTTGTTTAAGTTTTTACAGTTGTCTGCCTAATTTGTGAGGCTTTCAAAGCTCCCCCCACTTTTTTTTGAGATGGAGTCTCATTCTATCACCCAGCTTGGAGTGCAGTGGAGTGATCTCAGCTCACTGCAACCTCCACTTCCTGGGTTCAAGCAATTCTCCTGCCTCAGCCTCCTGAGTAGCTGGGACTACATGTGCGTGTCACCACGCCCAGCTAATTTTTTGTATTTTTAGTAGAGACAGGATTTCACCATGTTGGCCAGGCTGGTCTCGAACTCCTGGCCTCAAGTGATCTGCCCACCTCAGCCTCCCAAAGTGCTGGGATTACAGGCGTGAGCCACTGCACCTGGCCTTTCAAAGCCTTTTTTAATGCCATGGAGTCACATAACTGAGTGAAGAGCTATCTGAAAACCAGGGCCAGCAGACCTGGATTCCAGCCCAAATGACCGATCCCCAAAACTAGCATTGGAAACATTAGAAGCATGCATTCACATCAAATAGAATTAATTTTATAGGACATTCTGGCGGAAATACTGAAGAAATTATTCAAATGTAAAAGAAGCAGAAGAAATTATTAAACAAAGAAAAAAGATATAAAAAGAGAATCACATTAAAAATTTTGAAAATGAAGGGTAGAATAATTGAAGTTTAAAACAAACCTTATACCTGGCAAAAAAAAGTAAAAAGAAGGAATTAATATAGGTAAAAGTAGAAGTCCCTGAGTTAGAAATCAGACATAGGTAGAATGGATGAATGGTCTGGTTCTTTGAAAAACATCTCCAAGAGAGAAAATTCAAAAGCCAACTTAGTTCTTTAAAAACAGGTTTAAAATACAAAAGTTGGTTTTCTGCTGATTCTTGAAGCTGCATCATTGTAGTTTGTTACACGAAGCTCTCTATTTTATGTTTAGACATTTCCATATAAAAAACTAAAAAGAGAGAAGAGAAATAGCAAGAAAACATTAACCAAAGAATACATGTAAATATCAGAAAAATAAATGTAAGGCAAAACCATGAGCAATAAATAGAGTGTCAGTACTCAATGACAAAGCTTCAGTTCACCAGGACAGTAAAACAAACATGTCTGTAGACAGGAGAGGGCCTTTCCCCAGCTCTCATCCTCACTGTCTCATGGCTTTTCCTAGGAATGTCAATTCCCAAGTACTTCTGGCCTGCCCTGCCTTCCGTATTTCCAGAAATGCCTTCTAACACAGAGATGCAGTCACTGCTAGTTGCGAGTTATACAGAACATCCCAAAATGACAGAGCCCCAGAGACATAGGTGACACCAGCCGCATCTGTGACATGAGAGAACACAGGCATGTTTCAGGCACAAGCAGAACATTTACAAAAATTTACCTAATTCCAGGACACAGAGCAAAACCCAAAAAATGTTAAAAATTTGGTTTCATGAACATTTTATTATTTATCCACAATTAATAATTAAACACAAAAGATAACTGGGGAGAGGGAGCACATGTTTAGGAATTAATAAATACACTAACTCACTCATGGGTCAAAAAAGAAACTATGTTGAAGTTAGAAAATAATACAAAAATTAACTCAAGATGGATTAAAGACTTAAATGTAAAACCTAAAACCATAAAAACCCTAGAAGAAAACCTAGGCATTACTATTCAGGACATAGGCATGGGCAAGGACTTCATGTCTAAAACACCAAAAGCAATGGCAACAAAAGCCAAAATTGACAAATGGGACCTAATTAAACTAAAGAGTTTCTGCACAGCAAAAGAAACTACCATCAGAGTGAACAGGCAACCTACAGAATGGGAGAAAATTTTTGCAATCTATCCATCTGACAAAGGTCTAATATCCAGAATCTACAAGGAACTTAAACAAATTTACAAGGAAAAAAAACCCCATCAAAAAGTGGGCAAAGGATATGAACAGACACTTCTCAAAAGAAGACATTTGTGCAGCCAACAAACATATGAAAAAAAGCTCATCATCACTGGTCATTGGAGAAATGCAAATCAAAACCACAATGAGATACCATCTCACGCCAGTCAGAATGTCAATTATTAAAAAGTCAGGAAACGATAGATGCTGGTGAGGCTGTGGAGAAATAGGAATGCTTTTATACTGTTGGTGGGAGTGTAAATTAGTTCGACCACTGTGGAAGACAGTGCGGCTATTCCTCAAGGATCTAGAACCAGAAATACCATTTGACCCAGCAATCCCATTACTGGGTATATACCCAAAGGATTATAAATCATTTTACTATGAAGACACATGCACACATATGTTTACTGCAGCACTATTTACAATAGCAAAGACTTGGAACCAACCCAAATGCCCATCAATGATAGACTGGATAAAGAAAATGTGGCACATATACACCATGGAATACTATGCAGCCATAAAAAAGAATGAGTTCATGTCCTTTGCAGGGACATAGATGAAGCTGGAAACCATCATTCTCAGCAAACTAACACAGGAACAGAAAACCAAACACTGCATGTTCTCACTCATAAGTGGGAGTTGAACAATGAGAACACATGGATACAGGGAGGGGAACATCACACACCGAGGCCTGTCGGGGCGTGGGGGGCAAGGGGAGGGAGAACATTAGGACAAATATCTAATGCATGCGGGGCTTAAAACCTAAATGACTGGTTGATAGATGCAGCAAACCACCATGTCACGTGTATACCTATGTAACAAACCTGCATGTTCTGCACATGTATCCCAGAACTTAAAGTAAAATTTTTAAAAAAGAAAATTAGAAAATAATAGTTTAGCCCTAATAAACTATCTTAAATCTTAAAGAGTACAGATTAAATGTTTCTTAAAGTGATATTTGAAACCCTAAAAGCTTACATTAGAAAACAGGATAGGCTAAAAAAAAAAAATGAATTAAGCTTCCAGCGTAAGAAATTAGAAAAAGAACAAGCAAATAAGCACAAAAATATCAGAAGGAAGAAAATAATAAATACCAAATTGACAATGATAAATTAGAAAGCCGACTGCACCAGGCCCCTGTGCCCAGCTCAGATCTATGCAGTTTTTGTCTTGTTCCAGCTGTGGCCTCAGCCAACAGCTGCATGGGGGCTCCATCCTCTGCCAGCTGACGGCCCTCTCTTGTTACTTGGACAAAGAAGTCTGAGGGAATTCCATGCCCTCCTCAGTAGGTCCCAGCAGGGTCAAGAAAAAAAAATCAACAATTGCTCAGAGCAGTGGCAAACATTTTAGCATCCAAGAAACAAAATAATTCTTTCAAGCACATGGGACCAGGTTAAATAACTGTAAATAAAGTTTTAGAAAAAGTTTCAGCAAGTTTTTAGAATTACCACCATTCAGAGCACTTTCTCAGACCTCAATGCAATTAAGTTAGAAATCAACAATACAAGCACTTCAAAAGTATGTTAGAAATTAAGGGCCGGGTGCGGTGGCTCACGCCTGTAATCCTAGCACTTTGGTAGGCGGAGGTGGGCGGATCACCTGAGGTCAGGAGTTTGAGACCAGCCTGACCAACATGGAGAAACCCCATCTCTACTAAAAATATAAAATTAGCCGGGCGTGGTGGCGCATGCCTGTAATCCCAGCTGCTCGGGAGGCTGAGGCAGGAGAATCACTTGAATCCGGGAGACGGAGGATGTGGTGAGCCAAGATCACGCCATTGCACTGCAGCCTGACTCCGTCTGGATTAAAAAAAAAGAAAGAAAGAAATTAAAATGTCCTCTTAAATGACTCTGGGGTTAGGAAATGGCAATTTCTAACCCAAGAATCATTTGAGTTAGGGGATGCCAGCTCCACCTGAATGGATGGATGGCAAGAACACGTCATATTGTCATAGATGAATATTACCCCTAGAAGCAATTAAAATCAACAAACTCAAAAGTGGGTTTTCTGTAAAAACTAATAAAATAGACAAGCATCAGCCAGAATGACACAGAAAGGGAGGCAGGGGACAGAAAAGACAGAGGGAGAGGAAGAGGGAGTAAAGAGAATAAATTATGACTAATGAGAATGAAAAGGGGATTTAATGGCAGTGAAATTTAAAACACATCTATGAGATACTATGAATAACCTTGTCCAATGAACCTGAAAGCAGCAATGGAAGGGATCATCTTCAGAGAAGTAAACATCACCAAAACCGAATCGAGAAGAAATCGAACACCTGGAAAAACCTATAACCATTAATATACATTGATTTGGTAATCAAAACTCTCCCACCTCCCTAGAGATCCTAGATAGAATTTCAGATGAGTTTTTATCAAATCCTCAAGAAATAGATTATCTTCATCATACACAAATTATGCTATACATACATACATACATTAGCATTTATAAAAATGTTAAATCTCTCAGAATCCCTGAAATCAATTTCGAAGAGTATTGGTAGAACACTATTCTTCATAGCAACGCTTTTAAGATGCTAGCATAAGTTTAAGGGAATATACATGTACAATTCAACCAAAAAGATTTAATATCTAGACTATATAAGAAATTCAGGCCAGGCATGGTGGTTTACGCCTGTAATCCCAGCACTTTGGAAGGCCAAGGCTGGAGGATTGCTTGAGCCTAGGAGTTCAAGAGCATCCTGGGCAATAAAGTGAGACCAAGTCTGTACAAAAAATACAAAAATCACCTGGGTGAGGTGGCTTGCACCTGTAGTCCCTGCTACCCTAGAGGCTGGGGTGGGAGGATCACTTGAGCCCAGGAGGTTGAGGCTGTAGTGAGCCAAGTTTGCACCACTGCACTGTAGCATAGGCAACAGAGACCCTGTCTCAAAACAAAACAAAACCAAACAAAACAAAAAACTGATATTTGAAACATGCAATGGATATGAATAGAAAATTCACAGAAGAAACTCAGATATCCACCAAACACATAAAAAGATGTTCAAATTTGTCAGTAAACATGGAGCTGTAACTTAAAACAATGACAGACCATGTCACACTCATTCACATGTTTAGACGTTTTGAGCCTGTCGACAACAAGTGTACCCAAGCATGCAGATAACAGGATTTCTAGCACATTCTCGGTGGAGAATAACATGGTACAACCACTTTGGAGGGCAGGTTCATGACATTGGGTGAATTTGAGGATGCATATCCTCTGTAAGCTGGTCCTTTTAAGGGTAAAGGAAAGGACGCAGGTGGTCAAGATTACAAAATCAGTGCATGGCAGTGCCCAGCTCCATCCAGGGCTCTGTTCTGCCCATTAGGCACCCCTGCCTCTCAAAACAAGGAGATTAATCATGTGAGAAGATCAATCTCTAATGGCATTTGGACATTTTAACAAGTCCACGTTTTGTTCACTCTCATGATCTCATGGTTTGTTTTCTCATAACTTATAAAAAAGAAACTTCCAAAGTGTTTAATCCAAATGGAAAATCTAATCATCAAATGTTAGCTCCTTGAGTGTGTGGATACAAGGGATGTCAATATTACAAGCGGAGAAGAACAAAAAAAAAAAAAAAAAAAACCACTGGGTGTATTTTTAGCTTTAATGCTAACACAAAGTATTCAGTGCAATCATGTGAGAATGTTTCCAAGAACATTTCAACCACTTAAAAATGGCCTGTTTTCCAAAAAGAAACCAAATGTGTTTTGCTGGAGGAAATCCATGCTTCTACGAAGTCAAATTGGATTGTTCCATCCTATAAGGGCTGAATCATGTAAAGGGCTGCTTTTAAATGATTTCTCACCAATCCTGCCCACGTGTTTTGTGTCCCTAAGATTTTTAGCTGAAGGAATGTGGAGGCTGGGTGCAGTGGCTCACGCCTGTAATCCCAACACTTTGGGAGGCTGAGGCGGG
Source organism: Homo sapiens (assembly GCF_000001405.40). Lineage (NCBI taxonomy): Eukaryota > Metazoa > Chordata > Mammalia > Primates > Hominidae > Homo > Homo sapiens. The sequence goes on along the minus strand of NC_000021.9, from coordinate 42,176,803 downwards.
TGGATCACCTGAGGTCAGGAGTTCGAGACCAGCCTGGCCAACATGGCGAAACCCTGTCTCTACTAAAAGTACAAAAATTATCTGGGCGTGATGGCAGGTGCCTGTAATCCCAGATACTCGGGAGGCTGAAGCAGGAGAATTGCTTGAACCCGAGAGGTGGAGGTTGCAGTGAGCTGAGATTGCGCCATTGCACTCCAGCCCGGGTGACAAGAGAGAGACTCCGTCTCAAAAAAAAAAAAAAAAGAAGGAACATGGGAATCCTCATGTTCAGCCGCTTTCTCCAGGTGAGGAAAATCCTCTGGCTTTTCCCCTATTTCACTGTGAGTTTGAGGTTAGGCTTTGGCGATCATGTCTCCCCAGTCACCTTGTGATCCTTTTCAGCTCTGGGAAGCGCATTGGCAGCCCGGCAGGAAGGCTCTGGTGAGCCTCAGCTCTTCCAGGGCATGCACTGATACCTCAGTGTTGGGTTTTGCATGTTCAGATCTTCAATCTTAAAGCATGCACCATTTTGAGGTTCCAGAAAGAAACACCAAAGCAGCTGCCCTGTCTCCCGCTGTGACTGTGTGGCCATCAAAAACCCCCAGAAGGCTCTGGCAGCTGAGCGGGTGTAAGAGCAGGCTGGTGCTGGAGGTCCTGTGAGCTTCAGATCTGTGAGGGCAAGGTGCAGACCCGGGAGTGGAACAGAAGGAAAACACCTTTGTAAATCTTGAAGCAGGTCTTGAGTTCATTTAAAAGTGTTTATTGAGTGCTGGCTAGGAAGGCACCGTGCAGAATCCAAAGCTCCGGAAAACTTGGTCTCCAACCTCGGGTTGACAGGCTAATTAATGGAGCTAAGTTCTGTGCACTTGCACACACACGCTCAGACACACGAACACGCATGGCCACTCGAGCATCCAAAACATGGCCGACATTTAAGCAGCGTTTGATCAAATGTCCATGTTTTGCAGAAGCCCACAGGAGACAGAACTTGCTGTCAGATGGAGCAGGACACCTTCTGGATGGAAGAGAGGAGTGTGTCATGTCTATATTGGGGTTAAATCTTTAGAGTCAGGGAACCTAACCTTGCTCCTTTGCTCACTTGGCCATCCGCTTGCAGATGTATGTAGGGAAGAAGCCACTCAGCCGATGGCCAAGTGAGCAAAGGAGCAAGGTTAGGTTCCCTGACCCTAAAGATCTAAAGTGGTTTGTTAGTGCTTCATAAAGCCAACTTCATAACTGTGGTCTGAGGTCATTTCTTACTAAAATAATCAGATTTTAAAAATCCACATGGTAGCCAAGAGAAAGCACGTGGAGCCAAGAAGCTGAGAAGCTTCGAAGGGAAGTTGGAGTGATCGGGAGGCTTCTTTGCAGGCAAGTGGCTTGGGTGAAGGGGTGCAGAGAAGTGCTTGAGGGCCACTGGGAAAATGGTTTGACATTTCTAAGGCCATTGCCAGGAAGAGTAAGGACATCCATGGGACTCCTCTGCAGGAGGCATTCCTGGCAGGTTGAAGGTCAGTCTGTTAAGCAATTCAAATAGCCAAGGACAGTACGTGGAACAGTAGAAATTGCCAAGACCTTCCAGTGTTAAAAAACTCACTACTTAGAGGCATTGAGGGATGACTTCACTAAATCTCTCGGAACTTTCTTTCCTTCCTTCCTTCCTTCCTTCTTTCTTTCTTTTTTCTTTCTTTTCTTTTCTTTTTTTTTTTTTTTTGACAGAGTCTTGCTCTGTCGCCCAGGCTGGAGTGCAATGGCGCGATCTCGGCTCACTGCAATTTCCACCTCCTGGGTTCAAGCAATTCTCTTGCCTCAGACTCCCAAGTAGCTGCGATTACAAGCACTTGCCACCACATCCAGCTAATTTTTGTATTTTTAGTAGAGATGGGATTTCACTATGTCGGCGAGGCTGGTCTTGAACTCCTGACCTTGGGTGATCCACCCACCTCAGCCTCCCAAAGTGCTGGGATTACAGACGTAAGCCACTGTGTCTGGTCTCTCAGAATTCTTGAAATCGAGTTTGAAATGTATATTGCTAGAACAAATGGCCTATATATGAAGAAATAAAGCCAGACTAAAAGCTAAACACAATCAAGGCAGTAACTACAGAGACAGCAGGCAACGAGGTTTTAAAATAAAACAGTATATAGTTATACATTTATGTATTGAGACCCAGCCTTGTTCCAGGGAGGATTAGGAGGGTATCATTGGCGCTATTCCTAGGGCTGTCAAGATTAAGGTCATTTAAGACATGAACTAAGGGCCAGAAAAACAGGGGCTGGTGAGTTTTGTGTGTACAGTACCCTTTCGTGCCTTTCTGATGTCAACCAACCCCTTTTCCCAAGAGGGATCGTTTCCACCTGGCCCAGATGGGGCTGACATCTTGCCAACCATATGGTCCAGACCTGACCAATCAGAGCACCCCACCTCCTGGCTATGGTATTGGTTTAAGCCCACTCACGTGACTCAGGCTGGACCAATCAGACTCTCTCCTGACCAGCACTGAGCCAATGGGAAAAGCTCTCTCCCTTCATTGATGTGTTGCACCAAGGAGAATGTGAAACCCAAGGGTCCACCTGCCTCCTCTCCAGCCTGGCCCAGAAAGCACCTTTGAAAGGTAAGAGGATCGGAAGGGGCTGGGGGAGACTAATGACATCATTAAAGCCTGGCCAAGGGCCGCTTGGGTGCACTCTGGGCTTTCCATTTGTGTCAGCCAAGGGACTCCCTGTTTTGCTTAGGCCGGTTTGAGGCGGCTGCTTCTCAGACTAATACAACCTTTAACCATAATGGAGTGATAAACGGCATTTTAAAGAAACTACAGCTAATAATTCCCCAAAATAGAAACAGAACTGGCTGTTAATTCAGGCCACCGAGAGAGGAATGAGCAGCATTTTAGAGGTGTAGAGAAACCTTTGCATTTATACATTATTTCTCCAAACTAGCTCTCTGTGTCTCTCTCCTTCTCTCTCCCACCAACACACATTTTAGCGAGTGTTATGAGATGAAACCAACGTTCTCAGGTGCTGGAATGTCATTAAATACTCCAGAGTAGTCATTAACTAAATGGTACCTGATCATTTTGGAAGAGTTCATGGAACTTCTAAAACAATACCTGGTTTGCTTTCTTAGAGTAGTTTTTGAATTGGTTGAATCAGGCTGAACACTTCTAGAAAACTCTAAGCTCTAGGGGTGATGACCTCTTTAAAGGCAAAGGAGATACTGACCCTATCTTCTGTGATAGAGTCATTGGGGGTCTTAAATGATGATCTGGAATGTTCTGGAACAGATGGGTTGCCTCTCCTCTTTGATGAGCCACATGGGGTGTTTTCTGCGGAAAAAGTCCTGTCCCGATTCCCCTTGGAGGATCTCCTGGGCTCACTGCCATTCCCTGGGCAACCTCTAAACGAGAGGTCCCCTCTCCCGTGCCATCACACCTGGCACGTCTCCACACCGGCCAGGGCCCAAATGGACCGAGAACAGGCTTACTCGCGGGATCCTAGCCTTAGCCTTCAAGCTCAGAGAGGTTCCGGGTCCCAACACCCCCTGGATGCTGGCAGCCCTGGCCACTAATTCAGCGGGTCACCTCTGCTCAGCTGGCCGGGGTCTCACCCACGTGCTCAGAGGTGCCGGCGCTTCTCAAGGCATGCCCTCTCCTCCACACCGCCACTGCTGCCCTCTCCGAGAATGCGGGTGCAAGGGAGACCACGCTGGCCCAGGAGTCAGAAGACCCCCATCGAGGCCAGCTCTGTCTCGGCAAGGGTCGAGGGAGGGGTGCATGGGACCTTGGCAGGCCACGGAAGCTCACAGAGCCACAGTTTCCCCTTGTTTAAATGAAGGCAGTAGCCGAGGTCAGTGGTTCTCCACCGCCCACTGCCCAAGTCTCGGGAGAACAACGGGGAGGTGGTAAGAGGCAGAGCCATGAGCCCTGCCCCACTGCTACTACCTGCGACTCCACTTGGATCACTGCACAGCAGGCCGCTGGGCTACAAAAGAACGCCTGAAGCGCCGTGGCGCGTGGCCTTCAAGGCCTTGCTGGTTCCGTGATGCAGTGGCAGGAGGCATTTCTACATGAGTCCGATCCATACACGTGTGGGAAACACAGAAGCACGTTGAGAGCAAATGCTGATCACTTGGCGGAGACTTTCCTGCCTCCCTTCAAGCAAGTCACCCCATCGGTCTTCTATCAGAGTCACGGATGACAAAACCCACCTCTCCCCATCAAAAATGCAAAAGAAATCCGTGCTCAATAAATGAAACAGGAAGGCTGTTGAACTTAATTTTAATTTTACATTTGAAAGAAAATTCTTTAGCTTTTTAAATAATGTTATATATACCTTAAAGATCCCTCTATGAAATAAGTCGTCTTCAATAGAAAGTTAAAACTAGCTGGGGGCTGGGCACAGTGGCTTACACCTGTAATCCCAGCACTTTGGGAGGCCGAGGCAGGCGGATCACCTGAGGTCAGGAAATCGAGGTCATCCTGGCTAACTCGGTGAAACCCCGTCTCTATTAAAAATGCAAAAATTAGCCAGACCTGGTGGCGGGCGCCTGTAGTCCTAGCTACACGGGAGGATGAGGCAGGAGAATCTCTTGAACCCGGGAGGGGGAGGTTGCAGTGACCCGAGATCACGCCACTGCACTCCAGCCTGGGCAACAGAGTGATACTCTGTCTTGGAAAAAAAAAAAAAAAAAAAAAAAACTAGCTGGGGAGGGGGAGAGTATTATTTTATTATTTTTGGTTTTTTGTTTATTTATGTAGAAACTTTTATTAAAGCACGTTGTGAACATTTTTCTAATCATTCCAACAATTCAAGGATTAAAAAATTAGAGAAAGGTCAGTAAAGCAGAGTGAAGTATAACATAATGCTATCATTGTTCTGAACTCAAAATGCTAGAAGAGAAATACTTCCACATCCTCATTTTTAGAACTGAGAACACTGTTGTACACTGTGAGGCAGCTTTAACTATTCCTGAGGCACACAACCGCTTTAGAAAGCATTTGGGGTACAACTTTAAAGCTCTAGGCATGAAATTTTTATATCCCAAACAATTAACACCCACATTATTAAGCACTCAATGCTCCGCTTTAGTTGCAGAGAATGATTTGCAGTTGGTGCTGCTGCTAAGATGTCTCAGTTTGCCCAATGAGATCAGGAGCAAGCATGGGCTCTGGGACAGTTTCCAGGCCCAGCTAGAACACGGATCCAGAGTGACCCACTCTCTGTTTCCAGACCTCACCCACAGTCACATTTGTTCACAATACAGACACACCCAAGGCCTCCAGACACAATGACGCACCCAACAGGGCCACGTTCAGCAGCTCCTGGCAGGCAGCCAAACTTAGGGTCCACCTGAGTCCTATTTGTGACTTTTAAAAGTCTATTCTCTTTAAGGCACTCTTTGATGGTCCATGATTTCCTCTTTCCTCTTGCCAAATTTTAAATGAGAAGCTGAACATTGAGAGGTGAGGACAGAGGGGAGGAGGCGCACATAAAAGTTATCAAGGGGGCGGGTGCTTATCTGGTTGCGTGTGCTAGAGCCTGCCCCAACCTGCGTGTGGTATGTGTGTTTCCGCAGGCTCATCATTCCTTCATTCAGTCAGTCAGTCACTTGGACAGTCAGGAAATCCGTGATGGTACAACATTTGTTGACCTCCCGCCAAGTGCCAAGCATTGTGCTAAAGTTACGAGATGAATAGATATTGTTTCTACTCTCAAGGGCCTTATTGTCTAATGCAAGAGAAAGACAAATAAATAATAACAGCATAAAAATGCTGCAACTGAAGTACAAACAGTACATTCTAGAAGCAAGAGGAAGAAGCCATGTAGTTGCTGTGTCATTTTGACATCTTATGTTAATGATATTTGTATTTAAAAATTACTTTTCTGTTAAGTTGTGATCGTAAAAGAAGTGCTTAAAAATGATGTGGAATGTATTGTAGGGCTCATGTGTATCCTACATGTGTAAAAGTAAAATGTATGAAAACAATAATACAAAGGGAGGGTGGGGAAATGAAAGTACACAGTTATAGTTGTAAGGTTCTTATGCTACATGGGGAAGAGGTGTCCTGTGATTTGGAGATGGCCTGTGACAAATGAAGATGCCCTAGAGCCTGATACTAAAAAGCAACAGAGCGACCACTAAATAACAAAAAAAGTACAACCAACGAGCCAGTTTTGGCGATAAAATGAAACACTAAAAAACACTCAATTTAAATTTTAGGTTATGGGTATTTTACCATGATTTAAAAAAAATACTGAATATTCAATTGATCAAAATAGGAGAGGAAAAAAGGAAAAAGAAACAAGTAAATGATGGGACAAATGAAGCAAATTACAAGATAGTAGACTTAAACTCAACCACACCCAAATTATCTCACATATAAACGGGCTAAGCACTGCAATTAAAAGACAAAGACTGTCAAACTGGACAAGAAAGCAGGGCCCAGATTTATGCTGTCTACAAGAAACTGACTTTAAATCCACATAATGACACAGATAGATTAAAGATTAAAAACATGAGAAAAAATATGCCATGCATATACTAGGCATGAAATTAGCTGGCATAGCTATGTTAACATCAGGCAAAGTAGACTTTAGAACAAGGAATATTACCAGGGATAGGGAGGGACATTTCAGAATGATAAAGGAAGAAAAGTATTATGAGGATATAACAATTCTAAATGTGAATGTACCTAATTATAGAACTCCAAAAATACATAAAGGAAAAGCTGACAGATCTCAAAGAAGGAACAGACAAATCAGCAATTAGAGTTGGCAATTAAACATTCTTCTCAGTAATTGATAGAACAAGTAGACAGGAAGTTAGTAAGAATATGTTCCTTACTCAGGAACAAAGTACTAGCCACTATCAACCTGCTTGCCCAGTTCACAATTACTGACACTCCACCCAACTACTGACAAATAAATACACATTCTTTCCAAGTACATGTAGCATGCTTACCAAGATAGACCATATCCCAGGCCATTAAACAAATCATAATAAAGGTAAAGTGGTTTGAATTATGTAGTATTTGTTTTTTAACCATAAGATAATTAAACTAGGAATCAATAAGAGAAAAATATGTGAAAAATCTTTCAAGTATTTGGAAATTATAACACACATTTAAATAGCCCATAGGCTAAAGAACAAATTACAAAGGCAATTAGAAAATATTTTGAATTGAATGAAAATAAAATCACACCATATCAAAATTTGTGAAATGCAGCTAAAGTAGCACTTAATGGGAAGTTGTTAGCATTAAATGTTTATGTAAAAAAAAGAACAAAGGCCTCAAATCAATTATCCATATATGCAACACAAGAAGGAAGAAAAAAGCAAATTAAATTCAAATTATGAAAGGAAGAAAATGATAAACCTGAGGGTGGAAATCAACGAAACAGAAGAGAAAAAAGGAATAGAAAAATCAATGAAAATAAAACCAAGTTACTTGACAAGATCAACACAATTAATACATCTCTAGACAGGAAAATAAAAAAATTTTTAAAAAAGAGAAAAGACAGAAGTCACCAATATCAGAAATTATAAAGAGGACATTACTATAAATACTACAAACTTTAAAAGAATGATTAATAAAGGAATATTATGAATAACTTTATGCCAATAAATTTGACAAGTTAATTGAAAAACATTTCTTGAAAAACACAAACTACCATAGCTCACTCAAGAAAAAAATCAATAACCTGAATATTCCTGTATCTATTAAAGAAATTGAATTTGTAGTTAAAAGCTTTCCTCAAAGAAAACTGTAGCCCCAGATGGCTTCATTGGTGAATTCTACTAAACATTTTAGGCAGAAATAACATTAATTCTGCAAAACTCTTTAAAAAGCTTAGCATTCTTTTTTTGTAGAAATTGATAAGCTGACTCAAAAATTTAATATGGAAATGCAGAGGATCTAGAACAGCCAAAAGTTTTTTGGAAAATGAATAAAATTAGAAGACTTCCACTACATACTTTTAAGGCTTATATCAGGACATTGTAGTATGGATATAAACATAGACATAAAGACTCATGGGACAGGACAGAGAGTCCAGAAATATACTCTCAATTAATTGTTGACAAAAAATGCTAAGGTAATTGAATGGGGGAAGGAGGGATAGTCTTTCCAACAAATGGTACTGGAACAACAGGGGGTCCATATGAGAACAAGAAAAAGGAACCTCAAACCTTCCCTCAGGACATATGCATTGAACTGTATACTTACAACGGGTGCATTGTTGAATGTGCAAATTACATCTCAATAAAGTTAATTTTTTAAAAAGAGCTGTTTATTTTTAACCAATTCACTGATTATTCCAGTATTGTTTTTTGTGTATTTGCTCACAGATGAATGTTTCAAGACTATTATTCTTAGTCTTACTCATCTGTGAGCAAATACACAAAGGTTCACAGTGAGCAAATCCACAAATATTGATACACAAATGTTCACAAGAACATTTAGATGACAAGAATCCATCTAATCTTTTTTTTTTTTTTTTTTTTTGAGATGGAGTCTTGCTCTGTCGCTCAGGCAGTAGCGCGATCTCAGGTCACTGCAACCTCCACCTCCCAGGTTCAAGAGATTCTCCTGCCTCAGCCTCCCGAGTAGCTGGGATCACAGGCGTGTGCCACCACGCCCAGCTAATTTTTGCATTTTTAGTAGAGATGGGGTTTCACCATGTTGGCCAGTCTGGTCTCGAACTCCTGACCTCAGGTGATCCACCCACCTCAGCCTCCTAAAGTGCAGGGATTACAGGCATGAGCCCATCTAACTTTTTACTTTACGAAGGAAGATACATGATGTCCAAAAAGCACATGCAAAAATCATCAACATCAGGAAAATACCCATAAGCCACAAAGAGATCACAACAGAACGGCTAAAATTAGAAAGAATGGCAACACCAATTGTTGGGAAAGATGTAGTATGATGAGAACTCTCACACGTTGGAAGGCAAAATGGCACAGCCACTTTGGAAAAATGTCCAGCAGGATCTTATAAAATTAAATATGCAACAGCCCCATGAGTTAACCTCCCACTCTTAGATATTTACCCAAGACAAGTCAAAGCAAATCCTGGACTCAGCTTGTGTGTCTGTCACCAGGAGAGCAAACTGACAAGCCATGGTGCATTTGTACAGTGGAACAATACTCATCCATCAAAGGCTTGGCCTACCATTGCATGCAACAGTGTGATCCTCAGAACACCATGCCATGTGAGAGAAATCTTACACAAAGGAGTACAGACTGTGCAACTCCATTTATATGAAGGTCTAGAGCCAGCAAAGCTCATCCCCAGGGAAGAAAATTCAACACTGTGGTTGCCTTAGTGGTTCCATAGTGCCTGGGAAAGGTCACAGGGGATTCTCGGCTAACGTTCTGCATTGTGAGAGAGGTTTGGATGAGACTTAAAAGTTATGCACATTGCTGTTTGTAAATTTTATTTAAAAAAAGAATTATAAACTCATAATGAACTCCAATTAATGATCTGCATGCTGAAGCGCTTGCAAAGTGAAGTGCATTGGTGTCTACAACTTACTTTAAAATGCATCCGAAAAACCAGTGGATTTGTCGACAGAGGAATTGGCAAATATGTGATAAAGCAATAATAGAAAAATGTTCATTTTAGAATCTAGGAAGAGTTTGGTACACTTTCCTATAAAGGGCCGAATGCATATTGCAGATTTTATGGACCAGACAATCTCAGTCACGATGGCTCGACTCTTCTTCCATTGTTGTTAGAAGCCAGCCATAGTCACTATGCAAATGATGAGTGTGCCTGGGTTCTGTTGTAAAACAAATGCAACTTCATTTGTAGATGTTGAAAGTTGAATTTCATATAATTTTTATGTGTCCCAACATATTTTTTCTTTTGACTTTTTAACCATTTAAGAACAGAAAAACCATTGTTAGCTTGCAGCCCATATAATAACGGGTAGTGGGTGAGCTTTAGCCCACGGGCTATAATTTGCTGACCCCTGACATAGGAGGAGGGCATGTGGGCATTTCTTGTACAATTCTTTCAACTTTTCTGTGTATTTAAAACATTTTCATAGTAAAATATTGGGGAAAATACAAAAAGAAATTGAATACATTACAACAGTTATTTTCTTTAAAGTCTCCTATTAGTATCGTGGCCCTACACGTACCTCACTGTATCTCCCACAATTTTCACCCTATGCATGGTGAAGCACCTTTTTGGTACATAAATATTTGTAGTTGGGACATATCTGTTGTCAGTTGCATTCTTTATTATTCTAAAGAACCTATTCTGGTCTTCCTTGGTGTGTTTCTCCCTGAACTCAGCCTTACCTGACATTAAGGATATAAACCCAGCTTCGTTTCTGTTTGAGGCTGTCCATCCGTTCTTCGCCCATCGTTTCATTTTACAAGCTCTCTCAGTCACAGAGCTTTAGGACTCTCTCCTGGACAGGCACGGGATTGAGTTTTTGATTCTTCTGTTTATCTCGTTTATATTAAATGACCTGACGCGTTTGATCTTGGTTCTCTCGTACGTGTACATGGGACGCTTTCTCTTTTTCTAATGAAAAGGTACAACATCAACACACGGCTTCCTCGTCGTATGGTTTGCTGGGTAATTCTTCATTCAGCCACACATCCTCCACTTCTCAGAACCAACACAGGTGCAGGTGCCCCTCTGCCTGCGCACGGACCTCATCTCCCTGCTGCATACCAGCTTTTGCCTTCGTGATGCGATCCTCCATGGCCTTTTCTGAAATGTGCGGCTGCAAGATTCTGTCTCCATTTCTTCCTGCACCCTTGCTTCGCCCAGGCTGGAGTGCAGTGGCGTGATCTCGGCGCACTGCAACCTCTGACTCCCGGGTTCAAGCGATTCTCATGCCTCAGCCTCTCGAGTAGTGGGGATTACAGGGGCCCGCCACCACGCCCGGCTAATTTTTGTATTTTTAGTAGAGATGGGGTTTCACCATGTTGGGGAGGCTGGTCTTGAACTCCTGACCTCAGGTGATCCGCCCACCTCGGCCTCCCAAAGTGCTGGGATTAGAGGCTTTAGCCACTGGGCCCGGCCAGCTGCTGCTTTTGATATCTCTTCCACCTCCATGGCTTGAGGTCTCACGTACACCCAGATTTCATTACAGATAGAGCTCATGTTTCTTATTCCTCTTGTTGTGTGCGGGTCTTCCTAGATGTTAAGGGGGAAATTCTGCCCTTAGACCACTGTTTTTGTTTGTTTTTTTGAGATGGAGTCTTGCTCTGTTTCCCAGGCTGGAGTGCAGTGACGGGATCTAGGCTCACTGCAACCTCTGCCTCCCAGGTTCAAGTGATTCTCCTACCTCAGCCTCCCGAGTAGGTGGGATTACAGGCATGTGCCACCACACCCAGCTAATTTTTGTATTTTTAGTAGAGATGGGGTTTCTCCATGTTGGCCAGGCTGGTCTCAAACTCCTGACCTCAGGTGATCCGCCCCCATCGGCCTCACACAGTGCTGGGATTACAGGCGTGAGCCACTGCGTCCAGCCTAGAACACTGTTTTTAAACTGAAAGTCTTGCTGTGTATTTTAAATCAGCTTTAATCATCATTAATAGACTTACTGAGTTTTTTTCTATTTAAGAAGAAAAACAGATGTTTTCCTTATTCAAAGAGAATCTATGGCCATTCTTTTATATTGCTGCTGGGTTATTAAAACAAGTTAGTCCATAGGTTAATGTAATATGGTTGGGAAGTAAGTCCAATTTCCTATAAATGAACAAAGCATGAGTAAATATAATTTCTCCACACAAGTAAGTAAAACAAACATCATAGTCCCCAGGTTAAAGTTATAAAAAATAAACCATCTGAGTTTGAGTAGACTCTCATAGGGAGATTACTGGCAATAAGTGACTCTGTTTCATGACGGCAAGATGCATAACTAGTTTTAAGTACAGTTTCCCAGAAAACTAAAGGTCTTTTTGTTCTCTGCCACTGATCTACACGTGTTTCAGCACAGTCTGCCTATCTACACAATGCCAGACACGTCCACACTGGGACTCGAACTCTCAGATGCACTTGTCTTGCACCTCTACACCCAAACGTTCTCACTTGAGTGTCCTTGCAACTTCTGGGCTCTGGTGCCAGCCATAATTTGACCCAACATCGAACCAAGATCTGGGGGTCAAATTAGTCTGTTTCTTTCTCCTTCCTCTGGCCACAGTTGCCTGACTTTGGACGGCTGCCTTTGACCCTGTGTGCAGGCTTAGAGGTTGTCAATCAAGGAGCTCCACCTCCTGGCCAAGTGTGGGGCTGGGATACAAGCCAGGCCAAGGAGACTCTAGTTTGAAACCCAGATCAGGGTGATGGAGGGATGGAGGTGAAACTGTCAAAAGCAATTCCTCCCAGGGCAGTGACCTGCAGACTCAACTACGTGGATCCCCAGAGCTACCTGGAAACTGCTCTTTCTTGGTTGGTTCTTTAGCTATTCCCCCGGCTCCAAGTTCCCACATACCCTGGCCTCTTGGATTCTCAGCCCATATTCTGTGGCCTGCAACCAAAGACCTTGACTAGCTCCTCTGATCACTAGCCCCATTCTAAAACCCAGAGGCCCATGCCAGACACTGGGTCAGGGCTAAGGGTTCTCCCAGCTGGTCTGCAGGTTGGTAGGCCAGGCTTTCTAATTAGGTCAAAGATGGCTTAGAAATCCAGGACAGGAATGCCAGGGGCATGGCCACCATGAGGAGAGCCCAGGGACCAGAACACAGGGCAGAGAGTCCCGAGTCAGGCAGGATGCTACCACGGGCAATGGGAGGTGGGCGCATGAGCTCTCTGTATTATTTCTGATAACTACTATCTTATCTACCCTTCTTTTTTTTGTTTGTTTTTTGTTTTTTGAGACGGAGTCTTGCTCTGTCGCCCAGGCTGGAGTGCAGTGTATCTTATCGACTCTTCTTATAATAATTATCTCAAAATAAAGAGATTTTAATGGCAGAAGTCAACAGGCTCGCACCCATTAACTACTCACCACACTCCCCAGGCCGTGCACTCTGACCTGGGGCTCACCTCTGACCGCACTGAGGACTGGGCACCTGGCACATCCCTCATGACCGACTTCCACTCCACCAGCGGGCCCAACCCTGCACCCCGCACCCCCCACTGAGCCCTAACATCTGTCCACTCACGTTCCCTCCTTCACCACTGCCCCTCCATCCGAAGCTGGCAGGGCCCTCTGCTCACAGCGACCCATTCCCCATTGCTTCCCAAGCCCCTCCTCCTCCCCCTCATCCAGGCTGTGTCTTCGCCTCCTGCCCTCCAGCCCACAAACCTGCCCATCTTGCAGAAGGCGAAAACAAACCCTTCTCTGCAACCAGGAGCCTCCTCAGCAGCCTCTTACCATTAGCAACCCAGGTCCCTAAGGAGCAATCTGCTCTTTGCCTCCATTCCTCATCCCTCACCCACCCCTGCCCAGCCATGCAGTCTCACCCTCACTAGCTCCTGCCCAGCCATGTGAGTCTCCCTCTCTCACACACCCCTGCACAGCCCTGTGAGTCTCCTCTCACTCACCCCTGCCCAGCCATAGGAGTCTCCCCCCACTCACCCCTACCCAGCCGTGTGAGTCTCCCCCAACTCACCCCTGTCCAGCCATGTGAGTCTCCCTCTCTCACTCACCCCTGCACAGCCCTGTCAGTCTCCTCTCACTTACCCCTGCCCAGCCATGGGAGTCTCTCCCGACTCACCTCTGCCCAGCCGTAGGAGTCACCCCCGACTAACCCCTGCACAGACATGTGAGTCTCCTCCTCACTCACCCCTACCCAGCCATGTGAGTCTCCCTCTCTCACACACCCCTGCCCAGCCATGTGAGTCACCCCACTTACTCCTGCCCAGACATGTGAGTCTCCTGCTCACTTATCCCTGCACAGCCATGCGAGTCTTCCCCCACTCACCCCTGCACAGCCACGTGAGTCTCCTCCCACTCACCCCTGCACAGCTATGCGAGTCTCCCCGACTCACCCCTGCACAGCCACGTAAGTCTCCCCCCAACTTATCCCTGCACAGCCCTATGAGTCTCCTCTCACTCACCCTTGCCCAGCCATAGGAGTCTCCCCCCACTCACCCCTACCCAGCCACATGAGTCTCCCCCAACTCACCCCTGCCCAGCCATGGGAGTCTCCCTTTCTCACTCACCCCTGCACAGCCATGAGTCTCCCCTCACTCATCCCTGCCCGGCGATGGGAGCCTCTCCCCACTCACCTCTGCCCAGCCATAGGAGTCACCCCCTACTAACCCCTGCCCAGCCTTGTGAGTCTCCTCCTCACTCACCCCTGCCCAGCCACGTGAGTCTCCCTCTCTCACACACCCCTGCCCAGCCATGTGAGTCACCGCTCACTCACTCCTGCCCAGACATTTGAGTCTCCTCCTCACTTATCCCTGCACAGCAAAGTGAGTCTCTCCCCAGCTCACCCCTGCACAGCCATGCGAGTCTCCCCCTACTCACCACTGCCCAGCCGTGCAAGTCTCCCCCAACTCACCCCTGCACAGCCATGGGAGTCTTCCCCAACTTACCCCTGCACAGCCATGCAAGCCTCCCCCCACTCACTGCTGCCCAGCCATGTGTCTCCCCCCATTCACCCCTGCACAGCCACACAAGTCTCCCCCGACTCACCCCCGCACAGCCACGAGTCTCCCCACACTCGCCCCTGAACAGCCATCTGAATCTGCCCCTCACTCACCCTCACTCCACTCTGTCCTGACAAGTCCGCCTACAGAATCCGTGGCTGTGATGGTCCTCCACCTCACCGGTGGCTCTGAGCCTTCCACTGGGTCCCCCCCTCCCTGCTCCCCTTCTCTGGGCTGCTGGATGCTCTGCTCCCCTCCCCCGCTCTGCCACTTCCTCTGTCTTCTCTCAGGCGTCTCCTGGACTCTTTGTTTCTTTGTCTAAGAAAAATAAAATTGGGGAAAGGCAGCCTTCCTCCAGATATTGTTGGAGTGAGGATATCGTAACTATTTTGAAAACTCAAAGGGGCTGATGAGGGGGATGTGTTTGGCGGTGTTTGTACAAACAGAGAGGCCTGTGGAAGGTGGGGGCTGCGTACAAAGTGTGGCCTGTGTGGCCTCAGGGCGGCATGTGTGCCTGTGTGTGAGGCTCTGTGTGTCTGTATGTGGCTGTGTGTGTCTCTGTGTGTGTGTCTGTATGTCTTCTGTGTGTGTGTTTCTCTGTGCATATGTCTGTATGTGTGTGTTTGTGTGTGTGTGTGTTTCTCTGTGTCTGTGTGTACCTATGTGTGTCTCTGTATATGTGTGTCTCTGTATATGTGTGTCTGTGTGTCAGTGTGTGTATGTGTTTGCGTGTGTCTCTCTGTGTCTCTCTGTGTGTGTCTGTGTGTATTCGTGTGTGTGTGTCTGTGTATATGTTTGGGTATGTCTCTCTCTGTGTTTCGTTTGTTTTTTTTTTTTTTTGAGATGGAGTCTTGCTCTGTTGCCTGGGCTGGAGTGCAGTGGTATGATCTTGGCTCACTGCAACCTCTTTCTCCCAGGTTCAAGCAACTCTCCTGCCTCAGCCTCCTGAGTAGCTGGGATTACAGGCATGCACCACCACACTCAGCTAATTTTGTATTTTTAGTGGAGATGGGGTTTTACCATGTTGGCCAGGCTAGTCTCGAACTCCTGACCTCAAGTGATCTGCCTGCCTCAGCCTCCCAAAGTGCTGAGATTACAGGCCTGAACCACCGTGCCCGGCCTGTGTATATTTCTGTGTGTGTGTGTGTGTGTGTGTGTGTCTGTGTGTGTATCTGTGTCTGTCCGTGTCTTTGTGTGTCTGTGTGTTGTGCATGTGTAACCCGCTGAGGTCAAATACACACACACTTGGTAGCCCATGCCAGTGAGTCATTGTCACCTGAAGCCCAAGGCTCCTGAGCGGAGATGTCTCAATCATGTTTGCAAACTCATTGACAAATCTGTGATGTTTCCAGCCGGGGCTGCCTGAGAACAGTTCTTGCCCCAGCTTACCGCCCACCGCCCTAAATTTCTCTGGACTATAAGGAACTGTGGGTCCTTGTGCCACAGTGACCTTGTTGTCTCCAAAAGGAGACCTGAAAACGGGGGTTGGCAGGAGGGGGGTTGGCAGGAGGGGGGTTGGCAGGGGGCAGAGGCCGGGCTGAGCTGCTGGAGGCCGAGTGGGAAGGGCCCATCTCTCCCCTCCATCTCTGCTCCCGAGCGACCCTCAGGCCAGTAAAGCTTCCTGGAGAACGTCTGGGGGCTAGAGCCACTCAGGCTCCAGGACTCAGAGAGGCATCCAACATGTCCCCAACACGGGTTGCCCCCCTGGCCTGGCACCGGACACGCACTCAACAGCTGTGCTACCTCAGTTACTGCCCCGCGGCTCCAGGGAGGGCATTTCCTTCCGAGGTGAGGATGTGGGGAGGGCCCTCACGCTGGCTCAGCAGCCCCCTACCCAGCCCCTGCCACGGCGCCTGCAGAGTGAGCAAGCACGGGGGTCAGTGCTGCACTCTGCCCCAGCGCGTGTCCACTGATTTCACACTCCAAGTAGAAGAAGAGGCAGAGGAGGCGGGGGCCTCCCAGGATGGGGTGCCACCACCTGGTGGGGGTGGCAGGGACAGGAGAGGAGCCCCCGCCTCACAGCCACCAGGGCTCCGGATGGAGCAGGAGGGCAGAGGGTGCCACAGGCGCCCGGGCTCCGTGGGAACCACAGCCTCCGTCAGAGGAGCTTGCGGCTGGCACTGAGTGTTTTACGATCATGATATGGAGTATTCTGTGGTGGTTTCAGGGCCACGATGGAATGGCTGTGCTGGTGCCAACATTCACCAGGCGTGGAGACTCGTGTCAAATGGGCATAGCCCTGAGAGTGCCCATGTGGACTTGGACACAGGGAAAGGGCCTGCCCCTGCCTGCCTTTGGAGGCCACCAGCCAGCACCTCCATCATCACGATGACCTCACTTGGCATCTCTGGGACCCGTAGGGTGTCCCCTCCAACCCCCCACTGTCATCCCATGATGAGCTGCACCTACGTGAAGTGAAGGAACCCCACATGGCCCCCAGTGCCCCACCATGATGGAAGCCCACACAGACGGCTTCCATGCCTTGCTGACTGCACTGGGGCTCCCAGAGGACTGCCTCCCGATTAACTGCCTCACCTGTTTATCCTCTGAGCACCCCCGGCTGCAGGATCGTGGCTCCCAGGGCCCCCTGGGGGGAACACTAATCTGCCCCCTCTGAGTCCTGGGTTCCACATCCCTCGTGCATCTGCAGAAAGAAACTCCTCTGTCAAGGATGTCAGGTGCCTGCTGTATTGAAGCCAAAACGGTCCAAAGGGCCCTCCAGTCATAGGAGCTGAGACGTGGCATTCCCCAATGTTCCCCACCCATGTGCCCAAGCGTCTTCATGTGCCAGGACCCAGGGCCCCTTCAGAACCATGTATCCATCAGAGCTTTCCCTTCCTTTGTCTGTTTCCTTCTGTGTCTGGGAAGAGACCTAGCTCTGTATTCAGTCAAGAACAATCCCAGCTCCTTAAGTGAATATTCTGTTTGTTCTATTGAGTGAATGTTTATTGAGCATCTACTACGTAGGAAATGTGCTAGATTCTGGGGCACAAACGGAGAGTTTTATGGCCCCACCAACGAGGCAGCCAGGGGCCAGTCCTAAACACAGAGAAGCAAGCACGATTCCCACAGGGTGCAATGGGGGAAAACCCAGGACCCCCAGAACACAGAAGGGCACTGACCCAACCCAGAAGCCAGGACAGCCTCCTGGAGAGAACAGCTTCCTGGAGAGAATAACTGCTGGGCCGTGCCTGGGGGACCAGTAGGATGGGCCAGGCAAGGGGAGAGGATGGTTGGGATGGGTCATCCCATGCTGGGCAGAGGGCATCGGTGCAGCAGGAGAGCTCTGGAAAGTGCTCGTGGCTCAGAGGACGAGAGCACAAAGTGTGGGGCCGGGAAGGTGAGGCTGGCGGGGTGGGGGTTGCAGGGGGTAGGCAGTGGTGTGCTGGCAAATGTTTAACAACAGGCTCTCTGCAGAAAAGACGTGTGTGTAAACATCTGTACGTCAGTCCACTCTAAGTTTTATTCATGCAAAGGAAGCACGCAATTTACAAATAATAAATATACAGGACTTTTTATCATAAATTCCATAGAGCCAACTGGTCCACACAGATGCTTTTGTTGATTTTGGCCAAACTCTCATATTTGTAGCCAGCCTATAGCTGCAATTCAACTACGATTTGACAACGTTTTATGCTATTTACAGTGTAACAGTTATGACCATAGCACACTTGTAGATTAATCTGCGTTCATCGAAGATTTTCATCATTTCCTTGAGTCTAGATAATCAATAAGACGATAAAATCAAGCCTCGATTTGTAGCACATGCTGATTTCCGTGACGTAAATGCTCTTGCGATGGTTGGTTCAAGCTGTGGACACGACGAAGCTCAATGCAGAGACCGGTGTGCCCTAGCAAACCTCCTGTTACACAGGATTTCTGCCATACAGATGCAACAGAGGTAATAACTGCCACAGCATGATGATCGTAAAATTATATCATAATAATACCATAAAATGTACAATTAATAAATTGTATTAAAACAAAGGTAACAAATGCTCAAAACTCAAGTTACCTTTGTTTTAGTGCAATTTATTAATTGTACATTTCAGCCGTTCCCCACTGGGCTCTCAGAAGCCGGCGTGAGCTGACTCCAGCACCTGTCCCTGCCAGCAGGGACGACTCCAGGAGGACTGCCAGGCCAAGACACAGAAAGGCCATAGAGAGCACACATCTGAATGCGTCAACCCCGGCTGAAGCCCTTTCTGCCTCCTAATCCTGGAACCTGTGACTCGGTTGCCTTACCTGGCAAAGTGAATTAAGGCATCAGGTGGAATGAAAATTGCTAATCTACTGACCTTAACATCAGGAGTTTATTTTGGATTATCCTGGTAGGCCCAAAGTGATCACCAAGATCCTTAAATGTGAAAGAGGAGGCGGAAGAGGAGCTCAGGGGATGAGATGTGAGAAGGCCTCCACGCCAGTGCTGCCTTTGAAGAGGGAGGAGGGGCCGAGGGTCAAGGCCTCAGGGCAGCTCTAGAAGCCGGGAAAGGCAAGAAGTGGACTCTCCCTAAACCCAGCCTCTGGGAGGAACCAGCCCTGCAGTACCTTGATTTTAGCTCAAGGAGACCTGTGTTGGACTTCAATCTCTAGACCTTTAAGAGAATAAATGTGCATTGTTTTAAATTACCAATTGTGTGGTCCTCTGTGACAGCACCTAGAGGACCCTAGAGCAGGAGCCCTCTGCATTTGTATGTCCCGTTCTTTCACCGCTGTGACCCCAGGCTCTGTGGGCTAAGGGCTGGGAGTCTCGGGCTGACCCTGCCCCATGCCGATCTATCCTAGGGCCCTGGGCAGTTCCTCAGCTTCCTGAAGGGGAGCAGTGACGGCGATACTGACCTTGCCCGATTGTTACGAGGATTAAATGAGATTATAAATGTGTAGGGCTCAGTACAGGATGGAGCGCTATGAAGCTCTCCACGGCCGTGAGCTGTGATTATCATGAGTACAGAAGGGTTGTGTCCTTATTAAGCCCGCTTCTCTGGGAAGACTGGGCTCTCTTTTTCCAGAAACAGCAGTGATTGAAAGGCAGCCTGCGTCCTCGGGACAAGGGCCACTGTGCATTGTTTCCCAACAGATGCAGCAGAAGTCTGCTCAGCCCCGCAGGCTTCATGGCCCGGAGCCAGCCAGGCTGATGGTGTTTTCGTGTTTGCCTTTGTCTGTCCATGACTTGGGAGAAAGCCATCTTTGGGTGTTATTCCCTTCAAATAGATCAGCAAAGTAGAAAATGCCCCTTTTCTCGGCCACAGCTGGACTGTGGGTATCAGGACTCCCACATCTGGAGTCCCCAGCTGCCCGCATTCTAGGAGGATCTGCAGGTGTCTGCCTCCAGCCTGACCTGCATTCTCACCTGGAAGAAGGTTGGGGAGGCAGGGCTGGTGCCCTCAGGACCCAGGGGCAGAGGGGAGCACCTGAAGAGCAGACCTGTCTTCACAAAAGCATCTGGGGAGACAATAAGGGATAAAGACCCAAAATCCAGTCTTCTGTGTCCAGGGCACCCCACACCTCGCCTGGACAGACTCCACCCTTTACCCTCTAGTCCCTGCCAAGTTGGCAATCCCAGGTCCTTCCAGATCAAAGATTTGGGCCTCAAAGTCTGAAAAAACTATGGACTGGACTTGTTGCCAGCAGTGTAGACCGAGGGCAGCCAGAGCTGGGGGTCTCAGGTTCCCCTTTTAGTTTGTTTGCCTTTTGAGATGGAGTCTCGCTCTGTCCCCCAGCCTGGAGTGCAATGGCGCAATCTCAGCTCACTGCAACCTCCATCTCCCGGGTTCAAGCAATTCTCCTGCCTCAGCCTCCTGAGTAGCTGGGGTTACAGGAGACTGCCACCACGCCCAGCTAATTTTTGTATTTTTAGTAGAGACAGGGTTTTGCCATGTTGGCCAGGCTGGTCTCGAACTCCTGACCTCAAGTGATCTGCCCACCTCGGCGTCCCAAAGTGCTGGGATTACAGGCATGAACCACTGCGCCTGGCAGGCTCCCCTTTTTGCATCTGCCTCCTGGCCCCTCCTCCGCCCACCCTGGTCTAGTGTCTCTGATCTGTTCCTCTCTCCAGTCTAATCAGCATCCAGGCAGATCCGAAGTGAAGGTGGTTTGGGAGGGAGGACAAGCTCCGTGACCCTGTGTGTGAGAATCTGGGGGCCACCTCTCCCTCGCCAGCAGGTGGGTGAATGGCCTTTTCTCCAGGGGAAGGCTGGGCCTTAGGAAGAAGGTGAAAGCTTTGCCTGGGGAGGCCATGCGGATGGACCTTATGTGAAATTTTCTGCATGTTAATTTATTTCTTTACACCGTTAGTTCCTTAGAGTTTTGTTGCTGTTGTTTCTCTCTCGCTCTCGCTCTCCCAAAATCCACAGAGAGAATTTTGGTGTGCACTGGTGAATGTTGGAATATTTGATGCTTCTCTGGAAAGACTCACAGACCACAGAAGTCACAGTTTCTTACAGCAAAAGGAGGCAGATTAAAATCAGCAAATGAGAAAGTCACACAGGGTGGGGAGGGACCGGGCGCAAGCTTTCAGCTCCTCTCGCAGTGGGGTCACCAGTCAGCACCCGTTCCCTCAGCGTCGATGTGTGGTGGTGTGCACTGGTGAACGCTGGAATATGTGTGCTTCCTGGCATCATCGCTGTGCAACAGAAGCCCAGGCAGATAGTGGGTCCAGGCCCGAGGAAGGAAGCCTGGCTGAGCGGTGCCCAGGTCTGCGGCCCTGTGTCCTAGTTGGGTAAAGCCCCTCCCTAGGAAGCTAGTGGTGGCCTCAGGAGACCAGCCCGGGCACCAGCAGCTACAGCCCCTGTCACTGTTGAGGCTTCCAGGGGAAGGGCAGACACCTGCAGGGAGCCTGGAATTCCAACCACCAGCAGCTGTGAAGAGTTTCAATCAGATCTAGTCCACCTTCAATAGAACCCAGCGTTTAGAACCACGCCTGCGCCCCTCTGTGTCCGCCTGAGATCATTTCTGCCCAGGGCTGGAAGGCTGAAGTCACCATGGTTACTGATATGTTTATTTTTGCTGGGTTGATGGCGATTTCTGCTACTTGAAAAAAAAAATTATAAACACCTTTGGAGATGCGTAAAATATGATGCATCCAAAACCAATGAGGGGCGTCTCCTCTCAGCTGCGTGCCGTCAGCTGCATGCACCAGTTGTCCCTCCAGCAGGCGCTCATCGTTTCTGCACAGCTGAAGTCAAGGAGCTCTGAGCTTGAGCTAATGCCCCCTTGACCTTTAGTCCAGCTGCACCTGAGTGCCTGGGGTGGGACAATTTCCCCACCCTGCAGGGAAATCAGAGCCAGACACAGGAGGGGCTGACCCCCAACAGCCGGGACACGTCTTTATGAGACGTCAGTGCTCAGAGGGCGGCTCCATGGACACAGGCACCCTCAGACACTCATGCCCCTCCCTTCCAGACCACCTGTCCCCTGTGCGGGGAAGGGCTCACTCAGTGGGGCTGGGTGTCCAGACCCTGCACATTCCACAGGACTGGCTCCTGCTTGGCCTGGTGATGACCTCTAAGCCCTTGGAATATCCCGCCCGACAAGCATGTCTTTGTAGACCTGGGACCTGGGGCCCTGTTGGACGGTTTACCCTAACCAGGGGATTTAGGGTAAAGGTTTGGCTTGGTCTTCTGGGGTCCTGGGTCACAGTTTTGACCTCTTGGGGGCTGGGGGCTGAGAAGCCGTGGGCAACCATGTGGGTGCTCCACGCCTTCATGGCTGACCCCTAATAAAAATGTGGACACCAAGGCTCAGGGCTCCCAGGGTGGTGGCAAGGCACCGTGAGTGTTGTCACACATCAACGCTGAGGGAACGGGTGCTGACTGGTGACCCCACTGCGAGGGGAGCTGAAAGCTCGCACCCGGTCCCTCCCCACCCTGTGTGACTTTCTCATTTGCTGATTTTAATCTGCCTCCTTTTGCTGTAAGAAACTGTGACTTCTGTGGTCTGTGAGTCTTTCCAGAGAAGCATCAAGCCTAAGCGTGGTCCTGGGGGCCCCCAGCACATCCTTCTTACCCCATAAACTGCCCCTGACTACAGCCTCTGTTGGAACAAACAGGATGGAGATGATCCTGCCCCTTTATGAGAGAAGGATTTGCTGTCTGAGATTTGACACACTGTATCCTAATGGGGTTTGGTGGGAGGTAGCTATGAGGTGATGAATAAAAGGACGCACTGGTCCCCAGTCCCCACGACCTCCTTCCCCTGCCACTGAGACCTGAGAGAGGGCCACACACACTCAGCCCAGCTCGGGTCCCAGGGCTCAGGCTCCAGAGAATCAGGGCATCAGCTCTCCTGTCCCATGTTCCAGGGCTTAGTCCCACACAGCCTGATGCTGCTCCTGCTGCTGGGCCGGGGCTCCCCAGCCTGGTTCCTGAAGCACAGAGCCTTGGTGACCTGCCCAGGTGTGGCGTGCTAGGTCAGGCCCGACACCGCTCACGGACGACCTTGGCCAAGCTCCCTTCGCTCTGCGCTCAGTTTCTCTGGCTGAAGAATAAGGAAAACGCTTCCTGCCGCCAAGAGCACATTCAAGGGCCTCATCTCTGTGAAGTGCATGGTTCACCACCCAGCACATAATAAAAGTTCAACAAACATTCATGTTCGAAACCTTGCCTCTGCCCAAACCAGGGAATAGAGTCTCACTCCTGCATCCCAATCAGCCAGCCTGGCAGTGGACAGTGCTGCCCCTGGACAGGTGTCCCCAGCTGCCTGCCTGCCCGGAAAGCTGTGCTGCTGCCCCCTCCACTGCAGCCTGGGTGCTGAGTGTTGGACACACTCCTTCCTTGCAGTGCCACCCTGCGCCCTCTGACTTGACGTGGCCTTCTGTACAGTGGCCACTCTGCTGAGGAACGAGTCCTGCCTGCAGCTGGGGCCACCCCCAGGATTTGTCCTGATAGAGCTCACCCACCCTGCCTCCTCCAGGTGCAGTTAAGCAGGGCACCTATAACTGTGTCCAAAGTCACTGCAGGCGGCGATGCCGGGGCTGATGTCAGGGGAAACGCAGCGCTGCAGAGGCTAAGCTCAAGCTCTGGGGTCAGGGTGCCTCAGCTGGAATCTCAGCCTCACCGAGCTGCTCATCCTCTGTGAGGTCCTGAGTGCCCATTTGTGAGACGGGGGTGGTAACAGTTCCCAAACCGTGCTATTCTTGGGGGGCATCATTGAGATCATGTATGTAAACTTCTTAGTACAGCATCCAGCTCTAAGAACAGAACCGATCAATATCCGCTCTTGCTATCGAGGTTCGAAGGGTACTGGTTATGCAGTTTGATGAGGCCCCTTCACGTGCCTTGGCATCAATTCCCCACCTATGAACCTGGGAGGATGCCTGCTAATTGCACAGCCTTTGTGAGGATCAATGATCAAATGTGTATGAAGGTCTCTAAAGCTCACAGTCCTACACAGCCAACCAATTGTGCCACACTCTCTAAGTACACGTGGACAGACTGGGTGGTAGGGTTTGGTTTTGAATAGGCCAAACGCTCCTTGCAAGAGCACAGGTAGGGCCAGGACCACAGTGGAGGAGCTAGAGCCAGATGCTAAATCAGAAACAGATCAAGGGGCAGCCCAGAGCACCAGGCAGCATCACAGCCCAGGAACCACCTAGCTGGGCAGAGCACAAAAGACATGGAGACTCTGCCTGTGAGAGTTGTACCCCTGCAGTTCAGAAGAGCTTGAAAATAACTTGAAAGAGAAGCAGAGAAGTTGAATCTAATCAGTTGTACTTCTCCAGTTCAGAAGAGCTTGAAAATAACTCGAGAAGAAGCAGAAACATTGAATCTAATCAGTGGTGAAGTCACCGGGCAATGGGCACAGACTAATCTGATGGAAGGATCCGGGAATGATTTATCTGAACCAGGTCATGCCTGGGAGACTGGCCCCTCTGGAGGATGTGGAGGTCTGTGTCAGGGCAGCTTCCAAAGTTCTCATCAGTGGCATCACAGAATCATCCAGAAGGCCTATGATCCCAGGTCTCAAGCCCAGACCGAAATCACGCACACTTAGAGAAAGTAACCCCATTCTTGCTACAGGAAATTGCTTCCACAGTGGAGAAAGCACTTCAACTCCAGGAAGGTTTACCATTGTTTGCAGATGATGAAGTAAATCAAACCTATCATATTAATACTTTCCTGCTGTGTTCTGAAACAGTCTGTGTATGTGTTTGAAAGTGTTTACAGTGTGTAAGAGAATGAGGCATACTAGAGGCTCCCACAGCACACACTTTCCTAGTTTATTCCCCAGAACAGCTGATTCTAGTTTAAAATGTGCCATTCTCTACAGACTAGTGATTCTAAATTGAAAGGTGTGAGCAAAACAAACTAGATATATAAGTAGAATTGGAATGTTTCCTGGACTCTGGGAGCTGCCTGTTTACAAAGGTGTCAGTGGTTTTCTCAGAGTCCTCTGAAGTACTTGGGTCAGGCAGCTGAAGTGTCTTAAAAAGAAAATCAAATAAATTTCTAAGTTCAGTGTAAATGTCTGAGGGAATTTAATTAACAGAATTGACTGTTCATGAGGGTTTTTTTCAACTGAGTTGGTCAAACATTAATCAAAAGTCCCTCTGAAAGAGATTGCCAAAAGCTCCCAGATGAATATAAAACAAATAAATAAGATTCATGAATTGAGTTTACTTAAGGAAAACTAATTGTTTTTTTAAATTAACCTCAATAAATTATATATTAAATGTTCAAGCAGCCATGAAGGTGTTTTCTGTGTACAACAGCCTCCTGGAACAACTAAGCCCCTGACGGCCCTGGGTAGCCCCAGGCAGGAGGCTGGAGCCAGGAAGCCGTGGAACTGAGGGCCAAGGAGAAGCCCAGGAGCCAGTGCAGGGCAGCGGGGAGGCCGGGACGGCGACAGGGATCCTGGGGCCACCTCCTCCCCCAGCAGATCTCACCTGCTCAACTGCAGAGGGGCAGGTATGGGAGGCACCCGGCAGAGGGACCCAGCGGGCTTGGAGGGTGTAGCTGTCACTTTCATGCCCCATGGATGACCCAGCGCCTGCCTCTCCCCAGCAAGGAGGGGAGGTCAATGAGGGATCTGTGGCTGGGAAGCCAAGGCATCTGGGCCGTGGGGCTGTCCAGAGGGGGAACCGGAAGAATCCCTGCAGATGAACAGGCCGCCAAGGAGGGCTCGCCTGGGTGTGTGGGGTCCTGTCTGCCTGCACAGGGATGCAGCCAGCCCTTGTGAAACCTCAGAGTTTAATGTACCTTCCAGGAAGGAAGAGGATTGCCCAGGAGGGGCCTGATGGGGCAGATATTAGAAATTAAACTCAGTCCCAGGAAATGCTGTGCGTGATCAATAGGAGGAGGTCAGATCATTGTGACTCCGATAAAGTGAAAGCGGGCCGCATGAGAGGGGCCTGCCCCTGGGGAAGAGCGGACCTGCTCTGAATGAGGCCAATGTCTGCATTGGCGTGGGGGAGCTGCAGGAGCCGAAACCTTCCCAAGGCAGCTCCAGGGTACAGCGTGCAGACAGTGGAGGCCAGAAGCCACCCCAGCCACCTGGTGATGCTGGCTTCCTGGAGGGTTGAACAGAGAGTGCCTGCTCCATCCTCAGCCAGAGCTCCAGCGCTGGCTTCCCCCTAGGTTACCAGCCTCCCTGACCAGGGCTCCCGCTGTGTTTGGGGGACTGGCGGTCCTGGGAAGGGGAAGTCCCAGTAAGGACCCCCCCTGGAACTGTTGCCAGGCAGGCTCCATCCCTCTGCCCAGCCCCTGGTGGATCATGGCTGTTGCCAGGCAGGCTCCGTCCCTCTGCCCCAGCTCCTGGCGGATCATGCCAGGTAGTGACCCCCTCCCCACCTGTCCTGGCTCTATCCTGGGGAGGAGGGTCCCAGAGCCAGGGCAGGCATGGATCCAACCTGTACCAACCTGTACCAAGGCCCCACATCGTGCACGCCCCTGTATTATGTCTTTAATATTCTCAGCGACTGCCCCAAGCACTCAAAACATGTCTTTACAGAGACTGAGAGTGAAGGTGGAGGCGCAGCGTAGCCAGGTGGGAGGGAGGCCCTGGCCTACCATGCGGTACAGGGGCAGAAAATGCCGTCATCAAAACCAGTGTGGTCTTGTTTAGCCCAGACTCCCACTCAACGATGCCTATGAGAAATGGTGCCTAGGACATGACCGCGGGCAGCCTGGGCTCTGGTCTGGCCCCAGCTGTGTGATCTGAGGCAGGTTACTAATGTCTCAAGGCCTCTGTCTTTGTCCTACCATGTGGGGGTGCCAGCACTTGTCCCCCAAGATGGTCTCATGGAGAAACGTACATGTGTGCAGCTCAGCAGCTCTGGGCCCTGGAGAGTGTGACCTAAGCGTCATTGACCCCTTTGAGGATGAGCACAGGTGCTTGACGCTGAGGGGAAGTGACTTCCTCGGTATCGCTCAGCTGCCAAATGCAGAGTTCAAAGAGGACTCAAGTAGATGACACCAGGTGCCCCCAGACCCTAGACATACCTGCCTCTGCCATCGTCAGGGGCTCCCACCTTCATTCAGGGCTTCTAAGTAGGAATCAGAATGCTCCTCACAAGAACAACCCAATAAGAAGGCACCGCTCGCCCACCCAGCGCATTCTCAAAGCACTACGTGACCAGGCTCTGCTATCCTGCTTTCCCTGGCTCCCGGAAAACGTCCTAGGAGATGGAGCCTTCGGAGGTCAGAGAAGCAAATATCAGTGTAGACCCATTCAAAAGACACTCAAGTCCCCTCCTCCATGTTTGGGTGCATGCTTGCATGCTGTGAACCCAAAACACAGAGCCTAGTCTCTTTCCCTGGCATGTCACCTTCCTGTGGCTTCTCACTAATGAACCAACAGCATGAGGCCTTTCCCTTTGACACTGCAAATAGCCCAGGCCTCAGCCTATCAGGAGCACCCAACATCCTCCTGGCCAGAGCGACAGGCTCGGAGTCGGGGAATCACGTAGGACATTTCAATCAAGAGATAATGCTAACCTTTTTTAATTTTATTTATTTATTTATTTATTTATTTATTTATTTATTTACTTATTTATTTTGAGACGAGTCTCGTCTCACTCTGTGGCCCAGGCTGGAGTGCAATGGCATGACCTCGGCTCACTGCAACCTCCGCCTCCCAGGTTCAAGCGATTCTCCTGCCTCAGCCTCCAGAGTAGCTGGGATTATACGCACGTGCCACCACGCCCAGCTAATTTTTGTATCATTAGTAGAGATGGGGTTTCACCAATTGGCCAGACTGGTCTGGAACTCCTGACCTCGTGATCCGCCCGCCTCAGCCTCCCAAAGTGCTGGGATTATAGGCGTGAGCCACCGCGCCCCGCCTAACCCAGCCTTTTAATCCGTAGTTGGGGGAAGACCTGTTCTGTCTTCAGCTGGACATGCACAAATGAGCAATTAGTCCTGATTACTGCTCGCAGCCATTTGGGAGCTAAGAGGGAGCTTTGGGTTAAACTAATACCATGGAACGCAGAGCAAAAGGCAGACAAAATCTGGGCCATTGAGAGCTGCAGGAGCAAGCCACACCTGAGCTCCACCCTGGCCTGGACTTCTCACTTGCAAGGGGTCATAAATTGACTTTATCCTTAAAGACTGTTGGAGTTGACATTTCCATTGCTTGTTGCCCAAAGTTCCCTAACCAATGCTAGCAACAGCTTCAATTCACAGGTGGGGTAAATATGAGGAAACAGGGGCTCAGAGAGATTGGGTGACATGCCCCACATAGGAGGGCTGAGATTCAACCTCCAAACTCTCACAACCGCAAAGCCCATACCCTTAGCCTCCCACAGTCTAACACTAGTTTGTGGGATGCGAACTCTAGCTATTCCCTGGGTTAGGAACCTCCAGGTCATCTGTCACTTTCTTTCCATCAGAACTGAGACAGGAGAATAGGGATTAGGGTGACCAAGGGTTAAGGGATAAGCAAAAGAACAGCAGGTGCAGCCAGTTCTAGGCAAGATTAGGCAGCACACGGGCCACATCCTCACTCCAGCGATAACAAGACAGAAGTTTCCACTTCAGCTTCTGATTGGTCACAGGCCAATCCTTCATAGGGTCTGACTAATTGGAGGCTTCTAAAGGGTGCCTAGGGGTGTCACCAGATTATTTGAGCTTTATAAAAACCCTAAAGAGCATTGTAATGGGGGCTCTTGAGCCACCTGCTCAAGCCTGCTCCCACTCTGTGAAGTGTACTTTAGCTTCAATATACCTGCACTTTATTTACTGTTATTTTGTTGCTTTGTCTTTCGTCGCTTCCTTCTTTTTTGCTTTGTTTATGCATTCTGTTCAATTTTTTGTTCAACACAAAGAGCCTGGATGACACACAGTCAAGACCTTTTATCCAGTAACAGAAGCGCTTTGGTGTCCTGGGTGTCGCAAGTGAGGATCTACAGTCCTTGATGAGGGGAACGATTTCTGCCCACCCAAGACTCAACAGTCCAGTCCCAGGCCACCCCCAGGACCCATGGCTCCCCTCGGTGTCCACACCGTGGTGCTTGCCCCTCTGGTGTCCACTCCACTCCCTGCACGTCTCCCCTGCCTGACCTTGATGCCAGGGCACATGGATCTCTGTCGACTCAGAGGGGCATCCAGGCAGAAGCATGTCCATGCTGTGTCCCTTGTGAGAGCCTGTGGAGTCATGCTGCCCCTTCCCTCTAGTCCTCATCGCTCCTTCCCAGGAGTCCCACTTCGCACAGGCCATCTCCTGCTATAGGGACAAGCCTCGCAGAATCAGCCTGCCTGGGCGATTTTCCCTACACCCTAAAGCTCTTGGGAATCCCCAGGGCTCTCCTTGGCTCCTTCTCCCTTGACAGGCATCTGCTGTGTGTCCACAGCCGGGCATTCACCAGCAAGTTTACAGACCCTCCAGCATCTGCCAGCCAAGGGCCTTTGCTCTGCCCGGGTGAGGTGGGGTGAGCTCCAGGCCAGCACAGACACCAGCAGTAGCAGGGGATGGAGAAAAGATCAAGCCTCATTAGCTGAATGATGACTTCCACTTCAGCCAGTTGCCCAGTCCAGCTATGTTTCTGACCACACTTTGAAATCTGCCAGGAGATGAGGGGCCAGACTCTCGCCCCTTGCCCACCCCCGTGCTGGAGCCCATGGGCTCCTGGGGGCATGCAGGGCCGCAGATGCGTAGTGTCCTTCTCCCGGAAGGCTGCTGGGCCCGGCCTGCCGCGAGCTTCCCGTGAAACCTGGGCAACTTTGGCAGTGCTGGACGCGAAGCCCAGAGCCCACAAGAGGCACTCAGCACCCGACACTGTGCGGAGGAGGCCCACGGGCCCGTCTGAGGGCGCCGCTGCTGCTGTGACTTTGGCAGCAGGATGTGTGCTTCGTCACCTTAGGAGCCTGTGTGCTGGGCCCTCGGTGGGCAACACTGATCCTTACAAGAGCCTGCAACACGGCCCCATTCCACAGATCGCAGAGCCTCAGCACAGGTGAGCAGAGAACTGGGAGGAGCCTGCATCTTGGGACTCCCACTGCACCCCTCCTCCCCAGGAGGGACAGAGACGGGATGCGGGGATTGACTCCCACTGCACCCCTCCTCCCCAGGAGGGACAGAGACAGGGTGCGGGGGGTGACTCCCACCACAGCCCTCCTCCCCAGGAGGGACAGAGACGGGGTGCGGGGATTGACTCCCACTGCAGCCCTCCTCCCCAGGAGGGACAGACACAGGGTGCAGGGGGTGACTCCAACCTCAGCCCTCCTCCCCAGGAGGGACAGAGACACAGTGCGGGGGGTGACTCCCACCACAGCCCTCCTCCCCAAGAGGGACAGAGATGGGATGCGAGGGTTGACTCCCACCACAGCCCTCCTCCCCAAGAGGGACAGAGATGGGATGCGAGGGTTGACTCCCACCACAGCCTTCCTCCCCAGGAGGGACAGAGATGGGGCGTGGGGGGTGAACAGCGGACATTTAATACTCCCTCTCTGGGACAAAGCAGGTGCTCAAACTAAAGAGGGTTGCTAGCCACCTGGTCACAGCTGAGGACAGGCTTGGGGAGCCCCTGTCCAGCCCCTCTTATCTGATGACTTATGGCATGCAAGGCCGTTTTAGATACTCACTTCTGGTTTAGGTGCTTATGTGGCTACCTCAGCAGACTCCGTCACCCTCCACAATAGAGAGAGGTGTCACTGGGCATTGCGGGCGTCCCTTCCACATGCAGAGGTCCTCTTCTGAGCCACAGGGATCTCACCTGGGCCTCCCCAGCACCAGCTCCTAGGGCTGCTGGCTCCCTGCCACCTGTCTTACTCGCCTGTCCATCTGCCCCTGTCCTCCCAGAAACGGGAAGGGAGGGAAAAGATGTCTCCCATTCTTGGGAAATCCAGATGGGAGGGTGGACATCCGTGCTGTGGCCCCCACATAGACTCATTTGTCCTGCACTTCGCAATCACTCAGTCTCTGAAGAAGACCAGCCTCACTTTCTGAGCTATTTACAGGGCCTCCAGGGCACCACCTTTGCACACATGTGCCCCGGAGCCTGCAGGTCTGCAGAACAATTTCAGACACGCAAGAGGCTCAAATCCAGTGAAAGAGAACAAACAAGAGAACCCAGGGATGTGGTTGCTGCGGAAACTCAGGGGACATTCGGTTTCCAGCGTGGACTCCAGCTAATGTCGCCATCTAGTGGCCAGCATGGAGAGATGCAACCTGGGCCAGAGGGCCCATGGAAAGCCCCAGTAATTCTCCAGTTCCATCAGACCCTCCCCCGCCATCAGACCCTCCTCCATCAGAGCCTTCACCTCCATCAGACCCTCCTCCATCAGATTCTCTTCCATCAGACCCTCCACCTCCATCAGATCTTCCACTTTCCAGTGATTCACAGCTTGGGATCCTGGGCCAGGAAGATTGAGATCCCAATAGTGTCTGAACATGAGAACCTCCAGGGACCCAGAACCCCAGGAGCCCAAGGCCCACTGGCCTTGGGGAACCCCTAAGCCCTCTTCCCACATCTCAGAGGTACTCTGAGTTCTAAAGCCTGCAAAGACCCTCCTTCCCATCCCCCACAGAAAGCAGAGGGTGGCATGAACTTTACACCCAATGAGCTTGGTTTGAATTGCAGTTCCTTCACTGGCCAGCTGTTTGGCTTCAGAAAAGTTGCTGTCTCCATTTCCTCAACTGCGCAGTGAGAACAATCATTTGTGGAGGGCTTATAATGAGGCTTGTATAGAATATGTCTATGTCAGTTTCCCCGCTTCCACAGACAGGAGGATTTGAGTTGCCCACTCAGTCTGTTAAGAGATCTTCTGGGAAGTCTCCAAGGCCCTGAAGTCTGGCCTTACAGGTTGTGCACTGCACAACCCTGGGGTGACATCTGCACTGGAGAGCAGTGAACAACTTCTACAGACATCCAAGGGTCACCCAGGGGCCCTCCCTTCCTCCTTCTGTTTCCATACACTTTGGATTTAATCCCTTAAGCCATGCCAGTGGAAACAGTCTAGGATCGGAGGGTTTAAGCTGCAAGCAATATGCATGCTGATAATATTCTTAAACAGCAGTCATGACACAGCAGCATCCCAAAGCCCTTCCAATGAAGTAATGGGAACAGGTGCACAAGTCCATATGCATAGACGTGCATTTTTCTGTTTCTCTCTCTTCCTTCCACCAGAGGCCTCCCTGTATTTACTGCACGTATTATAGTATCCACAGGGGTTTTTCTTCAGATGGATTGTGAATACTTGAGGGCAAAAACTCTGCCTCATTTTTCTTGTCTTCCTCATGTCAGTATATAAACTGGGACTCAATACACATTCCTTGGTTGGATGGATGGATGGATGGATGGATGGGTGGATGGATGGGTGGGTGGATGGATGGATGGATGGATGGATGGTTGAGTGGATGGTCAGTCAGATGGTTGGGTGGATGGGTGGATGGAGGTGGATGGATGGATGGAGGGGTGGATGAGTGGGTGAATGCATGGGTGAGTGGTTGGATGAATGGATCGATAAATGGTTGAGTGGATGAATGGATGGATGGTTGAATAGATGAATGGATGGTTGGATGGATGAACAGACAGATGGATGGGTGAATGGGTGGATGGGTGGGTGGGTGGATGGATGGACAGACGAGCGGATGTGTGAACAGGTGGACAAATGGGTGGTTGGGTCGGTGGGTGAATGGATGGGTAGATGGTTAGATGGTTAGATGGGTGGATGAAGGGACCAGGTCAGGGGCATCTCACAGCACACATGCAATCATCACTCTCAGTACTTACCATGGCTGTCATCATCTGACTTCAGCGTCTCCCTCCCCCACAAGACCGTGTGCTCTGTGAGGGCAGGGCTTGGTCTGTCCCTCTCATCACTTCGCCCAGAGCGCTAAGCTCAGGGCCTGGAGCACTGTGAGTGCTCAGGAAGTGTTTGTCGAAGAATAGACTTGGATGGGGGAGGTAGGATGACAGGAAACCAAGTTTTCATTATTACAGAAAACACAAATGAACAGACGTGGCACATGTATTAAGATTACATGAGGCCAGGCGCAGCGGCTCATGCCTGTAATCCCAGCACTTTGAGAGGCTGAGGCAGGTGAATCACCTGAGGTCAGAAGTTCGAGACCAGCCTGGCCAACATGGTGAAACCCCATCTCTACTAAAAATACAAAAATTAGCCAGGCGTGTTGGCAGGAGCCTGTAATCCCAACTGCTCAGGAGGCTGAGGCAGGAGAATTGCTTGAACACGGGAGGTGGAGGTTGCAGTGAGCCGAGGTCACGCCATTGCACTCCCGCCTGGACAACAAGAGCGAGACTTTGTCTCAAAAAAAAAAAAATTACTTGAAAACTGTAGATGAAGTTTGAAAGACAGGGTTTTTAAATATATGTCAATGACTTTATCTGAAATCCAAAGAGCCACACAGTCATGGGGCTCAACAGCTGGTTTTACTGAATATGTGTCATGCTCTTCCAAGAAAGGCAAGTGAAAGCTCCTCAGCTGACATCAGAACAGCGGGACATGACTTGGGAAGAACCAGAGATGCGTTTCTGGCCTCCCCAGCGTGCCCAACACAGCACCGGCCCTCGTTGGATGCTCAGCGAGCCTGTGATGGACCATCCCAAATGGAGCATCCAGCACAACCAGCCACATTTCAGTGTCTTATGCGATTGATTCTACTTGATCAGAATCTGTGATCCACACATATTACCCACTGTCATTCTTTACTGACTCTGAGAATATCCAGTAAATCAAAATACTCCTTTCCCCAAATGTTCTGTATGAATGACAATTAATTATATTCAACAAAATTAGTATCATGGGTTGAAAACTAAGGCCATGTTATAATTCTAAGTTCACTGAGGAAAAACACTCTACTTTCAGGTGTGAGCTATCTAATACAATTCCAGTTTATTTCAAATGAAGTACAGAGCATTATCTCTTAGGATGATGTAATGGAGAAAATTCTAGACTAAAATACTTAGATTTTAGAACCATTTTCTTGCTAATTCATTCTGTGACCTCAATTAAGTAACTCATCGGCTCCTCTGGTTTCTCATTGTGTAATGGGTAAATCACACCTCCCACTGTGGTCGGATTATATGAAGAAACGGCTGTGAAAATGCTTAGAAAAATGTAAAGAGTGATGTGTACCTACGTTATTTCTGCTTATTGAAAAGGTTGTCACATTAATCGAGTGCCTTTTGAGTCGCTGTCGTGTAAATAAAAGCAATACCTTGGTACACAGGAGAAAAGTCAAACAGCATAAACATCCACTAAAAATAACATTAGCAGTGTATTTCTAAGACTGACCTATTTTCGAAAGAGCATCAAGAGCGCGGTCGGGTCTCTCTGAGAATGTGAAATATTCTATATTTGCCAAAGGGTGACGGACGCCAAGGGAGGGCAAGCCCAGGAGGGTTCTGAGGGCTGGTGTGGAGGGTCACAGGCCTGGGAGGTCTAGGCTGCGGGGGCCGCGCGGGTGGTGGTGTAGCCGCAGCACCCCCAGGACTGCCCCCGTCTTCCGCAGCCCCTTCATCTGCCCCTGGGCTGTGGCTCCTCTAGGACCTACAGGACGGCCTGCCTCTTCGGGACAGACGGTGGCTGCTGTCTTCCTTTCTGGGCTCACCCGGGCTCTGGCAGAGCCCACCCGTCAGAGCAGACCTCCGTTAAGGCTTGAAGAGTTAAGAACCGAGGGATGGGTGGAGGTGCAGAGAGACACTGGGGATCCCGGGGGAGCCCACCAGGGAAGCTCTGAGGTTCTGGAGGCAGCTTGACTCACGGCGACCTGTGTGGAGGAAGAGGTCACCTGGGTCAGCTTGCACGCAGGAAAGGTAAAGTTAATACAGAAAACCCCAGGAGGAGGGGTAGTGGAGGAAACACCAACCCGAGGACATGGCGTCTATGTTTACTGGAGAGGGACAGATCAAGCCCCTAATGAAAAGGCAGCCACTCCCAGAGTGCCCAGTGGAACGGGGACCATGGGGCTGTGCCTGCCCTCAGGTGAGCGATGCTCCTGACACGCCAACTGGTGGGGGTGGCTGGTGAAGATACCTGAGCCAGACGAGCACAGCTGGGGCCCCTGCACCTTTGCACCATCCGTGGAGAACCCACCAGGACTCTGGGAACATCTCTGAGTGGGGCTGCCCAAGGGTCGACCTGGTGGGGGTGGGTGGGTTGGCTGATGGTTTTCAAAGAGCAGATGTCTGCAGGAACTTTAGAACTGGTGAGACAGTTCTCACTTCGAAAGACAGGAGCCCCGGGAGAACAAAGAAAGACAAGAGGCCAGTTTTCCCTCGGATGTTTTAATTTCGAGGAAGGGGACATCCAGCATGACCCAGCACCAATACACCAGATTTCCTTAGAAAGCTAGCGGGATAGTGTTGGCCTCATCGCTGGGATTCGCATCTTAAATATTAAGTAAAAGGCACTGACATTTCCTCGTAACTCTATCTAGGGAGGTGACTGGCCTCTAGCACTGGCCCTGTCTATGCTGTAAGGGTCCTGAGACCCCAGAATACTGCGTATGTTAGTTACCAGGAGTCCTGGCAGGAGAGACGGGAAAGACAAAGCTAACACAAGCATCCCCCTCACATGGGCAGAATCACATCCACAGGCGGGTGGTGTTTTCTCTGAAGTTGCCCAGCAAGGGCAGCATGGAGGTTGCCTTTTGGAAACGTGTGCTGTAGTCTGGGCTTTGCTGGTGACCTGGGAGGATTGGCTTGAGTTCTCTGGGCCCCATTTCCTCATTTTAAGATTGGAGCCAGTGTCTACTATACTTTGCTGAGTTGTTTCAAAAATCTGTTATCTCAAGAAAATAAGGACCTGAGCACAGGGAAGACGGGCTTGGCTGGGGAAGCTGCCTGCCTGACGAAGAGGGGGCGGGCTGGTATTGACAATGTCTCCTGCCCAGGATGGGAGGCAATGGGGTTGGTGAGGAGGGGGTCTTCATGGCCCAAACCCCATGGGCCCCAAACCAGAGGCCAAAAGCTACCAAACTGAGGAAGCTTCCTTATTTTTCACTATTAGAGTGTAAAGTTGAACTGAAACTTCGCTGTTGTTCCCTGCCCCTTTGGGATCCCCGGAGGTGGCTGAGGACCCAGACCACAATTGAGCAGCAGCACCTGCCTCCCGGGGAGGCTCAGGGGTCCTGGGAAGGCTCCTTCCCTGTAACCACAACAGTTGCTGCCTCTCAACTGGGACACCTGGTGTCCCCACTGCAAGAATTAAGAATTGTGGATCCCCTTGCACAGCTGCTAAAATACAAATTCTCCGGGTCTCTGATGAAGGGGAAAGGCAAGGGGCATTGTTCTAAGGGTCCATCAGTCATGTGAACACTAGTGTAAGAAAGGCTCTAAGCTTGGTAGCTAAGAGAGCTGACCCCAGAGCCAAACGGAAATCCCATGCAGCCCCAGCTCGGCCACCTCCCAGCCATGTGACCTGGGAGGCCTATCCCTTCCTGCCCTGGACCTCCCAACCACGTGACCTGGGACACATCCCTTCCTGCCCTGGACCTCCTAGCCACGTGACCTGGGACACCTATCCCTTCTTGCCCTGGACCTCCTAGCCACGTGACCTGGGACGTCTATCCCTTTCTGCCCTGGATTCCCATCTATAACACAGGATGCTAATAACAGCACAACCTCACGGGGATGTTGGGAAACAACAGACATTGTCAACATCAGCCCACCCCCTCTTCGTCGGGCAGGCAGCTTCTCCAGCCCAGCCCATCTTTCCTGTGCTCAGGTCCTTATTTTCTTGAGATAACAGATTTTTGAAACAACTCAGCAAAGTGTAGTAGACACTGGCTCCAATCTTAAAATGAGGAAATGGGGCCCAGAGAACTCAAGCCAATCCTCCCAGGTCACCAGCAAAGCCCAGACTACAGCACACGTTTCCAAAAGGCAACCTCCATGCTGCCCTTGCTGGGCAACTTCAAAGAAAACGCCACCCGCTTGTGGAAGTGATTCTGCCCATGTGAGGGGGACGCTTGTGTTAGCTTTGTCTTTCCCGTCTCTCCTGCCAGGACTCCTGGTAACTAACATGCGCAGTATTCTGGGGTCTCAGGACCCTTACAGCATAGACGGGACCAGTGCTAGAGACCAGTCACCTCCCTAGATAGAGTTACGAGGAAATGTCAGTGCCTTTTACTTAATATTTAAGATGCGAATCCCAGCGATGAGGCCAACACTATCCCACTAGCTTTCTAAGGACATCTGGTGGGTCGGTGCTGGGTCATGCTGGATGTCCCCCTCCTTGAAATTAAAACATCGAGGGAAAATTGGCCTCTCGTCTTTCCTTGTTCTCCTGTTGGCTGAGAGGGTGGGCAGTTGATATGGTGTGGGTCTGTGTCCCCACCCAAATTTCATGTTCAATGTGATCCCCATATTAAAGGTGGGGCCTGGTGGGAGGTGGTTGGATCATGGGGCGGATCCTTCATAAATGATTTAGCACCATCCTCTTGGTGCTGTCTCACGATAGAGCTCTCATAAGATCTGGTTGATTAAACATCTGTAGCACCTGCCCCAACCCCTTCCTCCTGCTCCAGCCATGGAAGACGTGCCTGCTTCCCCTTGGTCTTCTGCCATGATTGTAAGTTTCCTGAGGCCTCCCCAGAAGCCGAAGCCGCATGCTTCCCTTACAGCATTTGGAGTCAGCAGTCTCACACGCTGCCAGATAAGCCTCATGATTGCTTCTCTTCTTCTTTTATTAGTATTTATTTATTTTTGAGGCAGGGTTCCCCTCTGGAGTGTAGTGGGGCAGTCTCGGCTCACTGCAACCTCCACCTCTCGAGCTCAAGGGATCCTTCCACCTCAGCCTCCCAAGTAGCTGGGACCACAGGTGTGTGCCACCACACCCGGCTTATTTTTGTATTTTTTGTAGAGATGGAGTCTTTCTATCTTGCCCAGGCTGGTCTGGAACTCCTAAGCTTAAGCGATCCTCCTGCCTTGGCCTCCAAAAGTGCTAGGATTACAGGCATGTTCTTTTTTTAGAAAAATCTCAAAATTTGGCCGGGCACGGTGGCTCACGCCTGTAATCCCAGCACTTTGAGAGGCCGAGACGGGTGGATCACCTGAGGTCAGGAGTTGGAGACCAGCCTGACCAACATGGAGAAACCCTGTATCTACTAAAAATACAAAACTAGCTGGGTGTGGTGGCGCATGCCTGTAATCCCAGCTACTCAGGAGGCTGAGACAGGAGAATCGCTTTAACCTGGGAGGTGGAGGTTGTGGTGAGCCAAGATCGCACCACTGCACTCCAACCTGGGCAACAAGAGCAAAACTCCATCTCAAAAAAAAAAAAAATCTGAAAATCTTTACAAAAGTCCCAGTCTTGGTGTTTCCCACTGAAGGTTTATACTAACCATACTGCCCTCCATAATGCTTGTCATTCATTTGTGGTGAACTATGTGCAGGCCCAGGAAAAACAAAAGTCCACAGGGCAGATCAGAGAAGCATCTTCAGCCTCAAAAGGTCATACATAAGTCGGGGCTGCGGGCATGAGCAGCAAGGTGTGGGGGGTCCACTGTGGCATCCACACCACACGTGACAATCCCTACGAGCACCAGGTTTCAGGGACACTCGGCCGAGGACCATCGTTAGGATCCACCAGCAATTGAGGGCGTCAGACCCCATAGCGGGGCCTCTTGGGCATCTTCCCATTTAAATCTCACACCCTCCACGTGGCCGGAAATGTTACCATGGTTTCTTTTACAAATGATGAAACCGAGGCACCAAGAGGCTCAGGACCTTGCCCGGGTGGTCAAGAGAGTGGGTGGCAGAGATGGGATTTGTGGTGGGCCCCTGGGTCCTGTGGTCACCCATATAGCACTGCCGCTGGTATCGTGGAGCCAGTCCAGTGGGTGTGTGAAGCGATCGAACCTTCACCAACCTACCTGTAGTTTCCCCTCTCTGCCTGCTCCTGGTTGCTTTTTCAGAAGGGAGGCTGCACGCTCCGTAAAGGGCCACAAAACACAGACACACACATATCTACCCTTGGCTGAATCCTGCTGGCCGTCCCCATCACCATGGATGGCAAGGCAGGACATGCACATCAGATGCCCCCACTCCGCACCCACCTTCTTATCAGCCTGCACCTCCTACCCCACTCCACACCCACCTTCCTGTCAGCCTACACCTCCCACCCCACTCCGCACCCACCCTCCTGTCAGCCTGCACCTCCCACCCCACTCCACACCCACCTTCCTGTCAGCCTGCACCTCCCACCCCACTCCGCACCCACCTTCCTGTCAGCCTGCGCCTCCTATTCGTAGAACACCTGGTAGCTGAAGTTGTTGGACTGGATTTTAAAGTTGTATCTCCCATTCATTCTCTGGTAGCGCACGATCAGAAGGGTGGCTGTTCCCGCCACCAGCACGAAGATGGCCACCACAATAAGGACCACATAACCGGCACCCAGGCCTGCTTCTGCATGAGGAGGCTCACCTCGGGGAGGAGACAGGCACAGGTGAGAGATCTGCACAAACGGGAGGAATGCGATAGAGCAAGCCCTCCACCCGGATCCGGGGCTGATGGATCTGAAGCACGGGGAATGCAAGGCCCACGTGTGCACCCGTGTGCCTGTGGGTTACCAAAGCTGAGGAAGGTGTCCAAGCCCAGGACAGCATTGCAGTAAGGACAGCGCAGCCTGGGGAGGCCTGGGCCTTGAGGGTGGGGCTGCGCGGGACCAGCAGGTCCTCCTGGTGGGAGGGGGAGAGCCCAGTCAGATTCCCTGCATGGACACACGGGTTGGGCCTACACAGGCTCCACAACACAGAGGAATGAGCCATCCCCAGACCCAGAGGAGCAATTAAAAAATAGAGAGTGCAGGCTGGGCGCAGTGGCTGACGACTGTAATCTCAGCACTTTGCGGGGCTGAGGCGGGCGGGTCACAAGGTCAAGAGATTGAGACCATCCTGGCCCACATGGTGAAACCCCGTCTCTACTAAAAATACAAAAATTAGCCGGGCATGGTGGCGCATGTCTGTAGTCCCAGCTACTCGGGAGGCTGAGGCAGGAGAATCACTTGAACACAGGAGGCGGAGGTTACAGTGAGCTGAGATCGTGCCACTGTACTCCAGACTGGTTACAGAGCAAGACTCGGTCTCAAAAAAGAAAGAAAAAACAAAACAAAACAAAACAAAAAAACAAGAAACAAAAAAAAAGAAAAACAGAGTGCGGACCCTAAAAGATGTGAAAACTGATTCAAACAGCTATTTGTACACCCCTGTTCACAGCACCAGCCAAAGGGTGGCAACAACTGAAGTGTCCACCAACAGGTGAATGAATCCATACATTGTGGCCCCACCGTGCAATGGAACATGACCCAACCGTGAAAGGAGTAAAGCGCTGACCCACTGCAACGTAAATGAACCTTGAAGATGTCACGCTGAGTGAAAGCACTGAGTGAAGGAAGCCAGGCCCAAGAGGCACCAATAACATGACCCTGTTCATAGGAACTACCCGGAACTGAACAGAAAGCAAACGAGTGACTTTCAGAGACAGGGGGAAGGTGGATGGGGAGGGACTCATGCGTATGAAGTTGCATTTAGGGTGAGGAAAATGTTTTGAAACTACATGGAGTTGGTGGCTATAAAACACTCTCAATGTACTAAACACCACTGAGTCGTTTACTCTAACACAGTTAGCTTGAGGTTACGTGAATTTCATCTCAGTTTAATTTTTTAAAAACTGTGCTGCCTGAGAAAGATGCCAGCTGCCTGCTGGCTCTCTGGCTGGCCCCTATGAGCCCAGGGGGAGATGTGACCCTCTGCCCACCGTGTGTGGGTATAATTCGTTGTCAAGGGCGTCTATAGCCAGGTCACAGCCACATCCTGCACCACCCAGTCCCCTCCATCTCAGGGTGTTCATCCCCACATATCAGGAAGGTCTGCATTGGAAACAGCCTTTCTGTGCAACCAGGAGCATCTGAGATCCCATTTTCATTCCCTGTATTGATTTCCGGGCAGTCTGCCCAGAGTGGACGCTGCTGTGTGTCCCCCAGGGAACAGCATGGAGCGTCACCATCAGCAAAGCCATCCAACAATGGCACTGTCGGATCCCTGGGGTGCTGAACATAAGCCAGCTAGAACCACACCATCCCTCCTCCAGAGAGAGGGACAGGGAACACCTCCCACCCTCCAGCCAAAGTGACTCCACCCTCCCCAAGAAACCGAGGCCCCCAGATCCCGGCCGGCCACTTCCCCAGACAACTCCTAAATCACGATGGACACTAAATCCAGCCCCCAGGGGCTCTGTAGTGGACCTTCCTCCTGGGCCTCGAGTGACGGGCCACCTTGCCAGCACAAGGGGGGGTGCCGCCCTGAGGATGCAGAGTAGAAAGACCAAGGAGACCCGCTCCTGCTGGCCCTTTGCAGCCCGGAATGGCCCTGGACTCTCAGCCCTGGGAAAGACCCATCCCTGTTCAGTTGCCACCTCTCCAGCTAGGTTTCTGTGACCTGCAGCTGTGTGCTCCGAACTGAACCACTAGCTCAGGGCTGGCCACAGGGGGTCCACAGGCCAGTGCTGCCCACTGACTGACACCAAAGTCCAGGAATGGTTACTCCCCATGGCCAGATTAGCTAGAAGTGGAGAGCAAGCCCTGAAAACTGTGGATGGTAATTTCCCACAGCCACTGGTGAGGCATCCTGCCAAACAGGGCATCTATCTCCCTGTTCAGGGAGGCTCCATGCGTGTGGCATGAGCTGTGTATGCATCGTGACCGTTGGACCACATGTCAGTCCACGATGCGGGGGAAATTTAAATGACGGCTGAAATTCAGCAATGGCTGCTTTTGTAAAGGGGGATATAACCCAGTGAGGGAAAGGGAAGAAGGCATGTGAGGCTTAAAACCTAGATGATGGGTTGATGGGTGCAGCAAACCACCGTGGCACATGTACACCTATGTAACAACCTGCACGTTCTGCACATGTATCCCAGAACTTAAAGTAAAATAAAAAATTGCCAGGCAAGGTGGCTCACGCCTATAATCCCAGAACCTTGGGAGGCTGAGGCGGGCGGATCACAAGGTCAGGAGATCAAGACCATCCTGGCCAACATGGTAAAACCCCCGTCTCTACTAAAAAAATATAAAAAAAAAAAAAATAGCCAGACTTGGTAGTGCGCGCCTGTAGTCCCAGCTACTCAGGAGGCTGAGGCAGGAGAATCACTTGAACCCAGGAGGCAGAAGCTGCAGTGAGCCGAGATCGCACCACTGCACTCCAGCCTGGGCAACAGAGCGAGACTCTGTCTCAAAAATAAATAAATTAATTAACTAATTTTAAAAATTAAAAAATTAAAAAAGAACCCGCGTTCAGAGGAAACAGGGCCCTTCCAGGGGTTTGAGTTCCAGCTCAGCCACCGCCTCAGTCTCCTCACTGCTGAGCAGCTACAGTAATTGCTCCAGGCCCTTCCTGCTGGGACATTGAGCACTCCCTGGACACTATCCTCGAAATTTCTTGGCCTTTTAGCACAGGGACATGCTCATGAATGTGAAATAAGTGGGCCAGCTAGGAAAAGAAAGGCCATGGAGGAGTTCCGAAAACTGAATATGCAAAAATTATCATGCTGATGTACTATTTGTTGGTGGCAGACATTCAGGGAAGATGCCCGAATGGATTCTTTCTTAAATTGTCAATATACAGGGTTACCTATGTGTTGAACTGTGAACCCCTCACCCCCTGCAAAAACAGATATGTTGACACTTTGGGAGGCTGAGGTGGGTAGATCATGAGGTCAGGAGATCGAGACCATCCTGGCCAACATGGTGAAACTCCATCTCTACTGAAAATACAAAAATTAGCTTGGCGTGGTGGCCCACAACACCTGCAGCCCCAGCTACTCTAGAGGCCGAGACAGGAGAATCGCTTGAACCTAGGAGGCAGATGTTGCAGTGAGCCGAGATCATGCCACTGCACTCCAGCCTGGCAATAGAGTGAGACTCTGTCTCAAACAAAACAAAACGAAACAAAACAAAACAAAACAAAACAAAACAAAAAACAGATATATTGAAATCCTAACCCTTAGTACTGTGGGGCATGGCCTTATTTGGAAATGGAACTGTTGCAGGTGCAACTAGTTAAGCAGGTAGATAGGCCCCTAGTCCAACATGACTGGTGTCCTTATAAAAAGAAGGCCATGTGCAGACGGGGGCAGAGACTGGAGGGAGGCAGCTGCAAGCCAAGGTCCACCAAAGATTGGGCACATCCAGCAGAAACGAGGAAGCGGCAAGGGAGGACTTGGCCCTACAATGTTGCGAGAGACTGTGGCTTTGCCAGCACCTTGATTTTGGACTTCTGGCCTCCAGAACTGAGAGAGAACAGATTTCTGTTGTTCAAGCCACCCAGGCTGTGGGACTTTGTTGTGGTGGTGCCAAGACATCGTGAGTGTGATGTGAGGGCTGGGGTGGAGGGAAGCCTCAAAATGAAGCCAGCTCAGTCCCCAGGAGACAGAGAGAGGAGAGTGGGTTATGAGCAGCCTGGATCTGCACTCGCAGGCCCAGCTCGTGCAGGTACCAGCTGTGTGAGCTTAGGCACATTCCCTAAAATCTCTGAGTTGTTCTCATTTCTTCCCTGAAACGGAGGTGATGGTGATGGCAGGGACAGAGCGTGGGATCTCAGAGGCCGCGGATAGCGGTGAGGTCCTGAGGAACCTGTCTGCCAGCCTCCTCTCATCTCTGCAGTCTCCAACAGTGTTTCTGTTAATATACACTATTAAAATGCAGCCAAGTCCCCACCAACTGGGAGATTCCATGTGTCTAAATGATTTTGCTGTGTATTTGTATGATAGTCATAGATCAAACAAAAGCTACTAACACAATGAGAAAGAATGTTGAACAACATGAATATTTACAGTCCTTGTTCTTGAACGTGAGAAATTACACCCTTATTACATTCCGTGCTTCCTGCTTTGGTTATGCCAGTGTAGTGCTCTACTGGTTACAAGTGAAAAGTAGCACTTATTCAATAACTTCTATGGGCCAGGCTCTTTATGAAGTAGGAATTATTATTATTCCCTTTTCAAAGATGAGGAAAATAAGGCACAATTCATATGCAGCATGCACAAAGCCACAAAATTATTAAGTGCCAGAGCCAAGTTGTGAATCCAGGGAGCCTAGTTTCAACCTCACAAATCTTAGCCTCACAAAGAATTCTTAGTTACCATTAGACACTCACAACAACCTTATGAGGTAGGGAGGGCATGTTGCAAAGAAAAATCAGAGTATCTGAAACATAGTAGATGAATGAATTAATGAATAAATGGGTGGATGGATAGATGGATGGATGGGTGGGTGGATGGATTAATGAACAGATGGATGGATGATGGAGGATGGATGGATGAATAGATGGATGGATGGATGAATGAAGGGATGACAGAAGGATGAATGATAGATGGACGAATGGATGATGATAGATGGATGATGGTGGATAGATGGATGATAGTTGAATGGATGGATGGATGACAGATGAATGTATGGTTGGATGAGTGGATGGATGGATGATGGATGGTTGATAGATGGATGAAGGAATGGGTGGATGGATGGATGAACAATGGATACATGGATGGATGGATGATAGATGAGTGCATGGAT
The DNA here is from genome assembly GCF_000001405.40 of Homo sapiens. Taxonomy (NCBI): domain Eukaryota; kingdom Metazoa; phylum Chordata; class Mammalia; order Primates; family Hominidae; genus Homo; species Homo sapiens. The sequence continues at coordinate 42,132,295 of NC_000021.9, read as the reverse complement.
GGATGGATGATAGATGAATAGATGAATGAATGGGTGGATAGATGGATGACCAATGGATAGATGGATGGATGGATGATAGATGAGTGGAGGGATGAATGGATGGATGGATGATAGATGGATAGATGAATGAATGGGTAGATGGATGGATGGACGGAAAAATGATAGATGGAAAGATGAGATAGATGTATGGGTGGATGATGGATGAACCATACAGCTCATAAGTGTCAGAGCCTATAATCAAATTCAGGTGTCCCAAGTCCAAGTCTAGTGCTTTTCACCCCCTAGTCATGACATTCCCTATGATATCAATGAATGAAGGAGGAAGTTTAATTTCTATTCATGAAAGAACACATTATCTATTAATGAGAACATATTTCACACATATGCTATTTCTTATAGGGTGAAAGAAATAGGCTGACCCGTTCTTCCCAGGAAATTAAGAAAATGAAGAGTGAGGAGAAGCAGGTTGTCCCAGCACCTTGACCAACAGTCACCTGATGACCAGCTCAGGGGCCTGGGACCCAACTCTAGAGATTCTGTGTGTAGGCCTGGGGTGTGGCCTGGGACCTGTGTCTACTTTTTTAGTTTCCCAAATGCTTTAAATGAGAACCAGCAGTTGAGTCACTGGCCAAGACCTCCCTCCTGTTCCCCAGCTTCATGGCCAAGACCTCCCTCCTCCTGTTCCCCAGCTTCATGGCCGAGACCTCCCTCCTCCTGCTCCCCAGCTTCATGGCCGAGACCTCCCTCCTCCTGTTCCCCAGCTTCATGGCCGAGACCTCCCTCCTCCTGTTCCCCAGCTTCATGGCTGAGACCTCCCTCCTCCTGTTCCCCAGCTTCATGGCTGAGACCTCCCTCCTCCTGTTCCCCAGCTTCATGGCCGAGACCTCCCTCCTCCTGTTCCCCAGCTTCATGGCCGAGACCTCCCTCCTCCTGTTCCCCAGCTTCATGGCCAAGACCTGAGCAGCATTCAGATTCTGGCTCACACCCTGCATCCAAACCCCAGAAGTTCTCATACAGGGAAAGACAGAGAAGGGAGAGGGTCATCAAGATTAGGGAAAAAAACAACAAAAAAAGGAAAACCAACTAGGATTAGGCTCAGCAGCAAGCAAGAGAAAAAAATCAAAATAGCAGTGGCTTAAAGGACATGGAAGTTTCTTTCCTTCTGTCATAAAAGTGGGAGTCAGTCCGGGAGCAGTGGCTCATGCCTGTAATCCTAGCACTTTGGGAGGCCGAGGTGGGCAAATCATGAGGTCAGGAGATCGAGACCATCCTGGCTAACACAGTGAAACTCCGTCTCTACTAAAGATACAAAAAATTAGCCGGGCGTGGCGGTGGGTGCCCATAGTCCCTGTTACTCGGGACTGAGTAGGAAGCAGGAGAATGGTGTGAACCCAGGAGGCAGAGCTTGCAGTGAGCTGAGATCGCACCACTGCACTCCAGCCTGGGCGACAGAGAAAAACTCCGTCTCAAAAAAAAAAAAAAAAAAGTGGAGGTCAGAACCCAGGCCTGCCTTGGCCACTTGCCCATGGTGTCCTGGGAAGCCAGATCCCTCCAAGGACTGGGCCCCACAGCCCTAAAGAAGAAAGAGGCAGAGGGTAGGCACAGACGTCTTTTAAGGAGGGTGCACCTCTAAAAGTTGTCACATGACTTTTCCACTTACGTGTCATTGGTCAGAACTTACATGGCCACACTTAGCTGCCAGGAGGTTGGAATTACAGTTTTTATTCCTGGCAGCCATGTACCAGCAAAACCTGGGGACGCTATTTCTATGAAAGGGGAGGAGAACAGATACTACGGGACAACTAGCGGTTTCTCTCTTAATACCCAAAGCACACAATTTTCCCCAAACCAATGTATTTTTTTTTCAAAATAAGATGATGGACCATATAGAAAATAAAATGTTTTTCTGGAAAGTTGATGTGGGGTTTTGAAAATACATGCAATGTAATTGGCTAATGGAAGTTTTAAACTGAGGGGGAACAGATATGCCATTTTTTGCATCTTTTGAATAAAATAGCTTTTCCTTGTGCATGCACATTCGTGTGCACGCACACACACACACACACACACACACGTTGACATGGCCTGATTATAGCTTGAGTTCTTATCTCTTAACAGCCCACTGGATGTATTTACCCAGTGTCAGAAAACTTCACCAGCTTGATATTATGCAGCTCAAAACATTTCATTATGTAACTTTGTGCCTGGCCTCTTGAAGCCTCAGTCTTTTCATCTGTAGCATGGGTATGGTAATAGCTCATGCTCCATAGGGTTGCTGAGAGGAGCATATTACATTCTGCATGTAAAGAACTTAGTGCCAGGCTGACACGTAGCAGCTCTCAGTGAATACTAACTATGAGTATTTCTGTTATGATAAGCCTCTTAGAAGTCTCTCAAGAGTTCTGCATTTCACAACAGTTACTTTTTTATTTACATGCTGGTGAAAAGGAATCGGTTGCATCTTTTCTTTCATTGTCTAAACCAAGTCATCAACTCACCTTCAGACCGGATGAGGGGTCCCCAGGACATCTGGTGTGTGGCAGAGGTTTCACTATTTTGCAGCAACCGAAAGTTATTGCAATTCTGTTTTTTTTTTTCCAAGAAGAGAAACGTCAAATTAATTGAACAACATTTATGAGAAAGGAGCTACTATCAAGGATGCTAATGTGATGTATGCGATTTTATCCTGCTAGAAGTTGCAAGGCAAGGGGGCTGAGTTTAGACAGAGGAGTGGGAGACCTGGTGAGACCAGGGTGGTGGGTCCTGGTGCAACAAGAGGCAGGCCCAGGCGTCAGCGGGGAAGGAAGTGAGGTCTGCAAGAGCAGCAGGCTGGAGAAGACCCCTTGAGCTGCTTTTGGTTGCTAGAGCTGCTTCCTTGGGTCCCTTGAGGACTGTGTCTTGGTCACAGCCCTCAGAGTCCCTCTGTGTTCTCCAAAGGTTGCTGCAGCCATTTGTTCCCCTTTACACCTTTGCCTTACAAAAAAGACTGCCTGGCTCAGTGACATGGTGGGATCTGCTCACTAGATGCCTGAGATGGGCTGCAACATGTCCTCCAAAAAGGGATTGAAGTCCTAAATCCCAGCACCTGTGCATGTGACCTTACTTGGAAACAGATCATCAAGCTGAGGTCATCAGGGTGGGCCCTAATCCACTATGGCTGGTGTCCCTCTGTAAAGGGGAAATTTGGACACAAACATAGATGTGTACTGAGGGAAGGCAACACCGAGAGACAGGGCAAATGCCGTCTACCAGCCAAGGAACGCCCGAGGCCACCAGAAGCTGGGAGAGAGGCCTGGGACAGATCCTTCCTTTAGAACTCTCAGAGGGAACCAGCCGGCTGACACCTCCATCTTGGACTTCCTGCCTCCAGAACAGAGACAATAAGTTTCCACTGTTTAAGCCGCTCAGTTTGTGGTACGTTCCTACAGCAGCCCGGAAAGCTCATACACTATCTATCCATCCTAAAGGAGCTTGAAAAACACACTGTGTGCCGCTCCTCTTGTAAAGAATTCTCTTGTAGAGAACTTGAGAGCCAGCCGCTCCCTGCAGAGACGAAGCCTGGCGGTGGCTGTCCGTGCTCCTGTCATCTCTGAGGCTCCAGTGGAACCAGGGGCAGGCTCCTCGTGTGTGGCCCTCAGCCTGCTGTCATTAGGACCTGAGGTTCCTTCTGTCCCATTGCTCAGGAAGATCTAGTGTTTGAGCAAAACAGACATGAACAGAATCAGCCTTCCTTGTGTTGCTTCTCTATCCACGTCCTGCAGACGCTCAGAGCTTGGTCACCCAGGAAAACAGCTCAGATGAGAGCAGGAACAAGCACTACCTCCGAGGAGAGAGAAGCATTCGGTCACTGAGCAAAAAGCAGCGGAGCTCCCTAAGCTGTCCCCTGCCTCAGACAACAGGCGACCAACATGTGGGAACCTCATGTACTTGTCTGTGATATAAAGCACAGTTTTCAAACCTCAGGATTACAAAGCATATTTCAAATTCAAAAATCTAAGGAAAACAGGAATGTAAAATTATCCCTGCATGATTGTTGAACAAAGGAAAGGGGAAAAAACTTTATTAAATAACAGAGTGTCTGATATTTAGTATGTTCCATCAATGTTGTTAAAAATAATATTTAAAAAATATTTTTACACCTATAAATCACCTTAGAAGCACTAGGTATCATGGCAAGGCAGTGCTGACGCGACAGCCGGTTGAATATTATGGCCTCAAGAAGGAACTCAGCTCAGCCATTGAGAAATGGGAAATGCCCACCAGTCCACATGAGTCCTCCGTCCAAGGGCTGCCTGCCGTGGAAATACCATTTCAGACGCGGAGTCTGCAGGACAGGCACAGCGACTCCTCCCAGAGGTTGGCCCCGAGCCACTCGAGCCCTAGGTTTTTATTAACAGAGCCTCGAACCGTAACAATAAGGAACGTGAATCCAACCAAACGTTTAGAAAACCAAAAAACACTTACGATTTTGCACGTGGCTCCGGGGGATTCCATGCAGACGCGGAGTTTGCAGTGCAGGTAGACGATGGAGTCGTTGATAAAGGAAAAGATCCTCAGCTTGAACTGGGCCTTATTGGAGTTGCCGTTCTCAATCACGTTGGTGTATGTGTTGGGCACAGGGCAGCTGAGAAGAGAGGAAATGGGACTCCTTGCTTGTCAGCGAGCCCCGCTGTCCTTGTTCTCAGATGAGTTTACTCACGACTACATCTGACGACACTCGCAGATTCCACAGGCTCCGTGGAAGTCGAGGACCGGGCACCTCATTTGTTCCCCAAAACCCAGGTCCATGACAGCACTCGCCTGGAAATCCTGCAGAGCCCAGAGCTGGCCACACAGCAAGGCCAGGCAATGGCAGTGCCTGCTTGAGCCCTACCTGTTCTTAATGAAGCCCTGGGCATTGCTGGACAGGGGTGCCTGCACTCCTGAGCCCTACCTATTGTTAATGAAGCCCTGGGCATTGCTGGATGGGGATGTCTGCATTCTTGAGCCCTACCTATTGTTAATAAAGCCCCAGGCATTGCTGGATGGGGGTGCCTGCACTCCTGAGCCCTACCTGTTGTTAATGAAGCTGAAGGTGATGGGGTCCCGGGCGTTGCTAGACGGGGTTGCCCAGCACTCCGTCAGGACCACCTTGAGGTTGCTTTTCTGCCTGTAGAGCCCCACTTCGATCCTGACATCGTCACTGGCAGACACGCTATAATTCTGAGGTATGGGAGAGTCTCCGATAAACAACTGCATTTCGGTAACAAAATTCCCAGCGCCGTGGAGGTCCTCGATGATGGTGTAAACCCTGCAAGAGGAAGCAGCTTGCAGGAGGCATGTTTCAGGAGGCGCATTATCGTGGCCCCTCCCATTCCCACTTCTCCCCTAAAACACAGCTCCAGAGGAACGTGCAAATGAACGAGAAGACCCCCTCAACCCCAAACGAGAGCACTTGGAGGCCATTTATTCAGGGCTGGCTGGTCCAGGGGTTGCCTCCCTCAGTTGTATAGGTGGAGACTCAGTGGAAGGTGGGGGGTCCATTATAGAAAAAGTGGTGCCTGATGGAGGCTTGGGTGGCGGCCTGCCAGTGGCTCACTGGAAGTGGGGCCATCCCATGGGATTGGCCACGGGACATATTTGGCCTTCTCTGGCTAGCCCTGAGTGGGAAGAGGGAACAAAATTTGGGGAGCAGCCAGGCCACACCCATTTGTATATTCCATCTCAAGGAAGGGTCCTTAAGTGGTTGACACCCTAAAGAACTCTCAAAGCGCAGGTGGTCTGGAGGCACGTGGCTGTGGGGCAGCCGGGGCATTTCTCCCTTACCCCCACTCCAGGGTGAAGCCGGAGGATGTCAGCAGGTCATTCTGGAAGGCGCAGTAGATGGGGCTCAGGATCTTCAGGTGGTGGATGATGCCCTCCTGGGACAGGTCGTTCCTCAGCGTGGTCCTCACCACGGTGTTCGTCATGTTCTGAGCACAAAGCGGAGCATGAGGAGCTCCCAGGCCCCAGCCGGCCCCCCACGCCCTGCTGTGGGCCACGGCTCTAGGTGCTGGGGGGATGGGGGTTCTTCTCTAAAGCCTCTCCCCAGCAGCATCGAGATCCTGGCGATTCTCCCAACCATAAACTGCCTAAGAGCCTAAGGGCTCGGCCTCTGCTCATTCCCTATTGACCAGAGGAGGCAGCACCTGAACCTGTGGGGATTCCGTGGCAGCTGCACAAATAAGTCTTTCTGGGAAACTTAGTTTTTGACAAGTGTCAAAAACCGTCAAGAGCTCTTGTGGATTTCAGGGACTGGGTGAGTCATCAGAGACAAATTCCCTTTTCTTTCAACATGCCCCAAACCCTGCTGCATTTAATAATCAAGCCAAGCATTGGTCTGGTTCAGAAAAACACAGAGGGAGCTGCCGGCTGCAGGCTCTGCCCAGGGCCCCAGTCCTGGGAGGCGCTGTCTCTCCACTGGAGCTGCCGCTGTGTGGGTGGCGATCTGAGCACCAGGCAGGCTGTCCTGCACCCTCAGCCCCTCCACTTGGCCCCGCAGCCCTGCAAGAGCCCTGCATAGGCTTGAGGATGCCGCTGTGGCCCGGCCCACATGCACCTCTCACCCCAGACCTCCCTCACCAGGGAAACTGCCGAGAAGCCACAGGAGCCACTGATCACCGCCCATCCCCCTTGCAGACACCCCCCTGCTGCCAACGCTCGGCCTCCAGGTGGCCGTCTAAGAAGCTTTGAGGGAGAAAACTAATTCTGGGCAGTTCTGCTTAAGTTGTGCCATTTGAGGGGCTGAAGGGTGAGGAAGGTTTTGTAGCTGTTGAAACAGTGCAGGTTACTCCTTCAGCCCAGGGAGGATCTGAAGAGCCCCCGAGGGGGCGGAATGAGCTCGGCAGAGTGAGCTGTGCCTCCCAGGCAAGCTTGTGCTCTGCAATGGCCTCCGACGCGTCCACGTGAATCCCTCAGCTTCCTGGCCACCCTCAGTCCCAGCTCCAGGCTCCAAGCAGGCTCCACACCATGGAATCACCTTATGCCCCACCTCCCCACCTCATCCCTCAGCCCCTGGGGCTTTCTGGCCTCTGCTCCCCAGGGCTAGCTCCTTACTCAGCCCCAAGGTCCATGTCCCAGCCTCCTGCTCAGGACGTCCACCCGGTTCCCACTTTGTCGGCTCCCAGACATTGACACCCCATGCCAGGACTCTGGGTTTCATCTGACAGCTTTGACCCATCCAGTGCCAGAGGCCGCCCTGTCCCCACTAAGGAGTGTGTCCAGACCCCCAACCAGAAGCAGCACCCCCTCAAGGCTCCTCAAGAGGCAGAGCCACAGGGACGGGGCTGCTTCTCGGTGTCAGGTTGACTTTGACCCTGAACTCCCATGGACCCTGCCGAGCACCCAGGGCTCAGCCGCAGAGCGTGGATGATGATGCCTGACCCATGCGGTCGCTAAGGGACTAAACATCATCATGCATGTAGAACTCTCAGCCAAGCAGGTCCACGGTGGTTTCAGGGCACCACCCCAACCAATCCCTTTTTTTAGAATGCAATGCCTTGGACTGCTCAAAGGTCCTGAGGGACAGAAGCCCAGGGCCCAGAGTTCCCGCCAACGACCAGGAACCACCATTCCTGCCTAGCTCCCGATGAGGACAATGTCCCCATTAGGAGAGCCTTCTGGCCCTGGCTCCTAGGCCAGGCACTGCTCCCTGCTCAGCCCCATCCACAGCCCCACTTTCCCACCAGGCCTCATACCCCACCCTGCCCATGAGTGTCCACCCTTCCATCCCTGCCCACCTGACCAGAACCACTCGGACAGACTCTTAACTCCGCCATGGTTTCCAGCCTCCCTCATCTAGCCACCCCCGGCATGGCCCTTGGATACATTCACAGCTCTCTCACTCACCCTTGGAACGACGCTGGCCTCCTTTCTAGGTCGAGCCCCTTCCCAGAAGGCCACTTCCCCAACCCAGAGCCGGCACGGGCTCCCTCTGAAGCCGCCGGCCCCTCCAGGCAGCTTCCCTGATCCACCCTGCACTCCCAGGCCCATGCGGCCCAGGCCCCTGTGTCCAGTACCAGGCTGAGCTGGTGGAAGGTGCTGGCTCTCCCCTCCTCTTGTCCCCCAAGCAGGGCCCTGAACACGAAGCCTTTGTGCTCCATGTGGCCAAGTGGGGTTGGAGACGAACAAGGGCCTGCATGGGAGCGTTCGCTGTGACACAGAGGCACCCTGGGAAGAAGCAGGACCTGGAGCCAGGTCAGCTACCTCATGGGTGCCACACACTAGAGGCTCAGAGTAGACCCAGGACGCACTGGCCCAGAGTCACCTGCAAGGGGAGGTGCCAGAGCCCATCTGTGCACACAGAGGTGCGAAGGCCTCAGGCCAGGAAAACCCACTTTCCCCACCTGGGCTCCCTCTGTCCCGGGAGCCCCACAGCCCATCCAGGACCCTGAAATAGAGAATGTTCGCTAGGAACACAGTCCCTCCGACAGAGCAGTTCTGACTAATGCCATCCAATGCCCCCCAAACACACACCCATACATACACACTCACACATGGACAAACGCATCCACACATGCTCAACTCACGCACACATGCACACATGCACATAGACACATTCTCACATTCACACACTCACACATTCATACATGCATGCACACCCACACGCACACAAGCACGCGATACACATGCACACACACACGCACGTACATATAAGCACAGCCATGCATATACACATACACATTCGCACACACAGATTCACACATTTACACACATTCACACACATGCACACCCCCACATACACAGACATATTCAGACACATGCACACATGCACACACGTACACTCACACACACACACTCTCATATCACACAGGACTCCTTGGCTTTCCTGCCTCTTCCTGTCCCACTGCCTCTCATCCTGTCTGTGCAGGGAGGAGTTTTAAGCCGTGACTCTGAAGCCTGCCCCAGCACTCTGCACCAGAGTCCCTCCTGGGTGGACTCACAGCTCCCTTCCGATTCTGGGGTGCAGGCTGGTCCCTGGTTGAGAACTCAACCCTGTCCTGAACCCCCCTTGCTGGGTTCCCCTCGGGGTGCAGAGTCTTGCCTGGCCCTCCCACATCGAGGCCCATGTAACCTAGAGCCCCTTGCGCCCTAGTGTACATCCTGAGCCTGGCTCTCCTGGTCTTACGCTCTGCATGAGGGTCCCACACTCGCTCCAGCCGGCCTCCAGGAGCACGTGTGTGCCATTGCTGTGGCTCACGTTGCAGGAGGGGTGGCTGAGGTACAACGAGGACTCGGGGATGGATTCCTGCTGCAGGAAGCGCTTCTGGATGGCGACAACCACCTTCTCGATCTCACAGAGCACCCTGACTGCTCCGGTCAGGTTCAGCCGCTGGGGCAGGCCTTGGGGGGTGGGGCTGGTGCCTTGCACAAAGGCAGCCTTGGTCCCTGCTGTGGTGAGAGGCCTCTCTGGGCTGGTGGCCCAGGTTTCATTGCCAGGAGAGTCACCTGCAAGGCACAAGGAGGAAAAGGCAAAGAGTGGCTCTGTGTTTGGGGTTGGCATGGAGGGGCAGGGGTAAGGAGCAGACTGGAGCTGCCCTGCACTCTGCAGCAGCCACACCTGGGAACCGCATGTTCCAGCCACAACTACACACGTGCACACACACACACACACACGCACACATATGCACACACACGTACACACACGTGCATGCACACACATGCACGCAGAGATGCACACACATGCACACACATGCACACACGCACGCACACACGTGCAGACACACACACACGCACACATGCACATGTTGCACATTTCCACCAGCTCAGGGATCCAGGCTCACCATGGGCCCCCGAGGGCCAAGGACCGAGGGACCTGATGCCGGGGATGTGCCAAGCCAGTGGATACAGGGTGAGTCTTCTGCCCTGAGAGCCCTGAGTCTATTCTCTAAGATGGGGTAATGATGCCTCCTCTTGAGGTCCTTGTGCCCAAACTTCCCACTCCAGCTCCCTTCTTGCCCCCAGAGCAGGTTCAGTTTCAATGCCTAGGAGAACAAGGGGCCCGGAAAGCTTTCCAATCCACCCACCTGTTCTCGGGGTGGTCTATATGGAAGCAGACCCCAGACACAGCTCCGCACGTGCCCTCCACCCTCCTTCAGCAGTGGCTCCATCATCTGTGGGCCTGGTTTGTGCCTTCTTTTATCTCAGAGTGGGGCTTGCCCAGCCCCAGCACCCTGCAGCTCCACCCAGCTCACTCCTGTCTCTGGGCCATAGTCCAAACCATTGCTGAGGACTTCACAGTTGGCTGCTGCCTCACCCGCCTCCCTGGGCAGCCTGCTTCTCGCTCTCTGCCACCCATCTCCTGCAGGTCCCTGCATGTGAGATCACGCCCATCACCAGCTCTGTTCTCACCACGGCACCCACCCACCATGCCCTGCCCTCCCTGCTGGGTGCCATCTTAGCTATCCATTAAGACCAGCTTCAAGACACCACTTCCAGGAAGCCCTCCCTGGCCACACTCACTGGACTGAAGCAACTTAGCCTCCTCTGTGCTTCCTGATTCTACCTCAAGCAGGACACGTTCTATAGCCCCCCGGATACCACACTCACTGGTATAAATGCCCACCTCCCTTCACTTGACGCAGATTCCTGGATAGCAGTGGCCAACGTGGGGTCAGTGTTAAATCCACTAAGACCCCGTTTAGCAGGAAAAGAGCTGGGTGGAAAGAGTGGCCAAGAGGAAACATTCCCCTGTGTCGCGTGTCCCACGGCTGCGTGTTTCACAAGACGGTCGCTCAGCATCTGCACGTTCACACCTCATGTATGTGTATATTTTCTCTCCATGGATATCAGAGCTAGCACTTGGAGAGATAAGGCACTGCCCAGAAGCCTGGACACATATGAAAGAATGGGAAGGAACATGCACACACGTACACACATGTACACATACATCACACACACACACACACACGTGCACCCACATCACACACAGGAAACTTCCCCAGGACATAAAAATATGACCTCAGAGGGACAAGAAGCCCTTTGCACGTGAATGTCCTTAAAAAAAACCGATTATGATACAGTATTCCAGAAGAAGAAACTCTGACGACATTACCTTCACAGGGTCTCTCAGAATATTCCACAGGGAAGTCGGGGGCTCCTCCCTCGCAGCTACAAGTGAAAGACCCGAGGGTGTTTCGACAGGATGTCCCCGGCACACAGTCGTCCTCCTTCCTTTCACACTCATCGTAATCTGCACAACATTTAGAAGACAAAACAGAAGAACATCCCTGGGGGCTTGTGGTCTCACAGCAGCCTGGTTGGGGGAGAGTGCATCTCACAGACAAAGCTGGAAACTCCAGCCACAGCAGACTGCAGTCAAGCTCACCAGTTCTGGAAAGTACAGGAGGCTTCCTGAAGCTGGGGCTGGGAATGGCTAAGTATGTCTGCAGGGGCTGTTCTGGAAGGAGGATTCTGGCCCAGGGCTGGGAGGGGGATCTGGGCAGAGCAGGGCCATCCCTTCAGTTCCCGGGAGTAACCAGGAGATGCACAGGCCCCCAGATCCACCTCGGTCCAGCCCAAGGGACCCAGGCTGCAAGCCCAACCCTGGGCAGAAGGCCCTCAGGCCATTTGCCTTTCGCCATGATGCTGGGTTGATTGTTGACAGCAAAACAGGTTTACTGCAGAACATGGATAAGAACCAGAAAAGCGTGGCCAGGGGCAAGTTAGCATGTGGACGTATTTCCTTCCAGCCTTTTAAAATGCAGGCATGCTCTGAGAGCATAGCTTGCCTCTGCCACCAACTAGCTCCATGCAAATCCACAAACCGCTATTCTCATCATTGCATAACAGCCCGGGGCGGGGACACCTGGTAACTTAGCACCTTCTTTGTTACTGGATGATTGGTGATTTCCAACTCTTTGGCTTTTAAAGTAACACTGAAGATGAACATCTTTGTATTTAAACTACGGTCCAAACAGATCAAATTCCTTAGGACAAAGTCGTAGAGCTGATATTTCAGAATCCAAGTGGATGGCCACTTTGAAAGCGTTTGATTTATGTCACCAAACTGGTTTCCAGGAAGCATGAGCAAATCCTTCTGCCACCAGCAATCTGTGCAAACACCTGCCTCACTACACTTTCACCAGTATTCATGTCAGCAGTAAAGAGACCTTTTGTTTGCAATTTGATGGGCAAACAGTGCAATGCATTCTAATGGGGATGTCTTGGGTTACCACATCTTTGTTAGTCATTCATATTTCTTCTTTTATACCTTGTCTGTGTAGAGCTTTCGTGCATTTATCCATCAGGTTCTTAATATTTATCTATTTGTATGATCTCTCTATATATTTGGGATACTAACACTTCACCAAATTATTGAAAAATTTTTTGTTTACTTTGCGTTAAAATGGTGCCTTTATTTTGATTTATCTCTGCATGCAGTCAGCATCTCATCGTTTTCCTCTAAAAATCGTATTTTCTTTAGGAAGTCCTTCTTATTCTAAAAATCAAAAAATTAATATGAATCTCCAATTTTTAAAAAGTCTTTTGTTTCTGATACATGTAACTATAAGCCATTCATCATTTATGTTCAAGTATGATAGGAGAAAAGAATCTGAATTGTCTTTTTCTCCCTGCTTTTCTCGTTAATTATCTTTACTGGGATCTCCTTGGGAACTATGCTTGGGGGAGAGTCTGGCTGCAGAGAGGGATGCATCTGCCCTCAGCCCATGGAAACAAGCAGCGAGGGGGCAGTCGACCCGGAAAGAAAGCAGCACCCCTGGGGATCTGCAGGTTCACCCAAAGATGTTTTCAACACTTCAACCTTTACACAATTATAATCACAATAAGAGGGACAGACAGGGTCCTATCTATTTCACATCTTCATCTAATTCTGGGGGAAGAAGGACCACATGGGCACAACACGACATCTTTCAAAAGCGAAGGGTGGTGGCTGCCCTCTGGCTGCCTCTGGTTCCAGAACACGGGAGAGGCTCCATCCCAGCCTCTCGTACCCTGTATGAAGGTGTCGCCTCTGATCACCTCCAGCAGAGGCACGGTCTGGAAGGCGGTGAGAAATGCAGCTGACACCTCCTGGACATCCACATCTGCGATTATCAGCAAGTGAAACTCCACCACGATGCTGCCGTTGGTGACGCTGACGACTTCCATCCTGACCCCACCAGCGTCCATGTGCTGACACATGGTGGCTGGCAGGGAGCCCCGCACCTGCGGGGAAAGAGGCCATGTGAGGAGGTCCCCACGCTGAGAGGAAACAGATGCCCGTCTCAAGGCGGTTCCTCCTGCCAGTCTGCCCAGCAGCAGGGCTGGCCCGTGGCACAAAGTAAAAGCCACAGGTTGGTTCTGGGCCCCTTTCCTGTCTGCTGTGTTTTCAAGCCCAGCACAAACGCCTGGGAGTGTCTGTGATATGAGAAGAGCCCTTGTTTCCCCCCCCAAACCAGTAAACGGCTTCAGAAAGATGCCTGTGGGGCGAGGGTGGGACTTGGGGGCACAGGCAGAGACCCTACCTCATGGGGCTTAAAATTTGCTGGGGGCTCACAAGGGCTTCTAGAACCTAATACTCCTGGTTTGCAGCCACCGAGGGCAGGGGGCTGAGTGCAGGGTCGTGGGGAGGGAGACCACTTCCCGCTGCCTTCTCTGGAACAGCTCTTTTGCTCCTGGCACTGCAGAACATGTCCCCTTTCATTCTTCCTCCCTACCTCTCCCCAGACTGCTTCCTGTGAGCATTTCCAACTTCCCCATTAGGACAGGGGGTTCCTGCCCCCGAACGCCCTGCTTTCTACTCTGTCTCTTTGGACACAGTCACACACCACACGCTATATGATTGATTCCATGCTAACCCATCATGGTCAAAGCACTCAGAAAGGCAAACAATCTTATAATGAGCTTCAATCATCCTCAGTGCAAACCTCCTATGGGTACTTCCAGGGTTTGTCCTCACAGGTGCGATGGCTCAAGGCCTGGGTCATGGACTCACTTCCCGGCTTCTGGGCCACCAAGGTGAACAGATCCATTGTCCCTCTCAGAGCCTGTGGACCCCAGGGAGACCACAGCTGCCCTTGGTTGGCTCAGTAGATGACTGTTGTCGTGACCATCTTCACAATCAGTTCTTCCCTCTCTCTTTCTCTCAGAGGAATCTGGCATAGTCTTGGATTAATGTGACTTTTAGCTGCATTTCAAACCAACCTCTAAGCAAACTTCCAGGCCCCTTGCTAGGAAGTGGTGAAGAGCCAGGGACCAAGCCATGCAGCCAACACCTCCTGACATCCACGTCTGCGGTTATCAGCAAGTGAAACCCCCGAAATTTCTCTTAACATCCTACTTCTGTGATTAAGTTGTATAATTATTTGCTGTCCTGAAATTCTAGGCAAACAGAAAAACAACACCCCAAAAATGGGCAAAGGAAGAAATGGTTCAAAGAGGAAAGATTAATCAAGAAACTCGGGAAGGAAACGGAGCTGCCTCTTTTGACCACTCGAGCCAGGTGGAAGGATTCAGTGTTTGTTGTTTAATATTCTAACTACTATTTAACCTTATCAATGAAATCACATTATTAATCAAACCGTCAACAACTGTTGAATGCACAAACCAGGAGCAGGGAATGAGCTAGGCCGTTCCCAAAGGCTGTCGAATCTTCTCATCTGTGGGGGAAGCGCTGGGGTTTGCAGCCCTGCTACGGTATTACCACGACAGGCCACTAGGTGGCAATGTCAAACCCTCTCTGTGCTGAGCTCAGACTCAGGAAATCTACAATGTGAGATTCCGTGCAAACAAAATCACTAGATTATGACAAGGGCACTCCCTATACCTCAAAAAGTCCACAAGAAGGCATGTCACTAAATGGTAACAGATAGCATCCTGGAGAATGCTGAGGGGATGGCAGGGAGGAATGCAGGAAAGAGCAGGAAAAGAACTTTCTCTGAGGCAGGGGCATTGCAGCACTATTTATAACAGACAGAAGGCGGGAGCCGCCCAGTGCGCTCGGTGAATGAATGGATGAGACTGCATGGGTTATGCCCCAGCCATAACAAGGAATCCAGTGCTGACACATGCTGCCACGTGGATGAAACCAGAAAACCTCATTTTAACTGAAAGAAGCCAGACACAAAAAGTCACATATTGTATGATTCTGTTTCTGTGAAATGTCCACAATGGGCAAATCTATAGAGACAAAAAGCAGATAAGTGATTACCAGGAGCTGGAGGAAGTGGCGAGAGGGAGTGACTTTTTTTTTTCTGTTTTTGAGATGGGGTCTTGCTCTGTCACCTAGGCTGGAGTGCAGTGGCAAGATCTCAGCTCACTGCAACCTCTGCCTCCTGGTTTCAAGCGATTCTCCTGCCTCAGCCTCCTGAGTACCTCGGATTACAGGCACCCGCCACCACATCCGGCTAATTTTTGTATTTTTAGTAGAGATGGGGTTTCGCCATGTTGGCCAGGCTAGTCTAGAACTCCTGACCTCAGGCGATCCACCCACCTCAGCCTCCCAAAGTGCTAGGATTATAGACATGAGCCACCATGCCCAGCTGCGAGTGACTTCTAATGGGTATAAGGTTTCTTTTTGGGTGATGAAAATGTTCTGGAATTAGTAGTGATGGTTGCACAATTTTGCAAAATAGTCTAAACCACTGAATTGTACAGTTTAAAAGTAGATTTTATGGTCTGTGAAATAAATCTCATTTTTTACAGGTTTAAAAAAAAAAAACCGTGGAGGGACTTTCTGCTTCATAGGTTCCACAACTGAAAAACAGGTTTCACTGGACAGAAAGTGAAGTGTGAAGTAAGGATGCAGCAGAGGAAGAGTTGTGCCTCCTGTCTGCTAACCGTGTCTTCGCCGGGGCAGATCCAGGGACACTCAGGGAGTCAGGCCAGAGCTTAACGTCCTGGCTTCCTTCAGAAATGAGGAGCTCATAGGACCTATAGGTCAAATTCCTAGTTGGATGAGACTAGAATTCTTTTTTTTTTTTTCCCACAGGGTTTCACTCTGTTGTCCAGGCTAGAGTGCAGTGGCACGATCTCGGCTTACTGCAACCTCTGCCTCCTGGGTTCAAGAGATTCTCCTGCCTTAGCCTGCTGAGTAGCTGAGGTCACAAACATGCGCCACCATGACAGGCTCATTTTTTGTATTTTTTTTTTTTTTTTTTTTTTTGGTGGAGATGGGGTTTTGCCATGTTGCCCAGGCTGGTCTTGAACTCCTGAGCTCAGGCAATCTGCCCGCCTCTGCCTCCCAAAGTGCTAGGATTACAGGGGTGAGCCACCGTGCCTAACCTAGAATTCTATCAGCCTTCCACCCTTTCCCTCCTGAAAGGAATTAAGGGCTGATATCACCAACTCACCATCCTGAAGAATAGTTCTAGGAAATCTCGATACTCCTGGCTGCTTGCGTTGCGAAAGGATTCTGAGTACCTGACATTTTTGATTCTGACCTTTCCAATGAGCTTCCGGGCTGCTGCAGGATGGAGGATAAGCACATTTGGAATTGGTGCTGTATTAGATAACAGACTAACATTTCAATATTAATAAATGTATTTTCATGTCCAGGAAGAGCATCACACCAAAGCCAACCCGTGTTCTAGAAAGAAGGAATAGTGCCAGGGCTCAGGGACACAGCCCATCAGATTCCAGAGGACACAGAACACAGCCTGAACACAGTGGGAGAACCTTCCAGAGGCCACAGAGCCAGCTCGCCCCTGCAACTGTCTCCCCACCACACATAGCCTTCCTTCCTTGCTGCCGTTCCCCCATGCTGGGGTTCAGACAATTTCCCAGCAAGCTGGCATGACTTGAAGCATGTGGAGGCACCATTAAATAACTTTGCCAGGGCTACGGGTGCAAACTGGGCTGTCCCAGGTATAACAGGACTTAGGGCCCTGGCCAGGCCTCTGCTCAGAGTCCACGTGGCCACAGGGTGCCCAGGGGTCTTGTTTGGAGCCAGTCCTTCTTCCTCCCCCAGCAGCCCCACCTCCCCTGGTCTATGGGCAGTCCCTGTTTTGGCATCATCTGTTCCATCTGAATCTTTTCCCTCCGCAGAGGGCTTCTAGGAGTATGTGGCACATAAATGTGGTCCAGGAATGTCGCCATCCCATCCTGGCCCTGGCATGGCAGCCACCCCAGTGTTCAGTCAGTCCCTCACCAGATATTTGCAAAGCGCCTGCCATGCGCCAGAGGCATTCTAGACAGTGAAGGAGAAAGACACAGCTCTCCCCTCAGGGGGCTTAGAGTCCATCTCCCCAGAGCTTCTCACTAAGTTTAAGACAAACCACAGAGCCATTCTGCTATGCATTCCTGGGCGAACCCCAAACTCTACGTCCTTGAGATCATTGTTGTTGCTGCCCCTGAGGGCTTCTGGTTCAGTCTCCATGGCTGGCATGAGCAACCCAGTCTGAAAGCCATCAGTAGCAGGACAGGTGCACAGGTGAGAGCAGGTATAAGTGCACCCACAGGTTTGGGGTCCCCCGTGCAGCCTGTCCCGTCCAGAGCAGCTGAGACCTTCAGAGGCCCAACTCTGGCTCTCAGACCCCAGAGCCACCCTGTCTGACTGTCCAGCCAGCACTGATCTCCCTCCTCTCCAGCTGCTCGTGAACGTGCACAATTCACGTCATGCACTCCATCTGTTCTCTAATTTCTCAGGCCATGGCTGATTAGTACTTTAAAGCACATACATAGTTCTCAACTTCTATTATTGCATCCCAATAGACCATCTTATGCCTCTCTCAAGGGGTGTGCGCCCCACTGTGCAGACCACTGCTATCAATGCTGCCCACAGTGTGAAACCATCCTACACCTCCCTCAAGGGGTGTGCGCCCCACCGTGCAGACCACTGCTATCAACGCTTGGGAAGCTGCCCATGGCGTGAAAACCAGCTTGCAACATCAGACACGCTCTTGACTACCCAGGTAAGGTACACATAAGAAAATACCCAGGTAGCGATGCTAATGAAAAGAAAAGAGGAATTTCATCCAAATATGTGTAATATTGTCACTGTCCAGCTGGAACGCAGTGGAGTCTATGTTTGATTCATTATTGCTCAATTCTTTACTTTGTGGCCCCAGGCTCTGGCAGGCTGCTCACAGATCATCCATGTGACTGCCGATTGTCTGTTGATGTCCTTCCTGAAAGCCAAGTCCTCTGTAGGACTGTTGAGATCAGAGGGAGTGGATGCAGCTCAACAGATGAGCACCGCATGCATTTTCCATGCTGCCTCCCCCGGAGGACATGGGTGAGCCGCACCCGCAGCCTTCCAGGCGCAGTCTATGGCACTCTGCTGCCGCCTCCATACCCGTGGGCTGCCTAATGCCTTTTCCTGAATAAGCCACCTCCTGTCTGGCCGTCATTGCACGCCTGCTGAAGCCAGCCGGATGTCCCTAAGCTGAGAAGAACAATGACACCTAGCAGCCCATAAACAAATCCAGCTCTCTTAAGCCTTAACCCACAGAAAGTCTTTTTCATACTTTTTGTTCCTCTCTTTAAAAACAAATGGAAGCCCATTACCTGTCCTCACTTTCAGATGAGCTCTGGCACCTTCTTTCCCACATGCTTTGGCCATGATCTCAACCAGGTGCAAGACCCCAGGCTCCAGCCCCGACAGTGTCACACTCGTGTTCCAGGTCTCTAGGACCACAGCAGGGCTCCACATGGAAGTCAGAGTGAGCTGGAAGGTGGAGTCCATAGCAAGATCCGCCTCCCATGCCAGGTGGAAGCCGGTGCTGGTCACATTGGAGACCATGATCCTCCCAATGGAGACAGGAACTGGGAAGTGGAATATAAACACCAAAATTACAATCAAGCCATTTCTAGGAGAAAAGAAGCCTCGCCCAATGCCAAAAATCAAATTCATCACCATGGGGACATGAGCGATTTGCAGGTGATGGCCGCCGAGGTGATGGGTGAGTAGGATCCTGTACAAACCTCCCAAGCCCGGGCTTCCTGGGCCTGCATCCTTGCCCCTCCTTGGGATGATAGCAAATGGCTTCTGATTTTGTTTTGTTTCAGCAGATGGTTCATATACATCCCTGAGGCCCCTGGACTCCCCAAAATGAAGGCCTCTTGAGCAGGTTCTTGGTGGCGCCTCAGATGGACTGTCTACTCTTGACCCCTGGGTGGATTTACCCAGGGTCCAACTAGGAGTTGACATTGGTGACAATGCTGGCTAGAGAGCCATTCTTACAGGAAGACCCCAGGTCCCTCGGTAATACTGACTTACATGGGCTAAGAGTTTAGTCTTAGAGCCTGTGCTGCTTAGCAGAGGAAATGCATTGAGGAAGATCACATTTGACAGCTCATTTGGATGAAATCCAGAGGCAGGCTAGCTCTGCAAGCTCACAGGGCTGTCACGGCTGAGATCCAACTCCTGCACAGATTCCTGCTGTGAATCTCCTGAGATGTCACCTGGGGGTTTGGTGATGGCTAAATCTTCTACAAGTAACATGGAATTGCTGGGGGTTACGGTATGACTAGAGGTGCATAACAGCTGGGGGGTGCAGGAACTCTGGATGTGTAGAGCAGATGGGGGTACAGAACACTTAGGGGGTAAAAAAACAACTGGGGGTACGGAACAGCTGACAATCCAGAGCATCTGCAGAGGTTCAATATCTGGGGTGAAGAACAGCTGGGGAACTACAGAACTGTGGGTGCAGAACAGCTGAGGGGGCACAAAACAGCTGGGGAGGTGCAGAACACCTATGGAGGTGCAGAACAGTGGGGAGATACAGAAGAGCTGGGGAGATACAGAAGAGCTGGGAGGTACAAAACAGCTGGGGGTACAGAACAGCTGGGGGTGCAGAACAGCTGGGGAGATACAGAATCTCTGGGGCATATAGAACAGCTGGACAGATACAGAGCAGCTGGGGAGATACAGAGCAGCTGGGCAGATACAGAACAGCTGGGGATGCAGAACAGCTGGGGGTGCAGAAGAACTGGGGAGATGCAGAACAACTGGGGGTGCAGAACAGCTGGGGAAATGCAGAATCTCTGGGGCATATAGAACAGCTAGGCAGATACAGAGCAGCTGGGGAGATACAGAACAGCTGGGGAGGTGCAGAACAGCTGGGAGTACAGAAGAGCCGGGGGTGCAGAAAAGCTGGGGTGCAGCACACCTTGGTGTGCAGAGCAGCTGCAGGGCTGCAGAATGCTTGGCAGGGTGACGGAACAGCTGAGGGGTGCAGAACAGCTATGGGAGTGCAGCATTACTGGGAGGGTGCAGAGTTGTTGTGGGGGTGTCATCACACTGATCGGGGCCGGGACACAGTTCTGCTAGGAGGCAGGACAGCGGGGGTGGGCAACACCTCAGGGGATGGCTCCAGCACCTAACGCGACAAGTAAGGCCCAAAGCCTGCTCCTGAAGGCAGACCTCCGCCCCAGCTGCTGCAGACAGGGAGCCCTAAGAGATGGGGAAGAGAGATCTGGGACAGGCAAGGGGACCAAGCTGTCTTCCTAACTCAACTAGAAACCAGCTGCTGGGTGCCTCCGTTTCCACACGCACAAGATGAGGATGCCGCCTGAGCATTGCTAGCAGCCTGCGACTCCACGGCTGCAGGAGCTTTGCCCCAGAGGCTCACACAGGCTATGGGTCCTATTAGTCCTAGTCCCCATGCACCATTCGAGGAACTCACCACAGGCGGGGGTCTTCAGAGCTGTGAGGGTGGAGGTCAATGGCAGGTCTACAGAACCGGAGGGTCCACTGTCCTCATTTCGCAGCCACGTGGGATTCAGAAGTGTTTCCCGGGTGGAACGGGTGGCATGCCACAGGAAGTGGCCGGTGGGGTCCTCAGTAGGGGAAGGCCAGGAGGGTGGCTCCATGATGGAGTTTCCCTGTAGCTGTCCAGGGAGGGCCAGTGGGCCATCTGTGGCCCCAGGAGGGAAGCTGTGGGTTGACCCAGTAGCCTTCGGGGAGGAGGTGGTGCCTATCACCCCGATAGTGTTCCTATGGCTGGGGCTCGCCTGGCTGGTGCTCCCCTGGCTGGGGCTCTCCTGGCTGGGGCTCCCCTGGCTGGGGCTCCCCTGGCTGGAGTTCGCGTGGCTGGTGCTCCGCTGGCTGGGGTTCACCTGGCTGGGGCTCCCCTGGCTGGTGCTCCTCTGGCTGGGGCTCGCCTGGCTGGTACTCTCCTGTCTGAGGCTCCCCTGGCTGGGGCTCCCCTGGCTGGGGTTCACCTGGCTGGGGCTCCCCTGGTCCATCCCCAGACCCGGGGCAGTGCTGGGCACCTCCTGCTCCACGCCTTTTCCTGTGTTGTTCCTGTCATACCCGACCACATTGCTGCCCCCTCTTCTGGGTGAGGGCTCTGGGGTCCAGGCCTGGCCTGCTGCCGGGGTGCCCTGAGGGTACCCAGGACTGGGTGACAAGGTGAAGTTCTCTAGGCCGAGGGCTGCTGTTCCCGTGCCAAGACCTGGGACCGTTACCCCTGTTGCCGCAGACAGTCCACCGCCCATGGGGCTCACCAGGTCACCTGCCAAGACACATCCACTGTCAGAGCCTGCTGGATCCCACCCACGAGTAAGAGCCCTCCCAGGAGGGCAGCATGGCCGTCCAGCAGGACTGCTCTGCATCCCGGAGTGGACCTGGCCAGGGACGCAGGCGGGCGCCAGCGTTCAGGAGTGTTTCCTGGGCCCATGTTTGCAGCCTCCCCGGGGCTCTCTGAAGGCAAATCACGCCTCTCCACTGGATAAATGAGGAAACTGAAGTTGAGGGTGAGGGATCCACCCGGGGGGCTACAAAACCCGGGCTTGAATGCAGGGCTTGGTTCTCATAGGCCTCAGATTAATCCATCAGGACTCTGGGAAAATGGGACAATTTCCCCCAGATTTGTGCTCAATGTGGGACTTGGTGCTGGATGCTGTCATCGACTTGCAGGACATTAGGCGAATGAGAAAAACAGAAGACAAGGTGTGGGATGTTAGGAAGCAGGACAGCACACGCAGTGTCTAAGGAATATTCTCCCCAGGGAACTGGTCTCGGCTGCTCCTTCCAGCTAGAAAGCCCTCAGCAGGGGCTGGCAAGCCAGTGGCTGGGCGCCTCTGCCACGCCTGTGTCCGGGCCGACATTGCTAATCAGTCACTGCATTTTAGGTCCCTACGTGGCCTCCTCCTGCTGCTCAATTCAGCATCCCAGGTATCCCCGACCCACTCATCAGAACTGGTCCACAGAAAAGACTGGGGGCCGATACAGCAGGACTAGAGCTCAGCGGCCCCCATCGGGCCTCTCTGCAGCTTCTCTGGGCTTCCACACTGTCTCGGGCTCCAGGCCACACCCTCTCGGGCTCCAGGCCACTGGGGAAGGAATCCCTCGACCCCGGGCTGCATCCTGACTTCTGTGGGCCCAAGGAACTTGGCCTTCATGGACCCCTGCACCCCTCCACTTAACAATCTATCAAAAATTACATTTTATAATGGCATTTAGATAGAGATGAGTGTAATCCAAGCTAGATTCATTGTTTTATGTATATTTACTATCCTTCTATTAATTTCTTTCTTCTGATTTTAAAATAAATTGAAATGAAAACATTTCTGTAGGCCCCTAACATTACCATAGGTCCTCAGCCCTGTGCCTATGGAGAATTGGGCTTTGCCCCACCCCCAGATTCTCGGGCAGGGGGTCTTCCCAGAGTCGGCAGGGGGGTCGACACGTACCCTCACAGGCCCGGCCTGCGCGGGAGGGGGTGGCGTCCCTGGTGGTACGGCACTGGCAGGTGTAGGAGCCCTCCAGGTTGATGCACCAGGCAGCCGGTGAGCAGTCGTGTTCCGCGCTGTCCACACACTCGTCCCAGTCTGCCAGGGGGAGACACAATCAAAACCCATGAGAAAACAGCCAAAGAGTGATCAGAAGACAGACCCATGCTGGAAGGAGTCCTTCCTAGCCGTCTTTGCAGTGAACGGCCGGGAGCAGGGGCATTTTGGGGCATCCGTCCAACACTCTCATGACAACCTTACGGCCTGCCTGTGCCCACCTTCACATTGGTTGGCTTATTTGGGGGCAAAGATTAGGAAATGTTCATTCCTTAAATATTAGCACCCATGGGTGTGCATGTAGCCCTCTCTTCTTTATTCTGTTTCCACACCCAAAACTTGAAATGTTTTCTCCTCTCTCTTTGATGTGCCAACATTCTCCAATACTTAGTGTCTCAACCAAGAAATAGGAAAGTAACTGAGCCAGGGGTGGGGACACAGCTGAGTATAACGTGAACTTTCCGCATGGGGGGTGGGGGTCCAGCGGAGTATAACACCAGCTTTCCACGCCGGGGGTGGGGGTCCAGCGGAGTATAACACCAGCTTTCCACGCCGGGGGTGGGGGCCAGTGGAGTATAACATGAGCTTTCCACACCGGGGGTGGGGGTCCAGCTGAGCATAACACCAGCTTTACATGCCAGGAGTGGGGGTCAGCCTGAGTATAACATGGACTTCTCTCGTGGGGGGGGTGGGGGTCAGCCTGAGTACAACATGAACTTCCCACGCCGGGGGTGGGGTCCAGCGGAGTACAACATGAACTTCCCGCGCCATATTCTAGAGCACCCGGGTGTCTCCACAGGTATGTCCCTCCTCCTGTGCCCAAAGACTTGTGATGTCATGTCACCGGGGGGCCCGCCTGAGGGGAATGAAGGTGAGGACAAGGACAATGTAGCTCCCATGGGGTGGCTGAGCCGAGGTCGTCAGGGCCAGGCCCTGCTGGAGGTGACAGTGCCTTCTGCGCGTGCTTCTGTAGAGCTGCGGGTGGAGGTGCTCGGGAACGAACCCACACCCGGCATGCCAGAGAAGTTCCAATTCAGGTGGAATTTAAGCCACGATGCAGGACCAGTTCAGTTCTGGGCAAAGAAAACCCTGCTGCTGAGTGCTCTGAGGCTCGTTTTGTGGGTTTTTTTCTGTTGTGCTTCCTGCGGTCTCCACAGAAGCAGCTTCCCTGGAGAACAGCAAGCTCGTCAGCTGCCACAACAGCTATGCCACCACCCTAGCATGGCCTGGGGGCTGCCTTGCCATCAGAACACTGCTGGTGCCAACCCACACCTCTTCCTGGGGTGCTACTCAACCTCCAGCCTACAGGTAACTCTCCTGGGGGTGCTCCGGGTTGGGGTTGGAGCCTAGGCTGGCTGGGCTGCAGTCCACGGAGGACAGCAGAGGCACCAGGCAAGACGCTGGCTCAAACCACCAAGCACCTGATGTCTATTTTGGGGCGTGGTGATTCACCTAATCTTCACTCCTCCGTCCCCCCAGACAGCTCCCAAGCGAGCTCAGAGGAAGGCGCTGACAGCTGTATTTAGTCTTGCATTAAGCCTTGAGGCTTGCCGGCCCTCCAGTTCAGAGGAAGAGGCAGGTGTGGGAGCAGGAAGAGCTGCCAGTGAGCCTCTGCACCCTCCCGGGCTGGCCAGGCGAGGGCGCAGAGCCAGCGAGAGCCCAGGGCAGGACGCTGCACACTGCTCCCACTGGCCCCGCAGCTGGGACAAGGGCTGAGCCCTCTCCTGGAGCAATGGGGGCAGCTGCTTCAGAGACTCCCAGCCCAGGTGCCCCTCCTGAGCTGGCCCCACCCAGAACAACAAGCTGGAGAGGGTCCAGGAGCAGGTACAGACCCCAGATCTCCTGGGCCACCCTGTCCCAGCAAGGTGCAGGCTCCTCAGTTGGACCATGAGCTGTCTTTCAGGGCCCAGGGCGTCCTCCAGAAGTGATGCCCCTCGGACTCTCCTGGGGGCGTGTGTCAGATTCACACTGGGAGAAAGAGGGCACAGAGCACCTCATCCTAATGCCACCGCAAATGGACGCTGGACAAATAGCGGTACCCGTGAACCTAAGGAAAGGAAGCAGCCTGCAGTAGGTTAGCCTGGCCAGCAGGTGAGGGGGATGGTGACAGCCCTAGGCCAGGATCCTCACTCACGGCCCTTCTCTCACTCTGCAGAGGGGATGGAAAGGGCTCGCGCAGTGGCGAGGCGGGTGGGAGCAGGCAGCAAACTGGAAGCTTTGGGGAGCTCAGCTCCACCTACTCTGGCCCCAGGAAAAGCGGCGTTGATTCCAGAGCCCCAGAAGACCCACAAGGCCTCTTACGCAGAAGGATGCCGGTGGGAGTCCTGCTCCTCTGGCTAAGGTCGGTGCAGAGGGTTCACAGCGGTGCCTCATAGAAGCCCAGTGATGACCCTCACTCTAGAACAAATGCACACTGTATGAGAATCTCTCCTGAGAGCAGATGTTGGGAAAGAGAAGGAATAGGGGCCGTGCTGTTAGGAGCAAGAGATTGAATGGAAATGATGTGAGGGGTTCAAAAAGGAGCCCCGTGAGGCGGAAGGACCAGTGGGAACCCAGGGGTTGCTAGGAGACCTTCCTAGATGAGCTCTCATCCAAGATATGAAAGTTAATCCTGGAAGAGTTAGCCCTGAACGCTGGAGGGGCCATCAGAAATGCACTGTCGCCATGCACAGGCACTGGGCTAAACCCACACAGGCATTGTGCCTTAATTTACTCCATCGCCATAGGAGGTGGGATGTTGCTGTAATCTCATTCCACAGATGAGTATACTGAGGCCCAGGGAGAGGAAGTCATTTGTGCAGCATCCCACAGTGAGTGAGTGTCAGAGCTGGGATTCCAACCCGTTCCGCCTCACTCTAACCTCTTCCTATGGGGCAAAGTGAGCAGGAGGTTTGGCCGCCGCTGTGAGGGTGCAACTCATAGGCGCGGGGGGCGGCTCAGCCTCCAGGCCTCCCAGCACATGGTACGTACCTCCTGGGGAAAGACCGAACACATGGCCACCTACACAGCCCACCGTGACTGGCGCAGGAAACCCCAGGCCCCGGGATGGACGGCCTAAGGGTAAAGATAAGGTCACGACAACCTGACCCCTCCACGGGCGAACAGCGCCTCATCTATCGGGGTTGGGACATGTGGACGCACCGGCAGGGAGTGCTCCTGAATGACTGAGGAATGCTCTAGTTGTGCCAACAACATTATTTCTAGGTGGACCACAGCGCAAATACCTTTTCTTCTTCAGAGGAGCTCTTTTTGTGTTTTCGTTTCTTGTTTTTTTTGCCGAGTAATATCAAATGTCTTCTTCTACAGATCCTCGCCGTGAAGGTGGGGCTCTCAGCGGGGGTGGATGTCCCCCTGTAAGCTGGGCTCAGGCCTCGTGCTGCCTCCCCAGGCAGGGGCGGTGCCCCATGGTTGCTCCCCCGACTCTGGCGTCCGAAGACACCAGTAGTCATGGAGTCAAAAGAGTGCAGAGGCAGGGCCGCCTCCCCGGCCATGCACGGCCTGAGGCGTCACCATCACTGGCCACACAGCTGACCCCCCAGCTCAGGAGACCTGCCCGCACCAGCACCTCAGCTCTGAAATGTGGAGGAAGCAGGCCACAGCCTGCCCGGGACCCTGCCGGGCAAGAGCCTGCAGAAGGAGCTTAATAACTTCTGCAGGACCACTGAACAGCGTGGGGAGTGGGGTGCTGCGAATGCTTACAATGGATTCATCCAGTCCTAGAGGTGCAAGACACGGGTCTCCTGTGGCTGCCATCACAAACACACCAGCTGGGGGGCCTGAAACAGCACAGATGTATTCCCGCCGTTCCGGAGGCGAAGTCCAAACTCCAGGTGTCAGCAGGGCCGCCCTCCCTCTGGGGCTCTAGGAAAGGGGCTTTCCCAGGCCTCTTCCAGTGTCTTATCTTGTGGCTCCAGGAGTCCTTTGGCTTGTGGCTGCATCACTCCAATCTTGGCCTCTGTGTCTGTGTCTCCTCCTCTTGTCTCGTATAAGAACACTTGTCACTGAACTTCAGGCCAACCCAAATCCAACGGCAGGAGGACCTCATCTTGACATCCTTAACTTAATCGTGTCTGCAAACACCCTTATTCTAAATAAGGTCACATTCTGAAGTTCCAGGTGAACATATCTTTTTGGAGGGGGCCACCATTCTACCCACGACATCCCTGCTGCCGAGGTTCTCATTTGGCAGGGATCTGGAATCGCCTGAGCCCTAGTCCCAGAGGATGGGAGGAGGGAGGCAGGGAGGTGTGGAGGGCGGGCTGGGTGGCATCCACCTGAAGGCTGGATCCGCCTGAAGGTTGGATCACGGGGTCACACACTGAGGACCCTGCTGGGGGCATACCCTGTGGACCCCAACCTCAGGCCCTACCCTGCAGCCCAGCTAGGTGGGATCTTACCAGGTACAGGGGCCACTGTAGTATCCCCATCCTTAGGGAGTGCCAAGTGAACAGAGTAACCCCAGGCCGAGGTTTCCAGGCATGACTTCAAAGAGTAGATCCCCCCACACCCAACCCAGTTCTTCCCGGCACCTCCTGGTGGGGGAAGGTTGGGACAGGAAGCCAGCACGTGGCTGAGCTCCAAGACCCAGCACCCCGGGAGACGACCAGAGAGGTGCCCACTCCACAGATTGAGCCCAAAACTGGAGCTTGTGGATCTAGAGACTGTGTGTGCCCTCACAGCCAGGAGAGAACTCCGTGCCTGCTGCAGGACAGCAAGAACCTGGTCTCCGTGCCTTTCTGTCTCTCTCTTTATCTCTCTGTCTCTTTGTGTCTGTCCTGTGTCCATGACCTCCTGCTTCAAGGCAACACCAAGTAAAATGAAATAACACACAGCGTAATGAAATAGACCCACAGAGGCCGGGCGCGGTGGCTCACGCCTGTAATCCCAGCACCTTGGGAGGCTGAGGCAGGTGGATCACCTGAGGTCAGGAGTTCGAGACCAGCCTGACCAACACGGTGAAACCCTGTCTCTACTTAAAATACAAAAATTAGCCAGGCGTGGTGGCAGGCGCCTATAATCCCAGCTACTGGAGAAGCTGAGGCAGGAGAATCACTTTAACCTAGGAGGCGGAGGTTGCAGTGAGCCAAGATCGTGCCATTGCACTCCAGCCTGGGCAACAAGAGCGAAACTCTGTCTTAAAAAAAAAAAGAAAAGAAAAGAAAAAGAAAAAAAAGAAAAGAAAAAAAGAAAAGAAATAGACCCACAGGTGGGCAGTTGTCCCGCTGCCCAGAAGTGCTGGGGGGCCCTGACGACAGACACAGTGAACTCCTGTCCCTTTCCCCTGAGGGTACCTTCCAGCCCCATTTCACTCAGTGTCCTGGGCTGACCAATGAGACACAGGTGAGCTAGTTATTCAGGGCTACTGCCCTGGCCCCTGGTTCCGGTGGAGGAAGATAGAATAAGGATTTGCATTTCTTTACCCTTTGAAATAAAGGAAAGACTGACTCAAATAAAGTCACCAAGAGGATTTCTGAGCTGGAGGACACCAGGCAGCAGGGCGGGTGGCTGGGCCATACCTTGCACGCGTGTCCCCTGCCGGTCAATCTGGAACACTGTGCTTGCCAACAGGGGCTGGAGTATGGGGGCCAGCGTGGAGATGCCCATGGGAAACCCGGGGTCCTGCACGGTGAGCTTGAGCCTCACGACCACACTTCCCGCCTGGAGAGACACGATCTGCATTCTCAGCTTCCCACTTCGGTACAAGTCAGACACCACTGGTGGGAAGGAGCTCTCGACCTAGCCAAGAAGAGGCAACAGCAGACATCCATCAACGTCTTCACGACCATTAAGCAGGGTTCCAGGTGTGACCGATGGATGGTGCTTGGAGCCATTTCTCTCCTCTACAATCAAGAGGAGGCACCTGACGACCGACCTCTCAGAGCACGCAGAGAAGTCCGTTCACAGCACCTTAGCTGGGCTTTCCCTGGGACGGCCGGGCCTGGCCTGGTGTGTGCTGGGGACTCACAGTGACCACTGCAATCAAGCTCCCAGTTGTGGAGCATCAGATGGACAATCCCCTCTGAGTGTCCTGAAAACTGGTGCGAAGGTCATTTGTGTGAGCGTGTGAGAAAGACTGATTGATTGATAGATGGAGAGGCCCCACCAAGGAACAATGCCTATGGCTATTTGGAGCTGTCCCCCCTCTTACTAGGCTGTATCCCACACAAAACACGCACACAGAGCCAGGTGCTTAGGGCTACCCATGCCCAAGCAAGGGAGATACCAGCCTGGTTCCCTGCCTTTGTGCCAACCCATACTTGCACACACAAGTGAGTTAACATTTCAAAAGGGAGGGAATTCTCTGAAAACATTGAAAACCAGATTCCTCCTCCAGGCAAATGTTGGGAAGCAACACTCTGTGGGTCTCTGGCATTTCTACACATCTTGCAAGTAGACGCACTAACTGCCCTTTTGTTCCAGAATATCTTTCCAAGGATGTTTGCATAGTGAACAGCCTTGGGAGGGAGAGATATTGGCTCCCTCCAGAGCAAAGGGCAGGTTTGTTACTGTCTGATGTAACAGATAATGTCTCCTTCTGGAGCCAGTGCTTGCACCCATTATAAAAGATTCAGGTTCCCTAGAGTTGGGGTTCCTCAGCTCAGGTGCAGACCCACTTTGTGTGCTTCATGCCCCTGGTCCCCTCTGCATCACCTCTGCGGGACTCGGGTGCAGGAAGGGGAACCGGCACAGCAGCACACGCATGCTGCCTGCTGTGCTGGAGTAATACAGTCTTCCGTCTCTGGCCCAGGAGTCTCGTGTCTTCTGCCAGCATCCATGAAACTGTGGCAGACTCACTTGTTAGTTTGCAGGGAGGGTAAAACCTCAGACTTTATGTGATTCTTGGCAGTTTAGGAAGTCACTTCTCCCTCCAATGCACCATCTGTGGATAGATGGTGCTTCCCACTGGCTTGCTTCTCCCTGGCTGTCTGCTGATGTCTCCCTTTAGTCACGAGGGAGGAATGGATGCCATGATTGTTGGTAAATGCTTCACTAATGAAGCTACCCCATAGCTGGAAGCCAGGGCCCTCAGACAGAAGGTTCCACAGAAAATCCAACAGTAGGAGTAAGTGGTGTACACCATTTGAATAAAGGCACATATCTTAAAGATGGATTGGCCCAGTATCTGGATTAAGTACCCCATAAAAGCAGGGGGAAAGCTTTTGACTAATCACTGTGCGATTTGGGTTTGGCCTCCCCTGAAGCTGCAGTAACATGTATTTTTGCCACAATCCCAGAGGAAGAGCTGGGCAGGAATTAACGGCTTGTGTTTGATGTCCTCACTCAGAACACCCAAGAAAAGATTTCTGTCTGCATTGTGGCTTTACCTCGTGAAGCAGTTGTCTAGAAAAGTCCTGGTACTCCACACTGCTGCGGTTGAGTAACTTCTCCGTCAGGTTGTGGTTTACAATCTTTATTGTGACTTCAAATACCTGGGCATCTGAGACAGACAGTGAAACAAATTAGCCTGTGGTCAAAAGTCACACACTTGTCTGTTAATGTTTTCCATGAAGCCTACTCTTTGGCGGGATAATTTTTTTTAATAGATTGAGGCATGAATCTTAGATTGAGGTATCCTAATTGGGGGAAATAAATGTAAGAAACGAGAGAATAAACAAACACTTTTATGTCCAGGGCAGAGACATCCCAGGAAGGAGGTACAAACGTCACACACAGCCCATACCCACGGGAACTGGGATTCAACCAGAGCATGGAGGGTCCTTTCCCGTGGGGTGGCTGCTGCCTTCCTTTGCCCTATTCACAACCACAGGGCCCAGGAGGTACTCACACGACGAGGCCCTTACTCAGGCCCCCAACATCAGGGTGACCAATGGGTTCCAACCTGCCCGGGAGGTTCCAGAATTTAGCTCTGAAAGTCCAACTTCTCAAGAACGTACTCTGCCAGTCAAAATGGTAGGGTTGCTTACTTACAAGGGAGGTTGCGTTATTTTGGGGCATAAGCAAAGATGGAAAAAAGCTTCAAGATGGGACACGGGAATATTCATCTTTCATTACTGAAAGGAAACCCAGCATGCACAACCCAAGCGTCGGCGGGCACAGGAGCAGGTCGGCGGCAATTCTGCATGTTTCTCTAGTTATCTAACAGCCACCTGCAGCTGTGCCCCACCCTGGCTCTCTCCCAGCTGGCAAGCTACGGGCCATCAGAGTGTGTCACCTATGCACGCCACACTTAAGGCCACAGAAATGCCACCAATGTTATATATTGTATATTTCCCAGTTGGGGCCCCTGTGAATCTCCCATCTTAGCAAGAGGGAGGAGCACTCCATGTGGCCTCCGATTCTCAGGCCCCGACGTATCGCAGAGCCCCGTGGACTGGCGGCCTCCTCCAGGGCCCTGGGAATTGGACTCCCTGGAGGCTCTGGGCATCCGCTGCCACCGTAACACCTGCCCTGCTGCCTCCCGGTGTCACAGGCTCATGACAAGGTGGAATTAGACAAGGCCTTTAAAGCAAATTGGGCTCCTTAAAAAAGGGCTCTACAAAAAAAGGGCATTTTTATAATCTGGAAAAGGAAAGAAAATCAAGGCTGGGAAGTGGAATAGGTTGGTAATTCTAGAGTCTTCTAGAGTCTTCCAAATTATCTGTGCCTGACATTGGAATGCAGGTATTTTTTTTCCTGAAGGCACGGGGTTGGTGGGTAGGGAGGGTGAGGGCATGGGGTTGGTGGGTGGGGAGGGTGAGGAGGGCACGGGGTTGGTGGGGTGGGGAGGGTGAGGAGGGCACGGGGTTGGTGGGGTGGGGAGGGTGAGGAGGGCACGGGGTTGCTGGGGTGGGGAGGGTGAGGAGGGCACAGGGTTGGTGGGGTGGGGAGGGTGAGGAGGGCATGGGGTTGCTGGGGTGGGGAGGGTGAGGAGGGCACGGGGTTGCTGGGGTGGGGAGGGAGCTGCAAGTTCCTATTGCATTTCCCAATAGAGATCAATTTTGTACCCTGGAGGATGGTTCTGTAATGGAACTGCCTCTCAGGCCTCAGTTTCCAAAAAGGGAAAAGAGTGTCCCTCCCCTCAGTCCTGGTGTACTTTGGAAATGAAATGAGAAGATGAGGTGGAGTCAGCTTGGAATGGGATGCCGCGTGCACAGTGGAGGGCTTGTGTCGAGGGTGGCCGGGGTGCTTGAGGGCTTTCTGGATGCCCGTGCTGGCTGCTATGAGGACTTAGCTTGAGGTCCGCCCCAAATCAGTTTGAAAAGGGTGTAGGGCCGAGCCACAGAAGGTCGCTCATTCCGCCATTC
Source organism: Homo sapiens (assembly GCF_000001405.40). NCBI lineage: Eukaryota > Metazoa > Chordata > Mammalia > Primates > Hominidae > Homo > Homo sapiens. The sequence goes on along the minus strand of NC_000021.9, from coordinate 42,100,358 downwards.
ATTCTCCACCACCACTCACTGTCACTAGCATTAACCCCTGTGAGTGAGAAAGGCCCCAGTATGGTCTTCATGCAGCAACTTGTATGCTCTGTACGCTCTGCTGAGACATGAAGCCCAAAGCCCACAGCCCAGGGCTCCCACTGGCTCTACGTCAGGGACACACATCGGAACCCAGAACCAGAATGGAGCCCCAGCAACCCCACATTCACACCCCACAGCCACAGATGCCAGCCTGGGGGAGAACTTCCACCAGCCAGGCCTCATCTGACCAAGTCTAGGCACCACGGGCACCAGGCAAGTGGGGAGCAAGACACGGGCAGAGCCAAGTGGGCTGCCCGGGACAGACCCAGATGGGCCACACCGGCTGCCTTCCTGACACAAGCCCCAAGTTCATGTGTGTGTCGTGTGTGTTTTGGAGACAAAAGTTGCCTCCTGAGATCACTTGAGCCCAGGAGTTTGACACCAGCCTGAGCAACATGGCAAGACTCCATCCTTATGAAAAATAAAAAATTTAGCCTGGTGTGGTGGTGTGTGCCTGTGGTCCCAGCTACTAGGGAGGCTGAGGTGGCAGGATCACTTGAGTCCAGGGGGTCGAGGCCGCAGCGAGCTGTGATCATACCACTACACTCCAGCCTGGGTGACAGAGCGAGACCCTGTCTCAAAAAGAAAAAACGTTTTGTCCCAGCACCAATGTGGTGGGCATGGCATTCGCTTTACATGCATCATGAGTGAAGCAAGGCGTGAAAACGTCAGCGATGCTCCCCTCTCGGGGAGGGAACTTAGACGGCCTCAGTGCTGCTGGGTAAGCGGGCAGGGTCCGGATCTGCCTGCCAGGAGCTGCCGCCTTCTGCTTTATTATTATTATTTTGTTCCTTTGCTTCACCCTAGCTGATGCCTTATTGGTGCTTCTGAGTCCACATGTTGTCCCCTCACACGGCAGAACGAACCCCTAACAGGACGACATGTAGGGAAGCGAGGGAGCCAGTGAAGGCACCAGCGGGCCGGTGCAATGCCGGGCAGGCAGTGGGATGACTGGGAGGGGAGGGAGGAAGTGCAGGGCGGTCAGTGACTTCTGGTGCCCTGGTTATAGGAAGAAGAACGCGACATGCTAGGGCCACAGACCTGGGATAGAAAGACAAGCTCGCAAGCTAACGTGGGTCTCTGACTGGGGGCCTTACTGGTTTTGATGGTCAGCGTGGTGGAGACGTCGGCCCCGCACCCCTGGTAGCTGGTCTTCACCCTGTACAGCACTCCAGCCTCCAGCCCAGCCACTGCCAGTGCCTGGCTCTGTGTCCTGGCGCTCCTGAGCAACTCCATACCCCGGTAAACCCGGACATGGAAAGTGTGGTTCTGTGTAGAATTTAAACGCCAGGATACTTGAAAACTGTCACTGGTGACGTTGAGGACCACGTAGTCACTGACTGGAGGACAATCTACGAAAGCACAGACAGAGAAGATGAGCAAAGGGTCAGTGAGGGCGGCTTTCTCTTCTGAAGCAGGTAACAGAGCCTCATCTCAACTTGGTTCTCACTGATTTATTGATCAAGTTGACCCATCCAGAACAGCACTGGCTATTTTTTGTTTTTTGTTTTGAGACAGAGTCTCACTCTGTCACCCAGGCTGGAGTGCAGTGGTGCGATCTCGGCTCACTGCAACCTCTGCCTCCCGGGTTCAAGCAATTCTCTGCCTCAGCCTCCCGAGTAGCTGGGATTACAGGCACTCGCCACCACGCCCGGCTAATTTTTTGCATTTTTAGTAGAGACGGGGTTTCACCATGTTGGCCAGGATGGTCTTGAACTCCTGACCTCGTGATCCACCCACCTCAGCCTCCCAAAGTGCTGGGATTACAGGTGTGCGCCACCGCACCTGACCCACTCACTGTTTTTTTTTCCAATAATAAATGCAACCCATTCATTCAAAACAGAGGTATCAATCTTCTCTCTCTCTAGGCTTCTGAGTAATTTTGGAAGGTAGCTCAGGATTGCATTAGGTGATGGGGATATTTGAGATGAAATGGAGAAGCAAGAGGTCTGAAGTTGAAATCCCAGCCTCTCTATCACTGAGCCAAGTTAGAGGGTGGGAGTCATCCAAGTGTGCCTCTGTCTACACAGTGAACAGCATTGAGTCGTGGGGCTCTCTGGGATCCGGAATCGGTGGTTACTAGAAAGTCAGAACAGTCTCTCTGGGGACCCGTATACAGTCATCGTACAGAAAACATTTGTAGCAATGGCCACGACAGTGTAAGGTTTCTGTGCCACATCTACAAATACTGCCTTGCCAGCCTCTCCTGAGGCCCTGGGCTGCTCTGATTCATGACAAGCACTTGATCATTTGCACGAGAACTTCTGCACTGGGCTGACTCATCACTCCATAAACAATGGCCTCATCAGGAAGCCGGACTCAGAAATCAGGCTGAGCTTCCTTTATTGCCCTTTTTATGCTTTCCTATTGAAATCCATGCCTCAGAGAGCAAAGCTCTGATGTACCAACCTATATATATTCTAGTGCTCAAATAGCATCGAAGCTCTTTTTTGGTTAAAAACATTCTGGCTGTACAGCAAGTGTCTGGGCAGTAAGAATTATATAAAAAGTAGACGGCCCCCAGTCTACGCACCAAAATTTTCACATCAGAATTTAAGCTCTATAAAAATAAGCAACAAAGAACTTTTAAAAATATATTTTGCAAAACCATGGTAAAGAAAATAATAATTTTATAATGTGTGGCTTCCCAAAGCCTTTTCTGTAAGGACTGGTAGGATATATGCTTTCTAGTATCATGAAAAGAATTCTGCTTTTAGACATATGTGCCTGCTTTCTCTCAATAACAAAAACAAAAACAAAAAAAACCCAACACTGTCCAACTCATTTCCCTTTGCGCCTTGGCTGCTGAGAGGCTCAGAATCCAATTTAGTGCCCAGTCACCACCACGCGACATAGCCCTGCTGTCTCCTCCTTCCAACCTGAGACTGAGCTGCCTCCTTTGAATCTTGGTCCCTGTGTAGGTGAGCTCCCTCACTGAGAACCTGCCACTCCACCTCCCAGCAGATGAGCATCTGTTACTGGAATCTGGACAGGCTTCACTCAGACAGGATCAGTGACATCCATCCAAATTCTGATGTGTCCTAATAACACTTCTAGGATGTGGGGTAGAATGTAGTTTTTTAAAAGACACATCTATACTTTTTACAGGATTGTCCAGTGATTTTCGGCATACTGGTCAGGGAAACAGACATGGATTCATTCTTTATGATATTTTCTTTAGTGGCAAGAAAAGCAGAAATGCTTCAACTGAGGGTGGCCCAAAGCTTGGGACCTGAGATTGTGGGTGGCACCCCCGTCTCCAGGGTCACCAGAACCCTGGAATCAAAAAGACCCCCCACTCACTGCCTGGCCTTCTAACAACCACCCGGCTTCTTAAAGTCTGTTCCTTGGGAACATATGTCTCACTGAAAAAGGAAGGGCGGGCTACAATTTCTTTTCCAAAAAGTCTGCTAAAAGCACTGACTGTTCTATTTTTGTACAGTCAGGACACAGCCCCAAGCATTTTTTTAATCCACGTTGGTGGAGGATGGTGTGACAGCAAAACGCCCTGCAAACAGGAAAGTGGGGCGGCCACGAGCAGGCGCAGCAGCTATAACAGCAGCCCCCCAGCCCACACCCAGGGCTCCAACCTTGCCTCCTTGTTGCCATTCAGATATCAAACTTGACGCAGAGCGAGAGAGCACATGGGTGGGACAACAGATGGCCCACCCAGATTACAGGCCATTTAAAAACGCATTCTATAAGGAGTGCTTCTGAACGGAGCAGAGTTAAAATTAAAAGGGCACCCGTACTTATTTGAAAAGAACGCAGAGGAATGGTGTTTGGAAAGAAGTCTCACAGGGTACGGGGCTGGCAATGCATGCTTTACCTCTTTTAATAAGTATATTTACTCTTTAAATTAAGATGCCAGGGGGTTTTTGGATCACTGGATGGGGGACCTGCAAACCTGGCATTTCAAATGCTGTGAAGCCCTCCGAGGCATCTGCAGAAGCTGCCGTCAGTGACTTTTGCAACTAAGAGAGATTGCAAGCATTTGGGGTAAAAGAATCTCATCTAATCCAAAGAAATGCATTATCCCTGAGGACAATGTTCCCATCCAATATCTGTGTGGCCCTTTCTCCAGTGTGTTACCTTGAAGCATTTGGAATTGTCCATATTTGACCATGTTTGACCAATAAGGGCACCAATTTCTTATGGCTCAATTTTTTTTAATTGAGCTTCTACTATGCACCCAGCATCACCATAAACACTGAGGGAACAATGATGAGTTAAGGTCCACAGTGTCCAAGCTAACGCAGCATGCATTATAGCAGCGGTAGGAACTTGCAGGGAGCTATAAATTAACTCCCTGGTGTGAGCCCCCTGCAGTACTCCCTCCCATGACATCCATGTCACAAACCAGCCAAGCTATCAGCGACATGGTTACAGGTAATGTTTCCTGGGTACTGTGTGCACCAGCCATGTTATCCTATTTAGTCCTTACAGCAATCCCAGGTAATAAGTTCTTCTAGGATCCCCATTTTACAGAGGACAAAACTGAGGCCTAGAAAGGTCAAGTAGGTAGTAAATGGCAAAGCTGAACAATAGGAAATAGCAAAGTTCACTTGCCTTACTACTAAGCTTTCCTATCACCAGTAGCAGGCTGAATAATGAGCTTCAAAGATATCAAGTCCTAATCCCTGCAACCTACGACTGTGACCTTATTTGGAAAAGGAATCTTTGCAGATGTGATTCAGTGAAGTATCTTCAGATGGAAAGATAATCCTGGATTTCCCAGGTACACCCTAAATGCAATCACAAGTGTCCTTATAAAAGAGAATCGGGGGGATTTATACACAGACACACACACACACACAAAGGAGAAGGCGGTATGAAGCTGGAATAGAGAAAAAACAAAGATGTTGACCTTGAAGATGGAGTAGGGCTGGGCGTGGTGGCTCACATCTGTAATCCCAGAACTTTGGGAGGCCAAAGTGGGCGGATGGCTTGAGCCCAGGAGTTTGAAACCAGCCTGGGCAATATAGCAAGACCCTATCTTTACAAAAAACACAAACATTAGCCAGACGTAGTGATGTGTGCCTATAGTCCCAGCTACTTGGGGGGCTGAGCTAGGAGGATTAATTGAACCCAGGAGGTGGAGGCTGCAGTGAGCCGAGACTGTGCCACTGTACTTCAGCCTGAGTGACAGAGCAAGACCCTGTCTCAAAAAAAAAAAAAAAAAAAAAAACAGCAGAAGAAAACAAAGGAGTGATGCAGCCACAAGCCAAGGAATGCCGGCAGCCACCAGAGGGCAGAGAGGCAAGGAATGGATTCTCCCAGAGCCTCCTGGGAGCACAGCCCTGCTGGCAACCTGATTTAGGCCCAGTGGTAACTATTTCAAATTTCTGGTCCTCAGAACTGTGAGAGGATACATTTCTCTTGTTTGAAGCCACCCAGTTCATGGGCCTTTGTTAGGGAAACCCGGGAAACTTACATATCTACGAAATTTCACGGCAGCTGTTCCCGTGGCTGGACAGCACAGCTTGGAGAGTTTTCTTTGTGTTGTAAAACCAACCAACCAACTTCTAACGTGCTAAGGCCAATCTCTCTTTTGTTGGACAGACCTTGGGGTATTTTAAAACTGGAAATCTTCCTTCTACCCCCGACTCCTCTCTTCCAGGGTAGGCCCCTATAACTTGGTTTTTGGTTTTTCATTAGCCAGGACACCCTCCTTTGGTTACCCTTAAATGGGGACCCTTTTCAGTGTCCCCCTTAAATGTGGCCCTAGAAAATGATGCTCTTGACTCTGGGTTTGTATGACCCAAGGCCACGGCAATGCGGATAATCTAAACTTCAGGCCCCAGAGCCCTTGCTCCACAGCCCTCCCCAACCACAGCTAGGAACACAAGTTCAGAACTTTGCCTCTATCTGGGTAAAGCACCCTGGGTTCTCCACGTCTGACAGTCTGGCCCTTGTTTCTTCCCGGGCAGCCGTGACTCATCTCTGGTTCAGCAGGGAAGGTGCCGGGGATGCTGTTTCCCTTAGCAATATGCAATTGGAATTCACTCTAAACTGCTGATCTGGAAACACTGGATTAGTGTGTCCTGCCCTATTAGAAGTGAAGCTGGGGCCGCGCAGCCTCCCCTCTTTGTGTTTGGCGGTCGCTCGAGCGGCCCTGTATCCTGACGCAATCTGGCAGTTCACTGTGCCAAGCAACACGGCAGAGTGTGACTGCCAACAAACCTAACCGTAAATAGAATCTAATATTTTTCCGGATGACTGACCAGGGTAAAAATAACTATTTGGAAAATACCTGTTTTCCAACCTTCTGTGCTCACGAAAGGGACAGGATTCTCACCCTGGAAGCCACAGAGCAGGAATCTATAGACAGTTCTCTGCAGAGCTTAGTGGGGTGCCGTGGGATGTGGACGTGGCGCGAAGTTCTAAGTGGATCTCAAGGCCACGTGCTGCGGGGTACAGGAGTGTTCTCAGTGTTTTGCTGGCAGAGCTGGGCTGGAAATTTTTAATACCTGGAGACCCCGGGGATGACCACTGTGAAAACCTCTCTTTCCGTGATTGATCCAGGAAACGTTTGTGGAGTGCCTGCTCTTTGCGGGGCACCAGGGATTCATCTGCCAGTGGGTGGAGGGCAAGTCCGCTCTCCCCACACAGCCTCATTCTGATAGGAGGGGAACGTTCCTGGTGATGGGGGGAAGATCTGACCCTGGAGCCCGCCACATCCACAGCTGGCTCTGGGAACTGGTCCACTCCCCCAACCCCTCGCCCACAGGACAACGAGAAGAGCCAATCAGAACCTTAGGCTGAACACGGGGTCTCCTGCCTGCAATCCCAGCGCTTTGTGAGGCCAAGGAGGAAGGATCTCTTGAGGCTGGGAGCTTGAGAACAGCCTGGGCTACTCAGTGAGACCTCGTCTCTACAAAAAAATTTAAAAATGAGCCAGCTGTGGTGGCGCATGGCTGTGGTGGTGCATGCCTGTGGTCCCAGCTACTCCAGAGGCTGAGATTGGAGCCTGGGAGCTGGAGGCTGCAGTGACCGGCGATCACGCCACTGCACTCCAGCCTGGGTGACAGAGTAAGACCCTGTCTCTATAAAAAACAAACAATAAAATTAATTAAATAAATAAATAAACCAGAACCTTAGACTCCTTTTCCTAGTTGGGTTCTAGAACGCCAAATAAAATAATTCAACTCTTCTGGAGCTCTACCCAACTCTTGGTCCTAAGCACTCATGAAGGTTGGAAAGGGCATGGCGGTTTTCCTGAGTGCACTGGGACAAAAGGCAGCCCCCGAGGGCGGGGGAGAGCCCATCACACTCTCAGGCAGGTCCCCGCCAGAGGGCTCCTAGGGAAGACAGCCTTGGGACACAGCTGGTTCATGTGCGTCTTCAGAGGACCAGCCTTGGGATCTTATGCAAGAAAATCACCTTCGTCCCCCTCAATTTCCTCTTCTGAAAAAAAAAATGAGCTTAAGGAGAGTAGTTGCCTCTTGGGGTTAGTCTAAGAATTTAAACGAAGCAATACCCACAGAGTGCTCAGAGCAGAGCCCAGAGCGCGTGAAGTGCGGGCAACTGCCAGCTGTGGTGTTATTGTGAACAAAGGGATGGTCCTCAATGTTGAGTCCCTTTTAAGGAAAAAGAACATGCAAATTAAATGATTAACGAATTCAAATTGGATATAAAGAGATTCCCTGTAACCCCTGTCACAAGGTTACAGTTCCAGACTCTTGAAAGCAACAGAAGTGCTCCCGTGAGGGGAAAGAATATTATATGATTGCTTTAGAAAGCCACTAGTTTTCAACCACCAATAATTATCATGGTGAAAACCAGGCTTCTTCTTGGAAACTTTATACACATTATAGGAACTGAAGAAAGCAGCTTATAAAATTACACATGTAGCAGGATTTAAATAAGGTTTAAAAAAAAAAACAAAAAAACCCTCAACCCTGCGTTCAATAAGGTCAAAACCTGGAAAGGAACAGGGAATAGAAAGAGCCGGGATCAGCTTCGCCTGTCTTTTGAGAGACCCCCTGGGAGTCCACAGCCTCCTCCACATCAGGCTTTCCTTCCCTCAGCCTGTTCATAGTCAAGCTTCCCTGCAGGATTCTCGGCTATTCTCGCTTCTTTCTCTCCTCCAGCTGTCTTCCTAACCCGGGCTGCTGGCTGCTTCCCTTCTGCTCTCCTGAAGTCTGCACCGGATCCCCGTAGTTCCCACAGGCACTTTCCTGCCCTGCTGTTACCCATGCGTGTACCCTCCCTGCTTGCCGGCCAGCTTACCGCTTGCTCGCTTGGGGCTTGCTGAGCCTTCCCTGCTGACCTTGCTGCGCACGCCCTTCCAGCTGTTTTCCTGCCTTACCCAGGTCATCTGCAGCCTCTCCTCCTGCACTGACCTGGCACTGTTGGGGTTCTCTGGCCACAGGCCCCAGGCCTCTTCCCTTCTCTCAGCCATACCATGGTTTAAGTGTCACCTGGAGGTGACCCTGGACTCACGTATGCAGCCCAGCCCCGCCTCTGTGCTCCAGCACCACGCGTCCAACTCAATCAGCATCCTGGCACCGCCACTCACTCCATCTCAGCTATAACTATTATTGACAATAATAACAACAGCTCGGGTCTTCCCCATCCTCTCCAATGGAAACACCTTCTACTCCACTGTTCAGTCAAGACATCTGGATTCCGTCTTCTTTCCTTTTTCCTCTTCTTCACTGAATTAATCAATAAGTTCCAGAGGTTCTATCTCTAAAATGTTGCCGGAATCCCTTTCTCCACCACCTTCCACACCCTAGACTCCTGCACTCAGAGTATCGTCTTTATAGCACCTTCCTACATTTCAGATTACACAGTTACTTCTTCTTCCAAGCTGCTTGATGGCAGAGCCAATCCCGTGTGCCAGTCCTGGCTGGTACATCCCTCCCCACTCCCAACAGGGACAGACCTGGGCACGTTTATCTACATGCTTCCCCCAACACCCAGTCCGCTCTTCTGCTCTCCAGGCTGATCCCGCGATGCTAGGGATGGTCCCAGCTTATCCTCGTGGTTCCAGTGCAGACATCAGTCCTGCCCTTTCATGCGCCAAAATGTCTCCATTTCCACAATCCACTAGACAGGCAGAGATTAGGACCTGCTTCTGCATGCTTCCATTACCAGCACCTAGCACAGTGAATAGCACCTAAATCAACATTTCCTAAGCCAAAGAAGATGCGAGGGTGGCCCACTAGGAGATCAATAATGGCTGAAAGAACTAAGTGTATTCTGTGCCGGTTAGCCAGCCATTCCCTCTTGGCAAGAAGAGTCCCTGTGGTCTGAAGACCATCCAGCCTTTAAAAAATGCCTTCACCCTTTTCCCGTTTCGAAGAAAAAAACGGCAGCTCACTGCCGGCACTCATTTAATTTTACATAAACAAGCTCTTTGGGGCTGAAGCAAATCTAACTGATTTTCAATATGAAAACAAAATATAAAAACTGTTCTTGGAATTACTTCTAAACAGAACTAACATCAGAACTGTCTGAATCATCAGAATCATCTATTTCAGAAAAACAGGTTCAGCAAATGAATCGTCGGCCAACAACTTGTTCGAGAACAATGTTAACAACACACGTGGGACTGCTGTTTTCTAGGATTTGACATTTTCAGTGATTGAGAATCACTATATTTTGTAAATGGAAATACCACTACTAAAAGCAGAATGCTATAAGTAGAATTGTGTCCTCTGTTTCCAAAGTCAATATACCACAGTGATGCGAAAATAATAATAAAAGCAAGATATTTCATGGCAGAGTTATCTCGGGGTGAATGCTGCAGCTGTAAGCACTGCTGGTGAGTATTCCCGGGGCAAACAGGAATTAAGCCATTCCCATGCCATCTGAGAGAGCCTAGCCATTACCTTCCCACTCCAGGTTCAGCTTCCGTGGAGACGTGGCTGGAGCTTCCTGGTGACAGACGCACCAGTACGAGCCCTCCAGGTTTGCGCACAGTTCCCTTCCAGAGCAGGCATTGAGCTCCTCATAGAAACACTCATTGACATCTACAGGGAAGGAGAGCAGGACCCACACTCAGCAGTCGCAGCTACCTCGTCATCTTCATCTACCTGCACACACACGGCCTCTGTGGACTCGTGCCACGGATTTGTGCCACGTCGGTTGAGGGGTGCCTTGGGCAGTGATCCCAAGGGAGACTATGGAAGTCTCGTCTTAGAAGGCCCTGTGCGGCTGCTGGCCATCGTCATCCAAGCAGCAGCCCACGTTCAGGCAGGGCTCGCGGCTGGCTCACCGGGCAGCCTCACGTGAGCAAATCACTCTGGGCTGGACTGAGTCTGAGTGGTCATGAAAAGGTGGGGCCAAAACATCCCACCCCAAGCGTAAAGTAAATCAGTGGGTGTTTTCTGCGCCAACAAGGAAACCCAGAGCCACCCCTGACGTTCTGAGGCTGGCCCAGGCCTCCCAAACAGAACCATCTCACAGCAGCCAGCCTCAGACAGGGCCTCTTCATAATGCTGTCTAAGTACAGACAGCGCGATAAGCTCATGTGTCACCCACAAAATACTAATGCCCCTCCCTTGGCCCAAATGAGTGATTATTAGTTCTTTACAAACTATGGCTTATCTTTATGCAATTGTTCCCATCTCTTTTGCTTAGATGTATTGACATTCCCAGTCGTGGAGTTGCCTCCATTTTCTGATGGCATTCAATTCAGAACAAAATCACACTTCCCTAGACCCTCCCCAAACCACCCAGTCAAAACCCACATCCTATAACAGGTTCTTTCTAACAATCTCCTACTGAGAAACCACATGGTTCTCCATGGTGTGGGTTCTCCCTCGCTGCCTCGAATAATAAACTCAACTGGTCCACCCACAGGTGTGCTCCTGCAACCTCTGGCCAAAGGTCATTGACAGAGCAGATGACAGAACGAGCACTTTGCTTAATGGCACTAGAGCAATGCAGCTTGGTTCTGCAGAACATGTGCGGATCTGAAGGGAGATCAATGCAATCACTAGAGCTTTCACACGGCTCTGAGCCCTGGCATTGTCACGTGCCTCCTCAGTGTCATAGAAGAGGCTTCACCAAGGCAGCCACCCTCCTGCAAAGCCCTGGGAGCAGCAGACTAGCCTGGCTGCCTCCTGCTTGGGTACAGGAAGCCGTACGGGAGCCCAGGGGTTTGCTTGCGGACTGTCTGTGACTACTACAACAGCAGGGCTGAGTCGTTGAGACAGAGACCACGTGGGCCCGCAAAGCCAAAAATATTTACTATCTGATCCCTTTTAGATGAGGCTTGCCAATTCCTGACATAGAACAACAACAACAAAGAATAGGTAATTTCTTCCAGAAACAAGGCCACGTCTATGTGCTTTGCCAGATACAAATTCAACTTTAGACAAATTGTGCTGAAGGAGCCTTTGGAGTACAAGGATGTCCTTGGCAAGGGTGGGAAAGAGGCGAGAGGGAAATTTAGGAAACCAAAGAAATGAAGAAACAAGTTCTTTGTGTGTGGCTCTGGGATTTGCACTCCAGTGTCCACTAGGATGGAAGGAGAAGCCTGCCGAGGGGGCAGGAGGCCAGAGGGATCCGAGGAGAGATGGAGGGAAGAGGAGAGGGGCGGGAAATGGGGGGCAAAATAAGTTCTAGAGGTCTGCACTTGGGGACTTGGAATTTACAGGGTGAGCTGAAGATGGGTCCCACACCTGTGGGATGAACACACTTGAACCAGTTATTCTTTTGCTCCTGAACTTAAACCTCCTTTAAAAGACAAAGGACTGGTCTGGCTTTAGCGTCCACCTTGCATTTTGGCTGTTCAGGCACCACCCTGCAGCCTCCCCAGAGGGAGGATTGAGGGAAGCCCAACCTTGCACCTGGACGCTGATCACTTCATAGACACGCTTCGCAATGTCACCCAGCAGGGTGGAGACGTCAGCCACAGGCAGTGGCCGTGGCAGGCCCAGTAGCAGCCGCGACACTGTGGTGGAGGCGTTCCCAGGGGCTGAGTGCAGGTGGTGGACGGTGGAGGCCATTGGTTGCAGGGCGCTGGTGACCTGTGAAGGCAGAATCAGAGTGTCACACAGCAGAAGGACACCCCGTCAGACAGACGAGGAGACTGAGGCCCGCAGAGCTGAAATGAACTGTCCACACACACGTACCATTCTGCTCTTCAGCAAAGAACCTCTACAGTACTTATCTATCCATCACTATCCCAATAGAAGTCCTACAAACCGGAACTATCAGTACCTTTCAGTACCAGTTGTGATAAGCTGAATTCTGTCCCCTAAAATCCATATGTTGAAGTCCTAACCTCCAGTACCTCAGAATGTGACCTTATTTGGAAATAGGGTTACTGCAGATATAATTAGTGAAGGTGGGTTCTAATCCAATATGGCTGGTGCCCTCACAAAAAGGGGAAATTTGGACACAGAAACAGACATGAATGGGGGAAGACAGTGTGAAGAGACAGAGAAGACAGCCGTCTGCAGGCCAAGGAGAGAGGCCTGGGGGCCTCAGGAGGAACCAGCCCTGCCGACACCTTGATTTCAGACTCTTCAGCCCCCAGAACTGTGACAGAATAAGTTTCTGTTGTTTGAAGCCCCCAGTCTGTGGTCCTTGGTTACAGTGGCCCCAGGACACTAATACAGCAGCCAGACCCAGGACCCTCGGTCTTCTGCCCTTGCCAAGACTGCAGGTCTCTTGCAGCTGACAACAGAGAATTAGAACTAGAATTAGACAATTAGAGATCAAAAGCCACGGTCTCCTGTTGTACACATCCAATTATTTTTCTGAGGTTTAATGATCACTTTCCTCATTTCATATGCAGTATTTTTATTTCAGCTTAATATCTTGAAATCTCAACCCTTGGGAAGCCAGGTGAACTGGCAGCTGCACAGCCAGACCAGTGGTCACCAGAACAAACTTTGCCAGCAAACCCCCAAGCCTCCACTGGGAACTCCAAAGGAGGTTTGGGGAGAGCAGGAGTCCTCCGATACACACTTGAAGCCCCTTCCTGGGAGGAGATGCAGCTCATAATTTAGCATACAGAACTGGGAACCAGCCCCGACCTCATCGGAACCCCTTATTCAGCAGCAGAAGCAGGCCTCAGAGACCAGCCCCTGCTGGTGCCTGACCCCTGTGCAAGGCAGGCGCTTCTGCAGGGGGTAATGGGCTGGTTGGAGACATGAAACCTACATGCACGAGGAGACAGCAGGTGTCACGCAGCAATATTGAAAACACAACAACCACAACATCTCAGGCCCCACACGCATCAGGAAGCTCAGGAACCATCTCAAGCTCTTTACATGTATGATTTAAGCTCATGGCCCTGTCTCAGGCAGGGTTATGATTATTTCTATTTATTTACTTTTTATTTATTTAGAGACAAGAGTCTCGCTCTGTAGCCCAGGCTGGAGTGCAGTGGCACGATCTCAGCTCACTGCAACCTCCGCCTCCTGAGTTCAAGCAATTCTCCTGCCTCAGCCTCCCCAGTAGCTGGGATTACAGGCACGTGCCACCACGCCTGGCTAATTACTGGATTTCTAGTAGAGACAGGGTTTCGCCATGTTGGCCAGGCTGGTCTTTAACTCCTGACCTCAAGTGATCCGCCTGCCTCGGCCTCCCAAAGTGCTGGGATTACAAGCTTGAGCCACCACTCCTGGCCGATTATTTATGTTTAATGGAGGAGGTATCTCAGGCACAGAGAGGTTAAGTGACTTACCCAAGGTCACACAGCTGATGAGTGGCAACACTAGGGCCAGGCAGTGTGGCTTCAGAGCTAGTTTCTTACTGGCCAATTGGGCAGTCCCCTTAACAAGCTAAGAGGAAACAGGAATCACTCCTAGCCCGGGCTGTTAAGGCCGAGGCTGCAGACTACCTGTCTAGCAGCTCACTGGCCAGCAGCCCAGAACAACATGAGGTGTGCACCATCTGATCTGGGCTGCCAGCCAGCTTAGTCTAACGGCCAAGGAGTGACCCAACCCTGGGTTTGACACCAAGACACCCAGGGACATATGGGACACACAAAAGATCTGAAGCACAGAACAGCTACACAGATGCCAAAGGAAAATGCGGGGCCCCTTGTCTGAAAAGTGTTCGGCATTTCCAGAGGCAACAGCAGCACATTAGACCAAGCTGAGGCCCCTCTGAGCACAAGCCCCTGTCAGCAGCCGGTCCTGAAGCCAGACCATCCCCCAGGGAGGGCGGCCTTGGGGACACGCGGCAGCCTTGGGGACACGCAGCGCCCTGTCCACACTGGGATTCCCGAGACTGATGGTGGCCTGAGCTGGAGAAGACATCCTGGTTGGTAATCACTGCTGATGGGCCAGAAAGCATGACCTGTGTCATCAGCAAGGGTCAGCCAGGGTGTTTGTTTTTATCCCCAGGGGACAGTGGGCGACGTCTGGAGACAGTTTTGGATGCCACCCTGGGGTGTGCTTCTGACTTGTGTGGAGAGGCCAGGGGCGCTGCTAACCATCAGACCCCAGGGTGCTCTCCAGCCCTGGGCTACGGTTCCCATCTCAGCACTCCCAGGTTGGTGCTGGCTTCCACGAAGCAGGAGCCAGAACTTGAAGAAATTGGGACTGAGGGTGGTGAGGGAAGAGCTCGGGGCTTAGGCTGTCTTTGCTGGGACTGCAGACCCCTGCAAGCTTAGGGATCCGCGTTCTCCACCACGACAGGCGGGCCTATGAGGGTACACACATAACAACTCAGCCAACTACACGCTTCAGTTGTGTGCATTTTGTTGCATGTAAATCATACCTCTTTGAAGCTGATTTTTTAAGAACTAGAATTTCGTTCAGAGTCAGTCATTTGGGGCCATTTGGGGAACATCACCCTCCCCAACCCCCAGGTCCCTTCCACGGCCCCATACCTGGGTCTGCCTGAGCAGCTGCCACAAGGAGGGTGCAGGCAGCCCCCGTCTGTCTCACCTACCAAGGAATGCAGAAGGCGCATGTGGTTCAGGAGCCTGGGGTCCACTTGCTGGAGTTCCTTGAAGTCCATTTTCACCAGTATGGTGACGTTGTACCAGGAGCCCACAGGGTCCCTCTCTGGAGCTACACAAGGGAAAACACTGATGATTATGGACCCAGGACAGGTTGAAGTCACAAAAGCTGCTGGGGTGGGAGAGGGGGCAGGAGAGGGAACCAGAGGCCATGAGAGGCCCTGCTCTGCATTTACCTCCCTGCAAAAAGACATCTACCACAGGAGACGGGGGATGTCCTCACTGCCCGCCCCTCGCTCCTCTCCATCCTAATGTCCCTGAAGACCACCGATCCCTGCTCAGAGGTGAGCTGGGCCTGGGACCCACAGCAGCAGGCCTTCCCTTGAAGAGATCTGCTTAGGAGGTAAATAGAGCCTATCAGCCTCATTATACTGTCATAGTATGTTGATATAGAAAATTACTTTATACTTTGTCATTATTTTATTGATACTACAAATATTGGATAGTATAATCATATGTAATATGATATATACTATATAATAGCATGTAGTATAATGATATAGTATTATCATAATATCTGATATTATGTATACTATTGCTTTATTACTGCATACCATACTAACGCTATAATATATAATATTTTAAATATTAAATAATATGTAACATTATACATATATATATATGTATAGGCCATCCCATTCTCCCATTCTCCTGGATGCAGACCCCAATCAAAAGAGAACTTTCCAGACCAGCAGGCGCATATCTGAGGTGGCAGGGCCTGCCTACGGGTGCTGTGGCGCTCGTCAGGCCCCTGTGGCACTGCAGGCACAGCCAGCTCCACACCTGCAACTAATCTACCTGGAGCTCCTGGCCTCTCCAGGCAAACTGGGAAATCCGGGTCTCTGCTCCACCAGAAGTGTCTTCCCATTTCAGGGCCCCTAAGAGCGCCATGAGATTTCTCCCCCGAGAGTTCAGTGGCCAGATTTTGACTAAGAAATTATCTAAGAGCAGGTGCTGCCTGTGCACACGGTGGGGGCTCCTGATGAAATCGGTCACTGCTCCTAGAAACACACTCCCCCCCACACCTTCACACAGATCAGGCCTCACCGAGACCCGCCTTTGCTGCCTGTCCATAAGCATGGCCCGCAGCAGCCTACCTTGGGGTGCAGGGGCCATGCAGTAGCGCCCCCCTGACCAGGGGCAGCACTTCTCAAGTCCAGGACAGTCGATGTCCAAGCTGCAGGGGGAGGTGGATGGTTCAGGCCCCTCTGCGGGGCAGGCCCCAGGTCTTGACGTGAACTGCCCGGACTGATTCAGGGCTGGGAGAAAATGATACAATTAATGATACTGGCGATAAAAGACAAACCTGATTTGCTGCACGGGGACCTCACGTCGGTGCTTCCTGGTGCTGAATTCTGCCTGTAGGTCTGTGGCCTGTTCGGGGCCCATCCCCATGCCTGGGCAGACACCCACCCCATTGGAGGGCCATTGGCTTTGGTTTTCATATCCTCTGCCCATCTGTCCTTCCAGGGCAGCTTCAGCTGGGGTCCTAGGTGTCTCTGTTTCCTCTAGGCCTCAGAAGTCCAGGTCCAGGGGGCTCCACCACCCCCTGAAAGGGCCCCTTGCTGCTTCAAGTCCTGATAGCTCATTCATTCATTCATTCATTCATTCAATATTTGTTGAGCACCTGCTATGTGCCGGGCACAATGCCGGGTGCCCAGGGCCCAGCCTTCAGGGAACTTATATTCCAGTGGGGGAACAATAGTGCAAGGAGATCTACAGATATTCAGATGGGGTGAGAGCCTCAGGGAATGAAGCAGTGTGGGGGATTGGAAGGACACTCTGGAGAGGGGCTCATGCCTAGGCTGGGCAGAGGGGAGCTCGGAGCAGCTCTGCAGACATCAGCCCTGGCGCCCACAAGGCGAGGTACAGGCCTGGTGTGGGGTGTGGTGGGGGCCGACCTAGGTGACAGTGCAGGTGAGTGCAGCATGGGTCCCTGGGGAGATCAGGTGGGGGCGTCCACAGGATGTGCTGACAGACGGGATGGGGTGTAAGAGAAGAAGAAGCTTCAGGAAGGCTCCCAGGCTTCGGGTCTGGCATCCCTGGGGCTTCATTCCTGAGCTGGGGAAAGCTGCGGGAAGAACGGCCTGGTGTAGACCAGGAGTGTGGCAGTGCAAATGTGAAGTCGGACATGTCCACTGCTCGCCCATGTGGAGACGCATGGCAGAGTGGCACTGGAGGTGGCCCCTGAGGCCAGCCCGCTGGCTGTTGGCTGCACAGCTCCCCAGCCCTTCACAGTGTGAGTGCAGCTCCGATGCAGCTCTAGACACAGAAACGCGGCCAGCCTCTGCAGGAGGCAAAGATGAGGAAGGCAAGAGGCCAACCCGGTGGGGTCCCCATGGGAGGTGTGCTGGTCCTGGGGACCAGACCTCAGCCAAGGCTGCAGGGGGAGGCCACGGTGGGCTTTCCAGAAAAAGGGGCTTATAGAGGTCTCAGAAAGCACTGCAGGAGTCTGAGAATCCACCCAAAGGGAAGCTGTCAGGAGTCCGGAGGCTGATGCTCAGGGCTCCAAGAAGCACAAGAGGAGGGCAAGGAGAAGAAACCGAACCCCAGGGGTCAGGAGACAGCAGAGCGTGTGCCCGATGCCGCAGAGCCTGCAGTGTGCCTTTGCCAAGACGGCAGAGGTGGGCCCAGGGCAGGAGATGACCCCATCTCCCAGGACGGAAGGAAGCTGAGAAGATGGGAGCTCCGGGACGAGGCTGAGGGCAGCCATGAGGAGGACACAGAGGGAGGAGGGACCCCAGTGCTGGGCCCCAGAGAAGGCTTGCCCAGCTCTGTGGCCTCCATAGCCAGCCACCCTGACGGTGGGTGCCATGCCCCCCTGGGGCTTTACTCAGAGCTGTCCAGTTCATGCCCAGATACATGGCAAGCTTTGTGTGTCTATGGCCCGGGGATGTTTAGGAGCACAGCTCAAGACCTCTCAGAGCCCAGAAGACTAGAGGAGGCCAGCTGGTAACTGGGTCCTGGACTCACCCCCGCGAGGGTGGGGAAAACTCGTGGGATTGGCCAAGCGGAAGGGCAGCCTCAGCAGGCTGCAGTCCCAGGGACTGGCCTCTCGGGTCCCCCAAGTTCTCTGCAGAGCACTCTGCAACGAAGAAAGAGGTGGCGGCCCTGGCTTCTGCTGGGACCACATCACCAAGGACACTGCTCAGCTGGCCAGAGCAGGGGCAGCCAGAGTCACGGAATATGCAGAGAGCCTGCATCCCCGCTCTCCTCACCCAGCCCTGTCTGCCTGGCGCCCGGCCTTGCTGTGGGCATTCCTCTCAGCCGCACTCTCTTTCCTGCGTTGTCCCTGACTCACTCTTCATCTCCTCATCATCCAGGCAGCTCTACCGATGGCCGTGCATGAAAAATGAACGTTGGGTGCAGCTCGAGGAGGGCAACGCCAGGAGCCTGGTGGAGGCTTGCTGAGAATCCGAAGGTCTCTGCTTTGTCTCCCAGTGCAAAAAGCAAAGGCCTCAGGGTTAAGCAGACATGCGGACTAAATGGAAGGTGGGCTCCTGGGACAGAAAAAGACATTCAGGGGAAAACAGGGGAATCCAAATAAACTATGGAGTTTCCCGACAATGCCCAGTGTCAGTTCCTTAGGACAAGTAGTCCCGAGAGCTGTAAGATGCTAACGTTAGGGGAAGCTGGGTTGGGGGGTACAGGACCTTTCTGCATTATCTTTGCAACTTCCCTGCAAATCTAAAACTATTCTAAACTAAAAGCCTATTTAAATAGAAACAATCCCCCCAAAACTGGCTTCTAAAAATAGTTGCCTAATCACCAGAGGCGTGTTTTTAAGTGAAAGGTTTGCATCTTAACTGGCTACTGCCGGGAAGCCCCTCCATCCCTTGGAGCTGGCCAGCTGACTGAGTGCCCTGAGAACGCTGAACAAGTCCAACTTGGTAGAAAGTCACAAATCTCCTTCGTCCCTAACTCAATGCAAACAATAAAACAGAACTGCTCAGCTCCTGGCAACACTGCTAGTCATGGTCCAGTGAGGCAACAGGGGAGCTTTGTGTTTGAGCAACAAAACCCAAGGCTCCCAGGGCTGAGGACTGGGTGGGCTGAGGAGGAGTCGCTCCTGTCTCCCTCCTCCTTCCTCGGGGCCTCTTCGCCTGGTCGGGACAGGAGGTTCTCACCAAAGGGCCCCTGGTCATCAGCATGCGGGGACAGGAAGTTTTGGGGAGTCTCCTGGTCCTCTGGGGGTCCTGGACTTGCCTAACGAGGCTGAGTTTGCCAGGAGGTTGATCCTGTGCAGAGCTGGGGTGTCACTGGAGTTAACAGAGCACAGCTAAGATGCTGGGTTCCACTTCTCAGAATTCATCCTCAGCGCATAATCCAACTTGTGCACAGTCGTGTTTGTACGGTATGATGTTCATCACAGCATTATGTATGATAATGAGTAATTGGAAACAACTGACAGTTAAGTGGCAAGAGCTTGCTCAATGAATGCTGATGTGCGTATGAGGTAATGCCATGTGGCCGTAAAAGCATGCAGTGGAGTCATGTTCACAGGCATGAAAGCTGCTGTGGATACATTGCTGAGTGGTAAAATCGTGCTACAAATGTCTTGGACACAGTGGCCATCCTCTTGTGAAATGTCTGCCCTGGATAAAGAACATGTGAAAGGTGGTTATTCGTGAGCAGCAGGCTTGGGATCGTTTCCTCCTCCTGTTCTTTTCTGTGTTTCCAAATTTTCTGTATGGCTCGTGTGTTCATTTCTGTAATTATATTTTTAAAAACTTAAAATAATGCACCAGTTGTCATCGCATTCCAAATGCTGGACTGAAAAAGTTGAAAAAGTCACTGAAAGTCATATCACGTGTGTGTCCATGCTTCCGTTCCCTTTTTTGCATAAGTCATTATTGAGTGGGAGGAGAAAGGAGGAAACATGTCTGGCATTTTACCACTGTCTGGGGGATAGGACTCCGAGGCGCAGACCCCCGGGTAGCTGAGGTGTGAGTCACCCACACTCGGGTGACCTGGAGGCCCCGCCACAGAGGAAGGAGCATCTCCTGCCCTTCACGCTTCCCAGTATTTCCAGGGGCCTCCAACATCTGCCAGGTCCAGCTTCGGGCCCTGCTTCGTTCTGTACAAATCAGAGTCACGGTGCTCAACAGGTCACTTACTGAAACCATCTCACATCCAGCTCCAAGGAGCCAACCTGCTGTGTGGCATCCCAGAAAAAGGCGGCTTTGATCAAAAGAGCTGTGCAAGCATGGAGAAGTTCGCGCTGCCAAAATCCGGGGTGTAAATCCGCCCACCACAGGCGCCTTCACACCACCAGCATGGTGTCTCTGACCGTGGGGCTGGGAAGAAATGGGATACAGGCCCTCCAGCGGCAGGAGTTGCAGAAGCCTCGTGGGCTGTGCCCTTCACCAGGCCCCGGCACAGGCAGGGACCTTTCTGAGAAAGAACTCCGTGTCCTCAGTGCCCTGAAATGTTCCTCCTCCCACAGTCGCCACAGCCACAGCACTCAAATGCCACAAACTCCCTTATACTAAAGTGCAGCTTGGTAAACCCCCAAAAATCTGCCTGGGGGTCAGAGAGCCCCGGTCCACATCCCCAGCCTGCCTTCCTGGAACTGTGCCATGGTGGTGGAGGCGCGGGCCTCCCCTAGCCTGGATCCCCACATGCAGAGCCAGGGATACTCATTCCTTTGGTGCCCGAGGGATTGGAGGGTCTCCTGCCCTGGCCTCTTAGAAAGAATGCACTCAGGCAGTGCCTGTTTCCCTCCCTCTTCTCTTCCTTCCTCCTTCTAGATCTGCCCCCTCTTCACTGTGCCAGAGTGAGCCTTCTAGAACCTGAGGGGCCATTACTGAGGGGCTCAGGGCCCACAGGTTGAGTCCACCTCCCCTCATGCCTCACGTCCCTCCCTGTGGCCTCACTCTCCACTCCCTGCAGCTCCCCAGGGCAGCCCACTCTCACCCACGGGACTCCCTGACTGCAAGGGCATCGCCCTGGTGAGTCCCTAATTAAAGGTGTTAACACTCTAAAAGTGGGGCTGATTCCAACAAGAGGCGCTTCCTGGAGGCTGGTCTGTGAAGGAGGATGCAGGGCAGGTGGTGGGGAGAGGCCTCCCTATCTTCTGGGAGGGAATTAACTTGTTTGCTGCAGCAGGCCAGGGTCTCTTACAGAAGGTGATGGTGGGCATGGGTGGGGCTGGTGTGGCCCTGCAGAGCGGGAGCAGGAAGGGGCTGCTGATCAGCCTCCCCCAGGGCCTCCTCCCCTCACTAGTCCTGACAATGCCAACAGGTAGGAAGAGGTGTGGCCTTCACAGGTAAGACTGGACAGGATAGGGCATGTCCTGACTGCAAAGCCCACATGCTCTAAACCGAGTTGCCGTGGCACCAGCACCTGTGTCCTAATGGCCCCCCGCTATCCCCTAGGAGTGGAGTTGTTGCACAGCAGCAACTGTAGCTCAGCAGGCCCCTCTGTGTGTGTGGCCCTCGAAGAAAGTGGAAATGGGGCCAGGCATCAGGACAGGAAGGGTCTCCTTAGACCAGCACCTGAGCAGCATGGCCAAGGCATAGGCTTGTCCTGCCAGTGGCCCTCTAGGGAACCAATGAGAGTACAGAAGGGCCATTGCTCTGGGGTCAGCTGGCCCTGCCTGGTTTCTGTTGGTGATGGAGGTGTTGCTCTGGGGTCAGCTGGCCCCGCCTGGTTTCTGTTGGTGATGGAGGTGTTGCTCTGGGGTCAGCTGGCCCCGCCTGGTTTCTGTTGGTGATGGAGGTGTTGCTCTGGGGTCAGCTGGCCCCGCCTGGTTTCTATTGGTGATGGAGGTGTTGCTCTGGGGTCAGCTGGCCCCGCCTGGTTTCTGTTGGTGATGGAGGTGTTGCTCTGGGGTCAGCTGGCCCCACCTGGCTTCTGTTGGTGATGGAGGTGTTGCTCTGGGGTCAGCTGGCCCCGCCTGGTTTCTGTTGGTGATGGAGGTGTTGCTCTGGGGTCAGCTGGCCCCGCCTGGTTTCTGTTGGTGATGGAGGTGTTGCTCTGGGGTCAGCTGGCCCGGCCTGGTTTCTGTTGGTGATGGAGGTGTTGCTCTGGGGTCAGCTGGCCCCGCCTGGTTTCTGTTGGTGATGGAGGTGTTGCTCTGGGGTCAGCTGGCCCCGCCTGGTTTCTATTGGTGATGGAGGTGTTGCTCTGGGGTCAGCTGGCCCCGCCTGGTTTCTATTGGTGATGGAGGTGTTGCTCTGGGGTCAGCTGGCCCTGCCTGGTTTCTGTTGGTGATGGAGGTGTTGGTTATGGTGGTATTGTTTTAACACTCCTGAAAGAGGAACATGCCTGTTAACAGCACACCCGAAACCATCAGGCCCTCTCTCTGCCTGGCCCTCTGAACGGGGCAACAGAAACGCATCAACTCTCCCTGTCATCAGTGAAATAGCACTGGGGGCTGAGGGAGGGCCCACTCAGGATGGCCCAGCCTGCAGGTCTATGCAGACCCCAGACTCTACAATCTGGGGCCCTTGGTTTCTGGAGGAGGCAGACACCCTGGTTTGCGGAGTCCACGCTCCATTCTGCTGTTGTCCTGGTCTTGTAATGCCCAACCTTGTTTTTACTAACCCTGTTTTTAGGCTTGTTTCCACCTGAATGGACTCTCCCTTAGCTAAGAGAGCCAGACAGACTCCATCTTGCCTCTTTCACTGGCAGCCCCTTCCTCAAGGACTTAACTTGTGCAAGCTGACTCCCAGCACATCCAAGAATGCAGTTAACTGATAAGATACTGTGGCGAGCTATATCCGCAGTTCCCAGGAATTCGTCTGATTGATAACGCCCAAAGCCTCGTGTCTATCACCTTGTAATAGTCTTAAAGCCCCTGCACCTGGAACTGTTTACTTTTCTGTAACCATTTATCTTTTTAACTTTTTGCCTACTTTATTTCTGTAAAATTGTTTTAACTAGACCCCCACTCCTCTTTCTAAACCAAAGTATAAAAGAAAATCTAGCCCCTTCTTCGGGGCTGAGAGAATTTTTAGCGTTAGCCGTCTCTCGGTCGCCGGCTAATAAAAGACTCTTAATTCGTCTCAAAGTATGGCGTTTTCTCTAACTCGCCTGGGTACAACAGTCTCAGGCCACAAGGATGGGTCCTGCAGGATCCCCTTCGTGGCACCCAGGAGCTGGTGGCTTCTGCACTCTGGAGGTCACAGCCCTTATGTCTCAGTGACCCTGGCCAACACCAAGCTGGAGCCACACACCCCCACATCCCTCCACAGTGGGGGTGCAAGGCAGGACCTTCTGACTGTACAGAAACTCATTGCAGATCTGGTATTGACTCAAAATTAGCAGCCACCACACACACACACACACACACACACACACACACACACACACACACACACACACACACACACACACCCCTCCCCTGGAAGAGATCACCTGTGTGTCAGTAGGCTGAGCCCTGAGTCCCTGCCCTATCCCAACGGCTCAGACCCTGGCCTGGCATAACCACACAGGTCACCCTGGTAACTGGCCCCAAGCATCCTACAGGAAAGCAGCTTCCAAACTGCACTGAGGAACTGGGAGGACTTGGGGGCCTCTGAGCACTTAGGGTGGTAGGCTCGGGGCTCCTTCCAGCTCTTTCACGTATTGGAGTTCAGAATAGGATTTTGGCTACGAAAGCATTTCACTGCAGCTTTTAGAAAGAAAAGGCTGCTGTAGAAGAGAGTTCAGTGCTGGCTCTCACACTCAGTGGTATATGAGAATCACTCTGGGAGCTTTGAAAACTTCCGACACTCTCTCAACGCCCCGGGCCAATTCCCTCACACTCTCTCAGGAAGAGACCCAGGCATCTGCATTTTTAAAGCCATCCAGGAGCCCTCTGAGAACAGCAGAGGTTCTCAAAGTGGGGTCCCTGGGCCAGCAGCGTCAGCGTCACCCAGGAACTTGTCAGGAGGGCAAATTCTTGTACTTCACCCCCACCCACGGACTCAGAAACCTAGGAGTGGGGCCAGGGAAAGCCCTGCCGATGACCTGCTGCCTGGTCAAGGCTGGGAGCCGTGCTCCTGGAAGATCTAGCAAGTTCGGGGCCAATGGATGCCAACGGTGACTGTCCCATCAGGCGTCTCGACGGCAAGGGTGGCCCCGCCCCAGCCCAGCAGCCCTGGACTCACGCAAGACACAGTAGAGGCCGAGCTGTTCATAGCCCTCACAGCAGTCAGTCACGTTCCTGGACTCGGGGACCTCCACTACCAGGTACTGTGTCCGGTAAACCATCTTAGGGCACCGCCTCCAGGGGATCCAGCCGCCGCAGGACACATAGGACGTGTAGGACGTCTGCACGGCCTCCACCTTCTGTACAGTGTGGGTCACACGGTGGCTGCATAGCTGGTAGCCCAACAGGGAGAGGCCTTTTTCTGAAAGAGGCCAAGCAAGAAGGCGACTGAGAACACCAGGATCAGATCCGTGCGAGCGGTTATCCGCAAGGCGTCCCTCTGCAATAGCAAGTGAGAGCACACCTCCCGCACTCGCGCAGGCCTCTCAGAAGCTGCCCACCAGCCCTCTCCACTGGCCTTTGCCTGCTAGTGCACCAGGAAGGCTGTTGCATGAGTGAGCACAGAAGAATAAAGCATAAACGTAGCCTGGCCTGCTAAGAAAGCCGCTGTGACCGAGGAGGAGGTGCCACCTGGGCCCCACGCATGCTTCCTGAAGCACAGGGTTCTCACGGTCCATATACGAAGGAGAGAGCACAGCGCTGGAATCAATGCTTAGAGATCACGTCCCTTTGTTCTGCTCCATGTGAGCTGATTCCACAGGCCGTAGAATCTCGTGCACATCTATCTCTTAGTCCCCCTGAGCCTCAAGGTTGCCACATGGGAAGTGAATGTGCAGCAGTTCCCTCCACAGTGCAAACTGAAGGCCTGCTGTGGCCAGGACATGACAATGACGGCTTTCTTTTCAATGAGGTGGAAGATAAGTAAGCAGGTACTTAAAGCACCTGTGGAGTGCGGTCGCTCTGTGGCAAGTGTGTGAGAAGTTTGTTGATGATAAAAGACCAGCTCAGGCCGGGCGTGGTGGCTCACACCTGTAATCCCAGCACTTTGGGAGGCCGAGGCAGGTGGATCACTCAAGCTCAGGAGTTCGAGACCAGCCCGGCCAACATGGTGAAACCCCCCCCCCATCTCCAGCAAAAATATTTTTTAAAAATTAGCCGGGTGTGGGCTGGGCGCGGTGGCTCATGCCTGTAATCAATCCCAGCACTTTGGGAGGCCAAGGTGGGCGGATCACGAGGTCAGGAGATCGAGACCACCCTGGCTAACATGGTGAAAGCCCCTCTCTACTAAAAATACAAAAAATTAGCCGGGAGTGGCGGTGGGCGCCTGTAGTCCCAGCTACTTGGGAGGCTGAGGCAGAATGGCGTGAACCCAGGAGGCGGAGGTTGCAGTGAGCCAAGATTGCGCCACTGCACTCCACCCTGGGTGACAGAGTGAAGACTCCCTCTGAAAAAAAAAACAAAAATAAAAAATAAAATAAAAAATTGTGGTGGCTGGTGCCTGTAATCCCAGCTACTCAGGAGGCTGAGGCAGGAGAATTGCTTGAACCCAGGAGGCGGAGGTTGCAGTGAGCCCAGATCATGTCACTGCACTCCAGCCTAGGTGACAGAGCGAGACTCCATCTCAAAAAAAAGACCAGTTCAACTTTTCAGCCGTTACCACTGTGATCAGGAGGAGGCACAGTCACCCCCGCTGCAGGACAAGCATCAGGTTTACCCTATTGGGCCCCACATATCTCTCACTGGAGCCTGGTTCCTTTACACAAGGCCCATCGCCCCTCCATCAACGTGATTACTCCGTTCTCGAGACCCCTGGCCCCATGACATTCACCACGAGACTCTTTGGTCATGGACATCCCCTGACGTGGTGCCTGGGCTTCCCATCTCCCCGGGAGCCCCTACTGCCTAGTTTGAATTGATTGTGTTCCTCCAAAAATTAGTGTGTTAAAGTCCTAAACCCCAGTAACTCAGAATATGACCTTATCTGCAGTAATGTCTTACAGAGGGTATCAAGTTAAAGTGGAGACATTAGGGTGGGCCCTAATACAATATGACTGGCCCTTATACTAAAGGGAAATGTGGAGACAGACAGGCACACAGGGAGAAGGTAGAGACCAGGGTGATGCTTCTACCTGTCAAGGAACACCAAAGATTGCCAGCAGCTCCAGAAGCTGGAGGCCCGGAGCAGAGACTCCTGCAGGGGCTCGGGAGGAGCCAGCCCTGCCCGCAACTTCATCTTAGACTTCCGGCCTCCAGACCTGTGACCGAATCCATTTCTGCTGTTTAAGCCACGCAGGCTGTGTTTCTTTGTTACAGCAGCCCTAGCCAGTGCACACAGGGATGGTGAAGGGTCCCCTCCAGCTCCCCCGTGGCACCTAGCAGGGGGCCCTGAGTACATGGACTCTCAGTGCAGGATGAACGGAGGATTTGACATACAGTGCTTGCATTTCAGACACTCAACCCCTGAGCTCTAAGCTTTACTAGACTGTACCCCCAAGAGGTGGGGGCTCAGTATTACAGTTGATTTCCCTCAATGAGTAGCTGGATTGATTTCTGGGGAGGAACACAGAGATGGGAGCAGAAATGATCACAAAACCACTGCTGTCCTTATTCGCTCCACTGGGGCAGCATCTCTGAAGATTCCCTCCTTGGACCTCGCAGCAACCTACAAGTGTGCAGAAAGCAGGACTCCAGGGGCTTGTTACTCACCCCAGGAAGAAATAGGGCAGAGCCAGCCCTCAAACACGGTGAGGGAAGAGGCTGCAGATTTGCTCTGGGCAGAACACAGGTGCTGGACCACACACTTGCTGCACAGCGACCCCACTCCACAAGCAACAGGGACTGGAGCTGCAACTTCCTCTGGGGGCTGAACCCCAAATCACCCTGCGGGCCCAGCAGGGCCTCTGGGGATGGGGACCACCTGCTGCTTGGCATCACCAGTGGGGTAGTTACTGTGAGCTCTGCAAAGGAACGGGAGGTCCTCATCGTACGGGGTGGAACAGGACAAATCAGCTTCCGGGACCAGGGCAGCTTGGCTGAGAGCCTAGAGGTGACTTGCATGAAGAACGGTGGAATATGGCCGGAAGGAACGCGCTCACCTACTCAGTGACCACGCCGAGCTAGGCAAAGGCCGAGGACTTCCTGCACCAAGAACTTAGCAGAGTGGATCTAGCTTGCGTTTTTCATCGTAACCTGAGCAGAGATGCCAACCACATTAAGGACACTTACAGCTCCTGGTCTCTAGAGAGGTGCCAGGGCCCCACCTGATCGTTACATGGCCCCAGCTGGTCCGCAGCAGAGCCGTCCTGCACACATGCGCACACGCACACACACACACGCGCGCGCGCACACACACACACACTCATCTCCTGTGGAACCCGGGAGATGTTTGCCCTGTTTTGTTTTTAACATTTTATCCGAGGTCACGTGCCATCCCAAGCCTGGCTTCTTGGCCAAGCCCAGAGAAGAAAGCAGTTAGCAGATCCTGCCATCCCGCAAAGACCCACAAGGGCCATCAGAGCAGGAGCCGGGGGTCTTGGATTCCGGTCTCAGAGATGGGAAAGCCTAATGCTCTGGGGCCAACAAGAGTCCTGGGGTCAGATGGACCTGTGCTCACACCCAGGCTCACAAACCCCTGTTGCATGATTGCGCCCATGTCATGCCCTCCCAGTGCCCCTCTCTTGTCATCTGTGAAATAACAGCCATGTCCTGTGGCTGCAAAAGGCTGAAGTGGGGTCATGCCTGTGAAGGCAGTGCTGGCACACAGGGAAAATTCGGGGCGACCACGTGTGGGGTTGCTGAGGTTCTGCCCCGTGTCCTCATATACAATGAGGGGTTCTGGAAACACCTCCTAAGACCTTCTCCAGCTTCCCAGGATACCCACCCATTATGCATCTGAACTGTGGGGTCTACACATTACCTGTTCCAATGGGAAAATCCATTTCACAAATCACAAAGCAAAATCCTGCTTCTGGGTGAAAAACGTTAAAGTAGTACAAAAACATAGTTGATTTTAGAAACAGAATGGATTCCTTTAAATTTGTAACTGAATATGACAGATTTTAAGAGGAAAATGATTTTAAAATTCCGCAGTCCCATTTCCCTGGATTCTGGGGTTTCAGAACTCCCGTGTGTTTTTAAGAAGCTGCCCTGCTCTCCGCATGCCTGGGAAAACTCCGGACAGAGCCCTGGTGCAGCCTCTGGCTCCTGTGGTGACTCTGCCCTGTGAGCTGTGTGGCCTGGGCAAGTCCCTGATCCATTCTGGGTCTCCCTTTCTTTTTTGTTTTTGTATTGTGGCTTTTTTTGTTTGTTTGTTTGTTTGTTTGGGGGCTTTTGCTCTGCCGCCCAGGCTGCAGTGCAGTGGAGCAATCTTAGCTCACTGCAGCCTGGACCTCCCAAGCTCAAGTGATCCTCCCATCCCAGCCTCCTGTGTAGCTGGGACCACAAGTGTGCACCACCATGGCTGGCTAATTTTTTTTTTTTTTTGGTACACATGGGGTCTCATGATGTTGCCCAGGCTAGGTCTCCTTTTTTTTTTAAATCTGTAAGTGAGGACTTGAATGCACCAAGGTTCAGGAGACCTTTCTTCTGCGTCTGTAGGAGCTCACTGTTCTCAGTGGGATCTGAGGACCCACAGCATCTGCATCACCCACAGACATGTAGAGTTCCAGGCCCTGCACCCCAGACCTGCTGGCTAAGAATCTGCATTTTACCCCCACGAACGCCCAGGTGATTCAGCAACAGGTTCCCACTGGGGGAGTCCTCTTCCCAAAACCCTACCCGGCACTCCTGCCCCACCTCCACAGCTGCTACCATGTGCGCTTACCAAAAAGCTTGTCCACAAAAGAACAGATGTCGCCTCTCCAAGCAGAGGCGTCCTTGCCTGCCCAGGTCTCCACAGGGGGCTGTCCTCATGAGACCCATGCCAGGAAGCCCCTGTCCTTAAGAACTGCCCATGCCAAGCCCAGACCCCTCACCTGTGAAGCCGCTGGCCTGGCTTGGGCCCACAGCACTGACCAGAGCCAGCAGTGCCAGCCCCGAGGTCCTGAGCATCGTCCGGCAGTGGTGGCAGTACAGGGCTCTGGGCCTCTACCAAGAAGCCTGGGTCTCTGCTACGCCAGGGCTCATAGGGGCCTGAGCTGCCTGGACCTGGAGAAACGGCCTTTCTGTCCCCTGTGCTGCTGCAGGTGGCAATGACTTCAGAGGAAGCACCGCTGGGAGCAGTCCCTTATGCCTGCTCGTTAACACCCACCATTGCCATGGCCGTTTCCCTGGGGGCTCCTGCGTGTCACAGCCTATTCTGCTCCAAGCAGATGGCATCTTTTAGGAAAGGTGAGTACCCAAAAGCCCAGACCGCATCGCTGGATCCCATCTCGTTGTTACGCAGAAAACACATTTGAGACTCATATCTGAGTCTCTCCATCAACACGGAGTATTCTCTTACCCTATCGTTCTGAACTGGCAGAAGAAAACAGCATCAAATCAAAGTGGAACATCACGTTCAGAAAAGCGTCCTTCACACGGTTCCACAATGCACTTCAAAAGTCACAAAAATGTCCAGGTGCTTTGACCCAGTCCTCTCCTCCCGGAGCTTGGGCTGAGAGCACGAAGCTGTGGTCACAGGGATGTGCATTACCTATTATGACTTAAAGTGGGAAATTACATAATTGGACAGCCACAGGAGAGTGGGAGAGTAATTATTACAGAGCATCTGGATGCAGCATTACACGGGCGTTGAAATGCTCACCATGAAGTTTTAGTAGCACAAACAAATACTTAACAATGTGAAGTCAAAACAGCAACGCATGCAATTTCATCTCCATGAAAGTGACAACTCTGTACAGTTATATAAGCATGGAGAAAACTCCAGAA
The DNA here is from genome assembly GCF_000001405.40 of Homo sapiens. Lineage (NCBI taxonomy): Eukaryota > Metazoa > Chordata > Mammalia > Primates > Hominidae > Homo > Homo sapiens. The sequence continues at coordinate 42,070,497 of NC_000021.9, read as the reverse complement.
AGGGCCCTGGGACAGGAAGAAAACATTTTGAGGAGTGATAAGAATACAGGTGATTAATGTTTTATTTCAGTAGTCATCATGGTATATGTGAAGTAGATTTCTAAATCTCATGTTAAGTTCTTTCTAGCTCATGATGTTTTCATACTGCACCGTTGATTGCCTCTCACTTCTTAGTGTTGACTGCTGAAGCCCAATTTTTAACATTGGATGAAGAAGATCTTGTTGATTTTACTGAGGAAACATTCAGATGAATTAACAAAGATTCACGTTGGCTGCATGGTTCGGGAGCATAATTCCCTGGTGTTCTAGATACAAAACGATTCCTCCAGAAGGGACCTTCTCGCCTAACTCCCGCACCAACGTTGCTACCTCTTTTATTCTCTGTAGATTAATCTCTGAGATGATGAACTGCTGCATTTGCTTGGCTAATGACTAAATGTCAGATGCCATGACAAGAATACAAAAAGGAGGCTGGAAATGATCTCACAGCAAAGGGGCTGCGTACAACGGGTGTCCTTGGAACACAGCAGCTTTTATAGAAAACCAAAAGCTTCACACAGAATTGGCTCATTAAAAAACGTTTTCATACGAAAAGAATAAATGTTAAAGCTATTATATAATACTCAAGGAAGTGAAATTTTATTAACACTAAAAGAATAAAAAGTATTATGATTTAAGTAAATCTGAACATTTTAAAATGCAAGATGAATTTGTATTATCTTGTATATATCATCTCAAAATGTTTGCTACTATAATGTATGAATGTCTATAAAATATCAAGGTAAATCAGGGATAATATTACAGGTTAAAACTCAAAATTCGTCTGGTGCACTGTTGTCTCTCATCTTCACGATTGCCCTATGAAATAGGTCCTTTGTCCCTATTATATAGGTGAGAAAACAGGTTCAGAAAGGCCACACAGCCAGTAAACAAGAGATTAAACCCAGGCTTGTCTAAGCCTCAAGCCGCAGTTCTTCACACTCCACTCCACTGCTGGTCTGTCATGATTTAACCACAGACCCCAAGACAGGGGAACAAAATCAAGACATTTTACCAGTTGAGGACTTCATAATAATTTATAATCATCCATAAAATGTCATTGTAACATGCTGTCTCTTTATATTAAAATGATTAAAGAAAAAAATCCCAAAATTAACAGTCTGTTTCTAGCTTGGTGTCTCCTTCAACCTCTGTTTTATTGAGGCACAATGAAAGATACCCCTGCTGTTTGTGTGTGTGTGTGTGTGTGTGTGTGTGTGTGTGTGTGTTTCTGTCTGTGTTTTGTCCATGGAAGGCATTTTTCTCCAGTTATCCTTTATACATATTTTCCTGCATGATGGCCGGAGGGATTTTTCACATTTGCCCTGTCCATGTAAACACTCTGAGGAGAAAAACAACCCCATACTGTAACCCACCAGGGAGAGAATTCTCCAGCACTTGGTGTCCAACAATGCCGGGGTGTGTCTTCCACAGTCCATCCAGCAGAGAGCCCCAAATTCGCTCAGGGCCTCTGTGCAGAAAGGCCAGCATCCCCCACACAGCATCCAAGGGCTGGAGAGACAATGGAGGCCACTGGTGTGCCATGCTGGCTTTCAGGGCACACATGCCCAGGCATTCACACCCACTCACACTCACATACATGCGCTCACACTGGGCATAAACACAGACACATCCACACTCACATGTGCACCGACACATACAGACACACTCACACAAGTCCACACACATACTGACACACGTTCACACTTACACACACTTACAAACACAAACTCATATGCCACATCACTCATGCATGCTCATTCACACATGCCCACACTAACACATGTACACATATTCACTCATATGTATATGGGCATGCATGGTAACGGCTGCCGGGCAGGTGCAGGCAGAAAGAGGCAGGGTGGGAGAAGCCCTCATCTCCAAGGGGTGGCCAGCTGGGTTTATTTTCAGGGAAAGCTGGTTGTGATGGAGAATGTGAGGACGAGCTAGGGAGGAGAGTCATGCAACCAAAAAATGGTTTGGACTTGGAAGAGACCTTGAGTCATCCAGCCCAGCATCCAGCCCATCCAGGTGGCTCTCTGACAGCGGCGGTGACTTAACACCCTGTTTCTCGGGGTGTGTGTGGGGACCACCTGCATGGGGAGGGAACATATAGAAAATGCAGGCTCCCAGCCTCACCCCTCTCTCACTCAGGCACTGGAGGATAGGCCCCCCGGCATCCGGGTGACTCAGGTGCTCACACGACCTTGAGGACGGGACCGTGTCCTCCTGAACACCAGGACACGAATCCAGTGGGATGGCCCCTTTTGTGGACAGATGGCTCTGCCTGAAAATTCCTCACGATATGGAATCACGGTTGGCCTTCCTGCTGGAACGACCACATCCGAGAAGCCTGGTCCACCCTCACACTGGACAGTGAGTGCCACTCCTCCATGTGGCAGCCTTCGGACCCTTCTGGAGAGTTCTCCGGGCCGCCTCTGTTTTGCTCCCCTCCCCCATCTCTCTCTCCCTCACTCACACAGACACGTGCCCTCGTCTTTGTCTCTGTTTCTGTTTACCTTTGAAGAAGCTCGGCTTTCTTATCACAGCCCGAATGACTTTTCCTTTTCCACATTCCACTTCGGAGACTGTGGCCCTCCACGGGCAGCAGTTGCCGGGTTGGATGGAAAGCGAGGGTGCGGCCTGGGGTTGGGACATTGTCTCCAGGCCCCAAGGAGCAGCATGGGCCTGTCGCTTTCTCGTGGCAAGGCCAGAGCAGATCGGAAGGCGAAGAGACACGAGAAACTCCCAGAAGAGGCGCCCAGGCCTTCAGAGGTGCTTCCGTAACACAGCAAAGGCATAGCTAAGGCCAGGGGGGCAGTGGACACGCACGTGCCGGTGTGTTTTCAGACCCTGCATGCCTCACAGTGGAACCTGGGGAAAGCCCTGGATTAGGAGCCAAATACCCTCAGTCCAGTCCTCGTTCTGCCAACGGCTGGACAGGGTCCCCTGGGTGGCATTTATCCATTCAGTGCCTCGGTTTCCTAAATGAGAAATTACCAAAAGGGAATAGTGATGCCTTCTAATTTAATGGTGTTTTAATGCCTCCTGATTTTATGAAAACCAAATTAATTAATGTATGGGAATGCCTTCTAGAACTAGAGTGTATTTTAAGTATCCATCACTTATTGTCATTAAATGTAGGTAAGGCCATTACTGGGGAAATATAATTAAAAATAAAATGTGCTGGCCAGGCACAATGGCTCATGCCTGTAATCCCAGCACTTTGGGAGGGGTGGGGGGTGGATCACGAAGTCAGGAGTTCAAGACCAGCCTGGCCAAGATGGTGAAACTCCATCTCTACTAAAAATACAAAAATTAGCCAGGTGTGGTGGCACATGCCTATAATCTCAGCTACTTGGGAGGCTGAGGCAGAGAATTGCTTGAACCCAGGAGGCGGAGGTTGCAGTGAGCCAAGATCGCGCCACTGCACTCCAGCCTGGAGGACAGAGCGAGACTCCATCTCAAAAAAAAAAAAAAAGAAAGAAAAAAGACGTGTGCTCTAAACCCAGGAAACCTCTCCACAAAGGTGGAAAAGAAAGAAAAGTTTCATTATTGAATAACCGTTAAGCCAGAAGATGATATGCATCACAAGCAATGGCTAAGAGACTGCAAAGAAAGGATCTTATCCTTTTAAAGACTCAAACAGGTACAACTAACTGCATGCGTGTTTTCAACATAAACAATAACTAGTCCTTAAGGAAGAGGCCCTGACAGTGCCATTTGTCACACACCGTTGACCCCAGAACCACCTGGTCACTGGGGTTACCATCTGTGTTTGTTAATTGTCTGTATCTAGAAGAAGAATGAACTCCTATCTTCATGACAGGAGGTGGTTTTGCAGCTTGGAGCAAGATCAACTAAGTTAGGCTTTTGGCCTCCCTAGGAAACCAGAGAGGCCAGGAGACAGTTTGGGAGGCTGAGCTGGGCAGATCGCCTGAGGTCAGGAGTTCAAGACCAGCCTGGTCAACATGGTGAAACCCTGCCTCTACTAAAAATACAAAAAAGATTAGCCAAGCATAGTGACACACACCTGTAATCCTAGCTACTCGGAAGGCTGAGGCAGGAGAATTGCTTGAACCCAGGAGGTGGAGGTTGCAGTGAGCCGAGATTGCGCCACCGCACTCCAGCCTGGGCGACAGAGCGAGACTCCGTCTCAAAAAATAAATAAATAAATAAAGAGTAATGCTCAGAGAAAAAGGAGAGAAAAATCTCTTCCCTTCTTTTCAATCAGGAGAATTAAGCCTCTATTTTTAATTTGTCTCTGTCCTTGAAATCCTGAGGTGGTTTTAAGGGCATAGGGCACTTACCAGAGAAGACTGGCCTGGGTGCTTGCCAGGGCCTCTTCCAACTCTGAGATCGTGAGCATCAAGGATAAGCTTTGGAGCCTATTGATAACCGCATTAGCACCACGATCAGGAATGCTGTCGCCCTAACAATAACGTTAGGACAAAGAATTCACGGTTCATGTAAAAGAGCGAATGCAAGTCAGAAACAAAAATCCACCTATGTCTGGGTCCTGGGACCTGGCTGCGGAGGGCAGCGTGGTCTGGAGAATAGGGTGCCAGCCAGGCCTGGTGTCCTGACTTCTAGACAGGACTCCAGCCTGTCTGTAAAAGTTGGTGCAGGCTGAGTGCAGTGGCTCACTCCTGAAATCCCAACACTTTGGGAGGCTGAGGCGGCCAGATCACAAGGTCAGCAGATCGAGGCCCTCCTGGCCAACATGGTGAAACCCCCTCTCCACTAAAAATACAAAATCTGGGCATGGGGGTGCATGCCTGTAATCCCAGCTACTCGGGAGGCTGAGGCAGGAGAATCGCTTGAACCAGGGAGTCGGAGGTTGCAGTGAGCCAAGATCATGCCACTGTACTCCAGTCAGGGTGACAGAGCGAGACTCCGCCTCAAAAAAAAAAAAAGAAAAAAAAAGAAAGAGATCTGGTGCAGTCCTTGGCCACCTGGACTTCAGGGTCTTGTTTCCAGATAGTGAAGATAACTGGCTCGATCCACACCTGCACCAGCATTTCGTGACTGGATCATCTCTTAGGACGGGTCAGACCACGGTGCTTCTAGACCCATCAGGGCCATTCTGCACCCAGTAATGGATATCATCATGTGGCTTTGAAATAATGAAGCAAGAGCAATAGAATCTGAACTGAAACGCAATAACTGCATGAATGAGTTTATAGTGTGGCATCTTAGAAAGCTTTCTGCTGGAGGGTTCCAAATAAGTGACGCCAAACTCAGAGGGGATCGTTCCCCGCCAGCCCTCATCGCAACAGGCAGCTGCCCCAGCACAGTCACTCCTGGAAAACACCAATGTCCCAAGGCGCGGAGTCTTTCTGCCGGGGCTGAGGTTGGGATAAAAGGACATCACAACAGTGAGTTGCCTCTACCTCGAATCAGGCTTTAATGTTTAAGAGGAAAAGAGAGAAGGTGTACATTCCCCCAGCCGCAAGGATTTTCAAAAGTAAAAACAGAATACAACAGATTCAATAGTTCCAATAAATGATTTTAAAATTCTCAGATATGCGCTCTTTGTCAGGATTCTCCAGAGAAACAGAAAACTGATTTTAAAAAAAGAAAAGAAAAGAAAGAAATTTGTGGGCCGGGCATGTTGGTGCACGCCTGTAATCCCAGCACTTTGGGAGGCTGAGGCGGGCAGATCACCTGAGGTCAGGAGTTAGAGACCAGTCTGGCCAACATGGCAAAAACCCATCTCTACTAAAAATACAAAAATTAGCCAGGTGTGGTGTTGGGCGCCTGCAGTCCCAGCTACTCAGGAGGCTTAGGCAGGGGAATCGCTTGAACCTGGAGGCAGAGGTTGCAGTGCGCCGAGATCACACCTTTGCACTCCAGCCTGGGCAACTAAAGCGAAACTCTGTCTCAAAAGAAAAAAAGAAAAGAAAGAAAGAAATTTGTGATTCTAAGAAATTGAAATTGGCTCACACAGTTACGGAGCTGACAAGTCCACCACCACCTGCAAGGTGAGTCAGCAAGCTGGGGCCCAAGAGAGCCAACGTGTAGTTCCCGTGCCAACGTAGGCAGACTCAAGACCCAGGGAGAGGTAATGTTTCAGTTCAAGTCCAAAGGCAGCAAAAAGCTGATGTTCCAGTTCGGAGGCCGTCCGGCAGGAGGGGTTCTCTCCTCCTCGGGGGAAGGGGCAGCCCTTTTGCTCTTTTCAGGGCTTCAGCTGATTGCATGAGGCCCACCCACATTCTGCTTGACTCAGTCTATTGATTCAAATATTAATCCAATCAGATCAGAGGAGGGACCTGCAGAGGCACGGCCGGCAGAGAAACTGTTGGGCTGAACTGCCAACGGAGAACGCCAGGGATCTGATTCACCAGCAGCCTTGGGGACATTCACCTCGGGCTCGACAGACTGCCAGAAACCCCCCAAGCCCCAAGGCATCCATATAACGGCCAGGTTATTTCAGATTGACACACATCCTAATGTACGAGTCAGCCCACACATCCCACAGGCGCTGAGCATCTCTTGTTTTTCACCCCAAATAAACTCTGCTGAAACTGGGGGGCCGCAGGGTGTCGAGAAAAGGGAAGAAGGGCAGAGGGCAGAAGTGGGTGGTTTGCTCTGCTCCACCCATGGGAGGCTGGTGCACACGGCTGCTTCCGAAAGGGCTTCCTGCTTTAATTGCAGTGCTGAGACACAGGTGGCTCTCACGCCCTCTAATTCAGGCAAAGCCGCCACTGGGGCCAAGGGGAGCCGGGGGACAAGCAAGCGGCCAGTTGGGAGCAATGTTCACGATAGCTCCTTGCGTGCACCAGTCCCAGAGTCTTAGAGGGAGGGATTCCTCCAGGGGGTCTGAGGCCAGAGGTTTCCACTGCTCCTGTCCTAACGATCAGGTGAGCAGCCTCCCTGGGCTCCTGGGTCTAAGGCATCGCTCAGGAGGAAGGACCTTCACCACATTTGCCAGGAAGGTCTCCTGATACCCATGAAAGGCTGCTCACCTGCTGGGAAGCTCTTTAAAAAATCCCAATGCCTGGCCTCCAGCCCCAGGAAAGCAGCTTAGAATCTGTTTGGGGGACACCAGGGGGGACTCCGAGGGGCAGCAAGGTTGACAGCCTCGACCCAGTCCAAACACAGGGCAGCTTGCCAATGAGGAAGTGAAAGTGAAGGGCCCTTGGCCCAGGTCACCCTGTGCAGCGGGCTCAGTGGCAGCCCCCTGCACCCCTGCAAAAGATATGTCCAATCCTAACCCCAGGTACCTGTGAATGTCAACTTACTTGGAAAAAGGGTCTTTTTGCAGATGTAATTTAGATGAGATCATCCTGGATTTAAGGTGAACCTAAATCCAATGACTGGCATCCTTACAAAAGGAAGGAGAGAGAGATTTGAGGTGCATGGAGGGAAGCCCTGAGAAGCCATGGAGATTGGAGTGATCCATCTACAATGAGCCCGGGATGCCAGGAAGGGCTCACCCCAGAGCCTGGGAGAGGCAGGGGACGGTTTCTCCCTCGCAGCCTCCAGAGGAAACCAGCGCTGTCAGCCCCTCGATTTCAGACCTGCAGCCTCCGAGCTGCGAGAGAGTGCAGGTCTGTTGTTCAGCCTCCCAGCCTGTGGTTCTTTGTTTGTACAGTAGCCCCAGGACGTCGGTTAGGGGTGCAGCCTTGCTCACTCTCACGGGGCCCCTCCATTGGCTCTTCTCACCATCCACTTCTGCCCTCTGCCCGTCTCCCCCCTTCTCCGCCCCTGCGAGTCCCGCCCCAGTTCCGGCAGAGTTTATTTGGGGTGAACAACAAGAGACGCTCAGTGCACGTGGGGTGTGTGGGCTGACTTGTACATTAGGATATGTGTCAATCTGAAACAACCTGGCCATTCTCTCGACGCCTTTGGGCTTGGGGGCATTTCTGACAGGTTGTGGAGCCCAAGGTGAATGTCCCCAAGGCTGTCGGTGAACTGATTCAGATCCCTGGTGGTCGCGACTGACAGTTCAGCCCCTCCCTGGTTTCTCTGCCAGCTGCGCATCTGCAGGCCCCTCCCTTAGATCTAACGCATCTGTAATGCTTTCATCTCACTGAGAACCCTCCGCCTCTGGCAGGTTAGAGTAGCACTCAGGGTTGGATGTATTATCTCACCACATCTGCTTCGGTTTCCCCTGCAGAGGCGGCTCGGCGTTGGCACTGGCGCTGGCTGGGCACAGCCCTAACTAACTTGCTTCTTTGCGATCCTTCCCCCACTTTCATTTGGAAACGTTCTCACACTCTCTGCTTCTTGTAACCTCAACAGTGGGTGATGTTGAGAAAGTGTCATTTTTGTCCCAAGGCCTTTCTCCCTGTTGGATGGTCCCAGGGCTCGGCACAGCAGCCTTAGCAGGGCGGAGAGGGAAAAGGCCAGGAGCCCAGCACCGGGTGCAGTCCAGGGTCCCAACCTAGATTCTCTGCCTGCCGCGAGTTCACGTGGGGAAGGCCAATTTGTCCTGAGGAAACCACAGCTCAAGTGCTCACCATGATGCTGATGACAGTGGCCATCAGTCCCCACTGTCCCGCTGCAGATCTTGCTGATTTTCTGATACAGAGATGACCTCAGAGCCTTTTGGGTGGAGAAGAAAGCACCCAAGATCAAAGTCAGGGCCGGCCACTGGGTGCCACTGCATAGGATTTTGCCCTGGAGATAAGTTGAGGGAAATGAGGGCGCGAGAAGACGCTGCCTCACCTGCCCCTGAGAGAGCCCCACGGGGCAGTGTTCAAGACCCCACTTCCCGCAGGGCAGGGGCTGGGGCTTGCTGGGGACGTGTGTGGGATCTGAGCACAGGGACAGCCTCCAGCCTGTAACCCGTTGCCGCTTCCTCCTTCCAGAAAAAAAACATGCCTCGCAGGGGCAGGCCCAGCCCTGTGGGGTTTCAACTTCTGAAGCAGTTCAGGCGAAAGGCCGAAAACAGGAAGTGAGACTTGGGTGGTGGGAGGAGGGTATGGGCAGGCAGGAGGGATGCTGATACAGAAAATTCACATTTGAGAAGAACCCAACATATAAGAAAGGAGAGGAAAAGAGAGAGAGAAGACACCAGCACGAACTCCCCGTGGATGTGCCGGGTTTTTCTTCAGCTGCCTATCTGAGAGCCGGCCTCTGCCCTGCCCCACTCCTTCCACACACATTTGCCGGCCCTGCCTGCTGCAGGCCAGCCTGGGGCCTCAGTGGGACCCGCTCATGGCCTCCAAAAGCCTTAAAGTCTCTTGGGGGCTAAATTGTGTCCCTCAAAAAGATATGTTGAAGTCCTACCCCTCCGAACTGGTGAATGTGACTGTATTTGGGAACAGGATTTTTGCAGGTGTAGTTAAAATGAGGTCAAATTGGAGTAGGGTGGGCCCTAAATCTAATATGTCCTTATAAAAAGAGAGACATTTGGATGCAAATGAATGGAGAAGGGAGTACCATGAGACAACAGAGGTGGAGGGGGAGCGAGGCGGCTGCAGCCAGGGCACACCAGGGACCACCGCCTCCGCCCACACCAGCACAGGCCAGGAGGGCTCTGTCCAGACACCTGGATCTTGACCTTCCGGCCTCCAGAACTGTGAGGGAATCAACGTCGGTTGTTTAAGCTCCCAGTTTGCACTGCTTTGTTCCCAGCCCAAGCCGACTCACACAGAGTCTAAAGGGGAAGATGTTAAACAGGTTAAACATAATCCTCCCGCCTCAGCCTCCCAAAGTGCTGGGATTACAGGCATGAGCCACCATGTCCGACCCTCACTGCTTTTTTGTTTGTTTAGTAATTGGCTGGTTTTTTTGTTTGTTTGTTTCTTTAGACAGGGTCTCTCTCTGTCACTCAGGCTGGAGTGCATGACAGGATCTGGGCTCACTGCAGCCTCGACCTCCTGGGCACCAATCCTCCCACCTCAGCCTCCCGAGTAGCTGGGACTACAGGTGTGCACCTGTAGGTTAAACATAATCCCACGCCCAATTATGCCCAGACAACAGGGTCCGTGGCACCAACACTGAAGCCTGAAGGGAGAAGGGTCAGTTGGGCCCTCCGGAGAGGCTGGGGCCGGGAGCTGGCCTCACCCAGGAACCCATGCAGAGGGCAGGGACGCCGGAGCACAGGGCACAAGATGCATTTCCACTGCCCTATCACTCCACCCTTCCAGCCACACGCCAGGTCCCGGCCTGCCCGGCCCCCAGGACAATGTAGGTGCTGAGAGCTCTGCCTCTCTAGAAGTGGGCATCAAGGCAGGGCACCAGCGAACGTGGCCCCGGTCACCATCAGTTTCCGTGCACAGGGTGTGTCCCCTCACAGGGGCATGGTGACCGACCGAGGCCTCCAGATCACTTGGGGCAGAATCAGAAGAGGCCGACCTCAATTTCAGCAGGAATTTAGGTCAGATAATGAGGGCTGTTAAGTGTCAGGCTGCCTTGTCTGAGGTGCTGTGATGAGAAATGCTGGCATTGGGTGAATCTGCCAGGCAGGCAGCACTCCCCTACCCACCCTGTCTGTCCCCTATGGCGCCCTCCAGCCTCCGTACCTGAGTGGCAGCTTCAGAGCAAGGGAGGCTCCTTCCCGAGTGGGCAGCGTCAGTGGAGGGTAGATAAGAAGCTCAGCTCTGAGGCACAAGTATGCAGCGACTGGGGAACAGAGACATCAGAAGCCGCTGACCGCTGAGGACGACGAGGAGGAAGAGGGCTGCCATGACCTTTGGGTCCTTGCAGAGCCAGGTCTAACCCCAGATTCATTGACGTTTGCTTTCTAGGTGGCCTTTGGAAGACACTTGTCCTGGCATCTAATCTGCAAGTGGAAGAATAGTGCATGCCCACAGGTGGCAACTGAGCCAGCTTGCTCAGAGACCCCAGGATGCAATCAGCGCTTTGGAGAGGCTGGCTTCCTTGCTTCCTCTTTAGGAAGATCAAGTGCAAGAGTGACCCTGAAATCAACCTTCCCTGCAAGAAAGGGCTGTGTCATGTCCACCGCAGTCACTGTCCAACCTGCTGTCACTGTCCACGGTCCACTGTCCATGGGACCACTGGCCAGATGGACTCCTTGCCATTGGTGGTCTCTAGGGACAGACAGGCAGGCAGTGAGGGTCTAGCCTAGAAGTGGCCCCCAATGGACCCCGACGAGAGCCGGCCAGTGCTGGAGGAGCTGTCCCCACAAATGGTCAGGGGAGGGGACACTCAGCCTGGGCCAGGTCAGGGCTTCCAAGGGTGTTCAGCAGTAGCTGGCCAGCGTTGAGGCAAGCAGGTGACAGCGTGGTGGGCAGGACAGTGTGGATCACAACGACACAAGGCCACAGACAGGGGATCGGGGCTGGGGATTAGGCAGCTGGCCTCGGGAAGGTCCTCCAGGGAGTGGCAGGGCTGACTCCAGGACCAGAAACTCCTGACACTGGGACTAAACATGGCAAGAGCCATCCCCAGAGGGGCTGAGCCACTGAGCAGATGACCAGAACCAGAATGCAACAGAAGCAGAGCCGAGCGGCAGCAGCTAAACCCACGAGCAGCAGCAGCTAAACCCAGGGTCCACGTCAGCCTGGGGTCAGAGGCCAAGTTCAAGCAACACAATTGGGGCCCTGCCTGGGGGACGCTAGGGCCACAAATCAGCATCAACCCAAAAGGGGAGAACCAATATTGACCCATTCAGCGCCAATCCAAATACTCATTCCAATCAGTGCCAATTCAAACACTCATCCCACTCAGCGCCAATTCAAATTCTCATTCCTCCCTGCTGCCCTTCAGTCCTCGGCCCACTGCCATCCCACTTCCCGACACCTAAAACAGCACTTCGCTGTCGCTTCTCTGAGGTCATTGGTCCCTTTATTCTGTGACAATGTGAGTGAAGGTCTCCCCTGCCCTGATAGGTGATGGGCAGCACAAAGGGAGGAGTCAGGGCCTGGCGCGGTGACCCACGCCTGTAATCCCAGTGCTTTAGGAGGCTGAGGCAGGAGGATCACTTCACACCAAGAGCTTGAGATCAGCGTGGGCAACATAGTGAGACCCCTGTCTCTACAAAACAATACAAAAGAAAAAATTTGCCAGGCGTGGTGGTGTGTGCCTGTAGACCCAGCTATGCGGGAGGCTGAGGCAGGAGGATCACTTGGGCCCAGGAGGTCTAAGCTACAATGAGCCTTGTTCAGGTCACTGCACTCCAGCCTGGGCAGCAGAACCAGGCCCTATCTCGAAAACAAAAACAAAACAAAACAAAAACAAAAGGAGGAATCAGGACCTAAGACTACTTCCTCCTGGGGCCCAGCCCATGTCTGGCATACAGTAGGTACTCAATAAGTGCTTGTTGAATGGCCTGGGGTCAGCCCACATACACATTAGGGTAGGACCAGGAAGCAGCAGGCAGAAGAGGGCTCCCCACAGCCGCTCATCGCTCCCAACTCCCGGGCGTGCATATTATTTTAAGGACCTCTTCTATGGTCTCACAGACCCACAGCCGTGCTTCCCAGAATAGCCGTGACCAGCAGCAAAACACTTCATTCCGACATTCAAGGCTCAGACGGGTCGCATGTTCTTTCCCGTGGAGATCACAAACCAGGAAAGTCACTTTTTCAGCAGCTCTCTTCATCTGCCTCCTGCCAAGGGAATCCAGGAGTGTGAGGAAGTCACTCCCAGCTGAGAAACTGATGCCCTCTGATGCCCTTGGTCTTGGTAATATATTTAAATGCCATGTGATTATATAGTTACAATTCTTAGAAGGGTGGTGGTTCCCTCTAAAGCTGGCCATTTTACAAACCACTGACCTAGAAAAAGACTCTCACTATTGCACTGTAAAGATGAGGAGGGACTCAGAAGCTGACGGCCATTCATCCTCCCGGCTGCTCCACATTTCCAGGCGTGCAGAATGCTCAGTCGTTGCAAGAACCATGATGCAGGGCTGGCACTGCACAGGGACTCTTTCATGGAGGGTAGGGAGACCCACCAGAAAATCCTGGCCGGGAATTCAAATACATAACCCAGACATAACATGTTGCAGAAATCGCTGGCAGAAACCCAGCCCTGTGGCAAGACAATGCCTTCTTAGCATGCTGGCAGGCGAGGTGACCGCAGTCACTCAGGGGTTTGGTAGAGGTCCTAAAAACTTGGAGTTTCCTTTCAGATGAGTAACTTCTTTTCCATTTTCCAAAGGTTAGGAGGTTTTTGTTAAGAAATACATTTGAAGTGACGTTAGGAAAAACATACCCTTTCCGAAAACCCCAAAGAATGTGAAGAAAGTCCATCCGCATTCAGCACTCAGTGGCTTTCCTGGGGAAGGGCGGGCGTGGGCCCCCGTGCTAACATTTGCATAGTAAATGAGGGAATGTTTACCAAGCAGTGTTCAGTGGTTTGAGGCTTGTATAAATAAAAGATAAACAGATGAGGAAGCCCAAGTGGAAAGACCGGTTTGGAACGTCTCACTGACTGACTGGTGGAGCCATTGGGAGCGTTTTTCCATCCCAGAAGGAAAAAGGGAGAGCAGCATTTCCAGCCAGACTTCCAGAGAGTCTGCGGAACTCGTTAGGGAGGAGAGATCTGTGCGGTGTCTGGGGAAACCGCCTCGTGTAAGGGTCTCAACAGAGTGTTTGAAGGGAAAAAGAATAAGCTGTGAGGGGGTAGGACACACCCTGAGAAGGAAGAGATACAAAGATATGTTCGAATGGTGTCTCCTCAAAATTCATGTCCACCCAGAATCTTAGGATGGGACCTTATTTGGAAAGGGCTGTTGCAGATGTAAGGTCAGAGATGAGATCATCCTGCCCTAGCATTGCCCCGAATCCAGGGACAGCGTCCTTCTAAGTGACAGAAAAGGACTCCGAGGAGGCAGAGGTTGGAGAGATGTGGCTGTGAGCCAAGGCGCACCACGGTTTGCCGGTAACACCTGCAGCTGGAAGATGTAAGGAGGGTGTCTCCTCAAGAGCTTCCAGAGGAGAAGCACTCTCACTAAGAATGAGATCTGTTTGCTCACGAATGCTGACGCCTCTGAGATCTGTTTGCTCACGAACACTGATGCCTCTGAGATCTGTTTGCTCACGAACGCTGACAACTCTGGATGCTAGACTGGGTACAGATATTTAATGGGATTTGCCCTCAAGATCGCCCAAACTCTTTTGAGAAAATCGGATGAGGACATTGTCGGGCTGGCTTGTGGTGAGGACAGAGGTTGGAGATAAGGTGTTCTGAAACCGTGACTTGACTTGTAAGTTGAAGTAGGCCCTTCTTGTTTGGCCTATCCTTCCCGTGGTCTATTAGACGAAATGGAGGGACAGCACTTAATCAATCAATTCCAGGAGGGAGGCAGATGACCCGGGGGAGGGAATAGGACCAGAGATACCCGGCAAAGTTCTGCTTGGCCATCATAGCTTTACAGGTGTCAACCAGCCATGTGACCTGCATGACCTCCATGTCTACCTGTGAAGTCTGGGCTACAGGCGCACCCTCCAGGGACTTCCAGAACCCAAACCCAGTGATGTAAGAGGCAAAATAATTTCAAGTCTCCTTTCATCTATTTTTATAAAGTAGAAATAAAATGGCCTTTTGGTCAACCAATCTGTCCTCTTGGAAATACCCTTTCTTGGAAGAAAGAAACACAGGGAGGGAAACACCGAGAGTGATGGTGTCTCCTGGAGGTCGGGCTGTCTTCCTGCACTTCCGTTCTGTTCTTCACATTCGGCACCCCACACCCCCCACCACCTTTAATCCTGGTCCAACTCTGGGTCTGGGTCCTGCAGACGGTTCCCAGCCCCTGCGTCTTGGAGTTCCGGCAGAGAATTTCTGTGACTTTGCCCTCCTACTGTATCCCCATCTATTGCTGAGAACCCCCCAAAATGAGACCTTCTGACTGCCTGCAGCCCAAAACCCCAGTGAATCAGGAGAGGGAGCAGGCGGCATGCCTCCCACCGCCGCATCTCACCTGCTCAGCCCTGCATTCCTCATGTATGGAAAGTCCTGGGGAATGAGGTCCTGCGCGACTTCCTGCTCCAGCACATTTCAAGGTTGTGCTTGTGGTATAATGGACACCCTCTGCCCAGAAGCAAGCAGGGAGAGACCCCAGATGGGCTGTGAAGTAGGCACTAAGGTTTCACTCCACTGTTTCTTGGAGGGCGTCCTCCTTCCTCCTCCTCCCTGCTATTCCGTGGGGTCTGGTTGCCAGGCTCACAATGCCCACCCACCCCACCATTCTTCCCACCCAGGGAGCCAGAACCACCCACGTGTGCATGTCGAGCTGGGTCGGGGGCACAGCAAGGCTTGCTCCACCATCTGCAGCCTGTCATACCTCCTGTCCACCCAAAGGCCACTCCTAATCCTCCCTCCACTCTGGTTAACACCAGCTAAAATGCAGGTCCTCCTCGCCCTGGATTCGGCTACACCACTGATGAACAACACACAGGCAGAGGAAAGTGTTTGGAGGTCTTTCACAGGGAAGCAATTCATGTTTATTTGGTAGAGCCAAAAATTCAACAAGGGAGTAAAGAAGTTCCTCCAAGGTGGGTTTTGCTCAGGACAGGCAGACATTTCTTGTGGCTAGAAGTGAGTGGCAACAGGTCCTCCGGCAGTGATGAGCTACCTGGCCTCAGGAGCATTCAAGTAGACCGAAGGCCATGGGAGGTTCCAGAAGCTGGAGCAACAGGCCAGGCTTGGATCATTGTGAAGGCCTTGCTGGGGCAGCAGGTGTACACTCTGCTACATGAGAGAAGTCCCTGAGGGGAGAAGTGAGTTTGTCCAAGGAGTAGGAGAGAAGCTTCAGGGACAGAGGACAGCAACAGTATACTCTGAACTTGGATCGCTTGAGAACATTCAAAGGCCAAAGCCATCCTCTTACTGCCACCTCTGCTTTCAGGAAGAAGGGGCTGTGTGGGCCCAGAACCGGGTCTGAGAGAGAGGCTGGGCCTGTTTGACATCACACACCTCCACTCCTGCTGGAGAAGGGAGCCAAGGTGGGCTGAGACATTCCCAGACTCAGTGCCCACAGCTCCATCCATCTGGAAGACTTTGGGTCAAATCCATAAAGAACGTGAGAGGGGCCGGGGAGCCAGCCCAGGATGACTGAAAGTGCAGTGAGTTCTCTGTCTGAGCCTCCAAGGGTCTTCTGCCTGGGCGTTCTCTGCACCACAGGCAGGAGTGGCCATCTCTTGGAGGTTTTCTAAGGGCTGAGCGAGAGACAGAAGCAAGGAGTTTCCATACAAGCCTCCAACACCTGAGGAAGAATTGGAATAACTGCCGGTGGAGCTGCAGGGTCCCAGGGGAGAAGCCCAGGCTCTGAGTCCACAGGGACTGAGACCTTTGCTTATCAACTCGGCAACCTCAGGCAACGATGCTTCCTGGGCCTCAGTTTACTTGTCTGTGGGGAATTGACACACTAGGTAAAGTGGGGCTGTTAGGAGGCACTGAGCATGTTAGTTCTTGTTCCTACATCCCCAGGGCAAGACTTCCTCCCAAGGGAGGTGATCCAATGACAAACTCATTCGTACCAAGTTGCGAACAGCTGACCCCTGATCCCTCCTTGAAAACGATGGAAGAGGGCTAGACGCAGTAGCTCACACCTGTAATCCCAGCACTTTGGGTGGCCAAGGCAGGTGGATTGCTTGAACTCAGGAGTATGAGACCAGCCTGGGGAACATGATGAAACCTCATCTGTAGAAAAAAATACAAAAAAAAAAAAAAAATTAATTAGTTGAGTGCGGTGGCGTGCACCTGAAGTCCCAGCTACTTGAGAAGCTGAGGTGGACGGATCACCTGAGCCCAGGAGGTTGAGGCTGCAGTGAGCTATGATGGCACCACTGCACTCCAGCCTGGGTGACAGAGTGAGACTCTCTCTCCAACAAAACAAAACAATGGAAGAGATGAGAAACCAGGTTACCAAATTCCTGGTGCCTAAGAGCACAGAAGTGCCAAGAGGGGGCAGCCAGCAGTAGTAAAGATAAATTTTAGATTTTCCACACAATTTTTGGAGAACTGACTCTGGGTTTACTGATTTGGATTTGGATAAATTCTAACAGGCTTCAGATGGATGGAAACACAGCGGAAGATGATGTTGAATTTTTTGGAAGGTTATACATGCTGCACTCGGGAATCGCTAACATTTTAAAAAGACTTTAGTGGTGCTGCTGTGGAGCAACTGGAACGCACAAGCATTGCTGGTGGATGTAAAGTGGTGCAACCATCTGGAAAAGGGCCTGGAAGTCTCTTATAAAACCGAAAATACACCTACCCCAGACCCAACCATTTCAATCCGATATTTACTCAAGATAAAGGAAAATTTATGTCCACAAAAATATTTGTTCACACCAGTTTTATGAATCATAGCCAAAACCCAGAAACAGCCCATTAAGAGGAGAATGTAAAAACAAATTATATCTTCTTAAAATGGAATACTACTCACTAACAAAAAGAAATGAATCCTCAGCACGTCACAAATGACATGAATATAGCACAAAACACACTGAACGGAAGGAGCCAGACAGAACTGACTACATACGACATGACTTCATTTCTATAAAGTTCTAGAACAGGCAAAACAAATCTGTGGTGAAGAAAAAATAAGAGCAGTGCTTGCTTCTGAAGATTGAAGGGGGTATTGCTTGGAAAGGGCATTAGAGAAACTTCTAGGGTTCTGGGGATGTTCTAAGCCTTGAAAGAAGTTTATGCACTTGTTGGAACTCAATGAATGTACACTTAGCATTTGCACATAACACTGTATCTAAATCTTACCTCAAAAAAGGACTGTAAACAAATATGAAGCTCTAATTAATGATACGCCAGGTGAAATATTTAGGGAAACAAATGGAGGTCCGCAAGTTACTTTGAAATGCATTAAACACAAGATGCCAAGGGTTGATGGATGAGAGATAAACGGGTGGGTAGATGTGTGATAAAGTACCGCAAATATTAACTGTAGAACCTAGAGTGTCTACTTTACAATTGTTTCCACTTTTCTGTGTGTTTGAAAATTTTCATAATACAATGATGGAATACTATGCAGCCATAAAAAGAAATGAATTAACAGCATTTGCAGTGACCTGGATGAGATTGGAGACTATTATTCTATGTAATGTAACTCAGGAATGGAAAACCGAAGATCATATGTTCTCACTGATACGTGGGAGCTAAGCTATGAGGACGCAAAGGCATAAGAATGATACAATGGCCTTTGGGGACTTAGGGGGAAGAGTTGGAGGGGGGCGAGGGATAAAATACTACAAATATGGTGCAGTATATACTGCATGGGTGATGGATGCTCCGAAGTCTTACAAAGCACCACTAAAGAACTTACTCTTGTAACCAAATACCACCTGCCCCCCAGTAACTTATGGAAAAAAATTTTAAGTTGGGGTTTTTATCATAAAAGCCAGCCTGAAAGTGTATCTTAATTTTGCATGTGTCTTCAGCCTGCTGGAGAAGCTCTCCCGCTGGAAGCAGAGCCTGGAAGTCAGGTCAGGATGCTGCGGTCTAAGTCCCACCGCTGGCTCCGGATATAAGAGTAGGGCCAAGGGCGATCACATCATCTCCTCTCACTCCCCTTATCTGCACCACACAGGCCCTCAGAGAGATAAAGGCGTCCCACAAAAGGGCTTTGATGTTGAGGGTGACCAACATCGCATCGGGACAAAGAATGATTATTTGGTTACAGAAAGACAGGCTGATCAAGTCAAAATCTAGCAACTTGCAGCTTTCATTTAGCTGGTAAGTTTTCATTCCTTTGGGGTTAGAGCAAATTTTGTAATTAAATTTGTGATCAAAGAGCGTGGCCAGAAATCTGCTTTTTAATCCAAGAGCAGCATCTGAAACCAGAGTCAAGACTGGAGAACCAGGGGCTGCCTTCTCGGTCAGACAGACTCGGAGGAGGCCAGTATCCAGATGGTGTCGCCTCATACACTGCAAACCTGAAAACAGGCCACCGTGCCCACCTGCTCCCTGGAGGTCAGCCACATGCGGAGATCCACCCAGCAGATAGGTTTTTGGATTTTGCTGATCGATGGGAAGGATCCATCGATGTGGATTCCAAGCCTTTCAATAAAAGCGACTTTGATGTTGTTGGTTCTAGTTTTGCACTTTCTTTACTAAAGAAAATGAAAATAATCCTTCCCTCAGTATCATCAAGATCATGAAGGCAAATACAGCATGAATTTGAGAAAAGATCCTAAACCGGAAAAAACGTGGTTGCAAAGGGCATTCTATTTGAATAAGGATGATGGGTTCAAGGGTAGGATATAACAATGTCAGTGATATAAGAGAATGACTATTCCTAGCAATACACACCAAAGCACTTGGGAAAAGAAACCTGATGTCCACAACCTCTTTAAATAGTTCTTGCCCTAAAATCTATGTGTGTGTACATATATACAAACATACATATACATACATATATTTACATACACATATGTATCCGCACATATAAACACACATATACATACACATATATTTACACACACATATGTATATGCACATATATACACACACACATATATTTACATACACACATACACACATACATACACACATATATTTGCATACACATCTATGTATATGCACATATATACACACATATATATGAAAAGATATGTACATGGACAGAGATGATACTATATACATGTAAGAAAAGATATATACATAGAGATTATACTAGAGAGAGGATATTAAGCAAATGAGACAAAATGCTCACAATTAATGAATTGGTTGAAGTGTACAAACGTTTCTTTGTACTATTCTTGCAACTTTTTTCTAAGGCTAAAATTGTATATCACAATGGCTAATGTGTGAATCATGATAGAAACACACTGCCTAATCTCAGTGGAGGTGGCCTGGGGACCCCTGGCGTGTGGCTGGAAGAATAAAGGCAGGAGTGAGGTGCCCTGGGACGCATCCATATCTGTGAGTGAAGGCTTCTTGCAGCCGAAGCAGCTGCCCAGAGCTCCTGGGGAGTACACGGGTTTCAAGAGCACTCGCAAAGCCAAAAGCAGTCAGCAGGCCTTCATCAGCTGCTCCTTGCTGGGTTCCGGAGAAAATGCTCCCTTCTTGGAGACATCGGTGACCCACAGAATGCACAGGTATGCTGCAGGCCACACACCTGGGGACAGAGGGTCTAAGGACTGGGCACATCATGCTGCAAATTCTTTCCTCCAGGGCCCCTCTCAGAGCTCTCAGTCTGGTCGTGCTCTGTAGCCTGTGCAGGCTCCTCTGCGATGAGAAATACCCAGTGTCCAGTGGATGAAATGCTCAGGGTGAGGCAGTGCCCTGGACCACATGAACAGCAACTCACACGGCGTGTGTGGAGTAGAACACACGGGCGGGGCCGGCTGCCTGGTTCTGAGCCTCACAGTCTGACCCCCCAAAGCTATGGTGGTTTCCCCTGGACCACACAGCTGAATGCCCTCAGGGCTTGCACCACGCCCCCAGTTTCTCTCTTCTAAGACCCAGACTCTGAGCTGGGCATATTCTGAGTTCCTCCTCCCCACGATAGGTCCACAGCTACTCAGCTCAGAAGCAGGACCACAGAGCAAGGGAAACCAGGCCCAAGGTCCCCTCTAAGCAAGCACTGCTCACCTGCCCACGGGTCTGACCCAGCATTACACACAGCATCAGGCCCTTGTCTCATATTTGTACCTGACTTCCACTCCATTCATTCAAAACATGTTGTCTGCACGTCCTGGGCTCTGCAGTAGGGGGTGACAGTTCACTGAAGGCTCCTTGGTCCCCAGGAGGCAGGGTCAACTCTGCCTGGGTCTCCAGGGCTCAGCCTGAACTTCAGCCTGAATCTGCCACCACCCCGCCCTGGACATGCCAACAGGTGAGCACCCTACTTCTGCCCCCTCCCCGCCAGGTCTCTTTGCAGAGGCCCAGGCCCCGTTCAGCTTCCCCACTGGTCCCTGGTGTCCATCTCCATGCCCAGAGCTCCTCATTCTCTTCCTGACTCTCGTTTCTCTGCACGGCTCTCTTGTCTCCTACCCACACCTTCATAGATGATGAGTAAGTGGGTCTTTCCTTAGGTTCCCGCAAACATGGACTTATCGCACATCCACATTGATGTCAGAAAGGTCACAGCTATATGCTGACCATAATAATGATGGGGACGTGGACCCCGGCACCCAGAGTGGGCACCGCACCATGCTAAGGAGAAGCAATGAGCAAGCCAGCCCTGGATGTCTCCTGGAGTCGAGAGAGGCTTGGGGCCCGGCTGTTCAAAGTGTGGCCCCAGACCAGCAACATCAGTGTCACCTGGGAGCTTGCGAGACTCCTATGCCCTGTCCCAGACTTACTGAATCCGAATCTGCAGCTCTACAAGATCTACAGGTGGTTCTTGGGCCTATTCATATTTGAGGAAAACTTGGTGTAGGATATGCCTTTTATGAGGGGGGGAAAAAAAGAAGCCCTTTTTTTGTTTTTGT
Organism: Homo sapiens; assembly: GCF_000001405.40. Taxonomy (NCBI): domain Eukaryota; kingdom Metazoa; phylum Chordata; class Mammalia; order Primates; family Hominidae; genus Homo; species Homo sapiens. Next base: position 42,049,147 of record NC_000021.9, on the reverse strand, counting down.
TTTTGTTTTTTTTTTTGAGACAGAGTCTTGCTCTGTCACCCAGGCTGGAGTGCAGTTGTGCAATCATAGCTCACTGCAGCCTCAACCTCCTGGTTGGGCTTAACCAGGTGGGAGGATCCAGTGATCTTCCCATCTCAGCTTCTCAAGGAACTGGGCTACAGATGTAGGCCACCACACCTGGCTAATTTATTTTTATTTTTGTAGAGATGGGGTTTCTGCCTTGTTTCCTAGGCTGGTCTCGAACTCCTGGGCTCCAGCAATCCTCCTGCCTCAGTCTCCCAAAATGCTAGGATTAGAGAGCCACTGCACCCAGCCAGGAGACAAACATTTTAATCAAGGTTTTTAAGCCCAGGAAGCAGTAAAGGAAGGTCGGACACAGATTTCCGATACAGATTCCTACTACCGTCCACTCCATCTGTCACTGACCCGTGACAAGCGGCTAATATGCCTGGCGTAGAAGAGGTCGGTTAGACGCCCCCGGCAAGTGGTCCGAGCAACCTGCTCATTGTTACTGGGGAAGAAAGAAACATTCAAATGTTTTCCTGAAGCCCCAGGGGAAGCAGACCAGCCCCTATCTACCTGTGCGTTGGCGTAGCCCCTGTTCCCCGAACCTCCGCCCCTTAACAGCCCAGCACCTTGTAGGCTAAAAAGCATCGTGCGGGAGCTGGGCATGTGCATCAGCCAGCCTGGTGGCGGGGCTGCCGGGAAGGCATCCACTACACGGTCATAAACCTGCCCTTGGCAGCAGCCAGTCAGTGACCTCACACGTGGTCTTTGCTTTGGCCTTGTGGTAATGACCTAAATAAAGCTGGAGTGAAGCATTTCCTCCCGAGAGTCTACAAGACAGGCACATTACTCAGAAAATAAAGTGCAGTGGTAATGACTTCAGAATCTTAAAATAAATCCCATTCAGCCAAAATAAATTTCCCCAAGGCCTAATATTCTAGCTTGGTGTTGGGCATTACTTACCCTCTAAATTCTCAGATGCGCAATGGGTATTTTTCCTATAGGTAAGAAATGGTGAGACTCTCTCCCTCGAAGCCGAAAGCCCCCTGCCGCACAGTCACCCCGGATTCAGCCCAATGATGTCATTCAATTACCCGACAGACATGGAAACCGATGGCTCCCCAACTGTTTGGACTAGAGATGCTTAAGCCCAATTGTGGCTTCCCGGAATTCTTCCTCCCCCAGCACAGTCTCTGGGAAACCAAATATTTTTTTCACACTGAGACAGGTTTTGAATAAATACTGCCACTAAAATTCCATGGTACTTCAAATAAACATGGGATAGTCAGTTACCAATGTCTAAATCCTGCCTTATTGTTTTAAAAACAATTTTTTTTTGAGACAGAGTCTTGCTCTGTGCAATGGCACGATCTTGGCTGCAACCTCTACCTCCTGGGTTCAAGCGATTCTCCTGCCTCAGCCTCCCAAGTAGCTGGGACTACAGGTGTGTGCCACCACACCCAGCTAATTTTTGTATTTTTAGTACAGACAGGGTTTCACTATGTTGGCCAGACTGGTCTCGAACTCCTAACCTTGTGACCCGCCCGCCTCAGCCTCCCAAAATGCTGGGATTACAGGCCTGAGCCACTGTACCCGGCCAAAACAAATTTTAAAGACTATGATTCTCCCACCCTCTCCTTGGCTTGAATCTGTTGAAATGTCCCATGTTTGGCCTTTGCATTTAGAGACACAGAGAAAGGACAAGAGTCGTGGATGCTGCTCCTTGCCCTGCAACAATGCTGCCACTGGGGATGCAGGTGTTTCTTCCTGAGCAAGCCATCTTGTCTTGGGCAGAGGAAGCCAAGTGGGCACTGAGCGAGGTTTTGAATAACTACCTTGGCTGGCTGCACTTCACTTTAGGGGAATGATCAGCAGAAAACTCATAAAGTGCTGCTCTCAAACTTGCTGGGCAGCCGGCCTCCGTGTGATTTAAGCAGAGGTGGACGTGGAGATTGCAGTTGTGTAAAAGTTAAAGGACTCCCATAGTGACCTAAAGTCACCTGCCAGATCACCTGCCAGGTCCAGATCCTTTAAGAAACAAGGACTATGGTTTGGATATTTGTCCCCTCCAAACTCATGCTGAAATTTGGTCTCCTAGGCCGGGTGTGGTGGCTCATGCCTGTAATCCCAGCACTTTGGGGGGCCAACGTGAGTGGATTGCTTGAGCCCAGGAGTTCAAGACCAGACTGGGCTACATAGCAAGACCTCCCTCTACAAAAAAGTATAGAAATTAACCAGACATGGTGGAGGGCACCTGTAGTTCCAGCTACTAAGGAGGCTGAGGTGGGAGGATCACCTGAGCCTGGGAGGTTGAGGCTGCAGTGAAAAAAGAAATTTGAGAAAAAAAAAATGTGGTCTCCGTGTTGGAGGTGGAGCCTAATGGAAAGCATTTGGATAAGGAGGGGAGATTCCTCATAAATGGACTAACGCCCCTCCCTAAGGCTGAGTGGGTTCTCACTCTATTAGTTCCCAAGAAAGCTGGTTGCTGAAAAGGACCTGGCACTTCCCCTCCTTCCCGCTGGGTCCCTCTCGCCCTGTGGTCTCTGCACACCCAGCTCCCCTTTGCCCTCCCCCATAAGTGGAAGCAGCCTGAGGCCCTCCCCAGATGCAGACGCCCAACCATGGACTTTTGCAGCCATCTGGAATCATGAGCCAAATAAACTATACATGTATACATACACATACGTACATACATATATGTATATATAAATTACCCAGCCTCAGCACTCTTTATAGGGGCACAATGAACAAACTAAGCCAGGCGGGGATGGGAAGTAATAACAAACTATGATTAAGTTCAACATGGAAAGCAAGCGCCTCTAATTCTAGTTGATATTATGTAGCTAGCTCACGTAGCAGCTTCCCCACTCCCTTGGGGAAAGGGATTTCTGATGGCCAAGGACACCAGTGGTTGTGGTGTCATTCAGTCATGAAGCTGTTAGAGGTAACTGTCCCCATCTGCTTCCAAATGAGCTTGTGCGGCCCTGGTCCTCCATGTCGCTCTTGAGCAGCCAGCAACCCCCCCCACCTCCCCTCGCCCATGCACACCCTCTTGGGGGTTGTCTGGGGAGGGTAATATGGGTCATATGAGCTTAAGTCAGATAGAGTTAGACATACAGAACCACTGGGACGGAGTGGAGGGGTGACATTCAAACACACATCATTACTGTACCTCCAATACACCCTCTACCACTAATTCCAATACTCAAGAAGAGCTGACTGTATTTGAATTCCATTTTCAACTCAAAGCCAATTTTGAATTCTCCGTCCTTCCAACTTTTCAGACTCAAGGTGCCTCAGCTGCATTCTGTGCCCTGACAGACACCAGGACACGCAGCCAACTACAAGGGACCATTGGAATGTAGCTGTTCTAAGTAGGACAGGAAGGGAAGGGGACTATCCCAAGATGGGCTTCCAGTGATCTGGGAAGGGAAGGGCAGTAAAAACATGAGATTTGGTGGGGTGGGGTGGCTCATACCTGTAATCCCAGCACTTCGGGAGGCTGAGACGGGTGGATCACCTGAAGTCAGGAATTCCAGACCAGACTGGCCAACATAGTGAAACCCCATCTCTACTAAAAAAAAAAAAAAAGCAAAAAAAAAAAAAAAAAACAGAACAAAAAACAAAAAATTGAGCTACGGCACTCCTGTCCGGGTGACAGAACAAGAATCTGTCTCAAAAAACAAACAAACATGGGAATCATGGCTCTTGAAAGTCTGAAGGTGGGAAAATTTGTACTAATGCCCCATCCACCCCCACCCACACAGCCTCAGGAGACGAGAGGCAGGAAGAGTGGAAGGCGCTGGCATGTGCCCGGCCTAGCTGTTCAGGGTCCTGGAGGAGGGCATGGTCAGGACTGAGGATCTGCTTCTACAGGGTCCATCCTTCACTCCATCCCCAGCCACCTCCCTGGGCTCATCCTAGCCAGCCCCCAGGGAGACCTCCACACCCCCCAAGCCCTAAAACAGGTCTGCCTGAGAGGCTCAGGGACAATGGGGAGGAGGGAGTCTGTGTGACCCAGCCTTCACCTCCTCTGGTGGCCACTGGCTGACAGAGGCCCAGACAAGACTAAACAGAACCAGAGGAGCAGGTCGGGTAGGGCTGAGGTGCGGGAGATGGCCCATGAGGACAAGTGAAAGCCGGTGACTGGGCCAGAGGAGGGTTGGGCTTAGTGTTCATGTCAAGTCCAGGATGTGGCTCACACCTGTCATCCCTGCACTTTGGGAAGCCAAGGCAGGTGGATCACTTGAGGTCAGGAGTTCAAGACCAGCCTGGCCAACATGGTGAAAAGCCATCTCTACTAAAAATACAAAAAATTAGCCAGGCGTGATGGCGGGCACACGTAATCCCAGCTACTCAGGAGGCTGAGGCACGAGAATCACTAGAACTCAGGAGGCTGAGGTTGCAGTGAACCAAGATCATGCCACTGTACTCCAGCCTAGGCGACAGAGCGAGACTCTGCTTCAAAAATAAAGTAAAATAAAATAAAATAGCCCAGGATCTGTGACCAAGAAGATCCTCTTAAAGTTAGAAAGAGAAAAATAAGAAAATCATACACATTTAATTATCAACTTTTGAAATCAATTTCTCTCTTCTCCCTTCAACCAAACCCATGCTGTGGCTGCCCAGCTGAAGATATAAACAGCTACGTCGAGTCCATCTGATGATGGAAGTTGGGGGTCCAACTTCTGCAGGATTTACCTCCAATGCTGGAGACCACCAGCTCCCAAAGAAACCCATTCTGGGGGCTCAAAGCCACAATGAACAGGAGGCAGGCATGGGGCTGCAGGGAGGTGCCCCGAGGCTGGAATGAGGAGCCCAGAAGACACCGAGCTGAGGCAGGCTGGGTGGTGAGGAGCGTGGAATGGGATACGTGAGGTGGGCTGGAAGCCTCAGGCCAAAACTGTGAGACATGCGGGATATCTTCGAGCTTCTAAAGGGACACCAGCGAAGGCCCACGGTTTCACGTGGCTCTCGGTCGGTCGTCTGACAAGTGATGCCCTTGGCTCTTGGGGACTGGACGGGAACTCACAGATGGAGCTGCTGCAGCCAGGCCCACGGGGCCACCTTCCTGTGCACCCACAACTGTCCAGAGAAAGAGCCATTGTCACCAAACCCAGCCAGAGCCCAGCCACGAGGCTCGGAAGGTCCCCTGGGCCCCGGCACTATCCTTTACTGGCTGGTAGGGCCGCACTTAGCTTCTCTGAGCCCCAGCTTCCTCCTGGGTGAAATGAGGCTTTATAAAGAAAACCTCACTCACAAGCTATCATCAGGATCAAACAAAACCATGGATGTGAAGCACTTTGTAAAACGGAGCGTGCTTTTAGTTGCCATTGTCACTGTTAATGTCATTGGAAACACTATTCATGGTATTAAAGTAGATCCCGTGCTGACCACCCACTGCTGGGAGGTTAGAATTCCCTGTGCCTCGCCCCTCGGCGTTGGTGGGCGTCCTGCGGCTCGCACATTCCCCTCCCCACCCTTCAGGCAGACACCACCAATCCTTGTGCCTCACAATCATCAGCGTGTGATTATCACAGCCCTCCTGTTCTGACTTCTTAAACCAAGCAAGTTCCAAGCACTGAGACGAGGGATCTGTGGGAGGATCAAGGGATGGGACAACCTTTCCATAACAAAAGGGTAAAAAGATGCTCCAAAATATTGTGCTTTTTTAAATCTGTGGTCCTCAGAGTCCTGCTGCCTCCCCCAAGCAGCACACCTGGGCCCCGTAGCGGGATGGGCCGCTGTCACATCCTCAGGCAGCACAGATGAGCATCAAGGGGCCAGCAGAGACTGACCTACCGTCCACCAGAGCAGGCCCGACAAGTATGGACCAGTTAGTCACTGTTACAGGTGAAATATAATTAATTAAGTCATATTGGACAACTTGGCTTGATTCTGCTTTTGGTGGTAATTACATCACAGACCTGGAGTCTTAGAAGGAAGAGTGACTGTGAACAGAGCCTCCGCTTGTCCTTGGCCCTTGGTGGGGCCACAGCAAAGCATCTGCCTTCTTGATTCACCCCTGCTATCAATTTAAAAACCTGCAGCTGCCACAGGCTCAAGAGCGCAGGGTGCTTTAGACACCTGCTTTCTGACATCTGCAGTATTTCTGTTTATTTCAGATCTCACCCTGCAGGAGAGACTAGCGGGATGGAATGGAGGGAAGAGGTGTGTGTAGCGGGGTGGATGTGGGAATCGGAATTGACCTCAGATGCAGGCACAGCTGAAGGTGCCTCCACGGTGTAAGTTAAAACATGTTAGGAAGGTCACCCCGCCCCCAAATCCATGCCTGCGGGATTGCTCCCCTCCTCCTCCTCATACCTAACCTGGGTGGGACGGCAGTGTGCAGCCACGTGTTGTTTTTACACGGCAAATTAATTGAGACACAAGCTTTTAAATGTCAGAAAAATCTAGCTCCAAATAAGTAAATTAGAACCTTTATGACTCAATAAAATGTTTCACCAAGCATTATTCCTAAGATATTTTCTCATTAAAAAAAATTATGCAGCCGGTGGAGTGGCTCACACCTGTAATCCCAGCACTTTGGGAAGCCAGGGCAGGTGGATCACTTGAGCTCAGGAGTTTGAGACCAGCCTGGGAAACATGGCAAAATCTCGTCTGTACAAAAAAATTAGCCAGGTGTGGTGGCATGTGCCGGTAGTCCCAGCTACTTGGGAGGCTGAGATGGGAGGATTGCTTGGGCCCGGGAGGTCGAGGTTGCAGTGAGCTGATACTGTGCCACTGCACTCCAGCGTGGGTGACAGAGTAAGACCCTGTCTCAAAATAATAATAATAATAATAATAATAATGCACCATTACCAACTTTTCCATTAAACTGACAGAGCCAATCATAGTACATACAAAGAACTTTCATGAGTGTCTTTGCTTCACGTCCCTCTCTTGAAAACCCTATGACAAAGATTTGGGGGCAAGCAGTTGATTTTGGGGGTGATCTCAGGAAGCACAGTGAAGGCAGGAGTGCAGGTACCCTAGAGAGAGGATCCCTGCCAGAGGGAACTTCGGTTCATCCCACTGGGACTGCATTGAGGTCTGAGCAGAACATGCCCCAGAACTGCCCCATGGAGGGAGGAGGGAGCTGGGACATTTATCCAACAACTCTCATCCTCCACACTGGGGGTCACTCCTGGGACCTTACCTTCCTGTCCTTTGTCCTTCAGCCTGCCCTGGGAACAGGGCCAGAGAGAGAACGTCTTCAGGAAAGACAGGCAGGGGGCAGCCCCGGGGGGTGTGGCAGACATCCTGGCCTCCAGCAGGATGAATGACAGTTGGTTTCATCCCCTGCACACAGCAAAGCTTCCATCTGAGTGTGGCTCTGAAGAATGTGGGTGCCACAGAACAGTCGATCAGGGCCACGGAACAGTTACATCAGAGCTGCAGAAGAGTCACATCAGAGCCACAGAACAGTCTCATAGAGCTGGAGAACAGTCTCATAGAGCTGCAGAAGAGTCTCATAGAGCTGCAGAACAGTCTCATAGAGCTGCAGAAGAGTGGCATCAGGGCCGCAGAATAGTCATATCGGGGCCACAGAGCAGTCGCATCAGAGCCGCAGAACAGTCACATCAGGGCCACAGAAGAGTTGCATTGGAGCTGCAGAAGAGTCACTTCAGAGCCACAGAACAGACACATAAGAGCCACAGAAGAGTCACATCAGAGCCACAGAGCAGTCACATCAGAGCCACAGAACAGTCGTATCAGGGCCACAGAACAGTCACATGGGGTTCTCTGAGGCGCCCCTCCTTCTTTCTGCTGCACTCCCTGCTTCCCCACCATCACTCACCCCAGGAGAAGCGGGAATAGGAGCTCACAGCCCCTTGACCCCACAACTCACTTCTCTGTGCCTGCCTCTCTCCTTCAAGGGACCCCAAGGTCTCCCAGTTGTTCATGCTGGAGACTAGAGGCCCCTGGGGCCTGCCCTGTGCCTCTTCCAGCACTTTCAATCAGCCTCTGGCCCTGGGGCACCCAGGACCTTCTGATCATTCTCCGTTCTTTCTCCATTCAGCCTCCCTGCTCTCCTGGCCATCGCTCTTGCCCAAGCTGCTACCTTCCTTCCCTCCAGAGAGAAGGCAGTGACCACTCGCTGGCGTCCACTCCCCATTTCAGTCCACACTGCTTCATGCCCCAGCCTGGGCCTGGCATTGTGGTGCTCCAGGAGCAGTTCCCAGACAGATAAGTGAACGAGCAGTCGGACGTCCTTTCAAACGTATCTGGAATGTGGCGTCCTGCCCTGTGGTAAGCAAAAGCACATACACATCTGCACACACACAGACACAGTCCATTCCCTGCCACTCAGGTGTCTACTCTCAGCCTAAACATCACACTCATGGATGGCCTCACTGGCCCTGAAACCATATGGGCCCTGCCGCGCTGCCCTGAACCTTCTCATCATACCCCTCATCACAATGGAATTAGATGTTTGCATAGTTCTGTATTTGGTAGTCTCCATGACACTGTAAACTCCTAGTGGGCCGGAATAACCACAGAATCCCTAGCCCCTGCTACCAAGCAAGGACTCAACCACGCATCCAGTGATGACGCAAGAATGAGTCAAAAGGAATTTGAAGAGGTGGCTGCAGCTGGTCCTCTGAGCATGGAGGGCTCCCTCCGGCATCATTAGGGTCGGGGTTTCAAAGGAGTGGAGAGCTCAAAGCTACCATCGTGGAAAACAGGGACTTGGAAGCAAAAGGGACAGAAGCCCGCTGGGCATGGCAGAAGGGGCTCAAGGTCACCAGACACAGGGAGCTTGGCCCCTGCTCTGTCACTCACGACCAAGGAGGGGGTCTTTGTCAAGACATCAACTCAGAACATAGATGGCAAAGCACGTGAGGCAGAGAGCCTCAGTGAAGAAGCACCGCCTCCTCTTCCAGCTGCTGAACAGACTCCAAGCAACTGAGCCCCTCAGAGGGAGGGGCCTCTCAGCGCCAGAGCCCCAGGGAACAGTGCGGCAGGCTGAAACCCAGCAATGAGGCCCCAGGGCTGCTGGGGAAGTTTCAAGGGCTCGGCCAACCTCCAGGGCCTGGAGTTGTGAAGGCTCCTGTGAGACATCCAGAGACAACTTGCAGAGATAAGCAGGGCCGCCTGACAAGGGGGGCCACGGCATTCGCCCTCCTCCCCAGCAGACTCCGAAATGGCGGCAAAAAGAAAACGTGGGCATCCAGCGTCTCAGGATGGGGAGGGGCAGGTCATGTGGGCAGGTCTCCTCACCTGCTCATGACAGGTGAGGAGAGGCTGGAGCTCCATCAGAACTAGTGGCCAGGACACCCCCAGCAGCCGCCCTGCAGCCAGCCCAGGGCACCTGGCCCAAGCTCCAACCTGGCCAGGGTTGGGCAAGATGACCCCCCCACACACACAAGAATTGGGAAACTCCCTGGATAAGTTTCAACCAGAGAGTCAGAGAAGAACCGTGGAAAACAGACCTGGGTCTGTTGATACTGTGGGAAGGACAGTGTCCTCCAGAACTAGTGACTTTCGGGATCTTACAGCTTCCTTTCTTGTGAAACCTTGCCTGTTTCCCTGCCTTTGCCAAGGGTAAAACCCATGTGTCAGTTTCCCGTCACTGCTGTAACAAAGCACACAAGCTCAAGGGCTTGCAGGACATATGCTTATTACCTGCTACAGACTGAGTGTGTCCCACCCAAATTCACGTGTTGAAATCTTAACCCCCAAGGTGCTGGTATTAGGAGATGGAGCCTTTGGGAGGTGATTAGTTCATAGGGATGAGGCTCTCATGAACGGCATTAATGCCCTTATAAAAGGGACCCTAGAAAGAGACTTTTCACCCCCTCCACCATGTGGGGACACAGTGAGAAGATGCCAGCTATAAACCAGGAAGTGGCCCTCGCCAGACATTAAATCTGCCAGCGCCTTGATCTCAGACTTCCCAGCCTCCAGAACTGTGAGAAATGAACATCTGTTGTTTATAAACTGCCCAGTCTATGGTGTTTTGTTACAGCAGCCCAGGCAGAATAACATGTTACCCTGCAGTTCCCGATGTCAGAAGTCTAAAATCAAGGTGTCAGCAGCGCCGTGTTCCTTTTGGAGTTTCAGGGGAGGATCCATTTCCTGCTTTTTTGGCTCCTAGACGCTGCCTGCATCCCTTGGCTCGTGGCCCCTCCTCCATCTTCAAGGCCAGAGGGCAGCCAGCCTCTTCAAACTTCTCTCCAGCTCTGATCTCCACTTCCTTCAATGACCCTCCTGCCCTCCTTCTTTCCCTGCTTGGACCCTTGTGATGACATTTGGGGCCCACCTGGATATCCAGGAAAATCTCTCCAGCTCAAGATCCTTCACTTAGTCACCTCTCCCAAGTGCCTTTGCCTTCTGGGGTCACATATCTGGGGATGAGGATGCAGACATCTTGGGGGGCCTTTATTCAGTCTACCACAGAATGAACAGTCATTTGTGTGCTTGTTCTCAAGACGTCAGAGTGTAGAAGGCCGTGAGGGGCTTGAATGCAGCTCCGGGATTGTGGGGCTGAGGGCAGGGGCCGGGGACCCAAGGAAGGGAGAGCCACAGGCCAATGGGAAGGAAAAGAACAGCAAGCTAGGAGCTGGGTGGAATTGAGAACGACCCCATCATTCAGCCGGCAGGCAGCCAGGGTTCACCAGCTTGGATATAGGCAGGATTCAGGCAATACACTCTGGAAGGCCATCTCTACCGGCAGGGTCACCGTCATCTTCCTAACGCCATGGCGAAAGGAATGACTTCTCATTTATCCTAAGTGCATCTGACAGGCTTTCGGGCCTGTTTCCATTCTCTAAGACCCAGAGTACATGGCTCCAAATAGAAAGAACAAGATTCATGCAAAGAATGAAAGTGATGGATGGAGTTTAACATCGGCTTAGGAAGACGAAGCTGGCTGTCAAGCCATGTTCCTAACCAAGCTCGATGCTGAAAGGTGGAGTCTGTTTATATTCCTGCCACGCATTTGTTCAGTTGCACAATGGTCACTGCCAGCACAGCTCAGACCTTTGATCAGCTCCCGGGGACTCGGGCCTCTTTTTCTCCCCTTCTGCTGGGAAGAGCCGTCGCAACGGGGCATTTGTGGCAGACTCTTCCTGAGATTAAGTGACAACTGGTGGGAGGGGCCGTGGCAGCATGTCTTCCGGGGAACAGGAGAGCTCCCAGTTGGGCCCTGGGGACTGTGACCCTCCCTGCTACCTCCAGACCCGTCCTCCCAACCCTGCCACTTTTGTTTGTTCCTTGATTCTTTCTGTTGTAATGGCTTTATTGCGATATACCGCACATGCTATTCAATTCACCCATTTAAAGTGTACAATTCACTTTTTAGCATGGAGTTGTGTGACCATCCCCGCCGTCCATTTTATAACATTTTCATCACCCCCAAAAAGAAGCCCCTTTAGCTGTCACTTCCTCAATCCTCCTAATCTCCTTTTCACCCTGCGCCCTAAGCAACCACTTATCTGCTTTCTGTTTCCACGAATTTGCATATTCTGGACGTGTCATGTAAATTGAGCCATACAATTTTGGGTCTTCTGTATCTGTTTCTTTTACTTAGCCCAATATTTTCTTTTCTTTTTTAATTTAATTTTTTTTATTTTACTTAAAGTTCCGGGTTACGAGTGCAGAACATGCAGGTTTGTTACATAGGTATACATGTGACATGGTGGTTTGCTGCACCTATCAACCTGTCATCTAGGTTTTAAGCCCCACATGCATTAGGTATTTGTCCTAATGCTCTCCCTCCCCTTCCCCCCACCTTACAACAGGCCCCAGTGTGTGATGTTCCCCTCCTGTGCCCACGTGTTCTCATTGTTCAACTCCCATTTATGAGTGAGAATATGCGGTGTCTGGTTTTCTGTTCCTGTGCTGATTTGCTGAGAAAGATGGCTTCCACCTTCATCCATGTCCCTGCAAAGGACATGAACTCATTCTTTTTTATGGCTATATAGTATTCCGTGGTGTATATGTGCCACATTTTCTTTATCCAGTCTATCATTAATGGGCATTTGGGTTGGTTCCAAGTCTTTGCTATTGTAAATAGTGCTGCCATAAACATATGTGTGCATGTGTCTTTATAGTAGAATGATTTATAATCCTTTGAGTATATACCCAGTAATGGAATTGCTGGGTCAAATGATATTTCTGGTTCTAGATCCTTGAGAAATCTCCACACTGTTTTCCACAATGGTTGAACTAATTTACATTCCCACCAACAGTGTAAAAGTGTTCCTATTTCTCCACAGCCTCGCCAGCACCTGTTGTTTCCTAACTTTTTAATAATCACCATTCTAACTGGCATGAGATGGTATCTCATTGTGGTTTCAATTTGCATCTCTCTAATGACCAGTGATGATGAGTTGTTTTTCATATGTTTGTTTGCTACATAAATGTCTTCTTTTGAGAGGTGTCTGTTCATATCCTTTGCCCACTTTTTGATGGGGTTGTTTGTTTTTTTCTTGTAAGTTTGCTTAAGTTCCTTCTAGATTATGGATATTTGACTTTTGTCAGATGGGTAGCTTGCAAAAATTTTCTTCCATTCTGTAGGTTGTCTGTTTACTCTGATGATAGTTTCTTTTGCCGTTAGCACAATTTTTCCAAGGTTCACCCATGCTGTAGCATGTACCTGTACTCCATTCCTTTTCATGGCTGAATACTATTTCACTCTATGGACGTCCTGCATTTTGCCTACCCATGCATCTGTTATTGGACTTTTGGATTGTTTCTACCTCTTCACTACTGTGTTGCAGGCCTGGTTTCTTGACTTCTGATTCATCAAAAAAGAATTGTGTTTGTTTGCAGTGGAGACAGTGCCTTTGTCTGACCTGACACCAGCTGAAAGGTGCTGACATGAGTGCCTTCTCTGCCTTCCTAGAAAGGAGCTGCAGGGGCACCACAGTTCCTGATGAGGCACCCCAGCACTCTCAACTCTTGGAGCCTGTGGCTAGCGCCTTGCTTCACATACTATCTAAGGACGTGCACAAGAGTGGGGGAAGCTGCACCCAGGTCCTGCCCCCGATCGTGCTGGGCATCAGTTCAAATCCTGGAGGAGGGTGTCTAGCAGCCCCGGTGGGGTTGAAGGCAGCCACCCTGGGCCTCCACAGCCCCGTGACTATGTGATATGGTTTGGCTCTGTGTCCCCACCCAAATCTCATCTTGTAGCTCCCATAATTCCCACATGTTGTGGAAGCAACCCAGTGGGAGATGATTGAATCATGGGGGCAGGTCTTTCCTGTGCTGTTCTCCTGATAGTGAATGAGTCTCACAAGATCTGATGGTTTTATTTTATTGTATTGAGACAGAGTCTCACTCTGTTGCCCAGGTTGGAGTGAAGTGGCACTATCTCAGCTCACTCCAACCTCCACCTCCCAGGTCCAAGTGATTCTTGTGCCTCAGCCTCCCCAGTAGTTGGGATTACAGATGTGTGCCAACATGCCCAGATAATTTTTGGTATTTTTTAGTAGAGATGGGGTTTCACCATGTTGGCCAGGCTGGTCTCGAACTCTTGAGAAAAATTCTCGCTCTGTCAACCAGGCTGGAGTGCACTGGTGCCATCTCAGCTCACTGCAACCTCTGCCTCCCAGGTTCAAGTGATTCTCATGCCTCAGCCTCCTGAGTAGCTGGAATTATAAATGTGTGCCACCACACCCAGCTAACTTTTGCACTTTTAATAGAGACAGGGTTTCACCATGTTGCCCAGGCTGGTCTTGAACTCCTGAGCTCAGGCAATCTGCCCACCTTGGCCTCCCAAAGTGCTAGGATTACAGGTGTGAGCCACCGCCCCCAGCCCTGACGGTTTTAAAAATGGGAGTTTCTCTGCACAAGCTCTCGCTTTGCTGCCACCAACCACGTAAGATATGACTTGCTCCTCCTTGCCTTCTGCCATGATTATGAAGCCTCCTCAGCCACGTGGAACTGTCAGTCTAGTGAAACCCCTTTCTTTTGTAAATTGCTCAGCCTCAGGTATGTCTTTATCAGCAATGTGAAAATGAACTAATACACTGTGTTTCACTTAAACCAAGATGGTAAGGTCCTTCTGTCACCGTACCATGGAATCTGGCAATTCATGAATGCTAGTGTCTACACATCCAACAATCAGTTTTCGTAACCCCTCATCAAAACATCATGTTTTCCCATTGCTGGGCACAATATCCACACCCAAACACGGTCATTATAAAATTCTTGGACCAAAACCTTTCCCCAAAGGGTGATGTAAAATTCTCACTTGTGCTTTCTTCACTTAGACCAAATCCCACGGAGATCAATTGATTACTTCTTCTGCTCTCTCACTGGGAAATGAGCGGGAATTCCACCAAGCAACTGTGCAACATCAGGCCCAAGGGAATGAAGGAAACAACGACCAGCGGAAGGGGAGAAGCAACTCGCTATGTGTAAATTACAGACTATGATGCATGCACGTGCATACGCGTCACACATACATGCACACACCAGCACACGCTGCATTGACTTGTCTGCCTGGGCCGTCAAAGGCCCCCTGGGGTTAGGAGGACAAGAGGGAACCATGGGCAGGGTACTCAGTGAACTGACCCAGCCAAGCAAGAGGGGATTTCAGTGTCCACAGACCAAACCACTCAGAAAACCATGGTCAGATTAGCCCAAGGTTTAGAACCAGAGGAAGAAAAGTTCTGCTGATTAGAGAACACCCTGGGAGGAAATAGCGACAAAACAGAGGGTTATTATTATAATTAACCCACAACTTCACCTGGACAGAGCATAGAGTGGGGGAAGGACCTAAAGAAAGCAGAAAGGCCAGGTTGAGGAAATGTGAAATGTCAGTGGAAGGGGAAAAAAGCAGAGAAGGGGCCGGGCATGGTGCCTCACACCTGTAATCCCAGCACTTTGGGAGGCCGAGGTGGGCGGTCACAAGGTCAGGAGATCGAGACCATCCTGGCTAACACAGTGAAACCCCGTCCGTACTAAAAATACAAAAAAATTAGCCAGGTGTGGGGGTGGGCACCTGTAGTCCCAGCTACTCAGGAGGCTGAGGCAGAAGAATGGCGTGAACCCAGGAGGTGGAGCTTGCAGTGAGCTGAGATCACGCCACTGCACTCCAGCCTGGGCAACAGAGCCAGACTCCATCTCAAAAAAAAAAAAAAAAAAAAAAAAAGCAGAGAAGGAAAAAACCACAGGCACCTGCTGGTCTCTAATATAAGCAAACCACAGTACATGGGGAAAGGCAGCGACCTTCCCTGACAGGCTAACAGCTCCCAAAGGAACTGGACAGAGAAAATAGTGAAAATCTCTTTTTTTATTTTATTTATTTATTTTTTGAGACAGAGTCTCGATCTGTCACCCAGTGTGGAGTGCAGTGGCGCGATCTTGGCTCGCTGCAACCTCCACCTCCGGGGTTCAAGCGACTCTCCTGCCTCAGCCTCCTGAGTAACTGCCATTACAGGCACCTGCCGCCATGCCCAGCTAATTTTTGTATTTTTAGTAAAGACGGGGTTTTGTCATGTTGGTCAGGTTGGTCTCAAACTCCTGACCTCAGGTGATCCACCTGCCTCAGCCTCCCAAAGTGCTGGGATTACAGGCGCAAGGCACCGCACCCGGCCAAAAATCTCTTGAAGAAGAAGGAGAAAACATACTTTAGGAGCTAGGGAAGTCTGTCAGAAGATCAGCAGATAAAGGAGGAGGCCAGCCTAGGGAGCGTCCAGATCTGAGTGTGCATATTGTTCAAGTGGAAGAGACTCAGGGCAGTGTGGGTCCAGTACTGTGCAAGGTCCCCAGTGCTCTTGCCTCCACCTTTACAGTGAGCCTGCAAGGGGCTGCTGTCATCCCTGGGTACACAGGAGGGCCCTATAGCTCAGAGCAAGGATGTGCCCAAGGCTGCTAATCAGTGAAGACCCATGCTTGCCCAGGTCTCTAACTGCAGCCTGAGCCACAGCAACCTGAGTTTCAGAGGCTGAAGCTCACTTGCCCTTGGCAAGGCTGGGCCCCTCAAAAGGTCAGGCTTCCTGAGCTGACAGCAGGGCCTTGCTCCAGCACCCACCTGCCCCTGGCTGTGCCCTGTGTCCACATCTGGCAACAACCCTCAGCCCCGGCAAACACTGGGATGGTGGGGAGCACCCACACCCTCCCCAGGAGAACGGACCAGAGTGGCCTGGGGTGCGGCCTGGCACTGGGCTTTTGGAAAGCTCCCAGGGGAACCCTGATCTAAAGCCAAGATGAGACAGACCTTGGGCCAGAGGGGGCCTTCTGCAGGGCAGAGGGGTTTCTGGGTCTTCATCCTTGTTCAAGAGAATGCTCAGTGGACCAATGATAACCTGGGCATATAATTTTAAAAATTTTTAAAACTCTGCAACCTGGCCGGGCACGGTGACTCACACCTGTAATCCCAGCACTTCGGGAGGCCAAGGTGGGCAGATGACCTGAGGTTAGGAGTTCGAGACTAGCCTGGCCAACATGGTGAAACCCCGTTTCTACTAAAAATACAAAAATTAGCCAGGCGTGGTGGCACATGCCTATAATCCCAGCTACTTGGGAGGCTGAGGCAGGAGAATCACTTGAACCTGGGAGGTGGAGGTTGCAGTGAGCCGAGATTGCACCACTGCACTCTAGCCTGGGTGACAAGAGGGAAAATTCTGTCTCAAAAAAAAACAAAAAAAAAACAAACTCTGTAACCAGTGACATCTCATGGTTCATGGAACTCTATGTTTCAACATGAGCTTTCAAAGGCCAAGTCTGGAGCAGTGTAGGTAAAAACACAGCAGCAGAGAAGAGGCTGCAATGAGGTGGGCTTGTACCTGCTTCCCTCAAAGGCAGGCTCCTCTGTCTGAGCCCCTCTGAGGACAGCGTGGCACCTCCAACATGGGCCAGAACTCCAGAGAGTTGTGGGGTCCAGCTTGTCATGGGCTGCATATGAAGGGAAATTCCAGGATGGCTGGAGATGGAGTCAGCCTTCCCCTGCAGTGTTGAGCCTCAGCCAGTGCAGGGACCCCAAAAGGCCAGACTGAGACCAAGGACTGCCTCCTGGGACCACCTCTTAAACTCCTGCCCTTGGGGCATGGACCAGAGCAGCCTCTGGAAGTGACTGGATTGGCCCCGCCTCTAGGTCCTCACAACATCTGTAAGGAAAGAAGGAGAGCCCAGTTGCGCCTGGTCAGGTTGCTATTTTGAAATAGGCCACCTGGTTCAACCACAAACACCTTCAATCAGCCAACAATGCTATTTCCAGAGTGCTCGCTGCCTCCTTGCTGGGCTCTGCCCTTGTTTGTGCCCACGGATCCCATTTGTAACTGGGCCAGGTTCCCCATTGTTTCCTGCAGTTTGTCTCTGCACTGTGGCTGCCAGGCACCACACAGCTGCTTCTCCAGGGTGTCTTCAGGGTCTCTTCCATGAACCCAATCCCCAACCCCGGGCTTGTACCTGCCTGGGGGATGGGCAGTCCATGCTGAGGGCCTGGATCCTGGACCCCCGGGTCTGGGCTCACCCAGGTCTCACCCTTCCTTCACCCTACTTATTTTTCCAATCTGCAAAGCTCCAAAGTCGCTCCTTTTACAGAGAAAACACATGGAAATGCTAACATGGATTAAGATCAAGCTAAAGCCAAGAAAAGAAAACACAAGTGAAAAGAAAGGAAAAAGCTACGCATTGTCTTTGCCAGCTGCAGCCCTCTTACCTGTTTCTAATGGTATGTGGCTGTCTGGGCTTTCAAAGCATTTTCTCCGAGTGGCAAGTGCGGTGCTGCAGAGTTGCTGATAGAGGCGTGCGTTCGGGCTTCCTCTTCCATCACGGACCAAGAGAAAGCAGAGTCGTCAATCTGGGAACAAGAAGGACACACCATGTATCTGAGTGCACCAGATTCATGTAACCCAGAGGTTCTCACATCCCTTCAGGGCCAGAAAAGAGGGAGGCGTTTCTAGTCACCAAATGTACACTCAGGTACTTTTTTTAACCTCTTTGGACTAAGATGCCTTCATTCATCTTGAACCACAGAAAATGTTAGGATTATGCTCAGCTGGATGTAGCAAAGCTCTTACTGTGGTGGCTTAAACACAGAAAGGTTTCATTCTCATACATAAAACGAGTGTGAAAGCAGGTGTTTCAGGGAAAATATGGAAGCCACCAGACTCCCAGGCTGCTCCTGGTTTTGTGTTCTACCACATGTGGCTTCCCTTCTCAGAGGCAACTCAAGGAACAATATGGCTGCTGGAGCACCAGCTATGACATACATATTCCAGGCAACAGAGGGAAAGAAGCAGAGGGATCCAAGAGAAATATCCCCTCCCCTTGACGAAGACTTCCCAGAATCCCCACAGCACATTTCCGTGGACATATTTTTGGCAGAACATCATATGAGGGCCAAAAGGAACAAGAGGCTGGGAAAAGTGGTCTTTTAGCTGGGCACATTAAACACTCCAGATAAAGCAGAGTTCTGTTGCTAAGAAGGAAGGGAAGGTGGAGGGTGGATGTGGGGGTGGCAACCAGTGATCTCTGCCACAGAGATTTATCCTGTTCAAAAGAAAGTCCTTATAGGCCATCATTATCAAAGTTATCTTCCTCTATTTACAAAGTTAACATGTGAAGAGAGGCAGAGTTGTAGTTGGTGATGATGGCATTGTTTCCTAGGTCTATGAGGGTGTTGCTAAAAACAACAGCAGTTTCTGCACCCACGGCCCCATGTGTGGACCAATCAGTAGTGACCAGGCGTTTATTTAGCACTTCCCGAGTGCACACAGCCTCCCACCTTGACCCTGGGCTTGGAGCCTACAGCATTTGTAAGACTTCTAATTGGAAGTCGAATGCCACTTCTGACTGCCTTGTCCCTTGCATCAATTTACTAGGGCTTCCATAACAAGATACCACAGACTGGGTGGCTTTAAATGACAGACATTTATTTCATAACAGTTCTGGGGGCTGGAAGTCCAAGATCAAGGCATCGGCAGGGTTGGTTCCCCAGGAGGCCTCTCTCCTTGGCTTGCAGATGGTGACTTCTCCGTGTCCTTACGTGGCCGTCCCTCTGTGAGTGTCTGTGTCCTCATCTCCTCTTTCGATAAGGGCACAGTCAGATTGAATTAGGGCCCACACTAGTGAATCTGATTTATTCACTCACTTAAAGACTCTACCTCCAAATAGAGTCACATCAGGAGGTATTGGGGGTTCGGACTTTAACATATGAGTTTGGGGTGGATGCAATTCAGCCCTTAACACCCCTCAAGGCCTGACTGCTGCCACAAACACTATTTAAGACAGAGCTGAATGGAGCTACACTTCAATATTTCTGCAAACTGTTTCTTCAACTAGTCTTCATTTCACCAGAGCAGGAAACATTACCTTCTGCTTCAAATGATTGGCTCCCAGAAGTTGTAATAAACGGAGCTTATAATAATCTCAGGACTACCTGTCTGGGGTCAAAGGGTCTGAGTTCTGATCCTGATGCTGCCCCAGCCTCGGTGAGCTAAGCTCTGCATCTGAAAAGTGAGCAAATTGACCTAGAAGACCTCCTGGTTCTTCTCCATCTCCAAAGTCCTCCGGCTTTTTTCGAGCCACAAGGAAAGGAGAGTTTGCCTTAGAGGAACTGACTTGCCCATCAGCCTTGTAGGGTGTGGTGGTGCCCTTCTTAATCAAAAGTCTGTCCCTCACTGTGCTCAATCAAAGGCCACAGTCACTGTCAAGCTGTGTCTCAAAGGTGACTGCGTTCCACTCCCAGGTTTTTGGTGATTTTGGAAAAACAAATGGACTTATTTTAGGGACTGTCATTTTCTGAGATCCATGCAACACTTCCCATTTAGGACCACCTGTCTGGAAGTAGGTTCACTCAGCACCTTGAATTCCAGCTTCCTCTCAAGGAAAGGAAAGTTGGTTCCACAGCAGTTTGGACAGCTCTTGTTTGTTCTCGTTATGCAAAGCCAGCCCAGGATGAGGCCCCTCCAAATCTACAGAAACAGACACGCAGCTGACCCAGGCAGCCTAGAGTGGAAGGGCGGCAACACAGAATCAGGCAATCTCTGTCTGCATTGTAAATACTGAGGAGGAAACAGATGGAAGTCATATTTGAGGGCAGAGAACACGGTACTGGCTCACAACCTCTGGGACAGGTGGCACCAGGAACAGCATAGTAGAGTTCCTGAGCTAGAGAAGGGCCATAGAGGAAAAGCCAAGGGCACAGCAGGGTCCCACTGACTCCCAGAGACTTGCAACCCAGGCTCCTTACCCCAGGTCACCTTCCCAGAGAGGCCCCGCCTTCACCTCTCTTTGAGTATTTCACCGCCGCACAGAGAAGGACTTTCCCAAGACTGGGGACAGGCAGAGGGCCCTCTCCAGCCTCCCTATGCTGCGGGCAAAGAGCCCTGGGGTCAAAGGGTCTGGGTTCTGATCCTGATGCTGCCCCAGCCTCGGTGAACTGAACTCTGCATCTGAAAAGTGAGCAAGTTGAACTAGAAGACCTCCTGGTTCCTCTCCATCTCCTAAGTCCTCTGACCTTTTTGGGGAGCCACAAGGAATGCAGAGTTTGTATTAGAGGAACTGACTTGCTCATCGGCCCCACAGGGTGTGGCGGTGCCCTTCTTATTCAGAAGGCCCTCACCCACTGTGCTCGATCGAAGGCCACGGTCACAGCCAAGATGCAAGGGCTCTAGGCCCCCTGTCACCCAGAGGCAACCCAACGCTTCTCATGCCCCAGCCACCTGCAGGGTGTATGGGCTGTAATGGGGCACTGGCAGAGCGGGCCTTTCCTTCCCTCCTCATAAAACAAATATGAATTTATACGTATTTAAAAACATCTTCCTTTCTCTATCTCAGTTTGGAAAAAACTAAGAAATATGTGTGTCCTACGCTTTCTGGTTGATTAAAGAACAGCTTGACCTGGAAAATGGAAATTTTAAGCTGCTTACAGGGCCTGGAAAGAAATGAGGAAGCCAATTTGAGCACAGAATAAAAATACCATCTGGACTTCGGTGACAGTGAGTAACGCTGCTGGCTTTTCTGAGCTCAGACAATTATTATATGAAAAAAGAGTTTCTAAATGCCTGCATGTTAAAATGGTGAAAGATGTTTAATGGGGAATAGAGACGAAAGGGACCCCAGCACCCCTGCGTGACACACACTTGGGTACAGGGCGCTCACTGTGTCTGAAAGCACGGGAGGAGCAGACGGCGTCACCAAGGGCATCTCCGGTCTGTGCAGGCACAGAGCAAAACCAGCCATGCGCCAGGTCTGGGGTCTCCCCGCACGTCCAGCTCATCAAGGAGGCGGAGGACAGGAGGAGCACGGGGGAGGAAGTCCCATGTCCCATGTGCGTTGTCTTGGAATACGTAAACTCTTAGCTCAAGACTCTGCAGCACTGGGAAGGGCCCCATCGTCCATGTGGGCTGCTTCAGCAAAGTACAGAGGCAGAGTGATGACAAACAGCACCTGGTTCAGATTCCAATATACGTGTGACACACCCCCCCCACACACACCACACAACACACAACATATGCCACATCACACCACACACACACCACAAACACACATGCACACACCATAATCGCACACACAAAACCACACACACGCCACACATACACAGACATATAACCCCACACCCCCCGCATAACACACCCCACACAACACACACACCCTAAATACACCACACACACCCCCCACACCACACACACACACCACACATCACACACACAAAAAAACCACACAGATGCCACACACACACACCCCACACAACACACACACCCTACACACACACCACAACCACACACTCCACACCACACACACACCCCACACCACACACACACACCACACACACAAATAAAACCACACACATGCCACACATACACACACATATACCGCACACACACCCCACACAACACAACCCACACAACACACACACCCTACACACACACCACACACACACCACACACACCACACACACACACACCACAGACACACCCCACATCACACACCCACACACACCACACCTCACACACATGCACCACACATACACATGAACGCACCACACACCACACACACCCACACACCACACACACACCACACATACACACACACACCCCACACACACCCCACACCATATATACACACCCTACACACACACCACACAACACACACACACCCTACACACACACCACACACACACACCCCACACCACACACACACCCTACACCACACACACCCCACACCATACACACATCACACATACATACCCACACACACATACACACTCCACACCACACACACACCCTACACACACACACCCATTTCCCACACAAACATATAGCACACACACAACACACACACACGCCACACACACATACACACACCACACATACGCGCACCCCACACACCCTACACTACACACACAGCCAAGATGCAAGGGCTCTAGGCCCCCTGTCACCCAGAGGCAACTCAACGCTTCTCATGCCCCAGCCACCTGCAGGGTGTATGGGCTGTAATGGGGCACTGGCAGAGCGGGCCTTTCCTTCTCTCTTCATAAAATGAATACGAATTTATACATACTTAAAAACATCTTCCTTTCTCTATCTCAGTTTGGAAAAAACTAAGAAATATGTGTGTCCTACGCTTTCTGGTTGATTAAAGAACAGCTTGACCTTTAAACGTGTATATGTATGTACACATACACATATACGCATTCCACCCCACACACATACCCCACACCACAGACACATACACACCACACCCCACACACATACACATGTACACACATACACACCACACAGCCCTCCACACACACACCCCACACACACATACACACATGCTGTTTTGTAAATATTAATTTTTTTCTAATTTGGCCTGAGGTCTCTCTTGAGAGTGGCTGTAAATTCTAGCCCTGACCAGGAGCGAGCTGGGCTGAGACACAGGAGGCGGTGCTGCAGAGCTCATGAGCTCAGAAGCAGCTGATGTCTCCCAGGGCCGCGAGAGGAGAGGGCAGCCCACCTCGCAGGGCTGACGGGAGTGGGGAGCCACTGGGGACATGCACACTCAACCATCGGGCAGGGGGAAAGATAGGGAGACCCAGGGGCCAACACCTTTATGGGGACCAAGGAGTTAGCCAAGCAGGTTTACCACGGGAGTTCTAATCGGTGGGTCTGGAGCAAGCAGGCAAGAGCTCCGTGGGGTCACACTGTGACTGAAGGGTCACTGGGGCATAGGTCTGCACAGTCCATGTGGGGTGTGGGGTCTGAGGGCGAGTCAGGCAGGTTGTGTCCAGCTGTCCCGTGAGGAGGGGTCACCAGGAGGCAGTGGTGCAAGGCAGATGTCTGGACTGGCCACACTGAGAACCTGGGAGGAAGAGGACTGGAAAACTCTGTCAGGGTGAGACAGTCCAGCTTACGTTCAAAATGGATCTGGCACAGCGGGGACATTGGCTGTGTGACGAACATGTCCAGGGCACCAATTTGTCATTAATCCTTGTGGCACTTTAGGTTATGAACTGTGGTTTTATCATTACTTCCATTTTATTTTTATCTTCAGCAAGGAAAAAAAATAATAAGGAAAAAGGCAAAGATCAAAGAAAAAGGCATGAGTAATAGCTACACTCCACAGTGATCTGGACGTCGGCAGGGCTGAGGACATGAGACTGTCTGCTGCTGATGCCACCCCTCTGCGGCTGCCACGTCAGAGCAGGCCAGCCCTGTGTGGTCCCCACCTCCTGAAAAAATCCATCTGCTATTTGTTCAACAGGAAAGTTTATGGATTCTCCTTCTCACATCGTTAATCTCAACTTGGAGGCTTACAAAAACTTTACTTGTTTTCAAAGTAAAAGCAAATTAAAAAGTAGATTAAGCAAAAGGTGACGGTTAATTTGATGTATCAACCTGGCTAAGCCACAGTACCCAGATATTTGGTCAAACGTTGTTCTAGATGTTTTTGTGAAGGTACTTTTTGTAGATGAGATTAACGTTTAAATCAGTAGACTTTGAGTAAAGCTGATTTGTGTCCATAGCGTGGATGAGCCTCATCCGGTCAGCCAAAGGTCTTCTAGAGAAAGACTGAGGTCCCCTGAACAGGAAGGAACTCTCCCGCCCATGGCCTTCCTATTCAAACTGCAGCTCTTTCCTGGGTCTCCAGCGTGCCGGCCCATCCTACAGACTGTGGACATGCCAGGCTGCACAATTGCATGAGCTGATTCCTTATGTCTTCCTCCCTCCTTCTTTCTCTCTGCGCGCACACACACACACACACACACACACACACACACACACACACAGTTGCTGCTGTTTCTCTAGAGAACCCTGACAAACAAGCCATGTTTATTATTTTGAGATTTTTCAGTGGCTGACACTTCATTATCCACATGACATTGGCTCTTTTTCCTTTCACAGTATTTTTTAATTTCACGGAGATCTGGGTCAGCCTGTGGGCGTGGGTAGCTTGTGAACCACCATCAGTGGGTATGCTCCAAAGAGGCTCAGTATTGAGGACGACTGTCCTATCCATCCAGAGTGTGATCTAAGGCCGTGGAGAGAGGGTCGGCCAGGCCCAGCCACAAACAAAACACCCATAAGATCTCAAGTCAGTATCACCTCCCTCCTGGGAGGAAGGCTCGGCACAGGCAGGACCCGGGGAGGAGGGCTGGGGAAGCCACCCTGGCCTGGAGAGGAGAATGGGAGACAGAGGAAAAGGGAGCTTGGTGAGGCTCCAAGTCACAGCCAAAACCCGACAAAGTGAGGCACAAACTCGTTTGGGACACAGAGGAGAGCAGCACCCACAGCGTGGTGCCACCCAGAGAGTCCAAGACGACGATGGTGGGGCTAGAAGACGACGGTGGGACTGGAAGACGACGGTGGGGCTGGAAGACGATGGTGGGGCTGGAAGACGACGGTGGGGCTGGGCCGTGTCCTCACACCACATTTTATCTTTCATAGATCCTAGAAGACAAAAGAAGGCAATACATGTTTGCTAAATGAACAAATGAAAGGAAGAAGCCCATACAGTCAAAACAGAAGAAGTTTTTGTGCATACACGCTCGGCCCTAATTCCTTCACTCTTCCAGCCATTAAGGAAACGTCACCCAGTAGTGGCCGACACTCAGCAGCTATTCCAACACACTCTTCAGTGGCTGCCCAAGGCTTACAGTGAAATCTATTCTTTAAAATTTGTTAGTGAAAGTTCTTGAAAATGCCTCCCCAGCCGTTTTTAGCCGTTTTCGTGAGAGGTGGTGTTCTGGGTTGAATTGCATTCCACCAAAAAGATATGTTGAAGAAAAGATACATACTCACCCCCAGTACCTAAGAATGTCACCTTATTTGGAAACAGGGTTCTTGCAGATGTAATTAAGTGATGATGAAGTCATGCTGGAGTAAGGTGGGTCCTGAATCCAATGACCAAGGACCTTATACGAGGAGAGATACAGAGAAACACAAGAAGATGACCATGCAAAGACAGGCAGTGATTGGAGCACGGCTGGTGCCTGCCAAGGAGTGCCGAGCCTTGCCGGCATGCCAGCAAACTGGGAGAGGCGAGGAGGGACCCTACCCTGGTGCCTTCAGAGGCAGCATGGCCCTGTAAAATCCTGCACCTGGATTTCTGGTCTCCAGATTGTGAAAGATGCATTCTGATGTTTAAGCTCCCTGCTTGTGGTAATTAATTACATTGGCCACAGGAAACTAACAGAGACCCCAAAGAAAAGGAAGGGAAACAAGGGGTTTGAATCATCACTCCAGTTGAGAATTGAGATTTTCTCAGGCCTTCCTTCGAAAAGATGTAAGTCTGGTTGAAATGGATACAGGTAAAATGGCACAGAACAAGTCTGTGCCCTAAAGAACAGGTACTAATACTGAACCCGTTGGGAAACTCCAATTCTTAAACACGGCACCTTTCACAACAGCCAGTGCTCTTGCGGTGTTTACATCATGCTGGGCACCTGGCTGTTGTCTGCATACTTTACACTCATCAACTCAACCCTTCCACAACCCATGGGGAGACCGAGGCACAGAGAGTTTAAGTAACTCACTCAAGGTCACACAGTTGATCGCCGGCGGGGTCAGGATGTGAGACGTGGGCCCACAGACTTTTTTTTTTTTCAGGGTCTCACTCTGTCACCCAAGCTGGAGTGCAGTGGTGCCAACATGGTTCACTGCAGCCTTGACTTCCTGGGCTCAAGCGATCCTCCCGCCTCTGCCTCTCATGTAGCTGGAAACACAGGCGCGCATCACCACGCCCAGCTAATTTTTTTTATTTTTTGTAGAGACAGGATCTTACTTTGTTGCCCAGGCTGGTCTCAAATTCCTGGGCTCAAGCGATCCTCCTGCCTCAGCCTCTAAAGTGCTGGGATTCTAGGCGTGAGCCTCCGCGCCCGGGCACAGGCTCTTTCTTAAGCACTAAGTGATGTTGCCTGTATTCGTTTTCTGGGGCTGCCATAACAAATTCCCACAAACCAGGTGGCTGAAAACCACAGAAATGTGTTCTTTCAAAGTTCCGGAGAGTAGAAGTCCAAAAGTGAGGTGTGGGCAGGACCACCCTCCTCTGAAGCCCCCAGGAAGAATCCCTCTGCACCTTGCCCAGCGCCCCGCGGGCGTCTTCAGTCCTTGGTGCTCCTTGGCTTGGAGCAGCAGTGCCCCAGTCTTGGCCTGCATCTTCATGCGGCCTCTCCCTGTGCATCCCCCAATTATAAGGTCACAGCATTGGATTTAGGACTCACCCTAATCCAGGATGACCTCATCTGAACCTGAACACATCTGCAAAGACTCTTTTTCCAAATAAGGTCACGTTCAAACATACAGAGAGTTTGGGCTTCAATCTACCTTTCTGGGGACTCAACTCAGCCCACCACAGGGCTCAGGCCTGCCCCAGGAATGCTGCGCCCTCGGGCTGCTCCAGGCTGGAAGGGGGCAGGAAGCAGAGCCGGCCTCCAGGGCTCTGCCAGGGGCCACACTCCAGCCCATGCACTGGGGACCGGAGAGAGCCCAGCGGGAGGACAGTTGGAACAGAGGCTCTGACTACCGTGGGAACAGCTCACACACCTCTGTGCCGCTCTGGGTGTGACCTGTTCCGTCCCTTCACTTGATTTGTCCTCTGTATCTGGAAGCGTCCTCTCCATAGTGCAGCGGTTTCCCTGCCAGGCTCCCGGGTTATTCCCGATGATTTGCTTTGCTGCCCAGCACAAAGGCTAGCATTTATAGCCACTCTCCAGAGAGACCCCCCCAGACCCAACTAAAGCAGAATCACAACAGAAGCCTAGAGAGGTTGCCTGGCAACGACTCCCTATTGTGCCTGTTGTGACCTCGCCTTCCCCGGCCTCCTGCAGCGCCCCTGCGCACTGCCACTGTCATCAGCCTGAGGTGAATGCCAGTGTGGGGCTTCGCACGGCTCTGTGCCCTGTCCCCTTCACCCCAGGGGCTAAAGACCCTGGAGGAGCTCGGAATCCCAGGCTTCCAGAGCCTGACTCCTGCCCTTTGCCCACTGCCCAGCAAAGTCCGGGCTCTACGTTCCATCGCCACCTGGTCACCCGGTCCCTGCCCTGTTGTTCCTCTTTTGCAGGACTTGGCTTGGCTCTCTTGTCCTCAGTCCACGTCTTGTCTCAAACAAAGGCCCTCCCCAGACACAGTACGCTCCCCAGTAGTGACATGTGAACAGCCACACATCCCTGATTTCCAGGGACACTTGTGACTTCGCGTATTCACCCTCCATTTTAAAAAGTCACATTTCCCATGAAGTGCTGGGTACAGCATTCAAAGCGCATCTCCTGGACTGCTGTGTGCTCTGGGCAGCTGCCAGAGGAGACCGTGGCAGGATGTATGCCACTGTCACCAGATGAATAACCCCTTCTTAGCATACGTTGCAATATAATCAAATCCCATCGTGCCTGTTTGGTGATGTTAATTCCAGAATTTTATTTTATTTTTATTGTGGTAAGAACACATGAGATCTGTCCTGCTAAAATGCTAAGTGTCCACCGCAGCATCGCGACTATGGGTGTGATGTCCTGCAGCGGAGCTCTAGAGCTCATTCATTTGGCTTAATTAAAACTTAATGCCTGTTGAGCAGCAACCCTCATTTCCCCTCCGTGAGCTCCTAGCAGCCACCTTCCCACTCTTTGGTTCTATGAGTTCCACTACTTTAGCCACCTCATATAAGTGGAATCCTGCAGGATTTGTCCCACTGTGACTGGCCTGTGTCACTCATCGTGTTGTTGTGTATTGCGGAATTGTCTTCGTTAAGGCTGAATAGTATTTCACTGGCTGTACGCACCACGCTTTCCATTCGTTCACATGTCGATGGACATTGGGGCTGACTCCACATCTTAGCTGTTGTGAATGAACGTGGGAGTGCAGACATCTCCTGGAGAGCCTGATTGCAATTCTTTTGGATAAACACCCAGGATTGATTAATGCAGCTGTGGCAGGGGTTCAATGGGCAGGCGTGTTGGGGCTGGGGGCAGGGTTCTGCGTAGAGCTCCGGGGCAGGCACAGGGCATGAAGAAGGAAAGTGGGGAGTGAGGAAGCGTCTCTCTGAGGGTAGGGCTCTGGTTATACCTGGTCCCCCAGCCTCAAACCGTCATTGTCGCAGGCTCCTCTCAAATCCGATGAGCCACAGGCCTGCCCTGGATGCTGGTGTCCATACCATCACCACTGTCTTGTTCAGGCTGTTTAATTCCTCCTTGCCAGCATTGCAGAAGACCCCCACCTCCGACCCCACTTCTAATCTCTTCCTCTCCTTTGAACTTCCACAAGGAGAAGGCTTGTGGAAGGCTCAAAACCTGAACATGTCTCTCCTGATTTTGAAACCCCACCCTGTGTTCTTGTTACCCAAGGGGAGTCCATACCTGGACACATGTGCACAGAGGCCCCCACCTGTCCATCCTCAGCCCTCACACCAGGGCTCTAGCTGGGCCCCAAACCCTCAGGTCCAGAGTGTCCTCTGAGCCCCATGCCAGGCCTTCTATCTAGAACTCCCTTCCCGATGCCCATTCTTTCAAGTATTCACTGAGCACCTGCCATGTCCAGGCCCTATCCTAGGTGCCAGGAATACACCGTGGAACTGATATTTGGGTGGGGTAACTGACAGTAAACAAAGACACAAGAACACAGCAGATATTGGTAAGAGCTACAATGAGTCAAATTCAGGATCAGGATGGGAAGAACTGAATGAAAGAAGGAGACACAAGAAGAACAAAGAGGAAGGATATCCCAGGTGGAGAAAAGAGCCCACACAAGGCCCCTGGGCAGGAGGGAAGGCAGAGAACAGTGCAGCTAGAGGTGGTGAAAGGGACAGCAGAGATGGTCCGGGGCTGGGTGCCCCCGGAGCAGGCGCTTCCTGCAGGAGGTAAATGAGGGACTGCTCTGGGCTCAACACCTGTGGATGTCCACAAGCACGGAGACTCCATGAGGGCAGGAATTTCTGTTCTGCTTACTGAAGTATCCTAAGGGATGGAACCATGCACACAGTGTGTGTCGGGAGTGCAGCACCATGAATGATTGAATGAGTGAAGACAAATACATGACTCCGGGATTTGGTCACACAGAGGCTACTGGTGACCCTGACAAGTCGTGGAGACTCCAGAAGACTGACTGGCAGTCGGGAGGTGAGATGGAGACAGGGACACATAGGCCTTGAAGGGGACACAGCACACTGTGTTTAAAGTGTTTGCACACCCCTGGGCTGATGTGCTCCCTCGGGTTGGGGCCTGAGCCCCATGCGTCTCTACACCCTGCCAGCCAGCATAGCATGCAGCCGCCACTTGGCACGTGCTCAGTGAATGTTCATCAAACACAGGTATCACGTGATGAACAATCAGGAGCTGACCAATGTCACTTCTCAGAATCCAGCAGCCACCACTGGTCACACAGCCTACCTAAGGGCAGGAGGCTAGCCATGTCAGTATCATGACTGCCCTGACGGGGAGGGAGATGACCCAGAGAGAAGCACAGAAAGTCTCTGCTGCTCTCCCCAAAAGCAAATCCCATTCCGCCCGCAAATACCACAGGAGCCCTCACCCGGGGCCAGGTGCACACCTGCGTAGGAGCTCATGGTCTACAAGTAGAGACAGCTCATAAGCCAACATTCCAGCCCAGTGCTTTAAGAGAGGTGTGTCCCGGGTCCCCAGGTGTTGGTGGGTGCTGCTCCAGTTGAAGGGATCAGAGAGGGAACTACAAGGCAGTAACACTTGCCCGTGGCCTAGAAGGATGGGCTGCAATTCTCCAGCCCACCTGCCCTGGAGATAGGACAATGCTACACTCCTAGGGTGTTACTGCCTTCTAGTATTGCCTAGTGGTAACTGCCTTGCCCAACTGGAGGATCAGAGAAGGGCAACGGTAAGGTCTGTCTTCTGCACTGTAAAATCCTTCCACAGAGTTCTAGTTTTTGCATGTAAAATCTTCTGAGTCATCAACATATTAGAAAACTCTGAAAGATAATTTAGAATTTCCTGATTATCAAAGAATCTCCATCCCCCCTCCATTATTATAACTCTATGGTCAAGTTTTGGATCCTCACTATAATTCAGTAATGATTTCCATGACCAAAAATGATTTTGAGGTTGTTAACTGAGCGAGTATCATTGGGGTTAACTCAGTGAAGCCTCGGAGTAGCGATTCGTCTCAGTATTGCTGATTGCCTTCAGTCACGTGCTGCTGGGCCTGTGCTCCAAGGGGCTACAGTGACAACACATCGCAGTTCCACAGTGGGGACGACACTGGAAACCTCCCGTTCAGATCCTGTGACGTGCGTCAACTGAAGCTTCTTCACTTCCAATACAATTAACGTCGATTCTCGGGCCTGAAGGCATTTCAGTTTCAAAGTTCTTTGCAGTAGTTCAACTTTGCTCTGTGATATTTTGTCTTTTATAATATATTTGACGTAATTTTTGCGTGTTTATGGTCTTTTGACATTTTTGCACATATCTGGTCCTATTCAAAACCTCTGAGCAATGTTATTCTGAAGGGTAGCTTACACCTGATAAAACAATTGGTGTTTTTTTACTGTAGCTTTATTGTCATGGTGGCCGCCTACCTGGTTGTTTCTTTGGTTGTTGGTTTTCGTACCTGAATCGAGGATAGGCCAGTCACTGTGCTGGCCAGTAAAAGACAGTGAATGCAGAAATGGGGATTTCAGTTTTAACAGAGAATTCTGATGAACTAACTTCAAGCCCAGGAGAAAGAACACAGGGCTTAATTTTAGAATAAGTATTACATTGCTGATAATATGGTCTAGTAACAATACTACCTTGATAACCATGCCACCGTAATGAAATCAAATAATCACTCCAGTCCACTGATTGCAAGGACAGAACTAAAGTTAAAAAGGAAGTCAGATTTCATAGGGATGTTCAGACATTTTTCCCCCTTACCACCCTTATCACGTGCCCTAGTCATCTCATTTTTCAAATTTAGTTGATTTTTATAAAGCACAATTTGGGGGAATATTTCCAAGAGTCATTTAAAATTCCAGACTTAGGCTGAGCACGGTTGCCGATGCCTGTAATCCCGGCACTTTGGGAGGCCGAGGCAGGAGGATCACTTGAGCTCAGGAATTCAAGAACAGCCTGGGTAACATGACAAAACCCTGTCTCTACAAAAAATACAAAAATTAGCCAGGCATGGTGGTGCACGCCTGTGGTCCCAGCTACTTGGGGGACTGAGGCAGGAGGATTGCTTGACCCAGGAGTTGGAGGCTGCAGTGAGCCATGTTCGCACCACTGCCCTCCAGCCTGGGTGACAGAGTAAGACCCTGTCTGGAAAAAAAAAAAAAAAAAAAAGGAAAGAAAATTCTAGAGTTATTATAGTCAACAATATGTAAAACAAATTAAATATGCAAACTTCGTAAAACCTCAGATGACATCACTGTGGTTCTTGATCATTGGTCTTCACCAGCTAACAATTTTTAAAGTGCTGCAATATTAACAATTGGCCTACCTCAGAAAGAAAGCATAAAGAGAACTGAGTTTCTATTTTTAGACATAGTAATTTCACAGATATCAGAGAAGCAGACAGTGTACCAAATCAATTGAGTCACATTTAAAAGGAGGGGTTGGGGGACGGGGAGAAAGGCTGCTCTATAATGGAGAAAACAGATTAAATCATTTGACCCAGTTTTTGTGAGAGTGCTTTATAAGCAAACTTCAAGTATAAGTTCTATAATGTTTTATTAAATCTAGTTCTAAAGTGGATGTTTTAATTCAAATTTGAGGGTATATATTTATTAAGATATTTAAATGTATCAAAGTTATAATATAAGCATGCCAAATATAAAAAAATAGATTTTGGAAATAAAAAAGTACAGCAAACGCTTTTTAAATCAAATCTAAACGCACATTCACGTCTTTCTCAATCAGGTGATTCATGAGTCAACAAGGCTGACTCTTAACAAAAGGAGTAAAGCTCTAAAATCTCCAAGATTTAAAAGCAAAAACAAACAAAAACCAGCTATGCGTTGTTGTTGTTTTTTAATAGCTTTTGGATCGGATAATTTAGTGAGTACTTTTCACCACTGATGCATTATGTGTGCAGGGGCTCGTGAAGCTTGATATCCAAACTGAACAAACGGCCTTGGCTGCTCAGAACATCGTGGGAAAGAAACACCACCATTCGCCTTGCAGATGCACCATCCGTGCTTCCGTTTGGAAAAGGCCACGTAGACGAATGCCTTCTGGTGAGTTCACCATTCTCGCCCACAGTCTGATGTCCCAGGCTGTGAACCCAGAGCAGCCACTGTCAGCCCCCTCAGGCCTGTCCAGGAATCAGCAAAGCCTCTGTCTGGGGCAAAGCTGCCCCCGCTTTTTTTGTGGCCACTGCATGGAAGGGGGTAACTGATGGACTTCAGCACTCGTCCTCGTCAGGCCCCGGCCCAGGGAGCTCGATGCACTGAGAGGACCAAGGCCTGGCACCACCATCTCCAGGCTCAGGCCAGCTGCATCTGGGTCCCTGGCAGAGGCAGAAGAGTCTCCCCTCCTCTGTGCCTCATAACCTTGAGAGCATACATGTCTCCAAGCATTTCCCACTTGTATCAATAGTTTGTGTCTATTTCCAGGAGACAGAGCTGGTGCCATTTCCTTGAGGTTAGAGATCATCTGGTAGTCACCTTTACAGTCCTTGAGGGTAGAAAGGGGTAGCCCCCTTTCCTGGTGTGTAAAATGGGAATTATTCCTAAAAAGCAGGATCACGGTGCAGATGGGATCACAGTTGAGGACATGTAGCAGATAATTGTAACAACAGAAGCAGTCACTCTTCACCCCACTTCACAGCTTTGGGGATGTGGAATCCATCTTTTTTTTAACCAAAGGATGCCCATGGTGCAGATCTGAATGCAACGGTCTTCCTTACCTTTCATGATAGCAACTTAAGGAATAGCACATAAGAATTTTCTTAATTCATACAAAGTTTATAATCAAATAGAATTACTACTGTTATTACACACACACACACACAGTCCTCTCCCAATCTTAAGACAAAAGGGTTTCTTAGAAACTGGTGTGGATCTAATGCCATCCAAGTATTATTGGTGGCGTTTGTATGCTGAACTGGAAGGATATCCTCCAGGCATCTGCTCTTCAAGAACAAGGATGGGGTGGCGAGAAGAGAGAGGAAGAGGCAATTACGGCCTTTGGAGAAAACCAGCACTAATGCTTCTGGCTGGGAGGTCCTTAAGCTTAGTACCACTTTTTGTTTATGATAATGTTTACAGATAGGGCTTCTCAATTATGAGAACCCAGTGTGATCAACACTTAATCCCACCCAACTTCAACCATGCTGAAGAGGCACTATGGCCCGGGGCACTCCAGTTCTGAGCACGCGGAGTGATATTCACTGTGAAGGTGGTTGTTGGAAACCATTTACACAGCAACCCAAAGTGTTACTACCTTCCTCACTTTCCCCACTTCCCATTCTCTTCTCTTTTTTCTTTTTCTGTTTCACATACTTTTCAAAGGCCTTCCCATGCCGCTACACAGGAATACTGTTCTTATCTGCAGTAGGCTGACTAATGACCCTTAAAGATATCAAGTCCTGATCTCTGAAACCTCCAATGTTACCTTATATGAAAAAAGGGTCTTGCAGATGTAATTAAATGAAAAGATCTTGAGATGGGGAGATCATGCTGGATTCTCCTGGTAGGCCCTAAATGCCTTCCCAAGTGTCCCTTTATGAAAGAGGCAGAGAAGGCCAGGTGTGGTGGTGCACACCCATAGGCCTAGCTACTTGGGAGGCTGAGGCTGGAGGATCACTTGAGCCCAGAAGTTCAAGGTTACATGAACTATAAGTGCACCACTATACTCCAGCCTAGGCAACAGAGCAAGACCAGGTGTCTAAAACAAAAACAAAACAAAACAAAACAAAACAAAGAAAGAAACAGGTAGAGGGAGATTTGACAGACAGAAAAGAGGTCATGTGAACACAGAAGCAGAGATCAGAGTGATGCAGCCACAAGCCCAGGAATGCTGGCAGCCACCAGAGGCTGAAAGCAAGGCACTTTCTCTATATCCTCCAAGGGAAGTGTGGCCTTGCTCACACCTGAATTTCCATCCCATAAGACCAATTTCGGACTTCTGGCCTCCAGAACTGTAAAAGAGTAAGTTTCTATTGTTTTAACCCACCAAGTTTGTAGAAAGCTATTACAGCAGCCACAGGAAACTAATGAATTTTTTAAAGAGATAACCACCCAACCCATAGATTGGGCAAATCTGGACAGCCAGGTACCCATTCCAATGAAATGATGGTTAAGAGAATCACAGCTGATTAAAACTTCCCGCTTCCAAATATGAAGAAGCAGATATGTTAAACCCCATAGAGACTTCCCTCCCCCAAATTATAAAAGGGCTGTGTTTTTTTTTGTTATAAGAAATGCAAACCAACTTAACAGCATGAACACTGGAGAATCGGCTACCACTGTAACAGTTTCAGAGAGAAAACTCTAGCCATCGGGAACAGATGGCCCAGGACACAGCCCTAGCAACAGGTCCAAAGCTCCGGGCATACACAAGTTAACAGACATGGTCTCTGTGCCAAGGGGCATGCAAACTAGTGGAGAAACCGGCCTTTGAGCAGATGGGAATAGGTGAAATAGATGGTATAGTGGAATCACTGAAGCGCAGAGGGAGGCAGCCTCGGTCTGACACTTGAAATTGGATTTGCCTGCAGATTGAATAGGAAAAGGCCATCCCAGGAAGTGCCTATGCCAGACTACATGGCTAGAGGGGTTGGCAAAGGCGAGGCAAGCAGAAAGCAAAGCCACCTTGGCAGCACTGGACAGGCCATGCCCAGCTATGAGGCCGCAGGCATCTGCAAGCCACATGGGAGGGTGGGTGGGTATACAGCACCAATGCAAGTTAACCCGAGTTGCATTTGGAAAGATAAATTTGATTGAAAACGCACTAGGCTGGGAAGGGAAGGAAGCAAAACTGAGGCAGGAACTTGGTTGCAATGGCTACAGATTGGACAGAGCTGCTGCAGGCCAGAAACAGCTGAAATAAGGCTGGTAAGGACAGGTTTAAGTGGCATTTAAGAGGTAGATTGATAGGACTTAGTGACAGTTGAATGCAGACATTGAGAAATAACCGTCAAGTTTCTGGCTTGGGTAGCAAGGCAGACAGCAGCATCTTTAATTAAGTAGGACACAGTCAAGGATGGAAAAAATGGTTCAAGGGCAGATAGAATGTCGATAGGAAGTCCAGCTGTGAGCTTGCTGTGTGCACAGCTGTGGGTTGTCCGCAGGGTGTCTAATGAGGTGGCTGCATAAACAATGTGCATTTTGTATAAAAGAACATATGTGTCTATGGTGTGAGAGATCCTGTTTGGGGTGCTTCAGTGTACGGCTAACACTAAGAAGTAGAGGGAGATTTGACAGACAGAAGAAGGCCATGTGAACACACAGGCAGAGATTGGAGTGATACAGCCACAAGCTCAGAAATGCTGGCAGCCACCAGAAGCTGAAAGAGGTAAGGAATTTAGACTGAAAGTCAGGCATTGGGCAGGCAGAGGCAAACAAGAAACCTGCAGGGCGGATGAGAGGGTGCTGGCTGGCAAATCCAACATCACCTACACAAGTGGTGTCAACAAAACCTGCACCAGGTGTTATGGGAGCACAGAGGAGGGAGCACCAACCCTAGATACAGCTGAGAAGATGCCAGTCAGGTGGGGTGGGGAGGTGGTGGAATCCTGGAGGAAGAAACACCAATCAAGATGAAATTATCCCATTAAAACAGGGTGGTAGTGGTGGGGGCAATAGCTCAGGCAGAAGGGACAACACACTTGAAGCCCAGAAGCCCAGAGGCAAGAGACAGAGCAAGACTAGTTTAGAGGCCTGCATGTCAGAGTGGAGGTGGGGGAAAGATGGGAGAGGCTGGGCCAAGTCCTCAGGCACTTGTGCGTTGTGGTTTGAACTCTCACCTAGGCAATGGAGAGCCATTAAACCCTATGCAAGGGAGTGGCATGATCCCTTTTGCTGTTTAGAAAAATCGCTTTGGCTGTAATGTGAGAGTGGATTAAAGGAGGAAACCTGGAGGCTGGGAGAGCAGTTAAGCGGTTACGTTACCAGAGAAACACTGAGGAGGTCGGACGGACAGGACTTGGGGATAGACCCAATACTGGAAGTGAGGGAGGAGCCCACCATGGTGCCCACATTCCTGGCTCCAGCAACTGGGCATATGTTCCAAGCATGGATGAGACTGCATAGGGTGTGTGTGCCAAGAAACCCAGTGCGAGCATGGGCAGGGGCAGAAGGGCCAACACAGCCGGCCCAGGAGGAGCAGTCAGCCAAGAGGTGGGAAATCCAGGGAATGAGGCGTAACTGAAGCAATCACTGCTGAAGCAATTGGAAGCGTGTCACAAATCAAAGAGAGCAACTGAAAGATGCAACGGTTTCTGCCAGATTTGGCAGTCAGGTCAATTCCAGTGAAATGGTGAGGCCAAAAGCCTGATCATATAGCTCAAAGCAGAGACACCAATGTGTATCGTCCTGAGGAAGGTTGAAAAAACAAAAAACAAAACAAAACAAAAAAACAGCTAAGCAGGTGGCTAGAAAGGGATCGCTCAAGGGAGGCTGCTTCCAGCATGCGGTAAAGCCAGTACTAGTTTTCTCACCTATAAAACTAGGATAACAGCACACACTCCCCCAGCCTAATCACAGGGGAACCTAAAACTCAAGGTTCTTTTAAGACTTATAATCACTGTTGCCTTCTACCTTCAGAACAGTCACTTTGTGCTTTTCCACCATACAGTTCAAAATACAGACACTCTTTAGGCTGGGCATGGTGGCTCACACCTGTTATCCAAGCACATTGGGAGGCTGAGGCGGGTGGATTGCTTCAGACCAGGAGTTTGAAACCAGCCTGAGCAACATGGTGAAACTCCATCTCTACCAAAAATACAAAAATCAGCTAGGTGTGACGGATGCACCTATAGTCCCAGCTACTGCCGAGGCTGAGACGGGAGGATGGCTTGAGCCAGGGAGTGGAGGCTGCAGTGAGCTGAGATCATGCCACTGCACTCCAGCCTGGGACTGACAGAGACTCCATCTCAGGAAAAAAAAAAAAAAATTTAAAGTGTTTTAAAGTTGTAGGAGAAAATTTTTAGGTGCAAGATTCTTTATGTAAGACTAAGAGTCCTCTTAAAATTAGTCAAACTAATAATCTACAACAGAGCTGTTAATTTGGCAACAAATTTTTAATTTGTATCAATCTAATGTCTGTCTTTCACATACTTCCAAACATTACATAAATTATTTTACCTAGTGCATACAACTTTCAAAAACTGTATTTGGCAATTAACAGACCCCTGACAATTATTAACAGGGGTTTTACATCCCGGAGTTTGAGTGTCTGCGGGAGAACCGTCCCTGCAGGAGGCACTCCCCCTCCACCTGCGACCCGGGCTGGGAGAACGCGCGGAGGGCTCCCTTGAGCGGTCTCCGCCAGCGAGGCTTTCCTCCCGGTCGGTGTTGACAGTGTGGCATTTCTGTTATCTAATTTCTGGTTTTGACTGAAAGCGAAGTGAGTTTTCTCATCAGTGGAGTTGTAATATTTCTGCAAAAAAAAAAAAGATCACAGCCCTCCGATGAGCCGGGCACTATGCGAAGTCTCCGGCTGCCTGCGGGCCGCTGTGGACGCCCCGGCGGGGGTCAGGACCGACCCCCATCTGCGCGGCGAACGAGCCCGGACGCCCTGGCCGCGGCCGCCGGGTCCCCGCCCAGGGGCCAGGTGGCCAGGTTGCGTCGGGAGGAGGAAATGGAAGCGCTCTGAGCGACTAGCGAGCGGCAGGAGCCGCCTCCCGCGGGCTTTCCTCGCGGGCCGGGAGCGTCTGCCGCCGACCCGAGGACCGCAGGGCCCCGCTCGCCGCCCGCGCCCGTCAGAAAGCCGCGCGTCGCTCCCGTCGCTGTCGGGGTCGTCGGCTCGGGGAGTCGCCCGCCGTCCACCGGTGAACGGGAGCGCGTCCTCCCCTCCGAGGGACTAAGCGCTCGCGCCACGCATCCCGCCGCGCCGGAAGCGGGGACTACTGGCGGCCCAGCTGGGCAGGACCGCGGCCGAATGACCCGGGGCGACCCCGCAGCAAGGGCGCCTCCGGCAGGCGGCAAAGTCCCCTGAGAATCGGCGCGCTCCTCGCCGCGACGGACTCCACCCGGCCGGGGCGCTCAGCCTCCTCGCCGTGGCCCCCAGCCCGGCCGCCTCCCCTAACGGCCGCCGCAGGCTCCCCTCATGGACCGAGAGCGCGGGCTTGCAGCGCGGCAGCGTCCGTTCGGCGCGCGGCTCCGGGCAGGCCCGCCCTCCCCCGTCCCCCTGCGCCGCGAGGCCCCCCCCCCGCCCCGCCCTCCGGCGCCCGGCGCCCAATCAGAGTGCCGCGCACGTGACGAGCGATGCCTGCGATGACCTCATCCCTGGTGTGGGATGACGTCAAATTCAAGATGGATGGAATCACAGCGGCAGCGGCGGCTGCGGCGCGCGCGAGCCGAGTGTGAGCGGAAAGGGGCCCGGCGTCTGCCTCGAGACTGAAGACCGGTGAGTAACTGTCACGCCCCTAGCTCTAGGAGAACTGCGGGGCTCCTTGGGAGGCTACAGCCTCCCCGCAAAACGCGGCCTTTCCTGACGTAACTCTGAGGTGATTTCTCTCCTCTTTTTTCTCCACCAGCGGGTTGCGGGCTCCGAGCGCTTCTGCGCGTGCGCGGGACCTGGGCGCTCACCGAGCATGTCCCGGGTTCCCACGTAGCCGATTGTACCTTCACACTGCGCACGCTCCCTGCCAGCACTTGGCCTCGCCCTCGCGAATGCGCATGCTCCATTCCCTCACGGGCTTCACTCTTCACCCTGGCCGAGCTGCCCCTGGGGTAGGGGACACGCCTGGCCCAGGCGCGCGCCCCTCGCGCGGAGCGGTTGAAACGCCTCGTGGAGAAGGGCGCGTTCTCCTGTTCCGGGCAGGGGTTGGGGGCCGGCGGCCCGGGCCGCGGGGTGTGCGCGGAAGCTGGCCGGCGGCCTTGGGGACCCCGCACCTGCCGCGACCCGCCGCTCCCTTCACGGTCCGGGACCTAGCCCCGCCGCCCCGTCCTCGGCCCGGTGGCCGGAGCGTGACCGCTCGGTGCCCGCTGGACGCTCCCTCCCCGCCCCCGGCCCCTCCCGCGGACGCCTGGACCTCACAGCGCGTTTTTTTTCCTCCAGAGCCCCCGCAGACCTTGTCTGGGACTTCCCGGCGGTCCCGCAGAGCATAGCACCCTCCGCCGGCCAGGAGCCCTGCTGCTCGGCCGGCGACCGTCTCCCCGCTTGGAGGAGCCCCCTTCCCCCCGTCCGAGGTCCGCGGCTGGAGGGGCAGGGAGTCAAGACGCCACCCGTGCCGGCCTTAGAGACGCCCGCGGCAGCCCCGCCACATCTCTTCCCGGCTTTTCGGGAACACGCCCCGTAGTCCATCCTCAGCGGCTCCTGCTTTTCCATCCCAGCACACCGCTGGGGGCTCGCACTCTGCCCCCGGTTGCTATGCGGTCCCAGCCACGAGGGCTCTGCGGTTCGGGAGAATTCCGCAAGAGCGCGCGTTCGGAGGCGGGGTGTTTTTAGACAGGTGCCCCGGTGGGATTGCCTGACCGAGAGGACGGGGAAAGTTAGACTTCACACGGCCTGGGGTTTTTCCTTTCGTGCAAGCGCTCACAGCCCTGGCACCGAGCCTCCGAGGGCACGCGTGTGTTACAAAATAGTCCAGCGATTGTTCACACGATGACCCTGAGTCCTCAATTAAGCAGCTTACATTACGGTCCTCATACCTTGTTTAAGAAGACAAGAAAGTGGGTTAATCCATTTTAGAAAGATTTCTCATGGAAAATTATCTTTTAAAGCTTTCCTCGTGTACTTGGAGTAAATGATGATCTCTAAGGACTAGTAGTCATTAAGTTTAAATTTAAGCACCCCTAAATATTGATGTTAAAAAGAAAGTCAAAATTTGAAGTGCTGGTTTACTTAAAAGTAACTTTTTGTTTATTTTTCCTTTTTAACACTTTATTGAAAGTATAATGTGCTTCATTCTGTTGAAATAGAAGTTGAAGAAGATATAACCCCTGCCCTCGAGGAACTTACACTGTTGAATATTAGATGTGTACACTCTGAAGGAAAAATTGTAAATAACAAAATTGGGGTTAAGTTAAGAAGGTCTCTCGATGGAAATGAGATAATTAAAGGGACAATTTTTTCTTTTCTTTTCTTTTTTTCTTTTTTTTTTTTTTTTTTTTTTGACAGAGTTTCACTCTTGTTGCCCCAGGCTGGAGTACAATGGCGTGATCTTGGCTCACTGCAACCTCCGCCTCCCTGGTTTTGCAACCTCCGCCTCCCTGGTTCAAGCGATTCTCCTGCCTCAGCCTCCTGAGTAGCCGGGATTACAGGCTTCCGCCACATCGCCCAGCTAATTTTTTTTTTTTTTTTTTTTTTTTTTGTAGAGACGGGGTTTCATCCTGTTGACCAGGATGGCCTTGAGATCTCCTGACCTCGTGATCCACCCCACTTGGTCTCCCAAAGTGCTGGGATTACAGGCATGAGCCACTGCGCCCAGCCGAAGGGACAGTTTTAGTTGTCCGCAAAGCCAATGGAAGTAGAGAGAGCAGATTATAAGCTATGTAAGAGCTAGG
This sequence comes from Homo sapiens, assembly GCF_000001405.40. Classification (NCBI taxonomy): domain Eukaryota; kingdom Metazoa; phylum Chordata; class Mammalia; order Primates; family Hominidae; genus Homo; species Homo sapiens. The sequence continues at coordinate 42,008,149 of NC_000021.9, read as the reverse complement.
TTTGACCAGGTCACAGTGATAGGCTATAAGGGAAAGAGAAGAAATTTTAGGGTCTGGCAACACACCAAAGTAAATCGGGAATATGTGAGGACAAACAGATGTGGGAGCAGGGACGAGAGTTGTGGAGTTTAAGTACCATGCTGGACCTGAGGATATACTGTGATGGAACCGTTCAGTAGGTACCTGAGAGGCTGGAGCCTCAAGAGTCTAAACAGAGATACAGATTTGGGAATCATCGTCCAGTAGTGATTAAAGTCACAAGGTCTAATAGAAAAAGCAAAGAATACTGCCACGTTTTGGGGCTCTGTAACGGATGCTGGAGAAATAAAGGTGAGCCAGTCCAGGTCTTGAGCCTCAAGTTTGATGATTTCTCTCTTTGCCCTGTACCTAGCTTGCCAGGCCTTGTGCTGGGCATCAGGGATACGTGCATGCAAACAAGGGTTCTTTCTTTAGGGAGTCCCTTGGGGGAGACACATGTAAAAGAAGATTAATTGAAGAAGTTGTGGTGTTATTACAGAGAGATGAAGTATTGTGGTAGTTTAGATGACTGAGCTGCTGGCTAGGGGCAAATTACAAAAGCTTTGTAGAGTCGGTGACATTTCAACTGGATCTTTCGAAAGAAGTTAGCCAAGTAAAGGAGAGGGAAGAGAGAGATTTTGGGTGGCAGAGGCTGGATATGCAAGTTTGTAGAGTAGATGGTAAGTAGTGTCCAATAAGGGTGGAGAGATGAATTGTAACCAGAGTATGAAAAGTCTTGTATGCCAGTCTGTAGTTTGGATTTTCTTTAGGAATAGAAAAATCAGTACAGTACTCCAAAGCAGGGCAGTGATGTAATACGCTTTACTTCAGCAAAACAACTAACAGCCATAATTTTCACTCGTGCATTTAATTGGAGTGAAGAGTACAGAAAAGTCAAATCTTTATTGTTGTGGAAGATAACATGTTGAGCATTGATAATGCCAAAAGATATTAAATAGATTATCAGTCTTTAAATAGCTTTCAGTCCTCTTGGGGAGACACAAATGACTAACAATAAAGGCAGTGAATAAACATGTAAATGGTGCTGAAGTTGAGGTATTTGCACGTTATAAGATGAAGTAGTCAAGGAAGGTATATTCATTTGCTTGGGCTGCTATAACAAAGTACTGCAGACTGGATGACTCAACAGATTTCTTTTCCCACAGTTCTGAAAGCTAGAAGTCCAAGAACAAGGTGTCAGCAGGGTTGGCTTCTTCTGAGGCTTCTCTTTGGCTTATAGATGGCATCTTCTTGTCCCTACTTGGTCCTTCCTCTGTTCATGTCTCTGTGCTAATCTTCCTCTCCTGTAAGAACACCAGTTACATCAGTTTAGGGGTCACCCTAAAGCCCTCATTTTAACTTAATTACCTCTTAGAGACCATGTCTCCAAGTATGACTACATTCTCCAGGTACTGGAGGCTAAGTCTTTATCATATAAATTTGGGAGGGAAGAGTGGGGACACAATTCAACCCATAATGGAAGATTTTATGGAGTAGCTGGAACTTGACCTGAGCTTTGAAAGGTGATTAATATTCTGAGTAGTGTGCTGAGGAGGGGTTTAGGTGAGTTCTAGGACTTTCCAGATTGGGGAGTGGGAGAAGTCAGATGTGCAGGTTAGGTCTTAGAGACAGAGTATCTGGAGCAGAAAGGGATCACTAGGGAATAACTAAGGGAAAGAAAAAAAAATTTTTTTTTTTTTTTTGAGACGGAGTTTCGCTCTGGCTCAGCTGTCACCCAGTGGTGACTGGAGTGTAGTGGCACGATCTCAGCTCACTGCATCCTTCACCTCCCAGGTTCAAGCGATTCTCCTGCCTCAGCCTCTCGAGTAGCTGGGATTACAGGCGCCCGTCACCACACCCGGCTAATTTTCGTATTTTTAGTAGAGACAGGGTATTACCATGTTGGCCAGGCTGGTCTCGAACTCCTGACCTCAGGTGATCCACCCGCCTTGGCTTCCCAAAGTGCTGGGATTACAGGCATGAGCCACCACACCTGGCTAAGAAAATTTTAAAAGTCATTTGAAACCAGATTTTATAGAGACCTTTAGTCATTGTTTTAAAAATTTTAGCCTAATGGAGAACAATTGTTTTTATTATTTTATTTTTAAACAGGATCAAAGCTGGTTCTCTTCATTCAGATCTTAGGTCTCAGCTGAAATATTCCATCAAGGTATTTTCTGACCATCCTCTCTAGGCACTGCATCCAGCGATATAGCACCTTATTTATTTCCACCATAACTTTTAGCAGAATCTGAGGTTGTCTTTTTTATTTGTTTCCTTAGCATCTGATTTATCTCACTAGAAAGTGGGGGTCTTGTCTGTTTGGTGCACCCCTATATTTCAGATAAATCTAACCATGCCTTGTACAGAATTGGAATTCAGTAAATAAGTTGAATTAATAATAGGAATATTTAACGTGTATGTTGGGTGAGCGATCAAAGCTTTGTTCTAAGAAGCTCAGTCTAGAAGCTGTATTAGGATGGGTTTGGAAGGCATGACAAGGAACAGTGAATACCACGTGGAAATATATTAGGGTTCTTTAATAACAAGAACAGAAACTGTCTGGCTTGAATGGAAAAAGTAGTTTATTGTAAAGATACAGGGTTGCTCTTGGACTTAAAAGAAAAGCTAAAAAACTGGGCCAGGAAGAAGGACAAAAACCAAGCTAACTCCAGGAATCTATGTAGCAGGCACTAGCAAGGTTGCATTTTCAGGCCTCCGTTGAGATAAGTCAGCTTCATTTATTTATTGCCTTTGTCATTCTTCTCAGGATTCATATTCCGAGGACAAAGTTTCTGATTGGTTTGGCTTTGGTTGTATGGTTAGCCCAGAGGTAGGGGAGAGGAGCACATCAGGCTGTAGCACACAGTGGGACAAGAGCAGTTCTTCTATAGCAAAATCATGGGGCTGTTAACAGGAGGTGGAATGGCTGTGTAGTGGCTGGAAGAAAACAGCAAAGGCTGTGACCAGAGTCTGCTCTGCTAAGGTGCAAAGGAGCTTGAACTATGTTGGAGTAGGATCATTCTCCTGAATGTGGCCAAGAACAACCATCAAACCAAAATCAAACCCCCTTGTTAGAGACTGAAAGTGTGGTGAAATGGAATACAAGATAGTAACATGACTCCTCTTGAAGGATTGGATAAGCTAGTCTAGGTTTGAAATCTGAGGATATTTGCGTTGTCACCAAGTGAGTGATGATAAGACCGAAACTCAGAGGCAACTTCCTATCACCATCAAATAGTAAAATCCAATGGTAGGTGTTACGGCTAAATCCTGAAATGAGGGTTTGGGGATAAGCAGTCTGTGTGTGTGTGTTTATGTTCCAAAGTCAAATGTAGATGCTTTGTTTTTTTAACTAGGTATTTGCCTTGTGTTACATGCATTCCCTCTTTTTTCTAGTATCATGGTTAGGACTATAGAAGCAATCCCCAACATTCCAAAGGACCCATGTTCCCAGAGTTGAAATCTAGGTTGATGCTGGATGTAAAGAGCCATTTTCCTGTAGAACTGGTAGTAGCAGTTTTGTGGCTAGTCTGGGAGCCAACTTAATTTATAGTGTACCTTAGCTATGACACTAGTCCAAGTAGGTGAGATTATTTTGATCCCTTTCCATCTCTGTTTCTCACCCCCTCACTCACCCCCTGGTACCCTTCTGAGTGCCAAGTCGCTTTGCTTTCCTCTGCTTCTCACTAGAATGCTCTATATTCGAAATTGCCTACCTTCCCTCTCCCTCAAAAATCTTAATTCCATACAACTGATTTAACACTCTATAAAGAGGAAAGTATTTGCATTGAATTAATTTATGTTAAGATATGAGGCCGGGCGCGGTGGCTCATATCTTACAGGTGGCTGGCCTGTAATCCCAGCACTTTGGGAGACCGAGGTGGGCAGATCGCCTGAGGTCAGGAGTTCGAGACCGGCCTGACCAATATGGTGAAACCCCATTTCTACTAAAAATACAAAAATTAGCCAGTCCTGGTGGCTGGCGCCTGTAGTCCCAGCTACTCAGGAGGCTGAGACAGGAGAATTGCTTGAACCCAGGAGGCGGAGGTTGCAGTGAGCCAAGATCATGCCACTGCACTCCAGCCTGGGTGACAGAGTGAGACTCTTCAAAAAAAAAAAAAAAAGATGTGAGATATGAGTCCCCCACCCCCTTAGCATTTATTACCTGAGGAATTTGAAGTGATGGTATGAAATAATCTTCTGGAATCCAGTTCTGAAGGGTTTTGTAGCCATTCCAGGGAATTGGAAGTTGAGGCCAGGGCAAGCCCTTGGAAGGTTTTAAGCCCCAGCAAGGCCAGATGAGCATTTCTGAAAAGCGTCTATAGTAGAAATGTAAAGAATGGAACCTTTAGTATTAGAGGTTGACTATCCCTTATCTGAAATGCTTGGGACCAGAAGTGTTTCAGATTTCAGATTGTTTGGGATTTTGAAATATTCTCATTATACCCAGTGGTTCAGCGTCCCTAATCCAAAAGTCCAAAATGCTCTAATGAGCCTTTCCTTTGTGCATCATGTCGTTGCTCAGAAAGTAGTTTTGGGTTTTTGGACTAGAGATATTCAGCTTGTATTATAATTGTCAAAGGAGTGATGAGTCCCAAGCCTTCCTTAGGACTATTCACTCATAGTTAATAGTGAATAGTTCCCACTATTCACTCTTCCACCCTCCTACACCCTGGCCAAATTAATTGCTTCCTGGAATCAGTATTCCCGTAGCATTCTTCACATCCTTTGTTAATTATTGTCTGTCCTAACATGGAAATGTGAGCTACAGGAGAACAAGAAGCAGGCCAGTTACTCATCTCCCCATCACCAGCACCTCTTGTGATGTGTGGTGGGTAGCAGGCCCACGCAAGCATCTGTGAGGGGAAGTGGAGAAGGAAGGAAGATGTGCATGTGCCACATGGGAAGTGCTGAACGTACTGGGGCTTTCAAACATGTTGCCTCTTCTGTCCTTCATAAAAATCCTATGTGGTGGGTAGTGTTAGCCATGTTTAACAGGTAAGGAAACTAGTCAGAAAGGTTGAGTCATCTTTAGAAGGTTCCATGCCTAATAGGTGGCGGAGCCAGGATTTGAGACAAATAGACTGATTCGAAAGGCTTTTCCATGGAACTGTAAGGTCTTCTGTGAATTGTTAACCATAAAGATTCTCTCATTTTGAAATTTCAGAAGACATGAAGTAGAAACAATCCAGGAAGGCTTTGGGAAGCTATTTGTGTGCGAGGATCAAAGTGGTAAGCAAGCCGGCCCTATTTTAGAAACTGGTTTTCCTGGGGGGTTTTCCTCTTAGTTTTTTCTGTTGCTCGTAAATAGACCTTTTCTCCAAATTTCACCCACTGGTCTTTTAAGAGCTCCAAGGTTTTTCCACCATGACTGAAGTGGCAGAAGTTCTGCCGTGATGAGTCAGGTGGAGATGAGCCGTGGAAAGGAGGGGCGTAGACGGTGGTGGCAGCAGTGCGTGTTTATGTGTAAGATGCACTGCTTCTGTAAGTCGGAGGCCCTGATTACTCATAATGAAAACCTGCATGGAAATTTGGAGTGATGTGCCAGCAAACTTATCGGTCTAGATCTGAAAAATACACTGAGGAGAAAGTACACCCGGCAACAAAGCTCGCCTTATCTGACAGCAGAAGAGCAGAGAAATCAAAAGTTTTTGAGGATTCGGTGTACACAGCCACCAGCCACAAACAGTCTTGCTGGATTATCTCGTGATCGTCAGCAGTTGTGATTTTCCCCCTTTTTACTTACATTCTTGATGGATGGAGCATTTTATATTTTTAGGTAATTGTTAAACTCAAATATACTGACTGTCATTAAAACACAAAAATTCAATATGTTAATTGTCTGTCTGCAGCCAGACTAGGAAAGGGTACATTGTTTTCAAAACTTAATAATTGAATTAAAATGTAAAAAAAACAAGGGCCTTAATGTGAAGGTGAGGGATCTGCATCTCCTAGCTACCCCTGTCTCCTATCTAGACATCTAGAGTCTCTAGATCCTGGGGTACTGGGGAGAATGGACAATGTTGCTTTCCTGTGCAAGATCCTCAGATGACATATTTTAGCCCCCAGGGCGCTCATGCCTCCATCTTCCTCCAGCCTCATGGGCATTTCCTCCCCTATGTGTACCTTTACCTTTCACCAGGCAAAGCCACCTGTGGTTCCCTTGGATTCCTCCTGCTCTGTCTTGTCTCTGTAGTGTTGCATGTACTGCAGCCCAGCCAGCTGATGTGAATCTTGCCCTGCTACTTATTATCTGTCTGACATTGAGCATGTTACTTAACCCTCTGTGCCTCGGTTTTCTCATCTGTAGAATGGAGATAATAATAGTACCTAACTCCTAGGGTTGATGTCAATATTGAGTTAATACATTAAAAGTGTTTTCTTTTGTGTGTGTGGCAGAATAAGCACCCAAATTATAGCTGTTATTGAGTACCTAGTTACTGTTCTACTGAAAGGAATGGAAAATAAATACTCGTCCCTCGAAATGTCCTTCATCCTTCCTATCTCTTCCCAGCATTCCCTATAAAACTTTCTTCGTAGAACGCCCTTCCTGGCCTCCATCTCACCTGGCTCTGATGCCTGTCATCTATACTGCGTCTCTACCTCTGCAAACATCCTGTCTGCTGCTCAGCATACTGGACTAGGCTGATGAATTGACCTGTTCTCTTCCTGCACAAGACCTTAAGCTCCATGAGGCAGGGCCATACTTGTTAAATTGATATCTTCCATGTCTAGAAGGGTTCTAGCACACACTAGACAGATGCTAGCCATAAGTCTATAATTGTCTGGGTGACCTTAGGCAAATGACTTGACCTCTCAATGCCTCAGTTTTCTCATTTGTTTGTAAAAAGGATTGATGACACTGTCTAGTTCAGAAGATGATACGAGAATTGGAAGAGGAAACTAGAGGCAGTGTCGTGTAGGGGTTAAGAGCTTAGCCTCTGGATCCAAGCCAGCTGATGTGAATCCTGCTCTGCTACTTATCTCTATGACGTTGAGCATGTTACTTGACCGTCTGTGCCTCAGTTTTCTCATCTGTAAAATGGGGATAATAATAGTACCTACCTCCTATGGTTGATGTAAATATTGAGTTAATACATAAAAATAACTTCTTTATTTTTGTGTATGTGACAGAATAAACACCCAAATTTTAGCTGTTATTAAGTACCTAGTTACTGTTCTACTGAATGGAATGGAAAATAAATACTCTATAAAGTTATTCTGCACTTGTGTATCAGGAATTTGGACATCTTGAGGCACTTTTCAGGCAGGTGTGATGGCTCTAAATGGAGGTTATAGGAAAGTTAAGTTTTAAATCCCCAATAATTTTCAGGGACAGTGAGTATTTCTCTTACAACTTAACTTTGAATGACTTTATTATTGTCCCCTAGTCCATAGATGTTTTCATCCAAAGAAGATAGAGGTCTGTGATCCAAGAAATTTGAAGCAGTGACTTAGAGCAGAAATAGGGATCATGATACTTTGAATAATGCATAAAGAAGGAAACCTTTCTAAACAAAAGGGACACAAATGTTGCTTTTTTGGCAACGGGATGCATACGGTCTGTGGAATACCATTTGCTTCAGGTCCAGGGATGTAGAAAACTCCCCTTGGTTTAGTCTTCACACTAAAGGGCCAGGACAAGCCCTTGGAAGGGAGGTTTTAGTGTGAAGTGGTTAGCCGTTACCTGTGCTTCGAGTTCTGTTTGTGTCTTAGTTTGGATTCCCCCAAAAGTAGACCCCAAGACAAGGATTCAGAGGTAGACGTTTATTTGGGAACTGATCCCAGGAAGCACAAGAAAGGAAGTAGGGACAGTAAGGCGGAGATGGAGGCTCATAAAGGGTACATTGATGAACAGGTTGCTGCTCACGTGTAGGATATCAAAACTGAATTCTTTAAAAAATCTGAACTCCTGGTTTTTCTGTCAAACCCCATCTCTCCTAAGGATGCCCTTCCAGTTATTTTGGCAGAATACTTAACTCCACACCTTCTGTTTTCTCCTGCAGTCTGTCCACTAGAAATTCTAATGACTCTGCCTTTACCTCCGTTGCTACCACCCTGGTCCCAGCCACCATCCTCTCTCATCTGGGTCATTACAGTGGACTGCAAGCTGGCCCGCAGCTTCCCCCATAACCTACCCTCTGTTGTCTAATCTCAACAACAGAGCCAGAGCAATCCTTTGGAAATGTAATTCAGGTCTTTGTCATTCCTCTGCTCAGAATCTTCAATGGCTGTCCATTTCATCCATAGTAAAAAATAAAGTTCTTCTGGAGGTCTCCCAGCCCTAGACGGTCTTACTTCTTATTGCCTCTCAGATGTCATCTTACATGGCTCCCAGCACACACTGCTCCATCCCTCCTGTTGCCTTAGCTTCTCCCTTTGTTGTGATGTTCTTCCTCCATTTATCTCCATGGCTCATCCCTCGCCTCCTTCACACCTTCTTTGATCCCATTTTGATGAATGAATGACATGAGAAGTTTCTGGTATAGTTTGTAGTGTAGGTTCCTGTACAGTTAGGTGCTATATAAATGGTAGCGACTATTATTATCTTATTTAATTCCCACAATAGCATTATGTGGTAGCTGCTAGTATTATCCTTATTTTATGGCGAGGTAAACTGAGGCTCAAAGAGGTTGGTTAGCCTAGAACAGTGGCTCTCAAAATATTTTGACTGACCCACAGGAAGGAATACATTTTACATCTCAATCCAGTCCATGCTTGCTTATGTGGGTATGTACATATATATAATAGAAACAAAAGTTTCTCAAGCTCATAATTAGCCTTATGACATTTGATGCATTCTGATATTTTCTACTCTGTCCTAGTCATTTATTTTTTAATTGCTAGTTTTAAACCACCAAGTTGAGTTTAAGAACCCCTTTTGACAAAGACTATCCAAGCCTTTAAATCTGTACCTTTAATTCTGTGTTACAGCTTTTCCCTGTGGCAACATCTGAACTAGCTTTGTCAAAAATTATTAGTGCTAAAAACTCCTCAGTACCCAGCTGAGTCAATACGTGTAACATTATAAGCTTATGTCTTTTTCTGCTGATCTCTGTAAAAGATGGTAAGGGTTTCTTCATACAAATAGATGTAAAGAAAGTATAGTAGGATTAAGGAAAATTTAAATGACTAAGAGAAGAAAAAGGAAGGGAAATTATCAAGTAGTCACAAATAGAATAATTTTTTAAAAAAATAGAGGAATTAAAATTTACCATTTACTTTGAAAGGATGGTAGGCGGGAGTGGACAGAAACTTGGTACAGTCTGACCAAAGTAGTTGTTTGTGGACAGGCTAAAGGCATCATCTCTAGAAGCAAAGTCCTGTGTCTCAGTCGGTTAAATTGAGTCGCATCTTATCAGGGAGTCAGAAGGAATTGTATACCGTGTGTGGCCACTCCCAGGTTGACAGCCTAGGAGACTCTGGGCTCTTCCTGAAGAGCCTGGTGGCTGGGGTAACCAGCAAAGGCCAGAAGAGAACCTACAAATGAGCTGGGGTCAAGTTTGGTTCATCTACAGTTTGCCCGCTAGAGAAAGATAAAACCGTCACAGATAGTTACTTGGGATTCATGTAATCTTAAAAATAAATGTCTTAACAATATTTGAAAGAAAATATGGCATTATAAAATGAAAGGGATGAGCCAGCTGTGGTGGCTCACACCTGTAATCCCAGCACTTTGGGAGGCCGAGGCAGGCAGATCACGTGAGGTCAGGAGTTCGGGACCAGTCTGGCTAATATGGTGAAACCCCAACTATATAAAAATACAAAAATTAGCTGGGCGTGGTGGTGCACGCCTGTAATCCCAGCTACTCAGGAGGCTGAGGCAGGAGAATCGTTTGAACCCAGGAGGCAGAGGTTGCAGGGAGCCAAGACTGAGTCATTGCACTCCAGCCTGGGCAACAGAGCGAGACCCTGTCTAGAAAAAAAAAAAAAAAATGAAAAGGATGAGGTGTTAGAGGAACAGAAGCCTAAATAAAGGGTCAAATACACAGAGTCAGGCATTGTCTCTGCATGAAATGGCTTTGTCTGCATCGAGAGTATGGTGGGGTTAATCTGCCCACTTTCTTTGATACTGAATTAGATGCCTATTAATCCTGCAATTTCTGAAAGTTAAGTGCACATTTGTTGAGTTTTCTTTAGATGAACTCTTTGCAACAACCCTGCAAGAGGAGGGCACAGTTGTCATTCCTAACTCAGGTGAGGGATCTGCCACACCGAGAGGCTAACAGAAACACCCAAGGACAATCAGCCAGCCTGCAAGGAACTGGCATCTCAACCCAAGTGTCTGGCACCAGAGCTTGCACTCTACCACTAGGCCTCCTCTTCTCATGTTTAGATTTGAAGAGCATTTCAGTGAAATATCAGTTTAAACTCTTTAATTAAATTTAGAACTAGGCTAAAGTTTCCTTTGTGCTATTGTTGAAAATGTGATTTGGTAAGAAAATAGTATTCATGAGATTGCAAGGCAAATAGCATAAGAAAGAAAACAAACTTATTCTTCAACACTTCTAATCTTTTTTTTGTTTTTTTGTTTTTTTGTTTTTTTTTTTTTTGAGACAACGTCTTGCTCTGTCAACCAGGCTGGAGTGCAGTGGCGCAATCTTGGCTCACTACAACCTCCACTTCCCAGGCTTAAGTGATTGTCATGCTTCAGCCTCCTGAGTAGCTGGGATTACAGGCACATGCCACCACCCTCGGCTAATTTTTGTATTTTTAGTAGAGATGGAATTTCACCATGTTGGCCAGGCTTGTCTCGAACTCCTGACCTCAAGTGACCTGCCCGCTTTGGCCTCCCAAAGTGCTGGGATTACAAGCGTGAGCCACCGTGCCTGGCGTAAACACTTTCATTAGTAATTAGCAAATAATTTTTTGCTTTCCAAATTCTTTTCTATTTTTAAAGGTCTCTTGGCCAGGCTCAGTGGTTCATGCCTGTAATCCCAACACTTGGGGAGGCTGAAGCAGGAGGATCTCTTGAGCCCACGAGTTGGAGACCAGCCTGAGCAACATAGTGAGGCCCCATTTCTAAAAATAAAAAATAAAAAAAATTACCCAGGTGTAATTAGTCCATTTTCACAATGCTAATAAAGACATACCTGAGACTGGGTAACTAACAAAGAAAAAGAGGTTCAGTGGACTCACAGGTCCATGTGACTGGGGAGGCTGTGTAATTATGGCAGAAGGCAAGGAGTGCAGGGCACATCTCACATGGTGGCAGGGAAGAGAGAACTTGTGCAGGGGAACTCCTCGTTATGAAACCATCAGCTCTCCTGAGATTTATTCACTATCACAAGAAGAGCATAAGAAAGACCTGCCCCCATGATCCAGTTACTTCCCACTGGGTGCCTCCCAGATGTGGGGAATTGTGAGAGCTACAATTCAAAATGAGATTTTGCTGGGGACACAGCCAAACTGTATCATTCCACCCTGGGCCCCTCCCAAATCTCATGTCTTCACATTTCAAAACCAATCATGCGTTCCCAACAGTCCCCCAAAGTCTTAACTAATTTCAGCATTAACTCAAAAGTCCACAGACCAAAGTCTCTTCTGAGACAAAGCAAATCCCTTCCGCCTATGAGCCTGCAAAGTCAAAAACAAGTTAGTTACTTCCCAGATACAGTGGGGGTACAGGCATTGGGTAACTACAGCCGTTCCAAATGGGAGAAATTGGCCAAAACAGAGGCTTACAGGCCCCGGTGCAAGTCCAGAATTCAGCAGGACAGTCAAATCTCAAAGCTCCAAAATGATCTCCCTTGACTCCATGTCTCACATCCAGGTCAAGCTGATATAAGAGGTGGGCTCCCATGGTCTTAGGCAGCTCTGCCCCTGTGGCTTTGCAGGGTATAGCCCCCACTCCTGGCTGCTTTTATGGGCTGGCATTGAGTGTCTGTGAGTTTTGCAGGCACGCAGTGCCAGCTGTCGACGTATCTACCATTCTGGAGTCTGGAAGATGGTAGCCCTCTTCTCACATCTCCACTAGGCAGTGCCCCAGTGGGGACTCTATGTGGGGGCTTCAACCCCACATTTCCCTTCTGCATTGCCCTAGCAGAAGTTTCTCCATGGGGCCCTGCCCCTCATGGAGGGGACACAGCCCTGCAGCAGACTTCTTCCTGGATATACAGGTGTTCTCATACATCCTCTGAAATCTAGGCGGAGGTTCCCAAACCTCAGTTCTTTACTTCTGCACACCTGCAGGCTTAACACCACATGGAAGCCGCCAAGGCTTGGAGCTTGCACCATCTGAAGCCATGGCCCAAGCTGTACCTTGGCCCCTTTCAGCCATGGCTAGAGCACCTGGGACACAGGGCACCAAGTTCCTAGGCTGCACACAGAAAGGGGGCCCTGGGCCTGGCCCACAAAACCATTTTTTCCTCCTAGACCTCTGGGCCTGTGATGGAAGGGGCTGCTGCAAAGGTCTGACATGTCCTGGAGACATTTTCCCCATTGTCTGGGTGACTAACATTCGGCTCCTCCTTACTTAGGCAAATTCCTGCAGCCAGTTTGAATTTCTTCTCAGAAAATGGGATTTTCTTTTCTATCGCACTGTCAGGCAGCAACTTCTCCAAGCTTTTATTCTCTACTTCCCTTATAAAACTTAATGCCTCTAACAGCACCTGAGAACCTCTTGAATGCTTTGCTGCCTAGAAATTCCTTCTGCCAGATACCCTAAATCATCTCTCTCAAGTTGAAAGTTCCATAGATCTCTAGGGCAGGGGCAACATGCCACCAGTCTCTTTGCTAAAACATAACGAGTCACCTTTGCTTCAGTTCCCAACAAGTTCCTCATCTCCATCTGAGACTACCTCAGCCTGGATTTCATTGTCTGTATCATTATTGGCATTATGGTCAAAGCCATTCAGCAAGTCTCTAGGGAGTTCCAAAGTTTCCCACATTTTCCTGTCTTCTTCTGAGTCCTCTAAACTGTTCCAGCCTCTGCCTGTTACCCAGTTCCAAAGTCGCTTCCACATTTTCGGGTATCTTTTCAGCAGTGCCCCACTCTACTGGTATCAATTTACTGTATTAGTCCATTTTCACACTTCTAATAAAGACATACCCAAGACTGGGTAACTTACAAGAAAAAGCGGTTCAGTGGACTCACAGTTCCACGTGGTTGGGGAGGCCTTTTAATCGTGGTGGAAGGCAAGGAGGAGCAAGTCACATCTCACATGGCAGCAGGGAAGAGAGAACTTGTGTAGGGGAACTCCTCTTTATAAAATCATCAGATCTCATGAGGCTTACTATCATGAGAAGAGAACGAGAAAGACCCACCCCCATGATTCAGTTACCTCCCACTGGGTCCCTCCCACGACGTGGGAATTGTGGGAGTTACAATTCAAGAGGAGATTTGGGTGGGGACACCACCAAACCGCATCACCTGGCAAGGTGGCATGTGCTTGTGGTCCCAGCTACTCAGGAGGCTGAGTGGGAGGATTGCTTGAGCCCAGGAGATTGAGGCTGCAGTGAGCCATCATGGTGCCACTGCACTCCAGCCTGGGTGACAGAGAGATACCCTGTCTCAAAATAAAAACAAGGGTCTCACAAGACCTGCTTTGCAACCAATTGTTAACAGTTCACATTATGTTTAAGTATATGTAGTAATAAAGCTGATTTTCTTTCAGAATTATAGACTTCAGGGGTTTGATAATTCGTACTTGTTTTCTGAATTGGTAAGGAATAGTGCCAAGCATCAAATGGATAAGGACCCTAAATAATAAACCTTTATTTTCAAATATTGCTTCCATATCTACCTGCCAAGTTCTGGCAGCCTTTTTGATGATATACAAATGCCTATATTATAGTTCCTGCAATTCTTCTATTTTAATGAGGACCTACTTAAACCACGAGACTTATTTTACATTTTCACCATTATTTAAATAAGATTGTTCATTCATAGAGCTTCTGTTAGCCTACGGTCTGCTAAATATTGGTACCTATGCAAAGACAGCTGATGTTCCCTGCTCTTGAGGAGCCAGGGGAACTTTTCACTGCAATATCTGTAGTAATTTTACATTTTGTCTTTTAGATAAACTCAAGCCATGGAGGGATTACTGCATTACATCAACCCTGCACACGCCATTTCTCTCCTAAGTGCCCTGAATGAGGAGCGTCTCAAAGGACAGCTGTGTGATGTGCTGCTGATTGTTGGAGACCAAAAGTTCCGAGCTCATAAAAACGTCTTGGCTGCCAGCAGCGAATACTTTCAGAGTTTATTCACAAATAAGGAAAATGAGTCACAAACTGTATTTCAGCTTGACTTCTGTGAGCCAGATGCTTTTGATAATGTTTTAAACTACATTTATTCTTCCTCTCTATTTGTTGAGAAGAGCAGCCTTGCTGCTGTGCAAGAACTTGGCTATAGTCTTGGGATTTCCTTTCTGACTAACATCGTTTCTAAAACACCTCAAGCCCCCTTTCCAACGTGTCCTAATAGAAAAAAAGTGTTTGTAGAAGATGATGAAAACAGTTCTCAAAAGAGAAGTGTCATTGTTTGTCAAAGTAGAAACGAAGCGCAAGGAAAAACTGTTAGTCAAAATCAACCCGATGTAAGCCATACTTCCCGGCCCTCTCCTAGCATTGCAGTCAAGGCCAATACCAATAAGCCACATGTCCCAAAACCAATAGAACCACTTCATAATTTGTCATTAACTGAAAAGAGTTGGCCGAAAGATAGTTCTGTGGTATATGCAAAGTCTCTTGAGCATTCTGGATCTTTGGATGATCCTAATAGAATCAGTTTGGTGAAAAGAAATGCAGTGTTGCCTTCAAAGCCTCTGCAAGACAGAGAAGCTATGGATGATAAACCAGGTGTGAGTGGTCAGCTTCCAAAAGGAAAAGCTCTAGAGCTGGCTTTGAAGAGACCACGGCCACCTGTTTTGTCTGTTTGTAGCTCATCAGAGACTCCCTATCTATTAAAAGAAACTAACAAAGGAAATGGTCAAGGTGAAGATAGAAACTTGTTGTACTATTCAAAGTTAGGCTTAGTGATCCCATCCAGTGGATCTGGTTCTGGAAACCAAAGCATTGACAGGAGTGGCCCACTTGTTAAGAGTCTCCTCAGACGGTCATTGTCGATGGATAGCCAGGTTCCTGTCTATTCACCTTCCATAGATTTGAAATCTTCCCAGGGATCATCTTCGGTGTCCAGTGATGCACCAGGGAATGTGTTGTGTGCTTTATCTCAGAAGTCATCTTTAAAAGATTGTAGTGAAAAAACAGCCCTAGATGACAGGCCTCAAGTGCTACAACCGCATCGCCTCAGGTCCTTTAGTGCTTCTCAGTCAACAGACAGGGAGGGAGCTTCCCCTGTGACTGAGGTGCGCATAAAGACTGAGCCCAGCAGCCCGCTGTCGGACCCCTCGGACATCATCCGCGTCACTGTGGGAGATGCGGCAACAACAGCAGCTGCCTCATCTTCGTCGGTCACAAGAGACCTGTCTCTGAAAACAGAAGATGACCAAAAAGACATGAGCAGACTCCCAGCAAAAAGGAGGTTCCAAGCGGACCGAAGATTGCCGTTTAAGAAGTTAAAGGTGAATGAGCACGGGTCTCCTGTGTCAGAAGATAATTTTGAGGAAGGCTCAAGCCCTACTCTCCTTGATGCAGATTTTCCAGATTCTGATTTGAATAAAGACGAATTTGGTGAGTTGGAGGGGACGAGACCAAACAAAAAATTTAAATGCAAACATTGCCTTAAGATCTTTAGATCAACAGCAGGTCTTCACCGTCATGTTAACATGTACCATAACCCAGAAAAGCCCTACGCTTGTGACATCTGTCACAAGAGGTTTCACACCAACTTCAAAGTGTGGACACACTGTCAGACCCAACACGGCATAGTGAAGAACCCATCACCAGCCTCTAGTTCACATGCTGTTTTGGATGAAAAATTCCAAAGAAAGCTGATTGACATAGTGAGAGAGAGAGAAATTAAGAAGGCCCTGATCATTAAGTTAAGGCGCGGCAAGCCTGGTTTTCAGGGACAGAGTAGCTCCCAAGCACAGCAAGTCATCAAGAGGAACTTGAGATCTCGAGCCAAAGGAGCTTACATTTGTACTTACTGCGGAAAAGCGTACCGCTTTCTCTCTCAATTTAAGCAGCATATAAAAATGCATCCAGGAGAAAAACCCCTTGGAGTAAATAAAGTTGCTAAACCAAAAGAGCATGCTCCTCTTGCAAGTCCAGTAGAAAACAAGGAGGTTTACCAGTGCCGCCTCTGTAATGCTAAGCTCTCTTCTCTCCTAGAGCAAGGAAGCCACGAGCGGCTGTGCCGGAACGCGGCCGTCTGCCCTTACTGCAGCCTCAGGTTTTTCTCGCCCGAGCTGAAGCAAGAACACGAGAGCAAGTGTGAGTATAAGAAGCTGACCTGCCTCGAGTGCATGCGCACCTTCAAGTCCTCTTTCAGCATCTGGCGGCACCAGGTTGAAGTCCATAATCAGAACAACATGGCACCCACCGAAAACTTTTCTTTGCCCGTTTTGGACCACAATGGTGATGTGACTGGTTCTTCAAGGCCCCAATCCCAGCCTGAGCCCAACAAAGTAAACCACATCGTCACCACAAAAGACGACAACGTGTTCAGTGATTCTTCAGAACAAGTTAACTTCGACTCGGAAGATTCCTCTTGTCTTCCCGAAGACCTTAGTCTTTCCAAGCAACTGAAAATCCAAGTCAAAGAGGAGCCTGTGGAGGAGGCTGAAGAAGAGGCACCCGAGGCCAGCACAGCCCCCAAAGAAGCGGGTCCTAGCAAAGAAGCCAGCCTGTGGCCCTGCGAGAAGTGTGGGAAGATGTTCACGGTGCATAAGCAGCTGGAGCGTCACCAGGAGCTTCTGTGCTCTGTGAAACCATTTATTTGTCACGTGTGCAACAAAGCTTTTCGCACTAATTTTCGACTCTGGAGTCACTTCCAATCGCACATGTCTCAGGCTTCAGAGGAATCGGCACATAAGGAATCTGAGGTGTGCCCTGTTCCCACAAACTCTCCCTCTCCACCACCTCTGCCACCGCCACCACCACTGCCCAAGATCCAGCCTCTGGAGCCTGACAGCCCCACAGGCCTGTCCGAAAACCCAACTCCAGCCACAGAAAAACTGTTTGTGCCCCAAGAATCAGACACCCTTTTTTACCATGCCCCACCCCTTTCAGCAATCACATTTAAAAGACAGTTTATGTGTAAACTTTGCCACAGGACATTCAAGACTGCATTTAGTCTTTGGAGTCACGAACAAACACACAATTGAAAGACCAACACTTTTTACCTATGGGAGGCAGTCCCCAGATTTCAACCTGAATTGTGAAATGTGTCATAAGAAACAAAATATTTTTTAAACAAGAATAATAAAGGTTGGAGATTGTTACGCTTGAAATTAAGTTGGAGGCAAATTGATAATTACTTAGTAATGTCCTTAACTTTAGAAATACAGCTTTTAAAATATTGTGGTTCTGGACCTTACAAGAACAAGATGGTTTGATTTCATTAATGTTGAAATTGGATTAGTCTTGATTGTGTGCATGGTTCCTCATTCCATGGTGTCAGTATAATCATTTAATTGAGGTTTTTGGTTTTTTATTGATTAGTGGAATACTGTCGAAGTATTCCTTCTTTTAATTATTTTAGACACTTGAGTTCTAGTTAAATCTTAACCATGTTCTTAAGTCCAAAATAGGAAGAAGTGGAGTAGTTTGCAGTATTGATTTATATCTTAGACTACTTTAGCAATAAAAGATAAATCTCAACTTTAATAAGTTATCCTGACACTTGATAAAAATAAATATTTGGTATTTTGTGGTCATGTAAAACTTCTTTTTGTATGAAAATTGTGAGAAATTTAAATCAGCAATAGTAACACTTAGATTTTTATAAACTAACAAAAACTTGCTCTCAGTCAATATAATAAATGATAGTTAAACTCTAAGGAAGACCTGGGAAATGAAAACAATTTATGGAAGTCCCCTACAGTCAGTTTATAAGGGCTTCAGTAGTGATAGACATTGTTATAAAAACTTGTACCATGTTACATGTACACTGCACCACAGTCTAAATTCAGACCAGCATTTGAAGGACTGCACATATTTCATTTCCTCTGATTTATGCTGTCACAAATTGAAAATCTGAGTGTAGTTAGGACAAAAAACAAAGCTAACCATATGGCACTAATTTTGATTTTAACATTAGTGTAACAAATAAGGTCGGGACATATATTTACATAGATCCCAGACACTCAAGAATTAGCACAGCTGATGTAAAATTCTAAATTACCATTTACTTCCAGATAGAGCAGAGGAGAAACACCTCACTGCAGTTTCAACATGCTTTCCAAGAACAATATATACGACATATACATTTTCCTGCCTCTCTCTTGTGACAATTTCTGTTAGAATTTGTTGGGGGTCTGATGGTTAAAATCATGGGCAAGGCCATTCTCTACATCATTGCTTAATATTTCAAAAATAGGTATTAGAGCACTATCAGTGGTCCAAAATTAGTTTTAGCTACTTATTTTGCTCCATGGGTTTTGGGCTTTTCAAAGAATACTATGTATAATTTGTAATTGAAAGCCTTTCAGTAGGATATCCAAAGTTCAATGTGTTTCAAAAGGGAAAACTTTTACTTGTGGGGGTGGGAGTTAGATGTATTAAAAAAACGAAACTACAAAATCCTTTTAAGAAAGTAATACCAATTTAGACTCTAGTTTGTGTTACGAGGTATTCTTTCAAATTTTTTTTAAAAGCCAACTACTGTCATTAAGAAATAATTTTAGATTTGTGCTCTAGCAGAAAATAACTCTGTACCCATCAATCTTATTGCCAACATTCCATACCAGTGGTAGGAAAGATATTCTCATTTTTTTTATTGAACCAGACATTTTTATAAAATACTGATTGACTTTGTACATTATGGATATTATATATGAAATTTTGCCTTGTATTCTTTCACTTGAAAAAACTCCAAAATTCCACAATATTTTAGTAGTTAACTTCCTATTCTTTCTTAAATTTGATGGAGAAGGGAAAATAAATTGCAGTTATTGATTCTTGCCATCTTTGTTTTCTTAAAGAAATCTATGCATTTTAAGGATAAAACTAAAGCATATGGGTTTACATGAAACATCAGGATGGATTATTGTACATTGAATTCATTCCGCGTATAATGTGGTATTTCTTACTCTGTCCATCTTGGTAGCTGTCACTTCAAAAGAAGACAGTTTCCCTGAGTAATCATCACCTACATGGCCATTAGAGTATCTATCGGTGATAATTCCATGATACAGAGTATCTTGGCATTATAAATTCAGTATCCCAGGACCTAAACCTTTATGCTACATTTTCGAAGATTTTTTAAAAATAATATTGTTAATCAGTAAAAAAAAAAAATATTTTTGATCTAAACATAGGTTCTGCATATCTGTTAGATTTTAAAAATGACTGGTGTTTTGTCTTCACATTTTTGTCTAAGCAAGGAATATAAGATTTCAAATAAAATTTTGAACCAAAAACATTTATAATGCCGTTCTGGTTTTTCTATTACTTTTTATACTGTACTTTAAAAGCATTAGGCTGAAAGAGTTTATTTTGGTGGTCAAAAAAAATATGCTTCCACTCATGTAACTATTTTAAATGTTAAGAAGTAAAATAATGAAAGATATGTTAATTACTTTATTCAGTAAAGTTTTTTAAGAATGTTTATCTCAGCCAGTAGGCAAATACTTGGTGTAAAACAAGTTGGTCTTAAATTGTTGCAACTCATTAGCTAGTGAAGATATTCATGTAAATATATTTTAGGATTGTAATTAATTTTGAAAATGTAGAAAGCTCTTTATTCCATGTAAGTATGCAGGATGCCTGCTTTTTTATGCAGTTGTGGAAAGAATGTAAAATGTTTTAATATATTCTTTGTTAATCTGAGAACTTGATACTGAATCGTTTATGTGGGAGAAGGAAGGAGTAACATAAAACATGTTTTTATCACTCAAAGTAAGCAATGGAGGTAACAAATATTGTGCATTTTAACAGTAATATTTGAAGATTTGTAG
Organism: Homo sapiens; assembly: GCF_000001405.40. Taxonomy (NCBI): domain Eukaryota; kingdom Metazoa; phylum Chordata; class Mammalia; order Primates; family Hominidae; genus Homo; species Homo sapiens. The sequence continues at coordinate 41,988,101 of NC_000021.9, read as the reverse complement.
AATATTCACCTTTAAAACTAGTTAGTATGCATTTATAATTTTACCAGAATATACAACTAACAATTCAACAGTGATGTTCTTTGCATTTGTGGGGAGATGTGTGATGTTCTTGGTTTTCTGGTTTGGAATGGAACGTTTATAGCCTTGCCTGTAAAAATGTGCCCCAGCACTTAATGAGTGACCGTTTGAATCCATATGTAGTCCCATTGGTGCTAATGAGAGTAGCTGCTGTGAAACAGGAATAAAATGTGTCTGTTCACGGAGGTGCGGTGTGGATGCACCTACAAGGCCAACTCTCTGATCAGGGTGAGGGAGAGATGGAAGAATTAACAGATCTAAAGTTGGCCTTTGTTGTCTCAAATTGGGTTTGTACACACATGCATGCATGTGTGTATACAACTGTAATCTGGAACTTCAGGAAGTAAAATTATTTGAAGTTTCTTAGTAAAAAGTAATTAGGTATAATTCCAAATAGATTTCTGTATAAATTGTATCTAACTGGATTACAAGTCAGTTTGACAATTTACGATGTCTCAGTGATGTTTCTGCAATAATTGTGAAATGCATTATTGATTTAAATAATGCTGACACGTACTCTTTAAAAGTGTTCTTTAACACTGACTACTAAACTTTAAGTTTTAAAAAATAGGTTTTCATTTATGGCTTTTTGTGGTTTTAGCACTTTAAGAAGTTTAATTTTTTGTAATTTTTAATATGCTCTTTCAGTGTATCTCAGCGGGTACTCCAGCTTGTGGCATTCCCATGTGACTGGGGAGAAGACAAAATTGGTGTTTAGATTCTGGAGGAGAAAAAATGAGTTACAATGTCAGGTGTTTTTAAAAATTCCTTTTAGAGACAGTCTTTTGGGAACCAAAGTATTTTACTGTAAATCTTTAAAATAACAGAATTCAGTGCTCTTTCATTTGTTAATGCTGTCCAGATTTTTCACACAGTTATACTCAGTTAATACTAGTTTTCAGAACATTAGTCCAAGGCTATTTCAAGTTTTCCATTGAATATATGCTTATGGTTAAAAGAAAAACGAATGGTTTTATAATTCTGTGTATTTTGTCATATGCCTTAGCAGAGTAAGTCATTTTTCCATTTTACTTAGGAATAAGCTTTTTCGAACTGAAAATTCATGGTAAAATAGGATTTCTATCTAATGTTAATCCATTGCTTATTTGTATTCAATTCCATTGTCTACAGTTTGCTTAAATGTTGACTAAGAATGATTGGAGTCAATAAATTTGTACTGTATTTTGCTTCGAGTCAGTCTCAATGGTATGCCCTGTACTTTGATAGTAACCGGGTGTAGCATTTACATTTGTGAAAGTAAAGTTAAAATCTTCCTATTTGGGTAATGTGAATAGCTGTGAGAGATTTAATTTTCCCCCGTTCCAGGTTGCTTATAGAATTAAGGTTGTATTAAAGCTTTAGTTATTTGGGCATCGCAAATACGATGATTAAAACCAGATAGGCAACCATCTTTGCTCATCTGCCATTTCCTTTACTATTCGAACTGGTAGTTTTTAAGTTGATGGGGCAGGGGGGTAAATGCAGAAAAATAACATTTTTAAGTACCCTGCATTGATATTTCTGCATAGCAGTTGATAAACCAGTTTTATTTGATAATCTAAAGAATTTAATGTCATAGCTTTTTTTTTTCATTCTAATGAGGTTTTTCTGTAAAACCGGGGTATATCATTTTTAAAAATTTTATTAGCTCTCCCTGTAACGTGAACAGCTGAACTGTAGATAATCAAGTTAATGCTACCAAGCTGACTGGAAAATAAAGAATTAGAAGGTACAGAGACCCACAGTGGTTTGATCAGTGCTGATTCTCACCTGCTTGGACTCGTACTTCTTGGCTTCTGACAGTTCTGTTTTCCTTTGCTGATATCCTAAACTAGCCTTTCTCGGGAGCCTCTGCCCAAAGTGTCTGGAACACACTGTACCAGGAACAAATTTTATATATATATATATAAACCTTCTGCTTTAACCCTGTTATTCAATTCGTCACCAATTATTGGTGGTGGTTTTATTTTCTTTTTATTGTTTTTAGGTTTCCCTTTTTTTTTTTTTTTTTTTTTTTAGCAATAACAGGCTTTGTGAGGTTTGGGATTGCTGCACTCCTTTGCATCCTCTCAATCTTTGGCACATACTCAAGACAGTAAATAGTGTGGTGGCAAAATCATGTCCCCAGTGTTTAATATTTTCCCCAGCCAGAGGCAAAATCTTGGCTCAGTTCTTATGAACTTGAGTTCTATGAACTTGGAAAGTTGAGTGGCAGGTGTTCCTCATACATGGTGTATGTGTGAGATTTGCCATATTGTCATAGAGGCACTTTACAAATACAGCATGGGGAAACCCTGCTGCAGCATGAATTTGGGTATCATGCTATTGGCCATCAGACCCCGTCCTCCACAGGAGAGCCCTTGGTCAGCTCATCCACCTCATGATAATGCAAGTCTGCCTTTTGTGCAGTGTCTTAAATCCCACTTGTGGTTGGCATCATTTCCTCCAGAAAATACTTCCTGGTCCCTTTCCAGGTGCTCTTCACCCCAGCCCACGGCAGTTGCCCCTCCTAAGTGTTCCCCATAACACCCTGATATCGGCCTGTCATTTGACTTATTACTTTCTGTTTCATCTGCGTGTGGTTTATCCTGCTAGACTAGGAGGGACCCAGGGATAGGGGCTATTCTTGTGTTTCCAGGACCTGGCAAAGGGAAGGTGCCTATTAAGTATTTGATAAATACAGCAAAGAAATTTTGTCTGAGGCAACAGTCAACCAATTTATTTTTAGCTAATATAGGAAAGTTAGTGAAGATCTCTGCAAATGGTCTCCAGATTTTGATTTCACCTACACAGAGATCCATAGTGTATTTTAATTTCATGTGATTCTCAGTAAGCCCAAGGGAGAATGGAAATGTTTGAATGGCTGGTGTTAGATTGACAAGTTCCTGGAACTTTGTGAATCCCGGGCACTCTGTGCTGCTGTGATTGTTCTGGATGTGTGACAATCCATGTGCATCCTTGGCACTGCCAAGGTCCCCCTTAGGACACCCAAGTATGGAAAGTTGCCTAATAAACTCATCAGTAAACCTAAGAAAAGGAATAGTAACTAATTCTGAGTGCTTATTGTGTGTGAAGCACTGTACAGGTGTGTGGTGGTATTTGTAAACCATTAACAGACTTGTTTTTCTTTTTACTCCCATTCCCCATTCTCAGGTATCCCAGTCTCCTGCAGTCTGGAATATTCCTTATTCTCTCTGGCTTTTTTGGCCTTGATCATTTGGAAGACTGTGAACCAGTCATTTTGTAGAGTGTTTCTTACTTGGAGTTTGTCCCATGCTTCCTCATGACTGGACCATCACTATGCGTTTTGGGGTCAAAATATACAGAAGCTCTATTCTCTTCATTTCAACCTATGGATGGCATCTGATGCCTGTATGCCCTGTTGCTGATGGCATTCATTTTAATCCTTTGACTAAGGTGGACTTCTGCCAACGTCTCCACTATGTTTGCCCCCATTTGTAGTTAATAAGTATTTTGTGGGGAGATATTTTGAGACTATGTAAAATTCTACTCCTCATCTCAATTCTACCCACTAATTTTAGCATCTCTTGATGTTCCTTGCCTGAATTAATTTATTTTTACAGTTGTTGCCAAATGGAGGTTTTCTCATCCATCGTTCCCTCTTCATTTATTTGTGGGCTTTCTACTGCAAGGAAAAAAATGTTCTGTAATTCCCATTAACTTACTAATTTACATGTGTATGTGTTGTGGATTCATAGATTCCTATTCTGTTCAATGGTTTCTAATCAGTTGCCACCTTTTTTATTTTTTTGATGTTCAAATTATCCTAAATTTAGTAGGAGTTTCAGACCAGGCTGCTGCAAGCTTTGACATATCCTCTCAGCAAAGTAAGAAAAATGCTTAAAGAGCCTGAGGTTTTTTTTTCTTAATTTCTGGCACAACAAGATGTTCCAGACTCATCTCCCTCTTTCCCTGCCAGAGCCCTGAAACCAGCCATTTTATTTTTGTATATGTAATAAGCTCCAAAATACATTGTTATTATTTTTGCTTTAAATGGTCAATTGTCTTTTAAAGATATTTAATTAAAAAAAGTCTTTATAGTTACCTATGTAAGTTTCCATTTCTGGTACTCATTATTTTGCCTGCAGATTCAAGTTTCCTGTGATATCATTTTACTTCTGCTCAAAAGACATTAACATTTCTTTTAGTGTAGGTCTACTGATGCTGGGTTCTTTCAGCTCAGGTATATCTAAAAAATATTTATTTTGCCAACCTTGAAAGCTATTTTTGATGGGCATGGAATTCTAGATAGCTTTTTTTTCTTGTGGTGCTTAAAATATGTTGCTCACTGTTTCTAGCTTTATTTCCAGTGAGAAATCCTGCTGTCCTTACCTTTGTTCCTCTGTATACAGTATGTCTTTTTTACTCTGGCTGCTTTTTTAAAGTTCTCTTTATTACCAGTTTTATGCAATTTGATTAGGATGCATGACCTTATATTAGGCCATTTGAAATTGTCTCAGAAATCACTATTGTTCTGGTGCATTGTTCTCTTTTTTCTCTGTGTTTCCTTTTGGATAGTTTCTATTGTTATGTCTTCTAGTTCACTAACCTGCTGCAATGTCTAATCTGCCACTGATGCCATCTGGTGTATTTTTCATTTCAGATGTGTAGTTTTCATCTCTAGAAGTTTGATTTGAATTTTAGGTATATATTCTATGTATCTACTTAACACATTCCATCTTTTCTCCGGCTTCTTTACCATATGGGATACAGTTAGAACACCTTTATAATGTCCTTGACTACTAATTCTATCATCTACTCCATTTCTAGGTTTGTTTTAAATTGATGTATTTTTCTCCTCATTCTGGGTACCTTTTTGTTTCCTCTTGGCATGTCTGGTAATGTTTTGTTGAATTGCAGACATTGTGAACTTTACCCCATGGGTGCTGGTTGTTTTTGTATTTCTATAAATATTCTGGAGCTTTATTGGGGGGATGTAATTAACTTACTTGGAAACCATTTTATCCAGGTTTTGCTTTTAAATGGTATTAAATGGGATCAGAGCAGAATTTAAATGCGGGCTAATTTTGTTCCGTTACTGAGGCAAGTACACCCCCTGTACTCAATGCCCTTGAATTACTTCAAGCACTGTATGAACTCCAGGGATTGTTCCTTCTAATGCTTATGTGTTTTGTTGAGTTTTTTTGTTTGTTTGCTTTTTTTTTTTAACCAGCTTCAAGAAGTTTCCTTACATGTTGAAGAGTCAAGGGACCTCTCTGCAGACCTCCAGAGTTCGTTCTTGTTCATTCGCGCGCGCGCTCGCTCACTCTCAGGCTTTCCCTTTTCCAGCACACTATGCTTAGAACCCTAGCCGCCTTTCCCTTCCTGGACTCCCAGCTCCATCTCCTCAACTCAGGAACACTGCTGGTTTATCCCATCTCTTTCTCATCTCCCGGTGATCACTGTTCTTTGTTGCCTTATGTTCAGTGTTTTGAAAATCACTCATATGCTTTGTCTGGAATTTAGTCATTTCACGCAAGATGGAAAATCAAGGCTCTATGATTTCATCTTGCCCAGAAGTGGAAATGAACTTGTTATTTTGTCATGGATAAGTTAGCTAATATGTCCTAAAGCACCTAGCCCTGTATGTCTGGGGATGCTATGCCAGAAGTTTGCCAGTGGAAAATTCTCCCAAATTCTAAGCAGCTTATTTATGAAAGAACTCAGTAGAGATTTTCTCAAACTTAAAAAAAAAATTACACACATCTCACTAAATTCAGATGAACTTTATCTCCTCCTCAACTCACCTTTAGTCAGGTCTGAAAAAGCCTATGGTCACTTTAGCAGCAACCATCATGAAAGAAATTATGGGAGAGAAGGTCAGGATGGAAAGAGACAGGCATCTCTCTCCTGTTTGGTATATGCACGGTCACAGTTTTACAAAGCCATAAAATATTACAAATTATAAAATAGTGAGATATTTATGACCTGGAAATTTCCTGACAACTGAGGCACCTGGAACTTCAGCTTCACAGTAAATCTGCCTATTTTATTCATTCACAGTGAAAAACCTTGGTCACAATCCAGTATGTGGATTTTATAAGCTGATAATGGGTCATAATCTGCCATTAGCCCTTTCCCTTGGCCAGGTCTTCAGATGACCTGGGTGGCAAGGATGGACTCTACAAAACCAGGCTGGGGTGGTGTCCAGCTTGATGGCTGGAGGAAGAGCCATTGCTTTGGGTTCTCAGTGTTTTTGGTGACCGATGATATGTAGTTAAAATGGCAGAAACACTAGATCTTTTCTCTCATGTGATAAAGACATCAGGAAGTTAGGATGCAAACTTTATTTCTACCACTTGAAACAGAAATTGGTGTGTAAGGAAGCAGAGATTTTGTTCTGAGGGTCCCCATTATTATTTAAAAGTAGGTTTTCACGGGCATGAAAGTTGGGTTTCCAAGTGGAGTTCATGGAACAAAAGAGCCAGTTTCTGTTCACAAAACCAAAGACCAAAGATAGATTACTGAATAATGTATAAGTTTGATGTTATAAAAATAACATGTCTGTCTGACTTGTTGTTAGGTGAAAGCATTAAGTACAAAATAACTTACTAGCCCTTTAAATAAAATGATTTACATCAACTGCTGTTGGTCCTCTAAGAAGTGTTAGGCTTCATGTCTAGCCCCTACACAGCCATATTATTTTAGAAACATTGAGTGGGAGCTTTTCCTGATTTGTCAGAGTGAATAGTTTGGAAAAATCTCTAGCCTGTCACTAAGAAAAGGCTACCAATAATTGAGGAGCTAAAGCTCTTTCGCTGGAAACTTACTTGATGATCCAAAGAGTTATAGTTGAAGAGTTACCAGAGCTCAGGAAAAATATTAAAATTTATACAATTTGGAAATTCTGTTATTTCTGTTATTTGGAATAACCATATTTCCATTGCCAATGCTAGGACACAGGTCTAGGAGCATATTATGTCCCCAGTAAGTGGTTTTAGTTTTTTTTTTTTTTTTTAATACCATGAAGGCAGGGTCGCATCATAACTCTTGTGGGCCCTAGACACTTTGGGGACACACTTCCTCCACAAAATATATACAAAGTCATATTTTGCAACTACATTGATATAAGGGCAAATATAATCCAAGCTGTATTAAAAATAAACTTTTCTTCAACCCCTAACAACTCATTTTTTTCCTTCTGATTTTAAAATAAACTAAAACATTGTGGTCCATTAAAAAAAATTTATGGTTCCTTAAAAGTGCCAGGGGCTCTAAGCACTTTGTCTCCTGTGCCTAATGAATAAGTTGGCCCTGATTAAAGGAAGAAATGAAGCAGGCATGCAGCCAGCAGGGAGAAACAGATTCCAATAGAGATAAATGGAAACTTGGGGTTCTAAAGTTTCTGTTGGAAAAGTTGTCCAGTGGATGACAACCTCCCAACATTCATGTGTATTTTTTAGCCTGGATAACTGTGACTATGAATTCTTATTGACATTTTTTTTATCCTCTAAAAAATAAGGGGCTTTTATAGCTGACACAGGATGAATTAGGTGCTCTGAGAAGCACTCAGATTCTTGACAAAACACACTTTTTGATGAATGCCAGACTTATAAGAGTAGGGAGTTTTCCAAGCCCTTCCTCAACTTACCTCCAAGAAGCCAACAAAACTCTTGAGCTAGGCAGAGCTCAGTGACCTGATGGTGGACACTCCTAGTGTCACTGTCTGGGCACACTGACAAAGTAGGGGAGTTGAGCCTGTGACACCCACATTGAATCGGGACCCTGCAAGGTGGGTGGGGACTGACAAGGTGTACAGAGAAGAGTAACCACAGCTCTCCTGGGAGAGGAGGCAAGGTTAGGTCTTGCCTGGCATCTAGGAACTTGGATTTGGGGAGGTTCTCACTGTCCCTGATAAACCCAGTGGCTTACTGCGCCTAAACGTGTACAAACCATACACTTCATGCTGAACAGCCGCTTTCCTTCCAAGAGTCTGGAATGTTGATGCGTCCTGGGCAGAAGACACCTATATGACTAGCCCCCAGTAACGACCCTGGCACCAAGTCTCTAACGAGCTTCCCTGGGGGCAATGTCTCATTCATGTTGCCACAAGTAGTTCCTGAAGGAATTAAATGCATCCTGTGTGACTTCACTATGAGAGGGCTCTTGGAAGCTTGCTCCTGGTTTCTTTCAGATTTCATGCCCTTTTTTTCCTTTGCTGATTTTGCCTTGTGTCCTTTTACTGTAATCAGTCACACCCATCAGTGCAACTCTCTACCAAGTCCTGTGAGTCCTCCTAGCCAATCATTGAACCCAGGGTTGGTCTTGGGGTTCCCCAACTCATGGTTTCAAGTCCGTGACACCTGTGGTTTGCAGTGAATCCAACAACAATTGTATTTGTGAAAGCACCACAAATTTAGACTTTCATGATTCCAGCAGATCGAGCCAAGGGCTCACACTCAACACATGAGCAGGCAAGCAACCCCTTGAATGAGAGTCAGCAGAAACAACCAGCAACAGAACTAGACCATCAGAGACGGCTGACATCACCACTGTCATGTGCCAGGTACACAGCAGATACTTATGAAACGTTTAAATAAATGAAACATGAAACAATAAGATGACAAGTAATTGGACACTATCAGTACTGAACAGGCAGATTTGAGAAAGGAACAAATGGAATTTCTAAAAAAGAAAAGAGGTTTTAAGTAAAAAATCTCAATGAATGAGTTAAAGAATAGATTGCATATGACTGCAGAGAACTAATGAAGAAGCAGATATATCAGGAAAAAATTACACAGAATGAGCCAAGACAGGATCGAAAATATGAAGGAAAAGTTCAGAGTTATGGGGGATTTCTGCTCTGACCAAGATAGAGTAACAAAGACAGCATATGCCTTCCTACCTAAAACAATTAAAACAGCAGATAAAATATGTAAACCAATAGTTCTCCAGGCAATAGGACCCCAGGCAATGAAGTGATAAATTTTAAATTATTTTATTTATTTATTTGTTTTTAGAGACAGGGTCTTGCCATGTCACCTGAGCTGGAGTGCAATGGCTAGTCACTGGTGCAGTCTTACTACATTTCAGCCTTGAACTCTTGGGTTCAAGTGACCCTCTTGCTTCAGCCTCCCAGTGTTAAATCATTTTAATGTTAGTAAAACTGTAAATATTTTGTATTATTTAATATTAATATTTGATAATATTTAATGTTAATGAGAGATTGTCACTTGTAATATCTCTTAATCAAGTGACACTTTAATTTTTAATGCTATTGAAATACTTCATACTTAATGTTATTAATATTGAAAATAATATATGAACTTAAAATGATTTGAGATCATCAGTTGGTCAAGAGAAATTATCAAATATAGCAGCTATCTGAATTGAAAATGAGGTAAGCGTGGCCTGGTTTATCTCACGCCTGTAATCCCAGCACTTTGGGAGGCCGAGGCAGGTAGATCACCTGAAGTCAGGAGTTCAAGACCAGCCTGGCCAATATGGCGAAACCCTGTCTCTACTGAAAATACAAAAATTAGTCTGGTGTGGTGGCACACGTCTTTAATCCCAGCTACTCAGGAGGCTGAGACAGGAGAACCGCTTGAACCCAGGAAGCAGAGGTTGCAGTGAGTCGAGATCAGGCCATTGCACTCCATCCTGGGCAACAGAATGAGGCCTCATCTCAAAAAAAAAAAAAAAAAAAGAAAAGAAAATGAGACACACAAAGAAGTAGATGTTGACAATGCTATTGATGAGTTTGTTTCCATTAAAGCCAGAAAAACAAAATTATAATAAATTTGTTTACAGTGTTAGTAAAATATTTAAACCTGAAACAATGTTATGATAATGTTACCTACTTTTCTGTTTTTCAAGATTTTTCAACTTCTTTAATGTTCTAGAATAAAACAAAACCATTCAAAATATAAAACATACGTATAGGGGTGCACATCTTTCCTTTTGCCTATGATCCAGTGTGGCTCAGCTCAGCACTGGTCTTTAGTTAAAATGATGGGGTTTTTTGTTCATAATGGAAGTTTTGCATTAATTTTGATTTTTTCTAATATTACATTAAAATATTTATCTTGATTACTGAGTTTCCGGCATCCTCTTCCATTTTACACCCAGACAGGTACCTCACTCCCCTCACCCATCTCTGTTTGGAAGCGTCAGCTTCCTGGCAGCAGGGAGCCTGGGCAGGGTATCCCACTGCAGCCCGTTCCCTGGCCAGATGCCTGGCGACTCTTGGGCCAGTGCGTAAGGCAGTGTTCTTCAAATCCCTTGAGTGTGACTGAAAGAAAGTGAGGCAGAACTTTAAATACCCTGCGGCTCCCGCTATCCTGGAAGAATGCGGGGGCTTCTGGATGTGGCCATTTGTCATCCTTGGGTGGCAGGACACAAAGATGAAGCAGTAGCTGCCACAGTAACTCGGTGGCCTCTGAAGGTGGAGCTGACGGGAAAGGGCCCCAGGTTACCACAAAGGTACAGGCGGTGTCCAGCAGGTGTGGTGGCATCCCGTGGCAAACCTGGCTCTACATAAAGTCCCTAGGGGAGCTGTCGAGACACAAGTTGCCGTATTCATAATAGCCCCACAGTGCCAACCATCCAGTGCCCATCAACAGCAGTACAGAGGGATAGACAGGTGTGTTCACACAATGACTTCTGCTGGGCAGGGAGTGTGGATAAGCCACATGCTGTGTCCCACACCTAGTGAGCAAAAGACAGACACAGAAGAGTGTTTGCTGCATGATTCTGTTGTGTAAGGAACAAAAACAGGCAGAAACACATATGCCGTAAGGAGTCAATACATGGTTATCTTTGGTGGGTGCCAGGGGTCTCGACTGGAGGCAGTATAGGGGTCCTGGGTGCTGGTCACCTTCCCATTCCTGTTCTGGTTACACAGGTTTGACCCACTGGAGAGAACTCACTGAGCTGAACACATGATATACGCCCGTTTCTTTACATATATTATACTAAAATAAAATACCTTACAAGTAAATATAGGGTATTTGTGTGCCCAGCCTCATTGCGGACCAACCAGAATTTCTCAGGGTAAGCCCCAAACATGAGAAAATTTTGTTAACTCTTTGGATGTTTCCAATAAATTTTAATATACAGCCAAGATTGAGAACCGCTGATCAATCAAGGCCTGTTCTTAAACTTCCAAGTGGCCGGAACCCCCCGGGGAGCTTGCTACGGGGCAGTTGTGCTTTCTCAGGCCTGGCCGGGGCCCAGGAGTCTGCATTTCTAACAAGTGCCCAGGCCAAGCCCAGGCTGCTGGAAGCAGGCCCACACTGAGCAGCCGTGTTAAACGATTCATTGTCCTCCCCCCGGAGAGCCTGGGGGCTGCATTTTTAACCAACACCTTGGTTATTCTTGGTTAGGCAAATTTGAAAAACACTGATCAAGTTCCAAATGGCCTCATCAGATGGTGAGGAGTTCCATAACATTCACTGTGTTTCTTCAGATGAGAAAGTTGACTTTTCAGGGATTTCACAAACTGCTTTAAAAAAATAATAATTTTACGGCTGGGCGCGGTGGCTCACGCCTGTCATCCCAGCACTTTGGGAGGCCGAGGTGGGTGGATCACGAGGTCAGGAGATGGAGACCATCCTGGCTAACACAGTGAAACCCCATCTCTACTAAAAATACAAAGAATTAGCCAGGCATGGTGGCAGGCGCCTGTAATCCCAGCTACTCCGAGGCTGAGGCAGGAGAATGGCGTGAACCCGGGAAGCGGAGGTTGCAGTGAGCTGAGATCGTGGTACTGCACTCCAACCTGGGCGACAGAGTGAGACTCCGTCTCAGAAAAAAAAAAAAGAAAATAGAAAATAATAAAAATAATAATTTTTCAAAAATCAACAGGTGGAGGCCCAAGCACATGTTCCTAGCCGGGAGGTGGCCGAGAGCAGCAGGGCTTGGCAGGTGCTGCCCACACTGGCCTGAGAGAAGCAGAGGACAGGACCCTGGAGAGCGGCGGCTGGAGGAGTCCCAAGGGCAGCTGGGCCCCCATTGCCTCAGGAGGGCCCTGCAGGGCTCCAGGATGATGGAGACTTGTCCAAGATCCTAGGACCAGCTGGAGACGACCAGGACTATCCAGTGCCCAGCACGCAGCACATGTGTCTCCTCAGGGTCAGGAGCTTGGGGACAGCCGTCCTTGGAGCTCAGGGCTTCCATCCTCTATTCTGACTTTGCTCATAATCTCCTCACTAAAGACAGCGGTGCACAAGGTAAAATCAGTCTGCAGGGACCAGAGTGGGGCAGAGACTAGAGAACCGGGATGCCTTCAGATGCTGCTAGGGCCAGGCCTTTGGGCCCAGGTGGACCTGCATGAAATGCTGCCAGAGCTTGCAGGTGTGGCGAACTTTCCCACCACACACCCGACCTTCATCTAGAAGTCAGGTGAGTAGCGGAAAAGCATCCCCCAACCCCACGTCTCCTTGGGACAGGGGCTCTAATCACCCATCTCCTGGCCTCCAGTGACCCCAGGCTACCCTGCTCCTAGGAGGAGTTCTGGAAGAATATTTGATGGGCATGGTTAGGAATCTGCTGCCTGCAGAAAGCCCGTCGGCCCCATCAGCCCTGCCAGTGCTTGGGTGCCTAGATCTACCCGATTCACAACCCAACTTGACCAGGAGATCTCAGGCTGCATCCTCAACTTACCTTCACAGGACAAATCGTGACAGTTTGCTCCCTGGGTACTCATTACTTCACTCAGCTTATTCAACTTATCCAATATCTAACATCTCCAGCACCCAAGTGAGGAAGATGGGTGCTATTTACTGGGGCCCCATGCAGGGACCTTAATATAAGTTGCAAATGAAAGGGGAAAACATAAATATCCCAACTGTCTACAAGATGACTCCAGAAATTTCAGTCTGGTAATGTTGACAGTGATCTCTAAGAACATTCTAGACCTAATCATTAAGCAGATGGTTTGTAAAGATTTGGAAAACAGTGAAGACTCAAGGGAAGCAAGGATTCACTAAAATCACTCCCGGTGAACGTCTCTGGTTTCCTATCTCCATGGACACCTTAGATGGGGCAGCCCCAGGCAGAGCCCATCGCCCCCTCCCCTTTTCCCCCCACCCTGCATTTCCATGAAGCTTGTCACCCCTCACCCATGGATGAGACCTGGCAGCGTCTTCTGGCTCCTCCCCCTGCCTTACCCTCCCCAGTTCCCAGCAGGTGCTTTGAGTCCCTCCTCTCCTCTCTCATCGAAGACCCTTTCCCTTACAGAACTCTGCTGCCCTGCCCCAAGCCCGGTCAAAAGCATCTTCTGCAAAGTGCCCTAGGACAGGACTTCCCAAATTTTAATGTGCATTCAAAACCCTGGGCTCTTACGAAACTGCAGGGTTTGGTTCCACAGGTCCAGGGCGGGGCCTGACACTCTGCATTTCCAACACGCTCCCAGGTGGTGTGGAAGCTGCTGTCCTGGCCCACACACTGGAATAGCGAGGCTGTAGAGGACACACAAACTTGATGGCAGTTCTTCCTCGCTTGATCCCAGGGTGGGAGTTCCTCATCCCCTCTGAGGAAAACTGAATTCTCTCCAAGGTCACTTTGCACTTTGGCCAGGAAATGCCTTCAGTTCCAAACTCATCTCAACCAGGTCCAATCAAACACGCTGGATATCCGGGCAGATCTACCAGAAGAATAGGGCCCAGTCTCCATGGAGCCCGGCCTCCTCACATTTCCTGGCCTTTGAACTCACTGCTCCTGCGCTCTAGAGTGTCCCTCCCTCCCCCACTTCCTCTTCAAGACCCAGTTCAGCCTTCCCCTGACCTGCCCCAGGGGACCGGGCTGGCTTTCTTCTGTGCCACAGGCTCTGGGAAATGCCTCGTGGCCCTCACCACGTGGGTTGAGATGGTTCCTGGGTGCCTGGCTCCATCTCCCTACACTGTGAGCTCCCTGTGGCTGCCTTAGCTACCTTCCTCAAATAACAAGAGCTTGTGGCCTAGTGGTGAGTTCTGGGAAGTGATTCCAGGAACAGGTCCGGGCTGGGAGGAGGAAAACAGGGAAGAAGGGAACCCACACTGGATTACTAGGCTGTGGGCAGCTGGGATTCGCTGCCTCCTGCTGGGGACCCTGGAGACCCACAGAGAAGCCTCTGAGAAGGAAGATACAAGTGGCAAGTGTTTGTCCTTTGTCCTCCATCTCTTGTCACTCACTGGTCAAGGTTGGCCCCAGGGAATTAATGTTTCATCATTTCAAGATCTACCTGTCCCCCAGAATGGTGACGCCAGTCCCACGCAGGGGCAGTAGGGAAACCCGAGGCAAGAAGCAGGACATACGTGGGGCTGCGTAGGCACAGGGCTGCCAGGCCCCACCTGTGCACTGCCGGCTGCCAGAGCAGGGCTGAGGCAGAAAGGTAGGTCAGGAGGACACGAGGTGGGGCCTAAAGCCTCCAACAAGAGGCAAGGATTGCAGCTCTTCTCAGGTGTGGCCCAGAACGGACTGCACCTGCGCCCCGTGGCTGCTGGCTGCACTCCAAGGAATGCCAAATGAACGAAGGAATGAATGCATGAGCAAAAACCAACAGCCTCCTGTTCTTTGTGGATGCAGCTTCCAGACTGATAACCCAGGAAATGATCGTCGCTTTGCAAGCAGAGTCCTGATGCACTTGCGGGCGGATGAAGCCTCAGGCGGGAAGCGTTCAGCTCCGCACCTCCTGGCCCCCTAAAGACCCAGCCTCAAGAACAGGGCTGGGGACCACGTCCTTCTCAGCCAACTCTCTTCATCTTTCCCATGCCTCATCCAACGCCAGCGTCTGTTTCTTGACAAAGACTTTGAAATCATGCTGATGCTGATCAAAGTTGATCAAAGTGGACAGATAAAATAAAAGCTGGAAGACTATCAAGTATCTCGTGGGCAAGGCCTAAGTTAAAAAGAAAAAATAACTTAGTGGAGAAGAGGCTCTACTTCCAGAAAAGACTCTGCACAACGGCTTTACATGCAGCCTGGGAAGTTAGGGTCGGCCGGCTGAGACCCTGGGGTCCATCTGACCCTCAGCGTGTTCGGGCATGTGAAACACCTTCCCAGGTGCGTGAGAAACAACGTCTTGGCAGAGATGCAAGGGGCAGGCTGGCCTGGGGAACACGCTTGAACTGGGATGAGAAAGAGTAGGAATGCAGTAGGCCGGGAGTGACCAGATGCCCGTGACAAGCACAGAAAGGAGAGCAAACATGGACCAAAAGCAAAAGACGGAAATGTGAATACGCCAAATGAAAAACAAAATTAAACGTTGCTTTCTCGCATGTTTGATTTCGAAGAGCATTGTTGTGGCACTGTCTCCTAACCCCCGGCCCAATCCCACCATCTCCCTCTCCCAGGGCGACAAGAGAAGACTGAGCAGCAGGGTGCAGCCCCGGCTCGGCCGGTGATCCCTGAGGCTCTGGCACAATCTACAGAGCCAGAGGGTTCCTGGCACTCCCTTTATCAGCCAACATCTGGCTCTTACCTGAATTTTATTTTCTGTAATAATCCAGACACTTTGGTTTATCGGTCGTGCCCTTTTATAAGGAGCCTTATCAAAGTCAACCAAATATAAACCAGAACGACTAAAAATCCAAGAACTGGCTGGGCGCAGGGACTCACATCTGTAATCCCAACACTTTGGGAGGCTGAGGCGGGGGATCACTTGAGACCAGGAGTTCGAGACCGTCCTGTCCGTCATGGTGAAACTCCGTCTCTACTAAAAATACAAAAATTAGCTGGACATGGTGGCACACGCCTGTGATGCCAGCTACTCAGGAGACTGAGGCAGGAGAATCACTTGAATTCTGGAGGCAGAGGTTGCAGTGAGCCAAGATGGCATCATTGCACTCCGGCCTAGGCAACAGATCAAGACCCTGTTTCAAAAAAAATGAATAAAAATAAAAATCCAAGAGCTGATCAAAACCAGTCAGGAGCAGGCCCTTGGAACAGAACAGCTGTTGATCAAGAAGCATCTGGGGAAACTGCCTCATGGTTGCCCAATCACAGTAACCTTTCAGGTTAAACTGGAGAGACAAACTCCAACTAATATTAAAGGAAGAGTTTATTATACACTTTAAACTAAAGGGGCCTTGGTAAAACAACAGTCTTTTTTTTTTTTGAGACGTGGTCTCACTCTGTTGCCCAGGCTGGAGTGCCGTGGCACGACCTTGGCTCACTGCAAGCCCCGCCTCTCGGGTTCACGCCATTCTCCCGCCTCAGCCTCCCAAGTAGCTGGAACTACAGGCGCCCGCCACCACCCCCGGCTAATTTTTTGTATTTTTAGTAGAGATGGGGTTTCATCGTGTTAGCCAGGATGGTCTTGATCTCCTGACCCCGTGATCCACCCACCTCGGCCTCCCAAAGTGCTGGGATTACAGGCATGAGCCACCACACCTGGCCAAAATAACAGAGTCTTTTAAGACCAAAATATTCTTCACATAAATCGTCTTTATACTGGACCTCATTAAAAGCAGAAGGTATGTCATTCATATCAGCTCAGGGAAATTCTTTCCATGCAGCGCTGAAATAAGGTTTGGGTTTTTATTCCTCATCATCTAACGTCATGCAAGCGCAGAGACTGCTCAGAGGGCCTGGAAATGCCCTTTTCCCCCGTGTGTCCGTCTCTCGGATGCCTGATGTCCTCTGTGGGCCTCTGCCCCTGAGGTCTCACCGCATTCCTGGTGGAATTCATTGACTGGGGCCTAAGGAACCCCCATTCTGTGCTGCATTTGCTCCTGGGAAAATGCCAGCAAGCCCCTCCCCTGCCTGGGTAGCAGGCAGGCACTTCCTCCCAGCGGGGAGAGGGGAGCACTGGCTCCTGCTCCTCCTTGCAGGGCCTCGGGGAGACTTTTTGTGAACAGAAGCTGCTTTGGCCTGGGCGCCTCTGCACTGCGTTTCCAGCTAGAGGCGGCTGCAGCTCATCTCCTCTGTCTTGTTTGTCTCCATGGCCTCTACCCATGACCCTGACCGGGTTATCTCTGCTCCTTTTATCCAGCATGGAATAGAGCACAGCTTTCCCAAGCCCTTCTCTCCTGAACACAGCTCCCCCGAAGTCGGCTGACAGACCACCCAGCCCCAGTTTCTTGTGCATCACTGGGGGTCTCAGACTTCCTAGTCAGCACAGCAGCCTCAGAAGCCCCTGAGTGCAGTGCCATGGTACTCCCGGGAGGACGAGGGAGCCAGGGCTGCCGCTGGCTGGACAGGCCTCTGCCTGCATTAAAAAGACACCCCTTCCTCCAGGCAGATGCAGCCTTCCACCAGGAGGTACACTGGCCCCACTGCTCCTTCTGCCAGGTGTCCTTGTGCAGTGAACGGCCTGAGCAACTGAACACAAATGTGGTAGCAGTCATGAGAGCTAAGAGACTGCAGCCTCCAAGGCCACTACCACCATCTCTGTGTGGTGCAAAAAGGCATGAAGCAGGTGTCACGAGTGGGAGACCTACCCCACTAACTCCAAGAAAAGAAATGGGAGCAAGAAGAAAGAACAATTCCTCCTGTGGTACATCTAAGCCGAGGACAAAAGAATATCTAGAAACAGCTAACTATAGGCTGGCACCTTTATTCTAATCATTTTCCATCTTTATAGATTTAAAATAAATGTAATATGTGGAACTTTGCTTTTGATGTGTGTTATCCACACTCTAGCAAGATGAATGGCCTGAAACTGCCCTGATGAAGAGGCTTCCTACCTCCAGACACAGCAGTGCCATGACCCATGATTTTGAAGCCAAGATTGTATTTATTTTAAATAGAAGCATATTGAATTGGGGAACACATTCTAACATCCCAGCTCCAGGGGGTGGATGAATTCTGCACTGCAAACCTCTCGCCAGCGCTGATTTGCTGTTGTGTCCCCGCTCTGTGGAAGCCACTAGGAACGGTCATGAGGATGTTGACCCTGGCCCCCTCGGTGTGCTAGTGACTAGCAGCAGTTAGGGACAACCAGCTGTGTGTGTGTGTTTGTGTGTGTGTGGTATCACTGCACAGGCTGAGCCAGCCAATACCAGGGTAGCTGTGGGCATGCATGCATATTTACAGGCGTGATGTCAGCTTTGGTTCTGCTTGAATATTCCTGACAACTACACACTCTCCTTTCTGCCCTTCACAAAAGGGCTGTTACTCAGAGGCACTGGCCAGGAGACTGAAAGCAGCTTTTGTCCCACTAACCCCCTGCCCTGAGTAAGATGCAAGAGGAAGTTCATATTTTTCACCAACAGGGTGACTTTAGATTCTGGGACTCCAAACAAAATTGCACTTGAAAACTCGGCCGGGCGCGGGGGCTCATGTCTGTAATCCCAACACTTTGGGAGGCCGATGCGGGAGGATCACGAGGTCAGGAGATCGAGACCATCCTGGCTAACATGGTGAAACCCCGTCTCTACTAAAAATACAAAAAAAATTAGCCAGGTGTGGTGGCACATGCCTGTGGTCCCAGCTACTCAGGAGGCTGAGCCAGGAGAATGGCGTGAACCCAGGAGGCAGAGCTTGCAGTGAGCCGAGATCATGCCACTGCACTCCAGCCTGGGCGACACAGCGAGACTCCATCTCAAAAAAAAAAAGAAAAGAAAACCTGCTACTTGGTTTTTGTCATTTGCATTCATTCACTCATTCATTCATTCATTCACCCATTTATTCAATTATCTAACAACCATCTGTTGAGGCTACCCCATCTGACCAGTTCCCCATCCCATGCTGGGATATGAAGTGGAACAAGACAGTGAGGGAAGGAGACAGACCTGATCTTGGGGTGACCGTCTACTGTACACCGAGAGCAGATGGAAGTGACCTTGTGCCAGGCCCTGTGCTTGCACATGTGCTTATTAGTTATCTGGTTCTCACAGAGACTGTAAGAAGTGGGCAGTCTCATTCCTCCCATGTTACAGATGAGGAAACTGAGGGGCAGCAAGGCGAAATGATTTACCTAAAATCACAGCAGCCAGAATTTGACGCCAAACAGTCAGACCTGGAGTCAGGGGTGTTAATCCATGTGTGACACTTCCTGCTGAAGGAGATCATGTCTACGGTGCTCCATTTCCAAGACAAAGCGCCTTGAATCAGCTTAGGTCAGCAAACTACAGAAGAAACAGGATACACTAGGCCCCTGCTTGGATCGTCAACGCCTGCTTGTCTGCTGCCTCTGCCCTCAGTTGCTGTCACCCGAAGCAAAAAAGTTTAGTCTAAGACGAAAGTTTACTACCCTTCAAAATAGCTCACTTTGTCTGTTCTTACCAGCCTGCCCGGCTACTTCGGTCATAAATTAAATACTTGAAGAGCCCTTGAGCTAACTACGATTGCAATGCATTGTGGGCTGCAACAAAGTGCAGCAGTACAATCCTACAAAAAAAAAAAAAAAACACCTGAAGTCCCTGCCCAACAACCAATAGGCGACGTCTGGGAAGATTGTGACCCCCGGTGTGCTAATGACTAGCAGCAATGAGGAAGCAGGGGAGGGACCTGCACACCAGGGGATAAATTACTTGTTAAAACCGTGCTGGGTGTTTCTGCCCATCAGACACTTGATTTTGCAAGACCATCATTAAGAGTCTGACTCTCAGGCCCAATGGCACAGGCTCAGTGGCTCATGCCTGTAATCCCAGAACTTTGGGAGGCTGAGGCGGGCAGATCACCTGAGGTCAGGAGTTTGAGACCAGCCTGGCCAACAAGTTGAAACCCGTTTGTACTAAAAATACAAAAAAATTAGCAGGGTGTGGTGGTGCAGGCCCGTAATCCCAGCTTCTTGGGAGGCTGAGGCACGAGAATCACTTGAACTGGGGTGGCAGAGGTTGCAGTGAGCTGAGATCGTGCCATTGCACTCCAGCCTGGGCGACAGAGCAAGACTCCGTCTCAATTAAAAAAAAAAAAGTCTCACTCTCACTGTTCTCCAGGTCTCTGAGTCTGTTCTTTGGGCTTGGACAGGTGAGTTTATTTCTCACACTGCTAAGGGGTAACCGTGATCTGATTCTTGGAGGGAGGAGAGAGATTTTCAGGTGAGGAGGGAGAGGGATCTGCAGGCAGAAAATGGTAGGGGTGATGCCAACAGCTGGGCAGGTTGGGGTCTGAGGAGCCCTGCAGGAGGCTGGATGTGCCTGTGGAGGGTCAGGGGGGCAGGGATCAGAGGGATTATCTGAGAAAGGAAGCCTGGCATTGTTTTCCAGGCTGAGGGGCTTGAGCGCTTCCCTGTGGTCTCATGAAGCCTCAAAGCCAAGGAGTGAGTGGTTGCTTCTGCACCCCAGAAAGACACCCCGTCTCCACGGGAGGACTGATCCTGAGAGGGGAGGGGGCAGGGCAGCCCCAGCCCAGCACTGGAGGGCCTGGCTGCTGCATGGCCTGTGCCCACCTGGATTAGTAAGTACGTCTTGCAAACAGCAGCCCTAGATCCAACTTAACTTTGGTGCTAGAGCTACAAACCTCTAATTGAAATCAAGAGATGTTTCTGGAAAACCTGCAGATTTTTGAGGAGGAATTCAAAGGACCATAAGGCCTGGTCCTAATCCTGAAGGAACTGAGTCCAGCCGGGGCGATAGGCACACACATGAAATCTGAAATAGCAATCCAGGTCCCCATGACATTCCACAGGATAGAGGAGGTGTCTCTGGGCAGCACCTAAGGAGAGTTCAGGAAGCAGCAGGTGCAGGCTTGCAGGTCACTGCAGGCAGCCGGGTCAGCAGTGTCTTCAGCAGGATGAAGCCCAAGGGAAGGGAAACTGTGGCAAAGAGCACTGGCCAAGGATCTAGGGGACAGGTCTGGGGGATGGGGAATGGAAGGTGATTAAATGTGTATGTGGAGGGAACATAGGGGAGCCCAGTGCCAGAAATTATTCCTAAGTAGCCATGGGTGACACTTGCATGAGGTAGGCCCCGGAAACCTTACCTGCCCTCTCGCCTGTGTTGGGCACCATGCAGGAGCTTCACGCCTCCTGCTGTGGTCTTCCATCCTTTCCACAGCCTGGTGAGCTAGGCAGCTTCATGCCTGTCTTATTGATGGGGAAGATGAACACTAGGAGGGCGAGATAACATGTCCAAGGTCACACAGCTTGGAAGCCCCCCAGGGGGATCCACAGCCAGGTCTGTTCCAAAGTCCCGGCAGCTGGGCTGGCAGGTGGGTGCGGGGTGGTGTGGAGAAGCTTCCAGCTAGAGAGCCAGCAGATGGACCCAGTGGGGAAGAAGAAAGAAGATGCAGTTCGATCACAGAGAGAAGGCTGGTGGGATTTGGTTTCTGATTGGTCAGATGGGATGGGATCGAGGTTAGAGAAAAGGAGGCTGGTACAGAGATGATTCCTGGGTGTGTGTGTGAGAGGTGGTGATTCCAAGACCTGGATGGAGAAGTCAGAAGCAGGAATATCTTCGTTACTGAATAAACATTTAAAAGGGTATTTATACGTGGTCTCTCTAACACAGTAGATGCTCAGTCCAGATGAGCTGCATGAATGAATGAATGACTCTCTATACTCTCTTCACTTGTATGTAACAAAAAGAAGCATCACCAGCTAGGGGCGGATTCCTCTGTTCTCCTTTTGACTCATTTTTAATGTTTTTTAAACATTCGACAGTGGAGGGGGCCAGCTCACCATCCCAGATCAGCCTCCAGGGTCACCCCCTTCCTCCCATTATCTCCTGGGGCCATCTTGGTCAAGTGCAAATATGATCTCATCTCTTCTCTGCCAAGTCAGCCACTCCTTTCTTTTGCTGTAGGAACAAAACCCAAAGTTTGTTTTTGCTGCTTATTCATCGAAGTTAAATATGCTTGGCGTGAAGGTTGCACTTAGAGCAAAACAAATTCTTCCCTATTCTTGGCTCTGTGTAACGAAGCCATTATTCCTGTGCTGTATGGAGCACCTGCCGTGGGCCAGGCGCCATGTCTGTGCACATGTGTGACCTCCAACCCCATAGCGGCTCTTTGCAGCAGGACTGGCTCCCACCCTACAGTGGAGGAGGCAAAGCCCATGCCCTTCATGCTGCAACCATGTCCTCTCAGAGCCCTGAGCCCTGGAGGCAGGATGGGGGCAACCTGCATGCCAGGGAAGGCGCCCAACCTCCCCTCCTCACCCGGACAATCGCATGGTGGGCCCCCCTGGTTGACTTCACTGGTCTCTTCCCATTTGATAATTCATCCCAAGATTTACTAATTATGTCCCTTCCCAGTGTTTTGTTATGTTCACACCCAGCCATCAGTTTCTAGAGTCTGTTTTGTTGGGGAGCCTCGCCGTTCCATTTCATGGTGCTGCTTTATAACATGTGCCCACAGGGTGGGCGCCTGGCGCTGGCTCAGCACTCGGTCTCTGCCACCCCCACCGTGGAATCCTTTCTTTTCCCTGACTGTTTCTTGCCTTTAGAATTTCTTAGCCCCCTCCATGGTCCTCTCCGTTTCTTTCTTCTTGCATCTCAGACCAACGTGATACTCCCGTGGGCAGGCATCGCTTTATCCTTGCTGGGGTGGCCCCTTCTCACAAGCCTTGCCCCACACACCCACTATGCTGCCTAAGGGAGACCCCTGCATGGCAACCTCTACAGCCCACTCCCACCCACCACCCCCTGAGGGGCCTGGCTCACCATCCCAGGTGAGCCTCCAGGTCACCCACCTCCTCCCCCTACTGTCTCCATCTTGGTCAAATGCAAATATGATTTCATCTCTTCTCTGCCAAGTCAGCCACTCCTTTCTTTTGCTGTAGGAACAAAACCCACAGGCTCATTGCAGTCCTGCCTGAGCCCCCTGCCCACTATCCAGTGGCATTGCAGGGCTTTCCTTGGACTCTTCTTGGTCACTACTCCTAGCTGCACGGCTGCCCTGCCACCCATGCAGTTTACACAGTTACTTGTGGAATAGTCCCTCTGTCTCCTCTGCTGAGTTCAGGTCCCATGAGAATTGATTTAGCTCATCACTAACCCCCAGCACCTAGCCCAGCACCTGACACACGGCAGCTGCTCAACAAATATTTGCCAAATCAGTGAACAAACCACCACACCCGGCCCATAACAAAAGCCACTCATAATATTTGTTAAACTAACCGGTCAAGCTCTGTTTTAAACGGTGGTAAGATACACATAACATTACATGTACCATTACCACCATTTTAAAGTGTATCATTTGATGGTATTCAGCACACTCAAAGGCTGTGCATCCGTCACCCCATCTAGTCCTCCAGAATGTTTTCATCTCCCCCCACAGAAACCCTGTGCACATCAGCAGTCACTCCCTGTCGGCCCACCCCTAGCCCCAGGTAACCACTCACCTGCTTTCTGCCCCGTCACTCACCTATTCTGGGCATTTCATGTAAATGGAATCATGCAATGTGTGGCGTTTGAATCATGCAATGTGTGGCGTTTGAATCATGCAATGTGTGGCGTTTGAATCACGCAACGTGTGGCATTTGTGAGTGGCTTCTTTCACGCAGCATCACGTTTTCAGGGTTCACCGTGTTGTAGCCTGGGTCAGTGCTTCATTCCTTTTTACGGCTGAATAATGTTCCATCACACGGATAGACCGCATTCTGTCTGCTCATTCGTCTGCTGATGGGCTTCTGAGCCTCCCCTCTCAAAAGGCTGGTATGATACTTTGCCTTCTTGCAGCTGGTCCCAGAGCTACAGGAGGAAGGCGGGGATGCCTCCTGGCACAATGGACATTCTCTCTTTTGCCTGCCCCCACTTTCCCTCCTTCATCTCAGGACGGGCTCATTAAACACCAGGGACGGACCGGCAGGAGTAGCAGCTCTGCTACCGTCGGCATGCACCAGGACAACCCCTCCTGTGGCCTCCTGGGACAGCTTCTGCAGGGGACTCTCAGCTATGGCATCAGCAGTGGCCAGCTCTCCCCAACACAGAAGGATACTACCTTGTCTCTGCTTCTCACCAGAAGCTTTGAATCTTATAAACCTGCCGGCAAGAAGCATCTCCATGTTTTCTCTCCATCGTTTGAGGGGGGAGGAGAAGCTCTGGTGAGGAGATGGCTGTCTGGATCACCTCCCTTGGGCCTCACCAGGGAGCCCTCCTGGGGAGATTTAGAGAGGAAGGAAGCATTTTCTGTGTCCACAGTGTCCATAGTACTGGATACTCTCTGTCCAGGAGGACCTCGTGTGCTGTCGCTGACAGATGGAGGGCTGGCCAGGGACTGGAGCAGGCACAGTGCCATGGCGACATGTCGACCCAGTCTCCAAAGGACACATCTGCACACCGGACACACCTCTATCAACAAGAAAACTTTGCTTCAGTTGCTCCTTCAATTCTGCAAAATTTGTTAGATCAGTTTTTTAAAAAGACAAAATAATTTTTAAAAAAGGATCATTTTCTCCCCAAGAGTAGTGGATTATTGCATCTGAACAAATGCTTAGGCACAAACCCTCCAGTCATCTCGGGCCTCCCCATGGAGGCCTGGCTTGCGTGCTTTGACTTCTCCCTGCAGAGCAGCATTGACGAACATTAGCGCACATGGATTTATTATTGGAGCAAATAATGCCAACCAGCCCTTTCTAACACTTGGCTGAGTATGAAATGATTCCCAAAGACATATCTGATGGAACTGATGTCTTAGAAAAATGCTCTCAGGACTGAGGCTTCGCTGCTTTGCAGTCACTTGTCTTCACAGAGGCGTATTCTCAGCTAGTAAAGGGGTCGCCTGTTTGGTGTCCAAGCTGCGGACACACCGCTTCAGTCCCAGCTGAATTTGTAATAAGTGGAGGGTCCTTGATGAGGACTTCGGATTCCTCACCTGCAAAACAGTGATAATAACATCTGTTTCATCCACCTCATAGCATTTTTTTTTTTTTTTGGTTTTGAGACGGAGTCTCGCTCTGTTGCCCAGGCTGGAGTGCAGTGGGGTAAACTCGGCTTACTGCAACCTCTGCCTCCCAGGTTCAAGCGATTCTCCTGCCTCAGCCTCCCGAGTAGCTGAGATTACAGGCATGTGCCACCACGCCTAGCTAATTTTTGTATTTTTAGTAGAGACGGGGTTTCACCATGTTGGCCAGGCTGGTCTCGAACTCATGACCTCGTGATCTGCCCGCCTTGGCATTTTGATGAGGGCTAAAATAAAAATGTGGCAGTATCTAATTTCTTTTTCATCTTTTCAATTCCCTTTAAAGGATCTTTGGTCAATCATTTATTGGACAGCCCAGCGTCCATTGCACTGGCTGAGATTCTGGGTGCTTTAACCCGGTTCCTCGCTATTTCTGCGGACTTGCCCTGGAACCTGCGTTCCTTGGAGCAGCCTAGCCAAGGAGTCTCTGGGCACCGACTAAGGATCTTGCCCCACAGAGGGTCCTCTGCCAGGTTCCCTGAGCGTTCCCACCCTGACATCCCCTGCAGAGGAAGGACCCTTCCTGTTCCCCCAAAATTCACATGTTGACCCTTCATGTTCCCCCAAAATCCACATGTTGAAGTCCTTACCTCCAGTGTGATGGTATTAGGAGATGGAGCCTCTGGGAAGTGACACTGAGGTCATAGGGTTGAGCCCCCGTGAATAGGATTAGTGCCCTTGCAAAAGAGACCCCAGAGAGCTCCCTCCCTCTCTTCGCACCATGTGAAGAAACAACCAGAAGGCGGCAGTCAGCAACCCGTCACCAGAACCTGACCCTTCTGGCACCCTGATCTCAGACTTCCAGCCTGGTGAAAAATAAATGTTGTTTACAAGCCACCCGGGATGTTATTTTGTTCTAGTGGCCTGAACTAAGACACCTTCTTTTTTTAGGAATGTTTGCATGGATTTATGAGGTTGTGCAGCTTCCCTGACTTCACCTTTTAATCCTGGAACATTCTTTCTCCAGTTCCCTTTTGAAGGGCACTGTTCAATGTGTGGGGCTAGCGTCCAGCGGCTCAGCAACAGCCTGTGTTCTGGCCTACAGTTTTCTTTTTCTGTGATTTTCCTTTCTACAGACCCCCTGCTTCTCAGTGACAGAAGGCCACCAAGCCTGCCCTGCTTCAGAACACCAGGGACCCAGCGGGCTTAACCTGGCCACCCTTTTCCTGTTTTTTTTTTTTTTTTCGGGGAGAGACTTGAGACTCCTTTTAAAATCAAGCCCAGCCATGCCTTTTGAAGGCTGCTTTTGTGAGTCTATGCAGCGCCCTGAGATGGGGACAGTCCCCACCCCTTTGCTGGACACAGAGGTACCTGGTTCAAACAACAGTTGTGAGGATCATGAGGACAGCCACGCCTCACCCACCTGCGAGGGAGGCCGTGATGCGCTTCACAGACTGAAAGAGAAGGGCTTGTGAGGCTGTTTTCTCTCCCACTGGGACCCACCAGTGCCCCTCTCCCTGTCACCTGGGGCTTCTACTAGGTCGGTGCAAATGTAATTGTGGTTTTTGCCATAATACTAACAAAAGGAGAGCCCGGAGGAGGAGCTGGGGCTGCTTCCTTCCTGAGAGTCTCTGGCTTCCTCTTCGTTGCCCCTTTAGCCGACTGGACAGGAGAACAAGCTGGGGAAGGGGCTGGACTGGCAGGCAGCATGGATGCCCCGATAGTGGTGACCGCCCACTCTGCAGGGTCCATCCCTCCCTCGGGCCCCATGAGCTGGAGCTGGCAGAGCTTCTGGAAGGTGACTCCGCGGGGAAATGACACACTAAGAGAATATACACAATGACTTCACGTACTATAGTTCAGTCCCAGCTCCCTGCTCTGAGTAGCTAGAGGAGATGATGATCCATCGAAATCGGGGGAAATGACGCATTGCAATAAATCTGTGTCAATGAGCTGCTCTTCTCTAATTCCATGGGGGTGTCGTATAGACTCGCTGCTTGGTGCAACATGGGAGATCACGCAGCAAACACCTGGAGTCCAGGTCTAGCTCCGCCTCTTAACCCTAACCCCAACCACGTTGTTGTTGCCCCTGGCAAGTTGCTCAGCGTCTCTAAGCTTCCACCCCTCATTCCCACGATGGGGGTGATAATTCCTGCCTCTTACTTGTTATAGGATTTCTTACAAAGTACTAGGCAAACAGAAGCATGAGTATTTCCTGGAGCAGGAAAATTATTCCCTTCGTCTTTATTGCACTATTTGGGGTAACCACTGGAATATATAATAATTATTTGTAATTAGTACTTAGTTATGTGTAGATAAATGCATGCTCCTGGATTGTTTTTAAAAGCCCTTTAATGGGATTTCCTTTAACTCTTAAAGAGACTAAATATCCCTCCAGATATTTAGTTGGTTCTACTCACTGTGCTCAATAAAAACAATAGTAGAAAGGAAAACTGTAGCCCAGAAGACAGGCAAAGCACTAATTACAAGAAATGTGCCTTGTCCTGCAGGGAATAAGGGCAGCTTTCCTGTGTCCTGTGTTGGGTAAGGGGAGACCCCTCTGACTTGCGGGGCTTGGCTCTTTTCTAGTGGAGCCGCCTATAGATCAAGTGTTATTCCAGAGTCAGTGCTGGGAACGGCCATATCACTGGAGCTGCAGAAGCAGATCCCGCAGGTTCTGAGAAGCTAGGAGCAACTCTAGTCCTGCAGCCTAGGGGCTGTCCCCAGCGAGCAAGGCGAGCAAGGCCCCGCTGTGGCCACCCCTAGCTGGAGGCTGTGCATGGCATTCATTGAGAGTCTCAGCATGGGGAGGGGTCATCTCATTCCAGCGAAGTCATCTCTCTCTTCCTCCGTGCACCCTCTCTCCAGACTCCTGCTGCCACCTGACACATCCTTACAAACTCAACTTCTACATGATGAACACATCTTTTTTTATTTTTTTCAAGACAAGGTCTTTGCTCTGTTGCCCAGGCTGGAGTGCAGTGGTGCAAACATGGTTTACTGCAGCCTCAACCTCTTGGGCTCAAATGATCCTCCTGCCTCAGCCTCCTATGTAGCTGGGACCGCAGGCATAAGCCACCACGCCTGGCTAATTTTTATTTTTATTTTTTTAATAGAGAAGGAGTCTCACTTTGTTACCCAGGCTGGTCTTGAATGCCTGAGCTCAAGCTATCCTCCTGCCTCGGCCTCCTTCCAAAGTGCTGGGATTACAGGGGCCCGGCCCAGGAACACATCATGAGGTCAATTCCTCTAGGTCAATTCCTGCAACAGTGTGATTTTGGTTATCAGTGCATAGGTGTGGGACCAGCATTCTTTGGAGTTGGAGAAAATAGACAATTTATGCAACGGCCTCCTTGGAAATATATTTAAAAATTGGGGGCGGAGGCCGGGCACGGTGGCTCACACCTGTAATGCCAGCACCTTGGGAGGCCGAGGTGAGCAGACCACAAGGTCAGGAGATCGAGACCATCCTGGCCAACATGGTGAAACCCCATCTCTACTAAAATACAAAAAATTAGCTGGGCGTGGTGGGGGGTGCCTGTAGTTGCAGCTACTCAGGAGGCTGAGGCAGGGGAATCGCTTGAACTTGGGAGGTGGAGATTGCAGTGAGCCGAGATTGCACCACTGCATTCTGGCCTGGCGACAGAGTGAGACTCCGTCTCAAGAAAAAAAAAAAAATGGGGGATGGAGGATCACTTGAGCCCAGGAGTTCAAGACCAGCCTGGGCAACACAGTGAGACCCCGCCTCTACAAAAAAAGAATCGAAGTTAAATATTTTCATTCATAAAATTGGTCCCAGCCTTGGGTACAGGCAAAAATGTCAAGTCACCTTGCTCCTGGGCATTCCCAAGGGAGGCTTAACCAAGCCACCTGGCAGAGGCAGGGCAGCCATCTGGGCCACATTCCTTCGTCTGCCCGGCATGGGCACAGACTCGCAGGATGCATCATCGGGGTTGCCCGGGGCAGACTCTTGGCAGGCCTGGCTGGCCTGCAGCAGGCTGGCAGGCCCTGCCTCTGACGCTGCCCGGCCGCCTCCCAGCATCATGGCGTGACTCAGGGTCCCTGAGGAGCCGCCACCAGGGTGGGATTTGAAGGAGCAGCGTATCTGCTGTTCACTGTTAGGGTGGGTGGTGGACACCCTGGGAGGCTCTCCTAGGTGGGCGCCTGTGCAGAGACACTGATCACGGCAAATGCTAGGGCTGGATTCATCTCTCGTCTTTCCCAGAAAGGACTTGGGACTTCACAGAAGCTCCGGGAGTGAACTTCCCCTCTGGGTTTGAGAGGCCATGTCTCCTGGACTTCAGAACACAAAAGACAATTCTTCAGGCAGATCTTTGCACATGAATGTTAGCAATGGGGCCTCTATTTCCAGCTTTTAACATTTTTCTCTTTTTGGAGAATTTGTTTGCCTTGACCTTTATGAAAGGAGATGGAGAGAACACGGCCCCTGGGGTCAAACCCTGCCTCAGCCACTTTCTTGCTGGGTGGCCTTGGATAGTTACTGAGCTTCTCTGAACTCAGTTTCCTTATTTTTAAAATGGGGCGATGCTCTCGTTTGCGTGTTGCTGTGAAAATGAAGCGAGTCCATGAAGTTGAGTACCCAGGTGGTATCTGATGGTGGGAAATGCTCGGTACACACAGCCATGACTTTCTGAACGCCCGTAAGGTGACTTAGGGTGCCTGGTGCATCTGTGGGGACCCGGGAGGGAGCAAGAGGGTGGCAGGGGCTCAGCCGATGGCACTACCATTTCCATCAGTCGGTCCTGGGAGGGACGGCAGACGTGCAGTCTGGTCTTCACTCTCAGAGACTGTTCACGCGGCATCTGAGGCTCACCTGGGGAGTTAGTGCAGTTACTCAGCATTGCTGCTTTCCTCCTGGGGAAGGCATCATGAACAGCATCTCCATAAGTCATGCAAATGATTACTAGAAGAACTCACGGCCCCTCTTCGGGGGGAAAGCCCTGTCTGGCGCCGGGCCAGGCTCTGGCCACGGGTGACCTTTGGTTGGGTCCGCCGGCTCCGGTATTGACCCTGTGAGCAGTACAGGAAATAGACTCGAAGCACATTCCAGCCTCCAGGTGGTGGAAATGACTAAGCCAGTGAGATGGAGCCAAGGAGATTGGGTCAAATGTCTCCACAGCCTCTCTGGTCTCCAGAAATCTCGCTTCCCACAGCAGCTGCCGAGGGCACTGAGCCAAGTGCTAAAAGCATTTTGCTAAGAGGGAATTCTCGAAACGTCTGCCCCCAAGTGCTGCTGGGGGGAAGCTGTGTATTTCCACTTGCTAGAGGTCCCTGGTAGGGCCTGTGAAGTGACCATCACAGCTCCCCGGGGCCCCCAAGGTGCTGGTCTCACAATATTGGGGCACAACTTGATAATTCAAGCAATACTAATAATGTGAACTGCTTCAGGGTGAAGGGGAAACTTTTCACTCAGAGACAAACTATAAACATTTTGGACGCTCTTCTTTTCCCTGCTTCTAGAAATTTAAGAATGACATTGAAAACTTAACAAAAGTCCCACATTTTTCTAAAAGAATTTTTTAAAACCCAAAAGTATAACAAAGTATAACTGTTTATAGACGTGCGATACATGACATACATGACACTAGACATATCTATTAATTTCTAAAAATGTCACAGCATCCCAGAACCTCCTGGGCTTGGGAGAGGAAGACGTTCAAAGACTTACAGCTTTGAGGCAGGGATGAGGCACTGCACCCAAGACTGGGTGACTCAGCAGAGATCATCCAACAGACAATTCTCATCTCCACCACCAGCATTTAGAAATGTTTTAAAGTGAAAAATAGAACAGTGGCTCTTGACTGTGGCCTCAAACCCAGCTACTGTAAAGCATTATGAAGAATTTAGACACTTGGCTTCCTCCTTCCCGCCTGGAGGCCTGCCATGCTAGCGAAGGCAGCCCTGGTTCAAGGTTTCTGGTGGACCCAGCAGATGGATGGGAAGCGGGCTTAGCTTGACCTAAACAGCTGGGAGCTGGGAGCTCAAGGTGAGCATGCAGGAGGGGCCACAGCCACAGTGCTTTCCCTTTATGAGCAGCTAAAAATAGCAAACAACCACTGCAGAGTGACAGAGACCCATTTGAAGGTTTTGGTGGAGACAGAAGCCCTCCCCGGGCAGAGCTGCAGTCTCACTCCTTGGGTGGAAGGGAGATGTGGTGGAGAGAGAGGTGCCGGGAGCAGGAAATGTCACTGGGGGTGAGGCAGAATCCTGTGCTCTGGGAGAACCCAGCCCTCCAGTGTCTTCTGCAGTGGGAGAAGGGGACTGGGAGTTGGTGGATGTGTAGGGCTGGGAGCTTGTGTAAAGGGAGCCTGCTCTTTTTCATAGATTTATAAGATGTTTCTGTTCCGATTTCGTGTTTTGGCCAACTGCATTGTCCTGCAAGCCTGCATCATTCCTTATTTTCCCTCGATTTGCTTCTACACGTAAGTAATCCAATATCTACATGTTGACATTATCTTTGAAAACACTTAACGGGGCTAGGCACAGTGGCTCACACCTGTAATCCCAGCACTTTGGGAGGCTGAGGTGGGCAGATCACCTGAGGTCAGGAGTTCAAGACCAGCCTAGCCAACATGGTGAAACCCCGTCTCCACTAAAAATACAAAAATTAGCTGGCGTGGTGGCAGGCGCCTGTAGTCCCAGTTACTCGGGAGGCTGAGGCAGGAGAATTGCTTGAACCTGGAAGGCGGAGGTTGCAGTGAGCCGAGATTGTGCCACTGCACTCCAGTCTAGGTGACAAAGTGAGACTCTGCCTCAAAATACAGAAAGAAATTAAAGAAAGAAAGAAAAGAAAATTTGTCACATGGAAGTGTGACAAATCCCAAACTAGGGGTGCTGGTTAGTTTACAGTTTGTTACAAGCCTCTAAATAAGTAAGTGGGATGGGCCAGCACACCTGAGACCTGAAGGAATGAGACGGGTTCCACCGGTCACACAGGACAGGCTCTCGTCACTGCCCACACAGCCGCAGGCGGCCTGTGTGCACACATGGCACGGGGAACACTGGGCCCTCGGATTCCTCACCCCGGTTATTCTGGCAAGGGGACCAGCAGGACTCGAATTATCTGACTGCATAGGTCTAGCTACAGGTCAGAACATAATTAGACTTTTCTGCCAAATAAGAAGGGATTTCTTTTGTTTCTGCCTAAAATAACACAGAATAGAAGAAAAGAAGAGCAGTTCCCCCCACCCTTAAGAGGCTGCGGCAGACTGGAGCGCTCGTGTGTAACACATGGGTCACTTGCAGGATGCTGATGGTCTCATTCTTAATTTTTTTTTTTTTTTTTGAGACGGAGTCTCGCTCTGTCGCCCAGGCTGGAGTGCAGTGGCGCGATCTCGGCTCACTGCAAGCTCCGCCTCCCGGGTTCACTCCATTTTCCTGCCTCAGCCTCCCGAGTAGCTGGGACTATAGGCGACCGCCATCACGCCCGGCTGAGTTTTGTGTGTGTGTGTGTTTTTAATAGAGACGGGGTTTCACCATGTTAGCCAGGATGGATAGTCTCATTCTTATTTCCACTTTCTGATAACAGACCTGGCTCGCAAGGGTCCATCCCCAGCTCACCTGGGCAATCCCCGTCTAATTTCACCTCCCTGACAGCGTCCTATCCTGTTCCCCACAAAGGCTCTCCGTCCAGCTGCTGTGCCATTCCTTCCTCTTTCCTGAAGAAAATCCGGGCCCACGGATTCAGGGCCAGAATCCCCTCTGATGGACCATCCACTGGCCCCGCAGCAGACTCCTGGCTAGGGAAGAGAAGGCCAAATGCTCAGTCTATCTAATTCCTTTCAAGGTCAAGTCCCCTTAATACAGCTGCAGAAAATAACAGGGGAATCACTTTTTTATGGTTTAGGCCTGTTTTAGGCCCCGGAGAATCTCAGGCTAGTATGTTTCTATGGCACTCCCTAAGGACCGCGTCCACTCTGCAAGAGGAGGGCACAGGGGCATGTCCCACACACCACACCACACACACACACACCATACCACATGCACCACACTGACACACCACCCACACACCACGCCACATGCACCGCACTCACACATTACACATACACACACTCCACATCCATGTACCACACATACACACACCACCGTGTTCACCACACACACAAACCACACCACATGCAACGCACTTACACAATACATATACACACAGCACCACACCACACCCATGTGCCACACACACACGCTCACATCACCCTGTGCACCACACACACACGCACCACACTGACACACCACATACATACACCACACCACATCACACATACACACCACACACACCACATGCACCACACACACACACCACATGCTGTGCACTTACACATCACACGTACACACACCCATGCACCACACCGACACCACACACGCACCACACCACATGCACCACGCTTACACATCACACACACACACCACACACACACACCACACACACTGCACTTATACATCACACATACACACCCATGCACCACCATACACACTCGCACCATCCTGTGCACCACACACCACACACATACACCACATGCTGTGCACTTACACATCACACGTACACACACCCATGCACCACACCGACACACCACACACGCACCACACCACATGCACCACGCTTACACATCACACACACCACATGCACCACACTGGCACGCAACACACATACCACACCACATGCACCACGCTTACACACACACCACACCCATGCACCACACATACACACTCACACCATCCTGTGCACCACACACCACACCCACAACACATCACACCACATGCGCCACACACATCACACCACATGCACCCCCGCCCCACCCGCACACTGAATGAATGACACAGCCACACAGAAGGCAGGGCCTGGGCCTGGTGCTGAGCCCCTCCTTGCCTCTGAGAAGCACGCCCCCTAAGGCAGGCCCAGCCCCTGGCTCCAGGGGCAGCCACGGATTTCCAGGGACTTTCCGAGGACTGAGCCTGGATCCTGTCTCGCTGGCGAGCAAATGGCAGTCCTCGAAATCACCCTGACTGCGCGCTGTGCACACGCACACTCACACATGTGCACACACACGCACTTGTGCAAGCGCGCACACGAGCCAAGCCAAGCAGCCGCACAGCAGCCGCCGGGGTTGGGCTGATGAATCCGGAGGCCCGGGTCACCTCGCGGCCCGCGGGCAGGCGCCGGAGGGGCGGGCGACGCGCGCACGTGGCGGGGCCGGGAAGGCCGGGCCTTTAGGGGGGCGGGGGCACGCCGCGTTGGGAGCAGGGGGGAGGACTGCGGCCCCCGCAGGCCCGGCCGCGCCCCCTCCCTCGGGCACCGCCCCCGCCCCGCCCCGCCCCGCGGCCAGAGCCTCCTCCGGCCACCGCTGGGCCGCGGGCGGGACGCCCGGGGCGGCGCGCGCAGGAGGAAGCGCGGCCCGCAGCGGCCCAGGAACTTCCCAGACGCCGAGTCGGGAGCGCGGGCCGCGGGGTCCGCTCGCGCCCCTGTTCCGCAGGTGTGCGGGGCTTGCGCCCAGCCCGGGCCGCGGCCGCCGCGCGTTTCCTCCCCGCTTGCCCGCCCAGAGGCCCCCGGCCACGCTCCTCGCCGGGCTCCGACCCCGCCGCGCCCCCTCCACGCCCCCAGCGCGCTGTGGCCGCAGCCAGCGCGTGTCCTGAGTCCGCCGTTCCGGCCCGGGGCTGCCGGGGAAGTTGGGGCGAGGCGGGCCGGGGATGCGCCATGGCCATGGCCCGGCTGGGCTCGTGGCTCGGGGAGGCGCAGTGGCTCGCGCTGGTGTCGCTCTTCGTCGCGGCCCTGGCCACGGTAGGCCTGTACCTGGCGCAGTGGGCGCTGGCCAGGGCGCGACCCCAGCCCCAGCGGCGGGCGGTGGAGCCTGGAGAGGGGCCGCGCCCGGGGTCCGACGCGCTGCTCTCCTGGATCCTGACGCTGGGCAGCTGGAGGAGCCAGTGGCAGGCGGCCTGGGTGACCGCCCTGAACGAGGAGGCCGAGAGGAAAGGGGTGAGTTTCCGGGACTGCGGGCCGGGGGGCGGCAGATGCCGGGGCGGGCGGTCCGGGCCGAGGTCTTTCCTGGAGGCGTCGCTGCAGCCCCTGACCCAGGCTAAGGGAGTCCTCCCCCCAGCGCAGACCATCCTCGAGAGTTAGGAGAGAGACGGGGGAGCGAGGCCCCTTGACGGAGAGACAAGACAAAGTGATTGATTTTATTCTCCAAACGGCAGGTGCTCCAGGCCCTGGGCTCCGCGAGGGACAGGCTGGCAGTTGGAGGGACCGTCAGAAGTGCTCATCCGCGCCAGCCAGTACCTGCCTTGCCTGGAGTCCCGGGGCGAATTCCCGTGCCCGATCGGACACTTACTGAGCTTGCACATGATACATGAATAGCTGTGACCCCAATGTGCTTCCGCCTCTCATAGAGCTGAATTTCACCAAGAATTTATCTCCAAAGACTTGCATTTCTTGGCATATAAAAATAGTGACCGTTTGCTGAGGGCCAGCCGCTGGGCAGACATCCTACCGAGGCTTTCGGTGCGTCTGCCATCTCTGAATCCTCACAACTCCCGGGACAGGGGTGTTATCACTGTTTTACAGATGAGGAAACCAAGGCCCGGAGAGGGCAAGCAGCCTGCCCAGTGCCACACAGCTCGTGGGCGGCAGAGCTGGCATGTGAATCCAGCTGCCCTGGCCTGCAAGCTAAGGGCCTCGTGTCTTACCTCTGCTGCCTCACAGTCCTGTGGGTGTTTCTGTAGTCGCTGATTACTCGTTGACTTATTTTTGCTTTTAAGACATCTTAGTATAACGACAAGCTCCTGGCATGTACTATTCTTAGGCATTTCACAGGAGAAGTTGGAGCCTGGGTGGGTTTGGGGAGGCACCCCTAGTCTTGGCCGCTGCTCCGCCCTTCCAGGCCACAGTTTCCTGCACATGCCTGTGCAGCTCAGTGGTCATTCGCTGTGGAAATAGCAGAATTGCTCATTTTCAATGTCCGGCCCCATCAACCTTCAAAATATTCCATGGCGGGCCCTGTGCCTGGTCCTTGTGCATGGCCTTGGAAGACATGGCCATGGAATTAAAAAACAAAAAAGCTTTGACTATCAGTTAGCAGCCATCCAACAAATCAAGAGACCTTGTTTTGAACTCTTGAAAAAGAACATAAATGACTGTACTTTTTGGAGGAAAAAGGCTTCAGGGTCAGTTGACTGACTTTTGTCCTGGTGCCCAGAATCTGTGCCTCAGCTGTCCAGAGCTGGAGAGTGTCTCAGGGAAACCAGCTGTCTCTTGTGGGAGCCCTCCACCCCTGTTGGCCTCACATCCAGGAGCAAATGCAGGTATTTCCCCAGGAAGCTGCCATCACTGACCCCTGACTGACCTGGAATCAAGGCTTCTGAGGCTGAGTCCCCTCCAGGCTGGTGGCTTGATTGGGCACCAGTCTCATCTGTGTCCTTTGTAGGAGGCAGGCAAGTGTTGGGTGAATGACCTTTAAGTTCAGCTTCTAACTCTGGAGTTTCAGGCTTAGAGGCAGTGACCCTACCTCCTGTATATTTGGGATGGTTCGTTTCCTGACATCTATGGATTGGCTTCAGAAAATATGATCCTCTTGGATATGATCCTTCCATATTCCCATCTGACTGAAGTGTTGAGAGGCAGAGAAGAGGATGTCCCTGGCATCTGTCTTAGGCTGGTCAAGTCAATCTGAGAACACTGAAAGAAATATTTGAAAGTTTTGGATGAAAACTTTTTACTTGAGTCTTTGTGTGGGAGCAGGGAGGGGTTGCGTTCAGGGAGAGGAGAGAGGGTCTCACCTTGTTTGCGCCTTCTCTGTTCTCTCTCTGCTGTTGGCCACACACTGCAGTCTCAGACACCTGTCTCTCCTGACCTCCTGCCTGGAAGAGGCAACAGTGTCCCGGATTCATGCTCAAAGCAACCCAGGGCCATCTCTGGCATTTTTGCATGGACATAGTCCATTAGTTCTGTGATGTCAGTTTTTGGTATTGCTTACTTTCCTGGGGACGGGGGTGGGGGAACACAGCCCTGATGCCTGGGAATGTCATTTGATTTGCATTCAAATGGAAGGTTTTGCAGGCAGATAGGATCTGGGTGACTGGGCTCCCTGTGAGTGACGGTCACACACCCTCCCGGCATCCTGAGCCGTCGCTGCCGTGTCAGTGATGGCATTGTGGGTGAGCAGGTAGTGGTGTTTGCATTCCTGGCCGCCCCGAGTCCAGCGATTGTCACACACATCCCAGCATCCTGGGCCATCGCTGTTGTGACAGTGATGGCGGTGTGGGAGAGCAGGGGCTGCTGTGTCCATTCGTGGCTGCCCTCCCCCACCTCCATTCCCACTAATCCCGGATTAGGGCTGACACTCCAAGCCCGCTCTCGCCTGGACAGCTACAGCTTAGTGCTCCCCCTCCTGCCTCTGCCTTGTCCTGATATCACTCTGTCCTACCCAGGGAGGAGACCAGTTCTTGGCCTGTCGCTTAGGGATTGAGAAGACACTGGTAATAACTTAATCATGTCCAGCATTCTGTCTGAAAAGTGGAATTTTCTGTCCAATTGAGACAATAACTCCTCCCATTCCAAGTTTTACCCCACCTTTGTATTTTAAGATGGAAAGAAACCCTAAACTCTTCTAGCCAAGCCCCTTCTCCAGAAGGGGAGACTGAGGCCCGTGAACTGGAGGAATTTGCCAAGGTCTGCGCATTGGTGGCTGCAGCCTGTTCCCTGGTGGGATGCAGTATCAACTTGGAGACCTAAATGTTTCCTTTAAATGAGAGCCAGCGAGAAGAGCTCAGAGAGTAGAGTTGTTAATGTGTTATCCCAAACAGTGGGGCTCGCACCTTCCAGGATCCAAGGACTGGTCAGCACCGGAGGAGTCCTCCTGCTCTCTGATGACCACTGCAGCAGCACTGACTCCCCGTATTGCAGGGGACCTCGGATTCCCACCCTCACTCCAGAAAGGGGTCTAAATTATATGTGACAGTGATTTGCACTGACTTTGGAGGAAACCATTGCTGATCTGCCTGCTGGCCAGGTGGACGCCAGGTGTGCAGGGATCACAGGAGTCTTGCCCAGAGAGCTTAGTGACACACGTGCCTGCCCCCCACATCCGCCTCAGTAGGCTTGGGGAGCACACTTTGAGAGTGTCCCATGGTTGAGAATCACTGGTGAGAAGCTGCTAGTACACACTTGCCATCCATCAGAGTTCCTCTTTCTTTTTTTTCCTTTTTTTTTTTATTATGATACTTTAAGTTCTAGGGTACATGTGCACAACGTGCAGGTTGTTACATAGGTATACGTGTGCCATGTTGGTTTGCTGCACCCATCAACTTGTCATTTACATTAGGTATTTGTCCTAGTGCTATCCCTTCCCCAGCCGCCCAGTCCCTGACAGGCCCTGGTGTGTGATGTTGCCCGCCCTGTGTCCATGTGTTCTCATTGTTCAACTCCCACCTATGAGTGAGAACATGCGGTGTTTGGTTTTCTGTCCTTGTGATACTTTGCTTAGAGTGATAGTTTTCAGCTTCATCCATGTCCCTGCAAAGGACATGAACTCATCCTTTTTTATGGCTGCATAGTATTCCATGGTGTATATGTGCCACATTTTCTTAATCCAGTCTATCATTGATGGGCATTTGGGTTGGTTCCAAGTCTTTGCTATTGGGAATAATGCTGCAATAAACATGTGTGCATGTGTCTTTATAGTAGCATGATTTATAATCCTTTGGATATATACCCAGTAATGGGATCGCTGGGTCAAATGGTATTTGTAGTTCTAGATCCTTGAGGAATCGTCACACTGTCTTCCACAATGGTTGAACTAATTTACACTCCCACCAACAGTGTAAATAGAGTTCCTCTTTCACCCAGCACCACGTAAAAGCAATTGTTTGAGCTTTGACTCTTGCCTCTCCACTTGGTGTGGTGTTGCAGACCCCTAATTCCCATTGATGTGATCACTCTTTGGTCACACAGAACAGAAGATCCCAGAACTGGCTCAGTCTCAGGTCAGGCTCCTTAGACTGAGAACTAATATTATGGTATCCAAAAGCAGCAGTTGAGCTTTTCCTTTTGCTCCCCTGCGATTACATCAATATTTACAAAGTGGTCCATGATAATCAGTTACACCCCCAACATCCCCTTGGGAGTCTCCGGGACTGCTGTCCTACAGTCTCCTCGACTCTGGGATCCAGCATGCTTGCCTCTGATGGCCGCTGCCCGTGGGCTGCCCAGAACTCCTCCCAAGGCTGATGCTGTCTGGACCATGTGTGGGCAGCACCTGTCCCGAAGCGAGGCCTGTGTTCCGTGGCCTGTGCTCTGGGCTTGTCTGGTAGCGGCCCACCTGAGTGGGATGAGGCCCCGGACTAGGAGGGTCCCCAACGCTGTTTGTTTCTTTAGTCCTTCAGCCCAGGGTTTCTTTAGAGGTATGTTCTAATTGCAAATGATCAAGACTATGATCATTATGGTCTTTGTAAAAAAAAAGAAAAAAAAAAAAAAAAAAAAAAGATGCTGTGTGGACTTGGAACATATTATTAATAGCACTGACTTGAATAGGAGTTTCTGCATTTAAAAAGTAAACAAAGTGGCCACCAGACTTCAGAGTCTTTGCATTATATAATGACCTTCCAGTTGTGCTCACGAAGTCCAAACTCCTTGACCAATGACAGTGGCTGTGGTGTAGGAAGCCAGTTGGTAGAACTGTGGTGACCACTGTGGGGAAGGACCATGGAGCTGCCCTTCCCTCCTCCAGTAGAAGGAACTTGGGCCTCTTTGGGGCTGTGAACCCTGCACCCTCCACCGTGACCCCTTCTGTTGCTCCAGTGTCCAGGGACCTTTCCTGTGTGGGCCTTCCCACGGGTCATTCCTTTTGTTTGGAATTCTTATCTTTTTTCCTGCTT
This sequence comes from Homo sapiens, assembly GCF_000001405.40. Classification (NCBI taxonomy): domain Eukaryota; kingdom Metazoa; phylum Chordata; class Mammalia; order Primates; family Hominidae; genus Homo; species Homo sapiens. The sequence goes on along the minus strand of NC_000021.9, from coordinate 41,948,477 downwards.
ATTTAACTTCTCTAAATCTTTTGGGTCTCAGCTCAGAGGTCCCTGATCCTCCCCTTCAGCCAAGATGCTCCCCGCCCTGCCCTCCTCCCGACCCCCCCGGAGTCACTTATGCCCTGGTCAGCTCCCGGCATTGTGAGCTGGGGCAGAGCCAGGGGCTGTCTGGGCAGAGCCAGACCCAGTGCCCAGCACAAAGCCGGCTCGGGGCAGGCCCTGGTCTCAGTGGGGTGAATCATGGGCCTCTGGAGGAGGAGAAACAGTGGTGATGCCCATTCCCCCATCTGGACTCAGGCCTTCTGTCTTGGGAGCCAGCCAGGCCTGGGCAAAACAAGCTGTTTAATGTGCTTTGTTTTTCACTTCTAAAGCATCAACATTAAAGGAGGCTCTGATGACTTTGCAAGTCATCAATGCCAAACCCAGGAATAGGCGCCAGTTCAGTTTGTTCTTTGCACTAACCCATTCTCCCAACAAGACAGGGATTCAGGAAAGTGTGGGTGTAGCGTTCACATCAACTAAAATTCCCCCAACGCTAACTTCCACTCCCGCGGGCCCCTGGTAGGTTGCTGAGGAGGGAAGGCACTTCTTCAGCCCGTGGAAGGGCCCGTGGGGAAGCTCTGGAGCTGGTTGCGGGTTTGCTTTGTGCTCCAGCTCTACCCTCCTAGCTGTGCGATCCTGGGAGAGTCTCTGTGCATCATCTGCAGAAGGGAAAACTGGATTCAATCCAGAAAACAAAATCCACTCTCCTAGAGGTGAGATCAGATCTGTGTGAGACATTTAGCAAAATGCCTGGGACATAGTGAGACAATAAAGGTGGGCTGCTCTCTTTAAAGTCTTATTTTTTAAACTTTTTATTTTGAACTGCTTTCACAGAAAAGTTGAAAAAATAATTCAACTTTCATATATTCCTCACTCAACCTTGCATAACCACAGCTCAATGATCAGAACCAAGAAATTAACATTGGTGGCATGTTACTATGATTCATAACACAAGGAGATTAATGCAATGTAATAGTTCAAGAAATTAGGCCAGGCGCAGTGGCTCACGCCTGTAATCCCAGCACTTTGGGAGACTGAGGCGGGCGGATCACCTGAGGTCAAGAGTTCAAGACCAGCCTGACCAACATGGAGAAACCCCATCTCTACTAAAATTACAAAATTAGCTGGGCGTGGTGGTGCATGCCTATAATCCCAGCTACTCGGGATGCTGAGGCAGGAGAATTGCTTGAACCCAGGAGGCAGAGGTTGCAGTGAGCCGAGATCGCGCCATTGCACTCCAGCCTGGGCAACAAGAGTGAAACTCCGTCTCAAAAAAGAAGGAGAGAGGGAGGGAGGGAGGGAGGGAGAGAGAGAGAGAGAGAGAGAGAGAGAAAAGAGAAAGGAAAGAAAGAAAGAAAAAGAAATTAACATTGTCACAATGCCTAACAACAAAAGCGAAGGCCTTCTTTGAATTTCACCAGTTTTCCACCTGTCTCCTTGTATTGTTCTAGGGTCCCATTAAGGGTACCTGTGGCGTTGAGTTGTTCCTTCTTCATCACCTGCAGTCTGTCAGGGTTTCTCAGTCTTTCTTTGTTTTTTATGACCTTGATAACTAAAGACTGTTGATCATTATTTTGCTGACTGTCTTTCCATTTGCCTGGCATTTTCATATGGTTGGAGCGAGATTACACAAACCACAGAAGTGGTGTGCACTGTGTCTGGGGCTTGTGATGTCAGCGTGTCTTGTTGTAGAGGATGCTGAGCTTGGTGCCTTGGTTAAGGTGACTTCTGCTGGGGTCATCCTCTTGTATTTTATGTCTCCTCCTGTATTAGTCCCTTCTTGCATTGCCAGAAAGAAATGCCAGAAAGACTGGTGGTTTATAAGAAATGAGGTTTAATTGGCTGATGGTTCTGCTGTCCAGGAAGTATAGCAGGTTCTGCTTCTGCGGAGGCCTCAGGAAACTTACAATCCTGGTGGAAGGTGAAGGTCATCTTCTATGACCCAGAGCAGGAGGGGGAGAAAGAGGCGGGAGGTGCTACACACTTTTAAACAACCAGATCTCATGAGAACTCACTCACTGTACAGCACCAAGGGGAGATGGTGCTAGGCCATTCATGAGAACTCCCCGCACCGTGATCCAGTCACCTCCCACCGGGCCCATCTGGTAACACTGGAGATTAAAATTCGACATGAGATTTGGGCAGGGACACAGATCCACATCATGTCACCTCCTTTATCTTTCCTGCTGTAGTTAACAGGTAGTGTGGGGAGATGCTTTGAGCCTGTACAGAGCCCGTTGCTCCTTAAACTCTTCCTCACTGATTTCGCAACCATTGGTGTATCTTGTGTGCAGTGATGGCGCAGGTGCAGTTCTCTTGATGGTGACTTTCTGTTTCCTCTTCCTTACTGTCTTTATTATTTGGAACTCTCCCGCAAGACAGAACTGTCATTTCTCCTCCAATGAGATATTTATCTGATTGTTTAGCTCAATATGGACTCATGGATATGGATTTTATTCTGTGGGTTATAATCCCATACTATCACTATTTATTATATTGTTGTATCAGTCTGTTTTCACACTGCTCTAAAGGACTTCCCTGAGAGTGGGTAATTGATAAAGGAAAGACATTTAATGACTCACAGTTCCACATGGCTGGGGAAGCCTCAGGAAACTTACAATCATGATGGTAGGGAAAGCCGTCACCTTCTTCATAAGGCGGCAGGAGAGGGAAGAAGGAAGGAGGAACTTCCAAACACTTAGAAAAGCATCAGATCTTGTGAGAACTCACTATATGAGAACAGTATGGGAGAGACTGCCCCATGATCCAGTTACCTCCCTCCCTCTGCAGGTGAGGATTACAGGTCCCTCTCTTGACACATGGTGGTTACAAACAGAGCCAAACCGAATCAGTTGCTTAGGTTGTTCTCCTTTGGGCCATCAGGGTGCTCCTTTGAGAGTAGCCTCTTGTGTTCTTCCATCAAGCCCACTTTTTTTTTTTTTCATTTCCTTACTTCATGTTTCCACAAAATATTTGTTTTTGGCTCCCCACAGGCCCTGGATTCAGCCACTTCTTCAAGCAGCCCTGATTCCTTTTATTGGAGAAGTGTTTAGAAACCAAGACCTAGGCATTAAGTGTGTTCATTACCTCTTGGTTCTCATTGCTCCCCTTCAGTGTTCAGCAATAGCAAACATACGTGTGTATACCAACGTGTGTGCGCATGTCTATATTTCTGTGTATTTCTCTCTGTGTTTATCTGAAAAACCGTGATTGTATCCTGTACCTTGGGTTCTAGTCCAACGGTACAGAGTTCATTTTAGTTTTTTCACTTTCTTATTCTTAACTCCCTTCTCCAAGAGTAAGACATTGCACACCTGCTGTCTTATTTACTTACTACTTATGTGTTCAGTTCTAGTATATGCATGAAGTAGTTTCTGAGTTCCCAACCTATGAAACACATTTACTGGATTATAGCATTTATATGCAGTCAAGATGCAGTTTTCCAAGCTTCTTAGGTTATATCCGTGTTTTTCCCATCCCCTTCAGTGTGGTTATATTGTTCATTCGTAGTGCATGTGTTTGTTGGTGCACCAGAGCCACACAGTTTTAATTACGGGGTTTCTATAGTCTGTTTTAATATCTGGTGGAGCTAGTCACCCTTGTCTTCCTTTTTCAGTGTTTTCCTGGCAATTCTTGTGTGTTTCTTTTTCTATGTGGACACAAAGTCTTCCTTTAGTCTAAGTGGAGTGGGGTCTGGAATGAGGGTTCTGTCAGCATTGACACAGCAGCAGAGATGCAGAGATACCTGAATTTGTGGTTGTGTGTGGCAGGCAGGCACACCCTGCTCCTGAAACTCAAGGACTAGGCAGATCAGAAAAGGAAAAGCAATCTCTCTTAATAACTTATTTTCTTTGTGAGACCATCCCTTGACCTTAAGTTTTCCAGCAAACTCTTTTCTTTTCTTTTTTTTTTTTTTTTTTTTTGAGGCAGAGTCTCGCTCTGTCGCCCAGGCTCAAGTGCAGTGGCATGATCTCGGCTCACTGCAAGGTCTGCCTCCCGGGTTCATGCCATTCTCCTGCCTCAGCCTCCCGAGTAGCTGGGATTACAGGCACCTGCCACCACGCCTGGCTAATTTTTTTTGTGTGTGTGTATTTTTAATAGGGACGGGGTTTCACCATGTTAGCCAGGATGGTCTCGATCGCCTGACCTCGTGATCCGTCCGCCTCGGCCTCCCAAAGTGCTGGGGTTACAGGCGTGAGCCGTGGCACCCGGCTGCAAACTCTTTTCAAGGTTTGAATTCAGAAGGTAGCAAGGGAAGAGGGTAAACACTGCATCTGCCGCCTCAGGGGAGCATGAGTCTGCACCCAGGCTGGTATAAGGCAACAGCGTATCTTTAGGCTCCTACAGAAGGTACATTGTTTCTCCGCTGCATCCTCCGAGCGGCTGGCATGTTGCCTGCTCATGGTTCTCTGCCTGGCACTGGCCTCTGTGCTGGGTTCTGTTCTCTCAGGCCAGAGAGCCTGGTGCACAGAACCGTCTCATCACCAAGCTCAGAGCGTGGCCCTGGCCAGCAGGTCCCACTCAAACAAGCTCCCACCACAGAGAATGCCAGCAGAGCAGCCCTGAAACTGTGATTTCAGCCCTCTCGAGCAGTACATTTAATTCTCTGCTGATTTTTGGGGGATGAGATAGACAGTGTAAGAAAAGGGTGAGGTTAGAAGCCTATAAATCAAAATGTTCTGTCCCCTTTAGGTTTACGCGGGTCATTGGGCATTCTTGAGAAATAGCCACAGCGTAACCTCATCGCTTGCTCACTTGCACCATGCTTGCTGGAATCGCCACGGCAAGGTTTTACACCGCTTCCCCTCTCCCACCCTCGGTCACGCCTTGTAGCTGGACCTAGCTCACCACGGTGGAGATGAGATACGATGGGAGCTTGTGGGGCTGTGTGTTTTTTAACCACCCAGTCGGAGCTCATTGAAACACGGTGTGCTTTCTACAGCATGTCAGGAACAGAGTTCTAGGAGAGTTTCGATCTGGGATTGTGTTGTTGATGTACACGTTTGGCCTCTCGAGAGCTAGACAAGACTTGGACAAGACTTGGTTGGTCACATAAGCCCTGGGTTCTTCGTCATAAAACGTTGGCCTTGTTGCCTTGTGGTCCTGTTCATTTAATTGTGCGTCTCTCGTTTGGAGAATTTTTTTTTTCTTTTTGAGACAGGGCCTTACTCTGTCGCCCAGGCTGGAGTGTGATCTCAGCTGAATACAACCTCCACCTCCTGGGTGCAAGTGATTGTCATGCCTCAGCTTCCTGAGTAGCTGGGATTACACGTGTGCCACCACACCCAGCTAATATTTGTATTTTTGGTAGAGGCAGGGTTTCACCGTGTTGGCCAGGCTGGTCTCGAACTGCTGGCCTTGAGCAATCCTTCCACCTTGGCCTCCCAAAGTACTGGGATTACCGGTGTGAGCCACCATGCCTGGCTTTGCTTGGAGATTTTTAACTGGAAGAACCAGAACAGACATGAGCTGACCGAGTTTCCTGGAAGGATGCTGGGGGAACATGCAGAGCCACGGGCACAGGTGAACCTTGGGGCCAGGTGGCTCCAGAGGGCTGTGAAGTAGGGGTTGAGGAGTCTACTCTGTGGGCAGCCACCAGGCGGGTTCATTTCCAGCCAAGGAATCTTGGCCACCCTCTCAGATCCCAGGGAGAGGCCAGCCCCTGGGGGGTAGGAGAGGAGAATGGGGGGCACCCTAAGTAATCGTACCACAGCAACCACACGCAACAGGAGAGGTGCCTCTCCTAGACCAGAATAGAGGACTGTCCCTAGCAACAGGGAGGACACAGCCTGGAGCCCTCTGTGCTGGGCGAGGTGCGCCGCTAGACCCACAGATCCTCTGATTTGCACGAAGCAGCCCTGCCCCAAGAGTCTGTTTCTTTCCTTATGCTGTCAGCAGGAAGATTCAAAACACCCTTCGCTGCCTTCCTGCAGCATCTTCAGGTTTACTCCCGGGTTCCTGTCCTTTCCCAGCCTTCTCCCATAACTGAATCCTGCCCACTGAGCACAATCCATCACCAGCTGCTCCTTGGATGTGCAGAGCTCCTGATATTTAGCCATTGCTGCTATTAGAAGCACAGAGTTCACAGAAAGATGTGTTAGTACATTTTCTTAATTTTTCAGAACTTTAAACAGATATGTAATTTAAAAGATGCAGCCCCTCCTGTGCATGCCCTCCTCATGCTGCCCCTCTGTTCCAGGGCCCACCTTTCCTGTCCTTTGAGGAGGACCCGCGGCAGCAGGCACTGGAGCTGGTGGTGCAGGAGGTCTCCAGCGTGCTCAGGTCGGCGGAGGAGAAGGTGAGCCCAGGAGCCCATTCCCTGCAGGAAGAGGTGAACTTGATGCCGGGGACGGGGAGTTTGCTTTGTTTAGAATCATTGAAAATGCGGAACCCTTACACTAGGAAAAAAATCAAAACAACCATCTGGCCCATCAGCTGATGGGTAGATGAAGAAAGTGTGATCCGTCCACATAATGGGACGTTATTCCGCCTTCAAAAGGAGCGAGATTCTGACACTCGCTCCGGTGCGGATGAACCCTGAAAATACCGTGTCAAGTAGAAAAAGCTGGACACAAAAACCTCATATTGTGTGGTTCCATTTATATGAACCATCCAGAATAGATAAACCTGCAGAGACACAAAGGAGATTCGTGTTGCCAAGGCCTGGGTGAGGGACTCTTGGGGGAAAATGGAGAGTAACTGCTGATGGGTTGAAGGTTTCATGTTGGGGTGATGAAATGTTCTAGAACTGATGGTGGTGATAGTTGTAGAACTCTGCGAATATATTTAAAACCATTGATTTGTATAGCTTCAACAGGTGAATTGTATCTCAGGACATCTGATATCTGTTGCTCAAATATGCACATCATGTTGTAGACTTTATATATTTATGATATATCTAGATTTATGTACATATATTTATGTGTATATGAACTATGTAGATGTTATGTAGAATTCATTTTCCTGTTGCTAACAGTTTATGTGCTCCACTTACTAGACTGGTCAGATAGCATAAAGCATAAAAGCTTCTGTAATAAGTCCTAAGACATTTTCTCTCTCTCTTTTTTGGCTTTGTTTTGTATTGTTTTAGGGATGGGATCTCGCTCTGTTGCCCAGGCTGGAGTGCAGGGGCATCAGCTTACTGTACCCTCAAACTTCTGGGCCCAAATGATCCTCCTGCCTTAGCCTCCTGAGTAGCTGGGACTACAGGCACGTGTCACCGTGCCTGGCTAATTTTTTAATTTCTTTTTTTTGCAGAGATGGGGTCTTGCTATGTTGCCTAAGCTGGTTTTGACCTCCTCTTAGTTTCAAGTGATCCTCCCACCTCAGCCTCCCAAAGTGCTGGGATTATAGATGTGACTCTCCATGACCAGCTGAAATTTTCTCTTCAATACAAATCTTACCCTTGTACTTATTATATTATTGTTGCTGTTGTTATTATTATTATTATTATTATCATTATATATTTCTTACTCTTGGGCTCTGAATTTTCCCCATTAATAAAAATGGTTTATTTGCCAGTTATGTTCAGCATAACTAGCAAATCCAAAGGCCAGCTCCACATGGAGAAATACAGTATATTCTTGTTGGCTGCTGAATGCACTGATTTGTAACTTACAGTCTAGAGTTGCAGTTAGACATGATGGTATGGTCTCACTTTAGGAGGGAAAAGAAGGAAGCAGTGCTTCCCGCCTTCCCCATAACTCACATGTACATTTCCCATATGTGTATATAAAGAATCTATTTTGGAAAGCATCATCTATAATGAAGTTCCATCCTCCATTCCTCCTCTTCCTACCTACAGTGATGACTGTTCTTGTAAAGTTGGGCTGCTCTTCCTTCATTTTCAACCTGTGTTTATATGTTACCTGTGTTGCTGTATGATCTTTATGGCTCCGTCTGCATTTTATTATCAAGTTAGGTATGTGGGTACCATTTAGCAGGCAGCAAGGAGGGGACGCCTGTGTGGCCCCAGACTGAGGAGAGTGCTGCCAGCCCCTTCACCCCACCTCTTACGTATCCCTGTGACAGCTGGGGTATTTGTGTGTTTAACATTTTTACCATTTTTTATGTACACTTTTGCAACAAGCTTTCTCTATGTAGATCACCGTAATTTTGAGACTTCTCCAGGTTGGTTTTTGTAGTTCTTTTCTTTGTAGTTCATTTTGCTTCAACTATAATTCAGGATTCCAGATGAACCCGAGCTCACTTACCCATCTCCTGTTGCTGGATAATGAAATTATTTTCTCTTTTTTGAAAGTACAGGTTGAGTATCCCTTACCTGAAATTCTTGGGGCCAGGAGTGTTTCGGGTATCAGATCTTTTTTTGGATTTTTGAATATTTGTATTATTTTTTTACTAGTCAAGCATCTCGAATCCAAAATACTCCAGTGAGCATTTCCTTCGAGCATCACATTGGCCCTCAAAAAGTTTCAGATTTTGGAGCGTTTCAGATTTGGGATGTTCGGATTCGGGATGCTCAGTCCGCACAGACAGTGCTGCAGCGATTGTGTCTGTTCACCGCCTCCCGACTCCTCAGACAAGCACCGGAGGACCCCAAGGGCAGGCATGAGCCTGGCGGGTCACTGGTGTGCATACTTCAGCTTGACCAAGTATTCCTGAGTCAGTCACCAAAGTGCTGTTCCCGGTTTTCTCTGCCCCAGCAGCATAGGAGAGCTCTCCTTCCTGCATACCCTCGTCAGTCCTGGAGCCACGCTGTTAGATAATCCTTGTAAGTAGTGTGAGGAAGTCACTGGAAAGTACTGGGGTTGCAGGAGGAAGCCCATGGCAGCGGTGCGGGATGCTGAGACTGGCACAGCCTGGAGAGCTGGGAGGGCCCTGCGGCAGGTGCTCCAGTGCCCATTTTATACTCTTGGGAGCTGAGGTGCAGAGAGCCGTGGGCCTGCCCTCCTGGAGCCCGCTGCTTTGGAAGTGCCTTCCCAGGCGGTGAGCACCCTCTCTATTTGTGGCAAATAGAGACTTCATCCCTTTGTGGCTGGGTGGTTTCTGTATGGTGTTTTTGATACTTTCCCAGTTCAGAGAGGAGTGGAATGTTCAGGGCTGGTCTGGACAGGGAGTGGAGGAAGCGGGGCTGTGGAAATAGCAAGACTCCATCTTTAAAAAAACTTCATATTGCCAGAAAAGTGGCCTTACACGGTAGGTAATTCAATTGTAATCCTTTTAATAAATACAATTTCAGAAATGGACATGACAGAAATAGTACATGTAAATTAGAAGTGAAAAACAGCATCGTATTTGTATGGCCATGACCATAGCAACATTTTTCATAACTGCTGAAATGTGGAAGGAACCCAAGGGCCCACTGATGGGCGAATAGATCAATAAACTGTGGCTCGTCCACGCGGTGGAATAGAATTCAGCCATAGAAAGTGAGGACATTCTAGGCCGGGTGCCGTGGCTCGCGCTTATAATCCCAGCACTTTGGGAGGCCAAGGTGGGCGGATCATGAGGTCAGGAGTTCGAGACCAGCCTTGCCAACATGGTGAAACCCCATCTCTACTAAATATACAAAAAAATTGGCCAGGTGTGTTGGCATGCACCTGTAATCCCAGCTACTTAGGAGGCTGAGGCAGGAGAATCGCTTGAACCTGGGAGGCGGAGGTTGCAGTGAGCCGAGATCACGCCAGTGCACTCCAGCTTGGGTGACAAAGTGAGACTCCATCTCAAAAAAAAAAAAAAAAAGAGAAAGCAAGGACATTCTGACATAGGCTATAACGTGGATGAACCTTGAGGACATTATGTTCAGTGAAATAAGCCAGATGTGAAAGGACAAATGCTGTATGAGTCCACTTCTTAGTGGTCCCTAGAGTAGCCTGATTCAGAGAGACAGAAAGTGGAATGGTGCGTGCCAGGTGCTTGGGGGAGGAAAGCGGGGAGTTAGTGCTTAGTGAGGACAGAGTTTCAGTTTGGGAAGATGCAGGTTCTGGAGGTGGATGGTGATGATGGTTGATACAACAAAGTGAATGGACTTAATGCCACTGAACTGTGCACTCAAAAATGGCTTAAATGGTCAGTTTTATGTGTATTTTACCACAATAATTAAAAATATGGAAGGGTATAGAGATTTCTTAAGGTTTCACTATTTCACATACAAGCTTTGTTTAATTTGTTTACCCTTCCTTTACCTGAGCTATGATTTGTCAATCCTTGCCAGGTGTCAATGACTTTATTTTGTTTTTAAAATTTATTTTTTTTAATTGATGAAAATTGTACATATTTATGGTATGCATCATGATGTTTATATATATATATATATACACGTGTGGAATGGCTAAATCTAACATACAGATGATGTCACATACTTACCATTTTGTGTGGTTAGAAATTTAAAATCTACTCTTTTAGCAATTTTCAGGTATATAATGTATTTTTATTAACTTTAGTCACCACGGTATGCAATAGGTCTCTTGAACGTGTTCCTTCTAAATGAAATTTGGTATCCTTTAACCAATACCTCCCCGACGTCCCCAACTCCCCAGCGTCTGGTAACCACCATTCTGCTCTTGGTTTCTTTGAGTTTAACTTTTTAAGATTCTACTTGTAAGTGAGATCACGTGGAATTTGTCTTTCTGTGCTTGATTTATTTCCCTTAACATAATGTTCTCCAGGTTTATCCATGTTGTTGCAAATGACAGGATTTTCTTCATTTTTAAGGCTAATATTCCATTGTGTATATCTGCCACATTTTCTTTATCCATTCTTCTGTTGATGGACACTTAGGTTGATCCCATCTCTTGGCTGTTTTGAATAATGCTCTGGGTATCTTTTCAACATACTGATTTTATTTCCTTTGGATCTATAATGGACCCTTGAACAGCATGAGGGTTAGGGGCACTGACCCCTTGTGCCATCAAAAATCCGTATATAACTTTTGACTCCACAGAAACTTAACTATTAATAGCCTGCTGTTGACCAGAAGTCTTACTGATAATGTAGTCAATTGGCATATATTTTGTATGTTATCTGTATTATATACTCTATTCTTACAATGAAGTAAGCCAGAGAAAAATGTTGTGAAGGTGGCTTATGCCTGTAATCCCAGCACTTTGGGAGGCTGAGGCAGGTGGATCACGAGGTCAGGAGTTCGAGACCAGCCTGGCCAACTTGGTGAAACCCTGTCTCTACTAAAAATACAGAAAAATTAGCCGAGCGTGGTGATGGGTGCCTGTAATCCCAGCTACTCAGGAGGCTGAGGCAGAGAATTGCTTGAACCTGGGAGGCGGAGGTTGCAGTGAGCCGAGATCAAGCCACTGCACTCTAGCCTGGGTAACAGAGTGAGATGCCGTCTCAAAAAAAGAAAAAAAAATGCTGGGTGCGGTGGCTCACGCCTATAATCCCAGCACTTTGAGAGGGTGAGGCAGGTGGATCACGAGGTCAAGAGTTCAAGACCAGCCCAGCTAACATGGTGAAACCCCCCATCTCTACTAAAAGTACAAAAATTAGCCAGGCATGGTGGTGTGTGCCTGTAATCCCAGCTACTTAGGAGGCTGAGGCAGGAGAATTGCTTGAACCCAGGAGGTGGATGTTGCAGTGAGCCGAGACCGCACCATTGCACTCCAGCCTGGCAACAGAGCAAGACTGCGTCTCAAAAAAAAAAAAAAAAAAAAAAGGAAAAGAAAATCATATGGAAGAAAAAAATCTATTTACCATTCATTAAGTGGAAGTGGATCATCATAAAGGTCTTCATCCTCATCGTCTTCACGTTGAGTAGGCTGAGGAGGAGGGAGAGGAGGGGTTGGTCATGCTGTAGCAGGGGTGGCAGAGGTGGGAAAAAATCTATGTATTAGTGGACCTGTGCAGTTGAAACCCACGTTGTTCAAGGGTTAACAGTATACCCAGTAGTGGGACTGCTGGATCATATGGTAGTTCTCTGTTTAATTTTTAAAGGAGCTTCCATATTGTTTTCTGTAATGGCCGGAATAATTTACATTGTCACCAACAGCATACAAGGGTTCCCTTTTCTCCACATCCTTACCAGCACTTGTTATTGCTCATATTTTTGCTAATAGCCATTCTCACAGGTTTGACGTGATATCTCCTTGTGGCTTTGATTTGCATTTCCCTAATGATTAGTGATGTTGAGCCCTTTTTCATAGACCTGTTGGCCATCTAAAGGAGAAACATCTATTCAGATCCTTTGCCCATTTTTTAATTGGGTTATTTGTTTTCCTGCTGTTGAGTTACTTGAGTTGTTTATTTATTTTGGATATTAACCGCTTATCAGATAAATGGCTTGTAAATATGGGATTCCATTCCGTAGGTTGTCTCTTCACTCCGTTGATGGTTCCTTGGATGTGCAGAGTTTTTAGTTTTGGTGCAGTCCCATTTGTCTGTTTTTGTTTTTGTTGCCTGTGTTTTGGGGATCATACCAAAAAAAAATCATTGCCCAATCCAGTGTCTTAAAGCTTTCCTTCTATGTTTTTTTTTCTAGTAGTTTTATAGTTTCTGGTCTCACATTTAAGTTTTTCATGCATTTTGAGTTGATTTTTATATATGTGTGAGATAAGGGTCTAATTTCATTCTTCTGCACGTGGATAGCCAGTTTTCCCAGCACCATTCAAGGTGTCAGGACTTTTTTTTTGAGACAGAGTCTTGCTCTGTTACCCAGGCTGGAGCGCGACCTTGGCTTACTGCAACCTCTGCCTCCCAGGTTCAAGTGATTCTCCTGCCTCAGCCTCCCGAGTAGCTGGGATTACAGGTGTGCACCACCACGCCCTGTGAATTTTTGTATTTTTAGTAGAGACGGGGTTTCACCATGTTGGCCAGGCTGATCCACTTGATCCACCCACCTCGGCCTCCCAAAGTGCTGGGATTACAGACATGATCTACCGCGCCCGGCCCTCAGTGTCAGAACTTTTCTGGCTGTGGGGGTCAGGCTTCAGCAAGCACAGACGGGCATGCTGCAGTTTGCAGATACTCCCACACTCTGGCAAGTTCAGACCTCAGGCTGCCATGGTTCCATTCTGTCTCAAACATAGGAATTCCGCTATTATCATAAAATCAATACGAGTTCATTGATGAAAACTTGAAAGACACAGAAGAATATTTAATAAAAACACACAGTAGTTGCATGAACTGGTGATTAGCTCTGTTCATGTGTTGGTGTGCATTGCCAGTCTTTTGCTTCTGCATTTATTTTTTGCTACAATTTACACTATATTCCATTTATATTCTTTCCCCCATGTTACTAAAATTCCCCTAAAATTCTAATGAATGAACACATAAGAGTCAAGGCTGGCCAGCGCGGTGGCTCATACCTGTAATCCCAGCACTTTGGAAGGCCAGGGCAGGTGGATCACGAGGTCAGGAGTTCGAGACCAGCCTGGCCAACATGGTGAAACCCCGTCTCTACTAAAAATACAAAAATTAGCCGAGCATGGTGGTGCACGCCTGTAATCCCAGCTACTTGGGAGGCTGAGGCAGGAGAATTGCTTGAACCTGGGAGGTGGAGGTTGCAGTGAGCCAAGATGGTGCCACTGCACTTCAGCCTGAGCGACAAAGCCAGACTCTACTCGGGAAAAACAGAAAAAACAAACAAACAGACAAACAAACAAGCAAAAAAAAAAAACGAGGCAAGGCTGTGAAGCAGCAGCCGTGTTGTCCTGGTTAGGAGCATGGTTCCTTGCTCCGTTCTTTCTCTTCCTCTGTGTGGCTCGGCTTCTCACCTGTAAAGGTAGAGGATACTGTCCACCCCCTAGACGGGCTATGAGGATGGAGTGAGTTACCACAGGTACAGCACATGGAGCAATGCCAAGCCTGTGCGGGGCTCAATATTTTCTCCTACCTCTGTTGTTATTTTTGCTCATGTGTTTATTTCCTCACTGTTCCTAGAAGTAGAAGAGTAGAGGTACTTGAGAAAGAGTACGTGCATTTTGAAGGATGTTGATACATATTGTCAGAAAAGCAACCTTAGGAAGTGGACTAGCACATGTTTCAGGATCTTGATACATAGTGTCAGAAAAGCAGCCTTAGGAAGTGGACTGTTTTTTATTTTTTGAGACAGGGTTTCACTCTGTCGCCTAGGCTGGAGTGTACTGGCACAGACACTGCTCACTGCAGCCTCCACCTCCTGGGCTCAACAGTCCTCCTGCCTCAGCCTCCCCGGTAGCTGGGACTACGGACATGCAGCATCATGCCCGGCTAGTTTTTTTATTTTTTCTGTAGAAATGGGGTCTCACTTTGTAGCCCAGGTTGGTCTTGAACTCCTGGGCTCAAGTAATCCATCGTCTTCTGCCTCCCAAAGTGCTGAGATTATAGGTGTGAGCCACCTCACCTGGTGAAAGTGGATGATTAAATTGTATTTGTTTTGATATAATTACAGAAATAGTTCATGGTCATTAAAAAGTTAAAAATAAAAATGTCCAAACTTTTTTTTTTTTAACCATCTATCTCCTGCTGCCGCCTGCTGGGATGAGGCTGCTGTTAACAGTGTTCTCGGAAGCTTTTTCCTGCCGGAGGAAAAGCACACACACACGGACTCTTGTTTTGTTTTGCAACAATTTTCCACGTAGCTCTTGACTTTTATGTTTTTGTGGCCAAATGAGGAAAGGAGCCCTTGCCACTGCCTTGTCGTGGCTGTGGCTCACACTGTCCTTTGAGGTGGGGTGAGCCCACCAGTTGAGTAGACGGGTTCCCTCCCCTCCCCTCCCCTTTCACGGGGCTGTGAGTGCGGGAGGAGGAGCCTGGTCGCTCTTGCCAGCCTGGATCCTATGCATACCCACAAGGAGGAAGTCCTGTTGGGATCTGCCCGGGCTCCTGGGAAGGGTCAGTTGGGAGTAGAACACCCTCGGGTGCTTGGATTGTGTACATGGCCTTTTCCATTCTTGGATGAGCATCTTGGCCAAACATGACACATTTTTAGGGCACTGTTTTTGCAAAGGCATCCAGCCAGCTTAATCTCTTGTAAAATGTCCAGGGTGAGACACTGCTTAATGTTCGTGCGTTAAATAAAAATGATAAGACAGCAAGGCCTCTTTTTGTTAACACTGTTCGGTGAGTTCAGCCCTAGAACTGCCGTGTAGGGCAGCGGGTTCACAGTGGTGTTCCTCTTCTCTGGTATCTAAGCCACACACCCCCATGGTCTCCAAATTTACACCTAATTCCGTGTCTGCACCGCCTCGTGTTCCCTCAGCTGGGCATAATTCTTGAGAAGGAAAAAAAAAAACTGTAACAGAACTTGAGGACCTGTGACAAATAAGAGGTAGAAAAGAAACAGGAACTTCTCATTCCAGGGCATCGCCCCTCCCTTTCAAAGCTCACACTTTGGTGTCAGGTTGCCTCTTCCTATCTTTCTAACTCAGCCTTGACAAGGGACATGTGGTTGGCATTTGAGCCAAGACAGGGACAAGGCCGCCGGAACCCAGCCTGTCTGTTATGTAATGCCATCTCTGATCGGAAGGATAAGGCCGAGGACTGGCTGGCCTGAGCTCCCCACCTCCTCTCCGCCGACAAACCCCTGACTGGTGTTCCATCTGGAGTCTCCCTGTGGGTCCCTCTCCCAATGAAACTGGCTGCCGTGCCCACTGGATGCCTTTTTCTTGGACTTTCTCCTGCCACCCTGAAGGCCTCGGTGTGTCCAAGTCATCACCTTTGCAAATATCTGGTTCATCTGCAAAACCCTCTCTGCATAGTCTACACAGAGTGCGGTCTTCCAGAACTTGGAGCAGCTTGAGTCATCCCACAGGACCAACGATAGATAAGTGCAGAGTCCACACCCGGCCCAGCCGCGGCTGCGGCCAGGAGCAGTCTCAACTATGTTTACTCACAACACTTTGGACACCAAATGTGTGGGGGTTTTTCTCACACCGATTATCAGTTCTTCAACTCTGGTGCCAACTGGGTGTCCTACAGTTCAACTCCATTCTGACATTACTCAGACTTAACACAGATCCCAAAGGCCCAGGGCTAGGTCCCGCAAGACGGCCCCCACTTCAGACACCAGGCGTAAGCTCCGGGTTGCCCCCGTTCTTCTGACTATCTGTAGATGGCAGACTTCCCCAACCCACCCCACTGAGGTTCACATATTTTACTAGAGCGGCTCATAGCACAGAACTCAGGAAAACAGTTTACTAACTATTACTAGTTTATTGTGAAGGATATGACTCAGGATCGGCCACATCGAAGGGATGCTTAGGCGGGCGGAGGGGGAGGGCAGGGACTCCAGCAGCTTCATGCCCTGCCTGGACGAGCCACCCGCCCGGCACCTTGATGTATTCACCACCTTGGAAGCTCCCCAAACCCATCCTTTCAGGGTTTTTATGGAGGATTCATTCGCTAGGCATGATGGATTACATCATTGGCCATAGGTGATTGAATGCGACCTCTAGCCCCTCTGCCCTCCCTGGAGGTGGAGTGGTGGGATGCTGGAGGTGGGGTGGTGGGATGCTTGAGGTGGGGTGGTGGGATGCTGGAGGTGGGGAGGTGGGATGCTGGAGGTGGGGAGGTGGGATGCTGGAGGTGGGGTGGTGGGATGCTGGAGGTGGGGTGGTGGGATGCTGGAGGTGGGGTGGTGGGATGCTGGAGGTGGGGTGGTGGGATGCTGGAGGTGGGGTGGTGGGATGTTGGAGGTGGAGTGGTGGGATGTTGGAGGTGGGGTAGTGGGATGCTGGAGGTGGGGCTCAAAGTTTCTCAAGTGACCAGCCCCCATCCTGGTGCTATCTGGGGTCCCCCCCAACAGCCCTTTTGTCAGCATATAAAAGACACTTGGCCAGGCATGGTGGCTCACGCTTGTAATCCCAGCACTTTGGGAGGCTGAGGCAGGTGGATCACGAGGTCAGGGGATCAAGACCATCCTGGCCAACATGGTGAAACCCCGTCTCTACTAACATACAAAAAATTAGCTGGGCGTGGTGGCACGCGCCTGTAGTCCCAGCTGCTTGGGAGGCTGAGGCAGGGGAATTGCTTGAATCTGGGAAGCAGAGGTTGCAGTGAGCCGAGATTGCGCCACTGCACTCCAGCCTGGCGACAGAGCAAGACTCCGTCTCAAAAAAAAAAAAAAAGACACTCTTCTCAAAAGACGCTCTTATCTCTCGGGAGATTCCAAGGGTTTTCAGAGCTTTGTGCCAGGCATCAGGAACAAAGACCAAACACATATTTATCACAGGCAGCAGGCCCTGCAGGGCTGTGGCATTTTCCTAAGGGAATTCTCCTGGGTGCCTGCCTTGCAGGGTATCTGCTCAGACCGGGTGTGGAAGCACGCTCCTGCCCACGGCTGCTGTGAGCAGGCTCCAGTGAGGGCTGGCTTGGAGGCAGCAGAGCATGGCCTTTAAACTTTTCTCCGGGGCTCTCTCTGCATTCTCTTCTAGTCCCAACATGCACCGAGTGCATTTATTTCTCCTAGACTTCAATTACCTTCTTACACAAGAGTAACAAGTTTCTACCTATGTTGTCTTTCCTCATGTCTTGGGAGAGGTTTGCTCCAGAATGTTTGACCTAGAAGGAGGAAATTCCTATTTCCATATCTCAAGCCACCTGAGAGCCAGCCCTTCCCCCGCAGGTTCAGCCACAGCCCTTCCCTGGCACGTGGGGGTTCAGAAGCTTTTCATGACCCCTTCCCTGGGGGTCTGAGGTCCACACATCAGTAAAAAGATGAATGTGAATCAGGGCTTAGGAACTGTGCTGTGACAGGTCACTCACTGAAAAAGAGTTGCATTTCTTTTAGGAAATATTGTAACCGAATACCCTCATTTTCTTTCTTTCTTTCTTTTTTTTTTTGTTTTGTTTTGAGACAGAATCTCACTCTCTTGCCCAGGCTGGAGTGCAGTGGCGCAATCTTGGCTTACTGCAACCTCCGCCTGCCGGGTTCAAGTGACTCTCCTGCCTCAGCCTCCTGAGTAGCTGGGACTACAGGCACGTGTCACCACGCCCGGCTAATTTGTTGTATTTTTAGTAGAGATGGAGTTTCACCATGTTAGCCAGGATGGTCTCGATCTCCTGACCTCTTGATCCGCCCACCTCGGCTTCCCAAAGTGCTAGGATAACAGGTGTGAGCTACTGTGCCTGGCCCTGAATACCCCCATTTTCTAAGAAAAAGAGTATGAGTTATTGTTGGTTTATTATTATTTTTTTCTCTTTTCTTTCTCCACTTCCCCCTGCTCCCCACTTTTTACTTAGCCCTTCAGAAATGCAATTATAGCCTCTTACCTCCCTTTCACCAGAAACTGCCTACCGGGAAAGCTTACCTAACCATGTGCTCAGGTGCTCCAGAATGAAACCCTCACCCACCAGGAGGTTGCCTGGAGAGAGAACAGTCGATTTATAACCCAGAGTGTGCCCATGATGAAACTCTCTCCCACCGGAAGAGTTTCGGCTGTTACAATCTAGTCCTGTCCACTAAGGCACCACTGGTCACCAGCTTGGACACTCAATAGATAAGGCGCCAAAGCAAGTTAGGTGAACCCTCACCTGCTCGCTTCCTCCCTTTCATGACATTCATGCCAAGCCCCCTTTTGAAAGTGCCTGCTTTCTGCCCCAAAAGCAAAGGGGTACCCTTAAGGCAGAAGCCTGTTCTTCCCCTAAGCTAAGCTTTGGAATGCAAAGTCACTGTCTTTATACCAGACCTGCTCTTGTTCATCATACTCTGCTAGCAGCCACTGCCTGAATTCTGGTTACAGTATGGTAACTGTGGCTTTCAACGTAACTTTCATTTGGAAAACTTGCTGATGAGGGCAGGAGCTGAGCTGGACACTTGGTGATCTTTGGAGACTTGAGTGATGTCGCCTGGCATGGTGTGGAGCCAGGAGTCCTGGACATGCTTTAGTTGTCTGTTTTCAGTTTCATTTCTAAGTAAATGGAGGCTCCCAATGGTATAACCATCAGCTGGAACTGAAAGTTTTAAATAAAAGTTATAACCCACCTAGTCTGGGGAAAGGCCCATCTCAGAAGCCAGGGAGACCCTGATTGGATCTGGGCTCGTTTAGGGCACTTCCTTCTTTCTCTGAGCCACAGGGTCTGTGTCTGTTGTGTAGGGGCCCCTCCCGTGCAGGGCTGTGGGAAGCAGGGCAGGCCTGTGCCCGTGCAGTACCCCGCATGGCACACGTTGTGGCATGTGATGGCATCAGGTGTGCCCAGGCCCTGGGTATAGAGCTTGTATCCCTTCTCATGAGAGCTCACCATGCTCCTGTGTCAGAAGCATCATCCCACTGTACAGAAGGAGAAACTGAGGCAGAGAGGTGCAGTCACTTGGCCAAGGTATGGAGCTCTGACGCAGCAGAGGCCAGAGTGAACCTCATTTGGCCTCCAGAATCTAGCTCCAACCACAGCACAAAATAAACCATGCCATTAGTGTGATCTTTTTGCATTTTTATTACTTTTTTTTTTTTTTACTTTTTAAATATTTTTTAGAGGTGGGATCTCACTATATTGCCCAGGCTCATTTTAAACTCATGGACTCAAGTGATCCTCTTGCCTTGGCCTCCCAAAGTGCTGAGATTACAGGTATGATATTATCACTTTTATTATTTCACTTAAGCTCGTGCCCCCACCACATCCTCACCATAAAAAAGACAACAGAGATAGGGAAAGGAGAACTGGTCAGCACTATCACGCTTTGCATCTGTAAAACCACAGCTACAGACGGAACTGGACGATCGTGTGGAATTTCCCCCAGAACCTTATTCCATATCCTCTCTAGGGGAAACCCATAACTCGCCCTGGGTGTGTGTGGTGTGTTGTGTGCACGTGTGTTCTACCTGATGCTGAAATACGCCCTGAGAGCTGCGGGATTGGGGGGTGGGGGGCGGTCCCCTGCTCTGTCCATAACTCAGGGGGCTGCCTGTTTGGTATGGGCACCATGATTTAAAATTGTCCACATTTGTCACTCTAGCTAACTGTAAACAGGAAGCTCGGCTCAGTTGTCTTTTTTTTTTTTTTTTTTTTTTTTGCTTTGCTTTACATGATTTGAAATTCCAGGTATTCCATTAACCTGGAATTTATGCTAAAATGCTAACAGGTTGTGAAATTGTTTTGAATGAGGGTCTTTCCTAGGGCGGGTGGTGGAGGTTCCTCATTGGAGACCCCGTCCTCTGAGATCCAGGGCAGATACTGCCCCTGAATGCGACTCCCACGAGGCCACCTGTTCGTCTGGATGATGGTGTATGGAATTCTGGGCCGAGCCAGCCTGCAGGTGCAGCCCGACTTTGGCCTGGAGGAAACAGAGTGAAAGACCTGTGGTGGCCCCGAGGTTTCGTCGGTTGGTCGGAATACAGAGCATGGGGCGTAGGAGGTTGGTGTGGCCAAGTGGCCTGGCCCTGTCAGGAAGCACTAGCTGCCAGCCTGGAGAAGACCTACTTCCCTTCTGCTCTTCATGTTAAAGGAACTGTCTTGATTTTGTCTTTTAGTGTAAACTTGATGAAAGACAACACATTCACAAACAGATCTTTCTGTGTAGAATGGCCACATTAAACCGTGTGATGCATTAACAACACCTCCTTGCAGTGCAGCATTACTGAAAGGCTTTCTTGTTTAAAGTATGTAACAAGAAAAGGGAGGAGAGTGTTGCTGGGGGCGGGGTTGGAGTCAGGTTGACGCAGGAGCCCCACGTGGTGGAGGCTTCCCCCAAAAGAGGATAAACAGCAGCTCTTGGGGTTGGCCACCATCTTGTTTCCAACCCTTTTCATCTCAATCCCCTGCGAGAATTTCTTATAAAAATACATCTTTGGCCGGGCACAGTGGCTCACACCTATAATCCCAGCAAATTGGGAGGCCAAGGTGGGTGGATCATGAGGTCAGGAGTTCGGGACCAGCCTGGCCAACATAGTGAAACCCCGTCTCTACTAAAAATACAAAAGTTAGCCAGGTGTGGTGGCACGTGCCTGTAGTCCCAACTACTCGGGAGGCTGAGGCAGGAGAATCGCTTGAATCCAGGAAGCAGAGGTTTTGGTGAGCCGAGATCCTGCCACCACACTCCAGCCTGGGCAACAGAGTGAGACTCTGTCTCAAAAAACAAAAAATAAATAAATACAGTTTTAAGCCCGGTGCGGTGGTTCCCGCCTGTAATCCCAGCACTTTGAGAGCCTGAGGCAGGCTCAGGTCAGGAGTTTGAGACCAGCCTGGCCAACATGGTGAAACCCTGTCTCTACTAAAAATACAGAAATTAGCTGGGCATGGTGCTGCACACTCGTATTCCCAGCTACTTAGGAGGCTAAGGCAGGAGAATTGCTTAAACCCAGGAGGCGGAGGCTGCAGTGAGCCAAGATTGTGCCACTGCACTTCAGCTTAGGGGACAGAGTGAGACTCCATCTCAAAAATAAATAAATAAAAATACATCTTTAGCCGTTTATTTTGAATTAGTGGGCAAACAGGATTAAATGTTGTAGATGTTGGGATAATCTTTAGCTCTAATGGAGTTTACTTTTTAAATTGAGTCCCAGTTCCAGAGTAGAAATAGTATTTTATATCCAGTTCATACTGTCTTAAAGGATATTTACAGAGGTGAGACTCGCTTGCAGAGTGGGGAAAGACATCTGACTAGGAAATCCAGATGATTACTGAAGGGTCTTTGCCTTCCTTTTATTTGGGAGTTCTTTCCTTGGGTGTTACAGAATGTGATGAAAGTGAAAATTATTCGAGTATCTAAACCTTTTGTATACATTTCCTCAGCTGCATTGCTAGTTTCTTTGGAGACAAAAGTAATTACATGATTTCCAGTTCTCTAGAGTGTTCTAAGAGAAGGAGCCGAGGCAGCTGTACAGGAAGCTTAATTGAAAAGGAAAGTGAAAGGGCACAGTGAGATCTGAAGACTCAGGGGCTCTCTTGTTGGTGAACAGTAGCAAAATCTGGAGTAACTGTGCCTGGAATTTTTTGGCCCCAAGTCTAAACAAAGGAATAGTTTCCAGATAAGCGCTGTTTGCATAGGTATGTGACTACATGAGGTCAAGGTGTTGAGGCTGGAGAGAGCACCGAGAAGGTGAATGAAGGCCTCCCCGCTCAGCCTGCTCTTCAGCCTTCAGTCTTGTTTTCCCCTCCCCGTGGTGCTTCCATCTGCTGCCCAGGGCTCCCCGACCCAAACCCTCACCTGCCAACCGTGAGTCCCCCCTTGGCCTTTCCATGTGGAGACCCTGACTTACCGTGAATAGCCCCCCACTCCGAAAAACACTCTGTCACTTATACAGAGAGGAAGCTGTTTATTTGGAATACAAAGTTCACCCTTCTGTTGCTTGATTTTCAAATGCTTTATGTAAATAATCTTTGCTTGTTTTGGGGAAAAAAAATGTCAAAAAAATGCAGGTTGGGGGATGGTTGGTTGTTGTCGAGGGAGCTCGCTCCTGCAGATGCAGACCTGGGCTCTGTGGAGTTCTTCCCTGGGGCTGGGGGTTCACTCCTGTCCTCTGAGGAGTTCACTGTCACTGCCGCCTATGCCAAATAATTGCTTCTATTTAACTTTTTAAAATCCTGTATTAATAGCAGACTGTTTCAGAGGGAAACACTCAGGGCCCAGTCTGTCAATTGAATAGAACTGGAATTCCCCGAAGAGCTCACTTGGAAAGCTAAGAAGAGGCTCTCATGACCATGGCTGATTGTGGGAGGGAGGATCTAGGGTCAAAATCAGGGTCTCTACCCACTCGTGGGTATTTAGGTAGATGTTAACCCTTGACATCTGGCCACTTAGGAAGGCTAACTAGAGAGGAGGAGCTGCTTACCTGTGTCAGGCGATCCTGACTTCTGCTGTGATGCGAGGAACCCCTTTCAGCCCGTGGGGGCCCTGCCACTGTTGGCATGGGTTGGGAGAATTTAATCCCCATTGTGGATAACACCTTAATACACTAAAAGAAGATTACTTGTTTTTAAAATCTCCTCTCCATTTTGTCCCCGTCCATTTGGCAAATGGGGCATTATTTGTTAGGGTGGCAGAGGCAGGGGCTGGCGCTGGAAGAGGACTTGGCCCTAATGTTTATCCCTCCAAGTGGAGCAGGAGCAGTATTTTGTTTGGCCATGTAAAAATTTGAGGCAGGTTCAGAATGTTTCTTTCTGCTGGAACGCAGTGGCACAATCACGGCTCACTGCAGCCTCAAACCCTTGGGCTCAAGTGATCCTCTCACTTTACCCTTCTGAGTAGCTGGGACTACAGGTGCACACCACCATGCTTGGCTAATTTTTTTTTTTTTAAGAGATGGAGTCTTGCTATGTTGCCCAGGCTAGTCTTGAACTCCTGGACTCAAGCAGTCCTCCTGCCTCAGCCTCCCAAAGCACTGGGATTACAGGCGTGAGCCACCACACTCGGCCTAAATTGTTTCTTTAATTAACTTTTCTAGCCAAATTCTGAGGGGAGGCTAAGAAAGGCTTGGTCTGCACTGTAGGTTTTATTTAGAGGGTAGCGAAGCCCTAGGGTTGGGGAAGACACGCCAGGGGGTTACTATGAAAAGACATCACACATTCTGTCCTAGAGTAGAATGTAGAGATTACATTACCTTAGTGATGGGGCTTCAGTGATTACTTATGAGCTTTGGAGTCCCGCATTCTAGAAGTTTTAAAGTCTTTTTATCTATTTACTTATTTATTTGCTTGCTTTTAATCAAGTGCTTGGTTCTCTGTGTATCAGGGAGTGCGTGGTGGGAAGCTTTCTGCAGAACTGGATACGAAAGAAAATGAAATTCTTTCTTGCTCGGGTTGAGGCTCTGAGTCTGTTTTCTTGGTACAATGCTGATTAGCTTAGTAGAGAAGGCTCCAGAGGAATTATGCAGTGCTCAGAGTCAGGGTTGGGTTTTTAAATTTATTTTTATTTTTTATTTTTTACTTTAAGCAGTAAAAGGAGTGGGCTGTTGAGACCAAGGACAGGGAATTTTCTCAGTGTCATGCCATTGGTGCGTGTAACTCATCTGGCCACAAAGCATGTTCCTCCGTAAAGGACTGTTTATAGATCATTTATTTTTAACATGAATAGACAACATTTCTTATACAAACATTTTTTTGTTCTGGCCCTTTGTGAACTCTGGAGATGATGGAAATATGTAATTAACTCATGTGTATCAGTCTTCTGAACGTGGCGTTATAAGAACCGGTAGAAAGAGTTGCACGACTTTCTGCCAATATTGAGAGAAGGCAGGATTTTCTTTTTCTAGCTCTGTGGCATTGAGGTATTTGGTTGTGGATATTGGATGTTGACCCCTGCCCGGGCCTTAGTGCCCAGGTTCCGTTTTTGTTCCAGAGTGGGATGGGCCACTGGTGGGAAGAGCTGGACCCAGGGCTTGGCTGCGGCCAGGAGCCAGCAGATGAGAAAGTACAGGGGAATGTCCTAGCCCTGAACTTGGGGGAATAGCAGGCCCTGACTGAGTAATTATTTTGATAATCTTTCCATTTGGTATTTTAGATTCTGATAAATCCACCAGAGAATTAAAGAATTTTCTCTTCCTGTCCTGTGACTCCCTGCAGTGGAGTCAGTGGTTCTTTTGGGAATGAGGAGGTCAGTCTGACTTACCCTCAGCTCCTGGTAGCTTTGCTTTTTGGCCAAACACTGGCCACCTACGGAACCCCCTTGTGCCTGCCCTGTGGTCCAGCCCACTGTGCCCCTGGCCTCCCCTCTCCTCCTCCTGGCCAGTACACACCTGGCACCTGGCCTGGTAATTATCCCACACGTGTCTGCTTGGCCCTCTGCCCCCGGGAGGGGAGCGGGGAGGGGTCTGACCTCTCATTCTACATCAGCTTCTGTAGAGGAATCTGTGGCAGAAACTAGATCTCTCTCTGTGCCATGGTAGCTGTGAAAAGCACCCCTCTTAATACTGTATGATTATGATTTATGTCAGGAAACCACAGTTTGGTTTATTCCTGAGGTTATTATCTTTCTCTGTCTGACAGTTTCTTCAACGAGCTCATTTTATAATTCTGGTTTTGGTACGGCTGCATAATTTTATAATTGTTTGATACTTTGTATGTTTTTCCAATTACTCCCACCTTTTTGAAAACCATGATCGCCTCGAAATTATTTAGGTGGAAGCAACCCATTGTGTTCTGGGTAATTTAAGAAAACTTTTTTTACTTCTAACATCTATAACTTACTTTCTCTTTAAGACTCATTTTTAGCAAAAGAACTTGGCTAATGGCTTTGACTGTGTATGAATGTGGAAACATTTGGGGAATTAAAAATCAGCTATTGTGGAGAAATAGAACAAGATGATATTTAAAGAAAAAGACTTTGTTGGCCGGGCACGGTGGCTCATGCCTGTAATCCTAGCACTTTGGAAGGCCGAGGTGGGCGGATCACGAGGTGAGGAGATCGAGACCCTCCTGGCTAATGGTGAAACCCCGTCTCTACTAAAAACACAAAAAATTAGCCGGGAGTAGTAGCACACGCCTGTAAACCCAGCCACTCGGGAGTTTGAGGCAGGAGAATCGTGTGAACCCGGGAGGCGGAGGTTGCAGTGAGCTAAGATTGTGCCACTGCACTCCAACCTGGGCGACAGAGTGAAACTCCATCTCCAAAAAAAAAAAAAGGAAAAAGACTGTATTACATGTGGAAAGCGCATGATAACTAGATTTGGTCAAGACTTTAGCTGCTAAGAAAGTCATCAGGAAGCAAAGATTTGAAACATTGTTTCTGGTTTTCAAACTATATTATAGAAAAGGTTTTAATCTGAATATTTATCCAACTTTGAAACTCTAAATTTGTATCCTTGCTAACATATAAAGTCCAGATTATTTTGATATAAAGATGCCTAGGCCAGGCGTGGTGGCTCACACCTGTAATCCCAGCACTTTGGGAGGCTGAGGTGGGTAGATCAGCTGAGGCCAGGAGTTCGAGACTGGCCTGGCCAACATGGTGAAACTTTGTCTCTACTAAAAATACAAAAATTTGCTGGCCATGGTGGCACACACCTGTAATCCCAGCTACTTGGGAGGCTGAGGTGGGAGAATCACTTGAACCAGGGAGGCGGAGGTTGCAGTGAGCCGAGATTGCTCCACTGCACTTCAGCCTGGGTGACAGAGTGAGACTCCGTCTCAAAAAAAAAAAAAAAAGATGCCTATGGCAGCTGAGCACAGTGGCTCATGCCTGCAATCCCAGCACTTTGGGAGGCCAAGGTGGGAAGATTGTTTGAGCTCAGGAGTTCAAAACCAGCCTCAGTAATACAGGTAGAGCCCATCTTTACAAAAAAGACAAAAACAAAAATTAGGTGGGTGTGGGGGCACACCCCTGTAGTTTCATGTACTCAGGAGGCTGAGGTGGGAAGATCGCCTGAGCTGGGGAGGTGGAGGTTGCAGTGAGCTGAGATCGCGCCACTGCACTCCAGCCTGGGCGACAGAGTGAGACCTTGTCTCAAAAAAAAAAAAAGAAGAAGAAGAAGATGCGTATGCACGCGCTGTCCTTTGTTTTGGATACAGTTTTCTCCCTTACCTGTGCCTCCTCCAGGTGGTGGTCTGTCACGTGGTGGGCCAGGCTATTCAGTTCTTGGTCAGCGAGACGCCTGCCTTGGGTGCTGGATGCCGGCTGTACGACATGCGGCTCTCCCCTTTCCATTTACAGGTAAAGATGTGTAGACTTTGCAAGTTATGAGACCCGTCACAGTTCTCAGAAATGTGAAGAGTGAGCATGGTGTGAGTCAGAGGGCTGTAACGTTCATGTTTTTATTAATTATCATTCATGTCATAATTTTCAAACTGTAACCTTTCATATAGGATTTTCTATGTAGGAAATGATCACACACACTACACATTACACACACACACTACACACACACACATACATTTATAATAAACTCAGGGGTTGCCTCTTTCGGGCATTTGAATGAGGCAGGGTGTTGTTGACGGATATGATAAGGCAGGTGGCATCTGAGAGGAGAAAAGTAGTTCTGGTTCCGAATCCAGCGCTGGTTGCAGCTTGGAAACACAGCTGAGTGGCTGCCGTGGGGCATTCCTCTTTTCAGTTTTTGACAAAGTTGATTTAAAAAGAACCCCCTTATTATTTTTATAAGTTAAAAAATTAGTATTACCATTATTCCATGTTTTCATAATAGACATAAGAATAAAGACATATATATAATTTTACACATCTCTATAATTTTATAGAGAGAGACTTACGGATCTCTAATAATTACAATAAGCCCAGTGAGACTTTGGTTGCCCAAATCATCAGAGAGCTGTGCGTCTCTCACATCCGGCCAGATATTCACTGGAGTTCCTCTTTAGCTGGTATTTAAAAATTGCAGATGTCTGGGCTTGTTTCGAGGGTCACTGCCAGTTCAATGCCCTGTTTCATCTCCCGTGTCCCGTGTCCTTGGACTTGACTCCTAATTTGGGGGATGAGCTCAAGTCATGCAGAATTCCCAATCACAAGGGAAGGTGACATCCTGTATGCTTTTCCTACAAAGGCATGGTTTTAAATAGCCAGCACTAACAAGATTTCCTGGCTACCTAAGTGGCTTTTTTCTGAAATCCACCCCGCTAGTTCCTCAGCCCCACTCCAGCAGCACCCCCTTTGAGGGAATTGAAGAGGTGAAGAGTTGGCATCGTGGATTTGTGAGGCGTTCATGCTCTCCTACATCCCCCAGATGTTTTGGACAATGTGATGAGAAAATAACCTGCAAAGTCTGGGTCATATTTACCCAACATTTGATGCATGTTTTGGAACTGAATGAGACCAGAGAGGATCACAAACACAAATGAAGAAATGTCATTTCTGACATTGTGTTTATTATATCAAAGCATTCATGCCATTTTAAGCAGCTCACACAGAAGGAACACAATTGTATCTTTGATCTGTTAACACAGTTAGGAACCAATATGTGGATTACCTCTCAGCGCAGAGGCAGCTGCTAGAGATGGGTAAATAATTGATGCTAGCGGCAGGAGGCGTTCCCGCTTCTCTGATGTTCCTCCAACCAGAGATGCAAGAGTGGTCTCCATCGACTGAGCTGTCTGTGTCAAAACAATTAAAGTGCACTTTTCCACTAGAATTACCTAATTTTTTTCCTAGAATTACCAGACAAGGAAGGCAGGTTGGAGACAGTTATGAAGTAGAAGTCATCGTTTTTCTCTTACCCTGCTTCTAGCATGAGGTGAGAGTCCACTTACTCAGATAGTCTGAAGTCGTTCTTCCCTTTTGTTTAGGAGTGGGGAAGGAATGGAGATCTGCAAAGTTAAGATTTTTGCTTTGGACGGAGCATCTAGCTGAAGAATAAAGGATGCAATATTAGCTTTCTATGGCTGTGGAAACAAATGACCCTGAACAGTTTAAAACAGCACAGATTGGTGATGCCATCGTGAAGGAGGCCAGGTGTCCGGCCAGGCCCAAATCCAGGAGCTGTCAGGGCTGCCTGCCTTAGCGGCAGTCACAGGGGAGTCTGTTCGTTGCTTTTGGGGTTGTTGGTAGAATTTCATTCCATGGGATTACGGGACTGAGTTCCATTTTCTTGTGGCTGTCAGTGGAGGGCCATTTCCGGCTCCTTGAGGCACCCCATTTTTTGGCTCAGGGTGCCTTCCTCCACGTCCACACCCGCAGGGATGCCTGCAGTCCTCACGTCACATGCCCTGGCCCCTCTTCTCCCGTGCTCCCCCACTCTTCAGGACTCAGGTGTTTCCACTGGGCTCTTCGGAAGGACCCAGGGTCATCTCCCCATCTTGAGGTCCTCTCCCTGTCGCACCTGCCAAGTCTCCTGTGCCCTGTAGGGTCTCACAGTCACAAGTTCCAGGGATTAGGGGGTGAACATCTTTGGGGGCCGCTGTTCTGTCTCCCAAATGGACAGGGTGGGATGAGGCATCCTTAGAGATGGAGTCCAGTTAGAGGCTGCTGTGGCGGCCCCAGCAAGAGACAGTAAAGATGGCTTTGTGCTGCACACAATCTTCAGGGCTGTTTGAGTGTGGGGCAGGGGAGCCCACGCCCAGGATTAGAATGAGGCGCCCTGGGCCCTTCTCTCACTCCTCTTTCCTTTATGCCTTGCGGATACTCCCAGAAGGAGAAATGCAAAGCACAGCAAACTATTTATGTTAAATAGACTGCAAGGTTTGATGGCATCTGGTTGTCGACCACCAATGCTGAGGTTCCTCTTTGAGGGGTAGGTTGAGGCCAGAGAAGGGGCAGGAAGGGCAGGGGGTAAAGAGAGTTTGGGGTCCTGCTCTCCATTTTGAAAGCACATTGTATGCCAAGTGGAAAGCTAAGCAGTTTTCTGTGAAAATATGTGAATAAATGAGCAGGTACACACATACATACACACATGCACACTGATGCAGACATGCGCACACATACACACAGGCACACGTGCTCACATGCACACTTCCGCACACGCTCAAATACACATGCACATGCACACATTCACACTCACATGCACACACATGCTCATACATGCACACATGAGCACACATGCTCATATGCACACATGCGCATACACGCACACTCACATGCACTCATATATGCTCACATAGACACATGCTCACATGCATATATGCACACACACATGCTCACACAGTCACATGCACACGCACGTGCACATTAAGGCTTTGGTGGAAAGAGTGGCCCTCTAATAACTTGTTTTTTAATAGCTGGAGTTCCACATGAAGGAGAAGAGAGAGGACCTCCAGATTAGCTGGTCTTTCATCAGTGTGCCGGAAATGGCCGTTAATATCCAGCCCAAAGCACTGGGGGAGGTCAGTCCGTAAGTTTTTATGATTCTTCCATTGGCGTGAGAACGCACGTGTGTTAGGACAGTCTGCGGTGGGGAACTGAGTGCATGGCTGGTGTTGCTGGCCTCCTTCCCTGTCCCAGCCACTCCTCCTGGGGCTGGCTTGGGCCTCTCAGGATGTGGATGGGCCCTTTGGCTTGGCAGGGCCTGCTGGGGGATGGCTTTGATGGATTGGATGCAGGGCTCCCACCTGAGCTGCACCTGCAGTCACCTGGCCATTTAAAAAAAAAACCCTGAAGCCTTCCCTGCCCCACCCAAGATGCAGGTTTAATTGGCTGGGGATGATTTTAGCACTCATATGCAGCCAAGGCTAATGACACCGTAGGTACCTGCTTGACGCTCCACCATGTCTGACGATCAGGCCCTCTCTCCCACGGTGAGGGTGCTGCACTCGTAACTTGGGCTGAGTCCGAAGGCTGCTTCCAAGGGCAGGGCGTCCTTTCTTTCCACAGTTTTTGCAAAGACAGAGCTAAAATCTGAAGGTAATTTCCTTCCTTCCTACTTTGCATGGTTTTAGTCACCTGAAGACGTGAGATTGGGAGCAGGGAGTGGGCTTGCAAAGGCGATTTGTCAACTTTCTCCTCTTTCACCAGGACCAGGTGGCTGAGACAAGTGCGATGTCTGACGTTCTCAAGGACATCTTGAAGCATTTGGCTGGTTCTGCCTCTCCATCAGTGGTTCTGATTACCAAGCCCACGACTGTAAAGGAAGCTCAGGTAAACTCATCTGGGTGCTGTGGGTGCATCTGAACCCCGTTAGGCACCATGGCCCACCTCTCTTGGAGAATCTGTGTGCGTTCCAGCGTTCCTCCACCTCCCATGGTAGAGCCAAGATGGCTCGGGTGCTTGCTGGAGATCATGATGGTGGATGTGGGATAAAGCCTTGGGTTTGGAGCATGGGGCTGCAAAGCTTCATGAAGTGGAAGGAAAACCTGACATTTCCCTGTCCATTCAGAGCCCTAGACCTCATCTTTCCAGGACCAAGGTACCTGGGAAAGCAGCCAGTGTTGAGAACATTGCCCCAGAAGCAAGCAGAGCCAGGTGGGTGGGATAGACAGAGATGGTTTAGCCTGGGCTAGGGCCGGCCTGCTGCCCTGGTCCTGCCTGCAACAGCTCCTGCCTCTTGGAGGTCTGTGTCCTTTGGAGGCACACGATAAAGGAGGCTAGTCTCATCTGTGCGACCCCCTTTTCCATATCACCTGCCTCCCTCCTCATGCTGGAGCCCCCCTATTCCATCTGATTAGGGCGCTACTCACTTTTCTGGTTAAATTCTTAACCAGAGCATTTGCCCTGGTCAACCTCATGGGCCTAAATAACACATCAGTAATCCTTTGTTTAAGGTGAGTTCTCTCAGTCATACGCTGATCTTTTTATCATGATTACGTACAACAGGCACTTATAGTCCCTGAAGTTTAAAAAATATATTTTTTTGGCAGTGGTTTTATGTAGCATGATAAAATACATCTTTATTATAATGTCCATCTTTATTATCTAGCTCTTGGTGAAGTCAGTTTGAAAATACAAATTCCTGTGTGATGTCTGTCCTTGGTCTGCAGATGTCACCAGCTGTCAGTAGGTAGAGTCTGAAGACTTTGTTTCACTGGACAGATATCAGTTGATGGCAGTGTTTGCTGCTAAGCCCTGGCTATGGGGGTCACAAGAGTATAAGGAAGCACCATCACCCTCCCGAAGCCTGCAGTATGCAGAAGGGGCACCGGGCCAGCAGAGCAGAGCAGGAGGGGTGTGGATGTCTGGGGGGCTTCCCAGGGGCCTGAGGCCTGGGGGCACTCAGCCTCTCCAAATGGAGGGGACCAGGCCATGCCTCTTGGGAGGTGAGAGGAGAGTCCCAGCGCTGTCCCTTTCAGTATTTCTGTCACAGTAGCTTATTTCACATCAGAGGTGACTGTTCTGAATGTGACAATCAACTTTTAATGTCAAAATGTATGCGGCTTCATAAAACAGTCGTATATTTTTGGAATCCATGAATTTAATAGGACCCAGACGATCATAACTTCAATCATGCTTTTCCATAAATTTGTACAGTTTATTTAATCAAAATAGCATATATGTATATTATATTGGTCAGGATTTTCCAGAGAAACAGAACCAATGGGAGTGTGTGTGTGTGTGTGTGTGTGTGTGTGTGTGTGTGTGTGTAATCAGCTCACACAGTTATGAAGGCTGGTACGTCCTGAGATCTGCATTTGGTAAGCTGCAGCCCCGGGAGAGTCTGTGGGGTAATTCTAGTTCGAGTCTGAAGCCCTGAGACCTAAAAGAGCCCGTGACGTACATTCCAGTCCAAAGGCCACTGGGCTCAAGACCCATGAAGAGTCACTGTTTCAGTCCAAGTCTGAAGGCAGGAAAAGGCCCCTTTCCCGGCTCAAGCAGTGAAGGAGTTTCCTTTTACTCAGCCTTTCTGTTCCATTGCGCCTCCAACGGACTGGATGAGGCCCACCCACGAGAGGGAGGAAAATCTGCATCATTGGGTGTGCCAAGTTCAATGTTAATCTCATCCAGAAACACAGTCAGTCACACCCAGAATCATGTTGGACCAGATATCTGGGCACCCCATGGCCCAGTCAAGTCGACACATACAGTTAACCATCACCCTCAGCAATTGAAAAAAAAGATTTCATCTCTGTCCCAGACAAGTAGATTGCTCTGTCCCCAGTGCTCATGTCCTTGGATTTCAGGGATTTCGGCAATTCCTTCTTGGGCTCCAGCACCCTCAGCTCACGTTTGGGAAGTGCCTGGCTCAGAACAGTGTTTTCTAGGTGGGAAAGAACACCTGTGTCTCTTGAGACATTAGTGAGCATTCCCCCGAAGAAGTGCTCAGTCAAATCAGTGCTCAGTCAAATCAGCACCCAGTTTTCAGCTCTGCCTGAAAACTTCTCACAGCATGGGGGCTGGCGCCACCTCCGAGAAGCCCGTCTGGGTCCCTGAATGCTTGCAACGAACAGAGCCTCTTTAACCCGCACGTTGTGCACATGTACCCTAAAACTTAAAGTATAATTAGAAAAGGAAAGAAAAAGAACTTAAAACAAACAAACGAACAAAATAAATAAAATAAAAGAACACTCTTGGCCAGGCGTGGTGGCTCATGCCTGTAATCCCAGCACTTTGGGAGGCTGAGGCGTGCGGATCACCTGAAGTGGAGATTTCGAGACCAGCCTGGCCAACATGGTGAAACCCTGTCTCTACTAAAAATACAAAAAGAATTAGCCGGGTGTGGTGGCGGGCACCTGTAATCCCAGCTACTCAGGAGGCTCAGGCAGGAGAATCGCTTGCACCCAGGAGGCAGAGGTTGCAGTGAACTGAGATCGCACCACTGCACTCTAGCCCGGACAACAGAGCGAGACTCTGTCTCAAAAAAAAAAAAGAACACTCTTGGCAGTGAGTGACAGGTGGAACCCGGTTTGGGAAATGCTGGTTTGAAGCTGGGCTCTTCCAGATTTGGGGGTGCTTTCTGTTGGAAACGCCCTGGTGTCTGTTGGAGGATGTGATGTGGTGTCTATTGGAGGATGTGATGTGGTAGAAGCTGGTCCCAGCTGCCCCTGCCTCTGTCCCCTCACCTGTGCAGTGCTAGGGTATGCATAGACTTTCCTCATGTGGACGTTGGACTCTGTGTGGAGGTGGGAAATGGGTGTGGGCTGACAGCCCTGGCTGTTCCCATCTGTCTGGTGTCCTGCTCTGTACTAGCAGGCCATGAGTGCCCGCAGCCAGCGGAAGAGGTCCTCATGCTCTTAAGCACCTGCCCGGGTCAGATAGTTTAGACCCATGGCAAAGTGAGCTCCATCTTCCCCCGTGGTAAGTAAGTTGTGGGAACCCTGTCTGTGGATGAATGCACTGCTACTTGTACTTGCTGTATTTGGGGTAGAAAATGCTCCCAGGCAGGAGGATGGCGATGGCTCATTGGCTCCCTCCCTTCATGTGAGAAGGGAAATTGTTTCAGAGCAGATCCCAGAGCTCGGGCTCCCTGTGCAGGTTTTCCTGTAGACACCCCACTGCCACCACCCCCCATAACAGGAGTCCAGTGGCTACTTCCTTGGCCCTCAATCTCCCCATGAAGACCAAAAATAAAGTGCTCTTTATTTTTTCAGAACTTACAGTGTGCTGCATCTACTGCTCAGGAATCCTGTCCTCCTAAACCTCCAAGGGCTCACGAGCTGAAGCTACTGGTGAGGAACATCCACGTCTTGCTGCTCAGCGAGCCCGGTGCCTCAGGTGGGTGACGATGGGAGCCTGCCTGCCTGGAGGGGCTCTTCCAGCCCCTGAGCAGAGTCGGGGGCTCCGGGGGGCCTTGGATTCTCTGGTGGCATCCTCCCGTGGGGGTGCAGCGGGAGCCCTGCCACGGTTGCAGAAAGCACCTGAAAATGTAACGGGAACAAGAGATGGTAAAAAATCCAATCCTGTTTCTGCACGTGGGAAGGCCAAGGAGGGAAAGGAGTATAATTGGTTTGGCCTTTTTCATTTGTCTGGAATTGTCCTGCCTTTTTTATCTTTTCTTTCCTTTTTTTTTTTTTTTTTAACTGTTGAACCTGTATGTATGTGTTAAGCATCCTTGACCAAGGTGCAGCTTCTGCTTTCTTTTTTTTGAGATGGAGTTTCGCTCTTGTTGCCCAGGCTGAAGTGCAATGGCACGATCTCGGCTCACTACAACCTCCACCTCCTGGGTTCAAGCGATTCTCCTGCCTCAGCCTCCCTAGTAGCTGGGATTACAGGCGTGCACCACCACGCCTGGCTATTTTGTATTTTTAGTACAGACAGGGTTTCTCCATGTTGGTCAGGCTGGTCTTGAACTCCCTACCTCAGGTGATCCGCCCGCCTCAGCCTCCCAAAGTGCTGGAGATTCTGCTTTCTTAGAAAGTGGGTGAAGGGGGATGTAGGGAGTTGATGGGCATCAGATGGCTTCGGCCACACTCGGGACTCCGATGCTGGGAGACCATGGCTGCTGTTGGAGCCAAGACAAGCAACACAGAATGGATAACCCCTTCTGGGTGGTTCTGAATCACTGTTGAGGCCCCAGACACAGAGTCACTCGGGACAGGGCACCTCTTTACAGCGCGACTCCATTTTGCCAAGAACAGGAGCAAATTGTATTGCCCGAGTATGTTAAAGGTGACTTATCTTTATTTGCAAGGGGCTTCCTCCAGTTCCAAAAGCACAAATGGGCCACATCTAGCAACTGAGACTGTGCAGAGCTAGCTGTTGAGGATGTTTTTTGGTAAAAGTGCCCACATGTTGCCCTTTCAGCCTGTACTGCTTAGTGGCTAAACGTGAGCTCCCTGGACTCGGTCGGTCAGGGTTGGGGTCCCAGCTCTCACATGTACCTGTCCTGAGGCCAGGCCCCGTTCCTGCCTCTGCTGGATGTCCCCACGTCTGGGTCTGAGTCTTCTCTTGAAGAGTGACTGTGAAAGCTCAGTAGCGAATGCGTGGAGGCTGCTTCACCCTGCTGCTGCGTGGTCCAGCGTCCACACATTCCAGCAATTACTGATTCCACAGTGTATTGGGGACTTTGTGCTGCAGGGAGAAGCATTGTCTCAAAGCAGAAACAGCTGTTCACTAGTGACATGTCCTACTACCTGGATCAAATACCCTGGCTAGTATCAGGTACAGCACCTGTCTGGTGTAAGTCGGGAAATGGGAACTCTGTGAGGTATATTTCCAAATTTAGGAGTCAACACGAACTGATGTTTAGGCTTTGGCAAACTGTTAGTCTTGTCTAAAAGTGGGGACCATGCCTGTGTATATAATGGTGCTGCCTCTCGGGGAGGGTCCCCCTGGGAGCCCACGCTTGTGGCCAGCACTGACGGAGGGGGCGAGGTACTTGGGGTCAACAGCCCTTGGCTGTTGATATCAAATGTGGGAAAAAATTACTTAACTCCAATAAAGGCTGGTGCTATGAGCATTTGAAAATGGCAGATGCAAGAATTCCCACTCTCTGAAGTGGGTAAACCTCGACCTTAGTCATTTAATTTAGCCTTTTTTTTCTATGCATACAATGTCTTCATGCAATTTAAAAAATAAAAATAATGCTGGGCGCGGTAGCTCATGCCTGTAATCCCAGCACTTTGGGAGGCCGAGGCGGGTGGATCACGAGGTCAGGAGTTCGAGACCAGCCTGGCCAACATGGTGAAACCCCGTCTCTACTAAATATACAAAAATTAGCTGAGCGTGGAGGCGTGCGCCTGTAATCCCAGATACTCGGGAAGCTGAGGCAGGAGAATCGCTTGAACCTGGGAGGCGGAGGTTGCAGTGAGCCGAGATTGCGCCACTGCACTCCAGCCTGGGCGACAGAGCGAGACTCTGTCTCAAAAAAAAAAAAAAATAAATAAATAATAAAAATAAACGCCAACACGATGCCCTTCTATTTAATTACAGGCCACATTAATGCAGTGTGCGTCGTGCAGCTGAACGATCCTGTTCAGAGGTTCTCCAGCACCCTGACGAAAAACACTCCGGACCTCATGTGGGAAGAGGAATTCACCTTGTGAGTCTGGCCGGGTTATGGGCCTGTGTGTCCACGGCCGTGTCTGTTCAGGAGCGCCAAATCCTGAAATCATTCTGCAGCACCGTTTAGGCTAAAACACTAAACCAAAACAGTTAACAACAAATGATGTCTTAAGCATCTTAAAGGTAGCTTTAGGTCAAACATGGGTTTTGTTGTAAAGGCAGCTCTTAGAGTCAGTTTTCTCCTCCTGCCCTGATATGATGAGAGGGAGCCATCGTGGGGTCTCTTACAGACACACATATCATCCAGGGTGAAAAGGGAGGGAGCCTCTGACTGAATCCAGAACCTAACGAAGAAAATAGAAAAAGGCGCTGGGTGCAGAGGCTCATGCCTGTAATCCCAGCTGTTTGGGTGGCAGAGACGGGAGAATCGCTTGAGCCCAGGAGTTTAAGACCAGCCTGAGCAACATAGCGAGACCTCTTCTCTACTAAAAGTTTTAAAAAATTTAACCGGGCATGGTGGCCCTTGCCTTGCCTGTAGTACTCCTAGCTATTTGGGAGGCTGACGCAGGAGGATTGCTTGAGTCTGGGAGAGCGAGGCTTCAGTGAGCTGTGATTGTGCCACTGTATTCCAGCCTGGGTGACAGAGAGATACCCTGTCTCAAAAAAAAAAAAAGAAAGAAAGTCTGGGAACAGTAGCTCACACATGTAATCCCAGTACTTTGGGAGGCTGAGGTGGGTAGAGGTCAGGAGTTCGAGACCAACCTGGCCAACATGGTAAATGAAACCCTGTCTCTACTAAAAGTACAAAAATTAGCCAGACATGGTGGCAGGTGCCTGTAATCACAGCTACTCAGGAAGCCGAGGCAGGAGAATCACTTGATCCTGGGATTCAGAGGTTGCAGTGAGCTGAGATTGTACCACTGCACACTCCAGCCTGGGCAACAAAGTGAGACTCCATCTCAAAAAAAAAAAAAAAAAAAGAATCGAGATAGGGAAAAATGTAGGCCATGCATAAATAATGGGGTAAGAATCATAAATAAAATATTATCAAACAGAATCTAGCAGCACATGAAAAATAAAACCAGCTGTGTTCATACCAGGAATGTAAGGATGTATGTGTGCTTTCTCATAAGGAAATCTGTTAATGGTGTTCATTGTATTACTAGATCAAAAGAGAAAATAAATGTATTTTCTCTACATATGTCCAAAAGACATTCAGTGACATTTAATACCCATTCTTAATTTTTAAAAACTTAATTAGAGCAAAATTTATGGATACTTCTTTAATAAGATTTTAAAAATCACTATAAATGGTAAATACCAGAAGCAGACTCACTAAAATCAAGAGAAGGATGCCTATTTTATTCTAGAAGTATTGGTTAATGCAAATTAGATAAGGGAAAAAACTATACACAAATACCGGAAAGGAAGAGGCAAGACCAATCATTGCTTGGAGATGATATGACTGCGTATCAGGACTATGCAAGAAAATCAACCCAAGCTATTAGAAAGAATAATTGATATAAGGTAGAAATGAATATTTTAAAAACTAATAGACATAATCATTTAATGAATTAGCTGAGTACCAAAGTATTAAAATTAATCATAATCTAATCCTTAAAAAATGAACAATTAGAAAAAGTAATGGAAGAAAATTTCCCGTGTGTGTGTGTGTGTATAGCTTTTATAAATCATGAATGAAAAGATGACAGCTGCCTTAGAAAACTGAACAAAATTCCTGAACTGGAAATACAAAAGCCAGAGCTACCAATGGCCATAAACTTCTGAAAAGATGTTCAGAAATAAGTAAAGTCATGCAAACTTCAGCAAAAGGGAGAGGTCATCTTTCCACCTCACAGCTTGGTAAAGAATAAGAGAGTGATAATGGCATTGGAGGTGTCACTGGGAATAAGCATTCTGGATGCCATCCGTCGACCTAAATGAAAAACACCTCTCAAATGCACATGCCATTTGACAGGCAATTAGAGTTTTCCTAAGGAAATAATCACACGGCGTGCAAAGATATATGGGTAAGAATGTGCCTCTCAGCTTGTGTATAGTTATGAAATAGTGGGGACCACCAACACATTAAGAAGGGTTGTTTAGTAAAGAGTTGGCTAAATAAAATCTCCTAAGGGCAAAGAGCAGAATACTAGAGGCCCATCCAACATGATGTTGCTCTGTAGTTATACAGAAAGACATCCACAAAATTTTCAGTTAAAAGAATAGGTTACAGGCTGGGCGCGGCGGCTCACACCTGTAATCCCAGCACGTTGGGGGGCCGAGGTGGGAGGATGGCTTGAGCTCAGGAGTTCGACACCAGCCTGGGCAACGTAGCAAGACTTCATCTCTACTTTTTTTTTTTTTTTTAATGCCTTTGTAATGAAAATAAATAGGTTACGAAGGAGGAGGGAGGTATATCATGTTCCGTATTTTGTCTTTAGGTCATTATATAGCTGTGCTTTCAATATGGCAGCGACTGGCCACATGTGTCTCTTTAAATTAAATTAATGGAAATTTTTTAAAATGACGTTCAGTTCCTCAGCTTGCACTGGCCACCTCTCCAGTGCTCCGTGCCTACCGCATTTGACAGCTTCTCTGTCACTGCCATCACAGAACATCCTGTTGACTACTCTGGAAGGCTAGTCACCGAATATTAACAGTAACTGTTTCCGAATGGGGAGGTTGCAGATAACTCTTTCCCTTTTTTTGCTTATATGTCTTGGTAGTTTGTTAAATATTGACATCTTTGTCTTCCTTTCTATAATCAGAAAAAACACTCTATTTCATAAAAAGAATCAAGCATTGCATTTTTTAGGACTCATAACTTGTTTCTCTTCCAAAGCGAGTTGAATGCCAAGTCGAAGGAGTTACACCTGCAGATTTCAGAGGCTGGGCGATCCTCAGAAGGTGGGTTGAGCAGGAGGACAGAGGCCTCGCCCTCTGGAAAGGTCCTCCGCTGCATGACCTCGGCCTCAGGAAAAGGGCGGTGGGAGATCCAGCAGAGGAAGCTGACCCCTCCTCTAAATGACTTTGGTTTTCCCATGGGAATGTTTGGTCGAAAGGCAATTTGAGTTATTAACAAGGTCATACATTTTGGGGAAATGTTCAACTGGATTTTTTGTTTGTTTTTTTAAAAAAATCCAAAATCTTTTATGCAACAATTCTTGGCATAGAGAAGTAGTTCTGAACCCTCTTAGCTCCAAGAGACCTCCTTTTTTTGGAAAACAAAAACAAAAACAAAACCTTTTAACTGTAGTAAGATAAACAACATAAAATGTATCGTCTTAACCATTTCTAAGTACATAGTTCAGGGGCAGTAAGTACATTCACACGGTTGTGCAACCATCACCCCCATCTATCTCCAGAGCTTTTTTCATCCCTACTCTACTGCCTGTATGAATTTCACTGGGTTTTTCCTTGTAAAATAAACTACAGAGGTTTACATTGAACTCAGGATTTATACACAAGAAAGCAACAATTAGAGGTAAAGTCACTAAAACACTAAAATGAACGTGGGCCTGTATGTGTGTGTGTGTACACATCAGTAGTTTCAATATTTGTTAGGTTTTTAAAGATACAAATATTTTCTTAGATTGTAAAACTCTCCCCATAAACATACCAAAATTGGGAAGCCCTTGCCCAGCCTATCCAGCAATAAAATCAAGCCATTTGGTTACCTCCTAAAGTGAGAAAGTTGTTATTTCTCCCAGTTAACTAGTTTTATATCCT
Organism: Homo sapiens; assembly: GCF_000001405.40. Lineage (NCBI taxonomy): Eukaryota > Metazoa > Chordata > Mammalia > Primates > Hominidae > Homo > Homo sapiens. Next base: position 41,908,636 of record NC_000021.9, on the reverse strand, counting down.
AGTTGTTAGCAAGAATCCTGAGGCGACTTCCTTGATTTTGGAGTCCCGAGAAAACTGGGATGCCCGTGAGATAAGAGTCCTGAGAGAGAAGCCTAACGCAGGTCGGGGACCTGCACAGCATGGGGGTGCTGTTTACCTGGAGAGAAGTCAACTTCTGATCCCATTCCTGGGTCCCCACTCCTTCTGGCCTCACTCAAATTTCGTTCCAGCCCAGCCTGATGGAATCCATGAAATTTCGAACTTTACAAAAACAATGCAAAGAACAGCCACATAACCTTTACTCAAACTCACGTATCCTTAACATTTGCCCAGTTTCCTCTACTATTTGTGCTCATGCTTGGTCTCTCTCTCCCTCCCCTTACTCATTTTCTTTTACACACACACACACACACAACTTGAGGGTAAATTGTATGCATCTTGGCCCTTTATCCTCAATTCTTTAGTGTGTATTTTCCCAGGAATGGAGATACTCTCTGCTGTGTCCACGGTACAGTTGTCAGCTCCCTGAATTTACATTGCTGCAATTCCTTAGCTTATGCCCATCTTCCAGTTTTTGTCACTGGACGACCCCGTGATGTCCTTCAGAGCAGTGACCTTTCCACTCCGGCACAGGGCCGGACATTGCCTGCCTGTCTTATTGCTTTAGCATCCTCTGTCCTGCAGCGTTTCCACAGCCTTTCTTTGTCTTTTATGGCATCGACATTTTTCAAACATTCTGAAACGTGAGCACTTCCCCGTGGGCTGGATGCACGGGAGGAGCGTGTTCCGGCTGCTGGGCGTGTGGGCCTTTCCGTCCTCACGGAAGCCCGGGAAACATCAGCGGCACCCCTTGCCTGTCTCCTATCTTTTCAGGTCTGCTGGCGACGGCGACAGTTCCTCTGGACTTATTTAAGAAGCAGCCTTCTGGGCCACAGAGCTTCACGCTGACCAGCGGGTCTGCCTGCGGCAGCTCGGTGCTGGGCTCGGTCACGGCAGAGGTAGGGCGAGGCTGTCCGCCGCGGCCGGGTTCCGGCTTGGGGCACTTACCCAAGGAGCGTCTTCACTTATGTCTGCAGAGTCTCACTCCTGCCTCTGTGTGAAATAAGACCTCCTCCAAGAGGAGATGCTGTTTCATCGTACGCAGGACCAGACTCGAATAGAGCACGTTCTGTCCACTGTACAATTGAGTTGTCTGCTGGAGGAGATAACTGTTCAGGATGCCATTTTATGGACCTACCCCAAAAAGGCCTTTGAAAGTTTTGCTTGGTTCCCCAGCTTCTATTCTGTTGCCATCATTACGTGTTGAGCTGGCTGTGCGTAAGGTTGGGTCTGTGTCCATTCTGGGAATATCCAGGTTAATTGGAGATGCTAAGTGACCTTAAGGGAAGGAATTATGAATTATGGTTATTTCACAAGAAGGCAGTGTTACCTGGCTGATCAGCCTGGGCAACTTCCACAAAACCAGAAACAAGTAACGCGTCTTCTCTGCAGTTCTCTTACATGGAACCTGGTGAATTGAAATCCTGGCCCATCCCTCCCCCTGTTCCTGCTGCAAAAATAGAAAAGGACCGCACGGTGATGCCCTGTGGGACTGTGGTCACTACTGTCACTGCTGTGAAGACCAAGCCTCGCGTCGACGTGGGGAGGGCGTCCCCGCTGAGCTCTGGTGAGACAACAGGAACGCAGTCGAGGAACTTTCTGCATGACGCCTGCCTGTAACCACCTTGCCCCCACAACTGCAGAGTTCTGGAGCCTGCAGCGCCGAGTGTTAGGAAATTCTCACAGCACAGGAAGGGTGCTAATTGGCCACACTTGTGCTTAGTTTGTTGTTGTTATCGGATGACAGTTATCTTTCTCTTCTGCCAAACACATATGCAATAAACTGAAACAAGGTTCAATTCCCATGGTATATTCTGAAGCTAAAATCTAGATAGTGTAAATAGTTGCCCTTAGGTGTAACTCCAACTAAGTTAAATTAAGAACTCAATGATAGGGCTGGGTGCAGTGTCTCACTCCTGTAATCCCAGCACTTTGGGAAGCCGAGGCGGGCAGATCACCTGAGGTCAGGAGTCTGAGACCAGCCTGACCAACGTGGTGAAACCCCATCTCTACTAAAAATACAAAATTAACTGGGCGTGGTGGCACGTGCGTGGAGTCCTAGCCACTCTGGAGGCCGAGGCAGGAGAATTGCTTGAACCCAGGAGGCAGAGGTTGCAGTGAGCTGAGATCACACCATTGCACTACAGCCTGGACAACAAGAGCAAATTTCAAAGAAAAAAGCAAAAACAAAACAAAACAAAACACGAACTCTATTACCTGTATGTGGGGACAGCACACGCTTTTTTCTTGAAAAATTCAAAGTGAGTGGTCCTTGTAGACTTTCTTCTGTGAAAAATCGTTTGCTAGAAGGCTTGACGGACTGTCATTTGAGATCCAGCTGAATTCTGTACCTGTCTCCACAGGCACTGCCTTGGAGACAGAAGTTTCTGTATAAGCGTATGCTTTATTTCTCAAAATTCATACTGCATCTCTGCTTGGGCAAAAGCATTATCCTCCCAGAGTGCATGAGTTGGCACAGTTCAGGGATGCAAAATAGAATGGGAAATTCTGGCTTAGTTAAAATGTTTCTGAAATTTTATTTCAACCTGGACTCCAGACACCACTCTTGCCCCTCCTCCCCTCAAAACAGCTTTCGTTAAGCTTTGCCTTTACCAACTGCACACACCAGAGTTGCAGTGAGGGCTGTCCTTTCACTTTTCGGTAACTGTTGATCCAGTCAGCCACGGGGCCGCTTTTGTAATCAGGATCTTCCTCTGGCAGATTCTCCGGTGAAGACTCCCATCAAGGTGAAGGTGATCGAGAAGGACATCTCTGTCCAGGCCATCGCCTGCCGCAGCGCCCCCGTCAGCAAAACACTCTCTTCTTCAGACACAGGTAACTGAGACACGCCCACGTCGCTCTCCCTCTTAGCACCTTTGGGCCTTTTGGGCTGTTCTGATATGAAGTATTTTCCTTTCAGAATTTGGAAAAAGTTGTTTTGGGCCTGGTGTGGTGGCTCACACCCGTAATCTCAGCACTTTGGGAGGCTGAGGCGGGTGGATCACTTGAGGTCAGGAATTTGAGACCAGCCTGGCCAACATGGCAAAACCCCATCTCTACTAAAAATACAAAAATTAGCTGGGCGTGGTGGCGCATGCCAGTAATCCCAGCTACTCAAGAGGCTTAGGCAGGAGAATCGCTTGAACCTGGGAGGCAGAGGTTGCAGTGAGCCGAGATTGCACCACTGCACTCCAACCTGGGTGACAGAGCGAGACCCTGTCTCTTAAAAAAAAAAAAAAAAAAAAAAAGTTTTGATTTGCTTTTGTTTTGTTAATGAGTGATGAGTGAAGGAGAGGGAGAAAAGGGAACTCCAAATTGATCAGAGACCAGGAGCGGCATTCATATTCCTGCTACATTTTAGGGAATGCTTTAACAAAATAAAAAGCCAACTGAGACTTTACATTTTAAATTTTCTGTTCATTTTTCTCTTGCACAACACGCTAGCTACATTAATAGCAAATAAGTAGGACTCAGGACATCGTCCTCACCGTCACTTTAATTTTATTCACCACTTTCTGCTTACACCAGCTTAGTAGAAGTAGTTTTCCCTTCCACTAGGAAATGGTCACTACGAATAGGAAATGCAAATTCCCTATTTTATGGTCAGTTTCAGGTAATAGACTTTTTGAAGAGATGTCTTACTGACTCATTAAATCACTGCGCAATCTAAATTTGGGGATTAACTTTCTCCCTTTGCCTCCTCGTGACCTGCTCTCAGGGGCAATGGATGCTTCCTTCTTGCTTAGCTCTCCCACATTCGCTGAGTCCTGTGTCTGACCTTGCCCAGGTCAACAACTGGGCAAGGTGGGGCAGTCAGGGGAGTGGAAAGTTCTCACTGGAGGGGCACTGTCTTAACATGGTGTTGGATTCTCAGCCTGGTGAAAGTTCATAACTGCCTCCTCCTCTTGTGGGAGGTTTTATGGTTTTTTGGATACTACCCCGCTGGGTCCCCCACCTGCAGTTCTGGGACGCAGGCCCTGCCCCTCCTTTCGTTACCAGAAAAGGATCTTGATCTAGACCCCAAGAGAGGGTTCTTGGATCTGGTGCAAGAAAGAATTCGGGGCGAGTCCACAGAGTAAATTGAAAACAAGTTATTAAGAAAGTAAAGGAATAAAAGAATGGCTACTCTGTAGGCAGAGAACCCGTACGGGCTGCTGGTTGGCTCTTTTTCTGGTTCTTTCTTGATCATATGTTAAACAAGTGGTGGATTATTCACGAGTTTTCTACGAGGGGCGGCGATTTCTCAGAACTGAGCATTCCTCCCCTTTTCAGACCACGTAGGGTAACTTCTTGCCTTTGCCATGGCAGTTGCAAACTGTCATGGTGCTGGTGGGAGTGTCTTTTAGCATGCTAATGCGTTATCCTCAGTGTATCATCGGCAGTGAGGACAGCCAGAGGTCACTCTCATTGCCGTCTTGGTTTTGGTAGGTTGTGGCCGGCTTCTTTACCACATCCTGTTTTATCAGCAGGGTCCTTGTGACCTGTGTCTTGTGCCGACCTCCTAGCTCACCCTGTGAGTAAGGGCACCTCACCTCCTGGGAGTGCAGCCCAGGGGATCCCAGCCTCATTTTGCCCAGCCCTTATTTGAGCTGGAGCCGCTCTGGTACTAATGCCGCTGATGCTTTTGCCGCTGCCCCTGATGCCCCTTCCTCAGTTTCTTCCCCTGGCAGTGCCCCCACTGCCCATGCTGCGGGGTCCTGTCACGTGGGCAGGATCCCTCTTAAAAGACCTAGGCTGATGTTCCCACTGTGGGTTCTGATGCATGGTCCATGGAGCCGGCCCCCAGGCTCACCTGCCACGGTGCAGGCTGCACCTGGCACCTGGACCGGGCTCTCGGGGGACTGAACAGAAGCACTGGGCCTGGCGTGAGGAGGACGTGCTCCCGACACGTCTCCCTTGGTGGCTTTGGGAATTACAGCACAGCTTTCTCCTAAGGAGTCCTCCCCAACTCCTTTCTCCAGCACTTCTCTCTTCTCAGTGTGGGTCAGTGGCTAAACAAAAATCTGTTCCTCTACTCACAACACTCCTGACGCCAAATGTGTAGATTTTCTATGGCAAGCAATTTTCTGTTTCTCTGCAGACACCAACTGGGTGTCCTACAATTTAATTCAATTCTGGCATTACCTGGAGTTAGCTCAGATCCCACAGGTGAAAGGCTCAGCCCCACAAAACCACCCTTCCACTTTAGATGTCAGGTGCAAATAGTGGGTCCCCAGGTTACCACACTTTTGTCCCACTTGGCTACAAATTGGGGTTTCCATGACACACTCCTCGGGTTCCGTAATTTGCTATAATGGCTCACAGAACTCAGAGAAACACTTTACTTGGGTTTACCAGTTTATTATCACACAAATGCACAGCCAGATGAAGGGGCTCAGGGCACAGTCTGGGAGGGTCCTGAGTGTGGGAGCTTTGATCTCCGTGGAGTCGCCCCTTTCCCAGTACGTGCATGCGTTGGTTCACAACCTGGACGCTCCCTGAGCCCTGTCATTTAGGGGGTTTATGGTGCTTCTATAAGTAGGTATGTAGGCATGATTGATTCACTTATTGGCCTTTGGTGATTTGAGCTCAATCTCTAGCCCCTTTCCCTTCCCCACAGGCGAGAGGAGGGCAGAAAGTTCCAGCCTTCTAACCACAGGGTTGGTGCCTCTGACATCCAGTGCCCGTCCTCATTAGCATTCACTCGGATGGGGTGCAGGGGCTTATTAGGAATGAGAAGGATGCCCCAGCTCCGTGGCTCTGGAATTCAAAGGATTTTTTTTTTTGTTCTCTGTGCCAGGAACCAGGGAGGAAGACCAAGTATCTATTTATTATTCCCCAGTGTCACTGTTGTCACCGGTTCTTGGCCTCTGTGGTCTTATCTTGACTCCCTTTGGAAATGCAGCATCTGTAAGCCTCAGGCCATGGCCAAAACCGAGACAGAAGTTCCTTTTACCATCCTGCTACTTTAATAGCTTTGCCATTTTGACTTTACCTGAGCAGGAAAGTGTAAGTTACAAGCATCAGCTCTGAGTCAGAGAGACCTGCTGGTCATCTCAGCTCTGGGGCCTCCTGGCTGCTGGACATACTCCTCAATGGTCAAATGGGATAAAAGGAAGGACCTGCTCATGGGGTGTGGAATAGGAGTAAATGAGAGAATGTGCACAGAGCTCTGTCTCTGAACAGCACCTGGTTTGCCGTAAGCATTCTATTGATGTTGGCTGGTGTGTGTTGTTATTAACCTGGGGAAGGAGGTGCTTTTATTAACTGGCCCTTCATAGCTCTAGTTACTATTCTATGTATTTAGGCACTCTTGGGAGGGAAAAGGAGTCACTACCTTGCCTTTCAAAGTTCAAAATCTTCCAAAGGGTTAGATATTTTTTTTTTGTTGTTTGCTTGCTTTTGCCATTTTCCATCAACTCTATTCAGGTATAACTTAAATAAATAAAATCGGTGAATCTTAAGCAGACACTTCAGTGAGTATCTTGTAACCACCCAGGGAATCAAGCTGTAGACCAGGGGTCAGCAAACAGCAAACTATGGCCCATAGGAAAAATCTGGCCCGTCACTTGTTTTTGTAAATAAAGTTTTACTGAAACCCAGCCATGCTCATTTATTTACCTGTGGTCTCTAGCTGGTTTCACTCTATAAAAGCTGCATTGAGAAGTTGTTGCAGAGACCACCAACAAAGCCTAAACAATTGACCCTTTGGCCCCTTTTAGAAAATATCTGCTAACCATTGCTTATCGACCATTTCCATTATCCCTGGAAGTTCCCATGGAAGTCTTTAATTTTTGCTGATGAACTTAACACTGCCTTCCTTCTGGTAGAATTGTTGGTGTTGAATGGTTCGGATCCAGTGGCTGAAGTGGCCATTCGACAGCTCAGTGAATCTTCAAAGCTGAAACTCAAGTCGCCACGGAAGAAAAGCACTATTATCATATCAGGGATCTCCAAGGTACCATCGTGGTGGCTGGGGAGGTGTTCATCTGGTCATCTGTCAGTGACCTGCTGCTCCTCTGCCCTTTGAAGAAGTTAGCCCAAGCACTTGGTTAACGTCCAGAGAGTTCCATTTACAAATGTCAAATTATGTTCCTCACCCCACAAAGGAGTCATGTGTGGTGTTGTGTTTACACAGTTTATCCTATTCACCAAGGACATGGGAGACTTTCTAATCAGGGACGCTTTACACGTTGAGAGGTTGGCAAATCATTTCAAGAAAAATTATCGAAAGAGAGGAACATGATGTAAGACTCCCCTTTGGTACAGAACCTCTGCTCTCGTCACCACCCAGTCACGGGGAACTTTCACTTTCCACGTGACACGTTTCCAAAGCCTTTTACTTTTTTGCAGTGAATGTTTATTCCTTTTGTAATCAGAGAGAAATGAACATTGTAGTGTCCCCCGTGGACACCGCACTCCCTTTCTCCCCCTTCTCCCGCTCTGGGACGTCCGCTCAGAGCAGGTGGTGGCAAGTGTGTGGTTTCAGCTGTGGAGAGGCCAGCCCCTCAGGTGAAGGGCCATGTTACAGATCCTTACTCTTTTTATTACATTTTTTAAAATTGATTTTAAAATTTTTATCTATCTATTTATTTATTTTGAGACCAGCTAATTTGTTATGAGACTGGCTAATTTTTGTATTTTTGGTAGAGATGGGGTTTCACCACATTGCTCAGGCTGGTCTTGAACTCCTGGGCTCAAGCGATCCATCCACCTTGGCCTTCCAAAATGTTGGGATTACGGGCGTCAGCCACTGCTCCCGGCCCTTACTTTTTTTTGACATTTCCAAATGAACAGGTGGAGGGAGAGTTGGGAAGATTTTGATTTGGAGTAGGAGGGGGATGAGGAAGAATTCTGGACAAAAGAGTGGGTGGGTGGGCAGAGGGCACGCAGAAGATGGATTCCTCAGTGGCTGGGAGACAGGCCAGAACAGGACCTTGGAGGTGCCAGAGATGAGTCATCAACCTTGCCATTGTACCCAGAGGGTGGCCTTGCCCCACGTCCCAGAGGCAGGCGGGTGGTGTTTTGGGGGCTTCCTGAGCCCCTCCAGGGGCCCTCAGCAGGGATCCATGACCTCTCTGGAAGTCCGGGGCCCAGTAGTTGGGTTTTCTTCGCTCTTGGGTGAATGAATGAGCAAAATAAGGACAAGACTCGTGGTCATCTCCCCTATACTTTCTCTAAGATCATATTTAAAAATCACAAAGAACTCCTGGATCTTAGTATTTAATGTTCTGAATTCACCGCAGTGATTATTTTTATTGGTGCTCAGATTATCTAATCTTTATTTTATTTTATTTTATTTTTTTGAGACGGAGTCTCGCTCTGTCACCCAGGCTGGAGTGCAGTGGCGTAATCTCGGCTCACTGCAAGCTCCGCCTCCCAGGTTCACGCCATTCTCCTGCCTCGGCCTCCTGAGTAGCTGGGAGTACAGGCGCCCGCCACTACGACCAGCTAATTTTTTGTACTTTTTTAAGTAGAGACGGGGAGATTATCTAATCTTGAGTCAGTGGGCGCTTCCACAGGCTGGCACTTAAGTCAGAACAGCACAGTTGTCCCTAAGCAAACGCCTGTGTCACTGCCACCCACACCAAGAACAGCATGACTGGCCCTCAGGGAGCCCCCATGCCCTCCTCCCCAAACTTTCTCCCCTCCAAGGAAGGGAGCCCCCGTGCCCTCCTCCCCAAACTTTCCCCCCTCCAAGGAAGCGCTATCCCGACTCTCAGAGGTTCATTTAGTGCTTAAATATTTTTACACAAAATATAATTTTTGAGAGGATGTGCCGGTGAATTTCCACTTGCAGGTAACATAAACGTGTAGGAACAAAGACAGCTAAACCCGAAACACCCACGGCCATTTCCTTTGTGCTGTCGTGGACTCTGAAGGACGGGCTCTCTCTCTCGCATCTCATTTCTGCAGCTTGCCACAAACGCTCCCACCGCTAGGCCCATCTGTGAGAGGAAGAGGGTTAACCTCTGAGCCCCGGGGGCCAACCCCCAGCTGCCTAGGGATCCTGAGCCCTGGCTGTAAGGGAGACCTTTTTTAACCCAAGCATGAGCAACGGCCGTGATGTATAAGCGCCTTCTATGAGGCCCACGGCTGCATCTTCTGAGACTTTGAAATCAGCTGTCAGAATGTTTTGGAGAGTGCTTTTCAGTTCTTTTCAAACCCTCCCTTCCTTTCATGTATCCCTTGTCATCTTCCCCACTGCCCCTGACAGACCTCACTATCTCAGGACCACGACGCTGCCCTGATGCAGGGCTACACGGCCTCTGTGGACAGCACCCACCAGGAGGACGCCCCATCCCATCCGGAGAGGGCGGCAGCCTCTGCCCCGCCAGAGGAAGCCGAGTCAGCCCAGGCATCCCTTGCCCCCAAGCCCCAGGAGGACGAGCTAGACTCCTGGGACTTGGAGAAGGAGCCACAGGCCGCGGCATGGAGCAGCCAGGTCCTGCTGGACCCCGACGGTGATGAGCTGTCAGAGAGCTCCATGAGTGTCTTGGAGCCGGGCACTGCCAAAAAGCATAAAGGTACCTGCTCCCGAGCCCCCCATCCCGGGCCCCCCACTTGGTGGCTTTGCGCTCATGCTGGCTTCCAAGCTGAAGTCATCTGCCTTCCTTCCCTTTGTCCCCTACAAACTCCCTCCCAGCCTCACCCCTGCCCCTCCAGAAATGCCCTGTGCTGAATGTTTGAACCCGTGGTGGGGCATCTGCCGGTCCTTCTGTGGGAGGGTTGGCGTCATCTCTGCATTTGGGGTCAGTGTGTGTCCATGCATAGAGGCCCCTTCCTCAGTCTGGGCTTGCTCCACCTGGCTTCCCGACGGGTTACCAAGAGCTGTACACAATGATGGGCTGCAGAGACTCAGAGCAAAGCCAGGCAGAGCCTGGGGCTCCTTCCACTGCCGATATGGACATCTTTGCTCCTTTGTGCCTGTCAAGAGTCTCCCTGCACCTGAAACAAAACCAGACCTCACCACCTGACCCTAGGAGGCTCTACAGGGAGAAAAGCTCCTGGGAATAATGAATCGGTTAACTTAATATGTGGGTGCTGAGGAGGTGATCATTTCATTAGTACTGATTGCTTCCATTAGCCCTAAGTCCGTGCTTTAAAACTATAAATTCCTTAAGCGTGTGCAGATTTGCCGAGACAGTGCCTTGGCATGAGTAACCTGAATGTATTTGCTAAGGACATATAGTCTAGGGGCTTGGGGTCCGTTCCAGATGTGAGACTCACCGAGCCTCAGCATCCTCCTCCATAAGATGAGGAGCATGGCCGCTGCCTGCGCCCACCTGACTCCACCATTCGGGGGACAAAAGGACATCTTGGTGCAGAAGACAGGACTGGGGGCAAGGCAGGCCAAGCCGTGAGCTCAGGTGAAGCTCAGCATTAACTCCTGGCTCTGGCTCTTGTGTGGGGCTCCAAGGCTTTCAGCGGAAATCTCAGGATGTCCTGAGACCATCTGTGTCGGGAAATCGAAGGGGCTCCTTGGGGGAGCTTTGTTAAGCGCTGCTGTCGCTGCCTTTTGTCCTCTGTTCTTGATGCCATAGACCAGTGATTCTCAAGCCCAGCACTTTTTCCCTCCAGGGAATATGGCAGTGTCTGGAGACACTTTAGTTGTCACAGCTGGGAGTCTGGGGTGCAGTCGGCATCTAGTGAATAGAGGCCAGGGATGCCACTCAGCGCCCTGCCGTGCACAGGACACGCCCCCACAAGGCAGCCTCACAGTGCAGCATGCTCTGGTCCCAAATGTCCCTGGTGCCAAAGCCCACAGCCTGCCATGGGCTGGACTGTCTGAGTCTGTCCTCTTCCCCTCTCTCCCTGTCTTTGCTTTGTGTCCCTCAGCCATGGCACGGCGGCCTCCCTCTCCCATGCCCCCCTCCTTGCCAGTGCAGAGTCGTGATAGGTGTTGGGGGAAATGGAAAGTTAGAAGAGGAAAGGGAGAAGGAGGAAATTTCCTGGATAAGATTTCAGACCCGTTGGACTCTGTTTGCCCACTGCCTGGCCTTGGGGTGCTTGATGCATGGACCCCCCTCCACAGAGCACTTGAGGGCTGTAAGCTGCACGCTGACCTCTGTGGCAGGCTCCTGTGCTCCTGTTAAGAGGCCTTGGCTTGGGTTATGTCAAAGGTGACCTGGTCACCTGACACACACACCTGTGGCCTATTCTTTGTCTTGTAGACAGTGAGTGCTGGGCGAAGCGGGACAAACATGGGTGCAGGGTGGGGTAGCTCTTCCTCTCCCTTACCTGACTGGATGGCCCGTTTCCTCTTGTCCTGGCAGAACCCAACCCCCCGTCCGCCCTCCTCATTCCTTCTGAAATGCCAAGCCTCGCTCACTCTGTTCATGTAAAGATCTGTGTTCCTTCACACAGCCCCTCCTCCTTCCCCCTGTCTGGTTTCCCTTCCGGGAGGTCTTTCCCTGGGTTTCCATCCTTGCTGTGTCACCCACCCTGCTCCTCTCCCTTCACGGGCCAGGTGGATGAGGGGTCCACCCTTTGGGGACTGGGTGTCGGGCAGGTGTGTTGGGGGCTGGGGCTGGCCACCTGCAACGCAGGCTCAGAACTTGCCGGAGGCTCGGCATTTGGGAATGCAGCAGAGAGGCTCAGCCGTGCCGTGCGTTTCACTCCTGCGCCCCTACCTCATTGACCCCAGGTTTTTGAACAGGACATACTTGGCAGCAGTTTTAAATGTTTCCTTCCAGTGCTTTTAAAGAGACTTGTAATTAGCATCTCTGTGAGATGCTGTCACAATCTGAGACGATTCTGTGTTATGGGTGCCAAGTCATTTTCATTTTTCAACCAAACATTTTTCAAAACTGGTGATAGAGGATGTCTTTTTTTAAAAACTAAAGCTTGTTTTTTTTTTTTTTTTTTTTTTGGTTTAAGAACCACCTGTATCTTTTGTCCTGCTAAGGAGTTTGTATTCGGTTTCTGAGAGTGCCTGTGTATTTCGAATCCTCCTGAGGTTCTGCTGGTTGGAAACCAGCCCGCACAGGAAATGTATTCCCCAAATTTTTATTTACTTTTAGTTTAAAAAAAGATCAGTGAAGTTGGTCGTGGATATACTCAGCACCACTGAGCTGTGCCGGTAGAAATGGTTAAGAGGGTATATTATGGGTATGTTACCACAAGTAAGCACAAAAGTTTCAAGGGAGGTTTTCGGAAAAAAAACTTGGAACAGTAAGAAACCTTGCCAAATATCCTGCACAGTGGCGTCCTGTGTGCGTGTGGTGTCTGTAGATGGCTCAGAACCCTTACCCACGTCCACTCTGATGTTGCTCTTGCATAATTCTTTCTGCCTCTTACTTCTCTTCATCTCATGCTCATTCCCTTTAACTTAAGAGGATCGCTATGCCAACCAGAATTAATTGCCTGCACAGTAAGTTATTTTTGTCTTATTTTTCTCAATTACACGTAGACGTCCTAGGAGTGCAGCCTGTAGCTCAGCAGCCAGCCGACCTGCCTGCCTCGTGTTCCCTCCCAACTCCGCCTTTACCCTCCTAGGTTGCTAGTTCCGCGTGTTCCTCCTGACAGTGCTGTGGCTGAGGTTGTACAGGGCCTATCAGGTGAGGGCGCTCGCTCTGGTACCTGATGTGGCCAGGCGACCTCGCTGTGACACCCACAGGAAGAAGCTGGTTCCTTTTGTCGTCCTCCAGAGCTAAAAAGTAGTCGCTTCTATCAACGGACCATCTGTGGTTCCAGTTGAAATCCGATGCTGTTCTTGGGAAGCCAAAGACAATTGTTTTTTTTTTCTGGTCATTGTTTTTCTTTCTGCTGGGTTTTAAGACAGAACCTTCAATTCGCTATTTATGTCTGTTAGACTCTGTAGAGACAAATAGGAATACATTTGGAAATATTTATGACATTAGAGCTATAATTTAGATTAATTATGTTTAAATTCTTTCACGTATTTGTTTATACTTCAGCCTTCTTGTGATTTGTTTTTTAAACCTTGTTAGAACCAGGGAAAGACTTTTCTTCTTCTCCCTGTCTCCCATTTAAAATCTTGGTTACTTGCCTCCAATTTCACATAACCACTCCCCAAATTATCTTCAGGAATCTTGAAGGTTGTGGGTGAGGTCTAAATCTCGCTTCTTGCTGTTGGCGTAGAGAAGGTAGCCTGGAGTCAAGTAGTCAGGCTTCATGCAATCAACATGGCCCCGGCTATTGTTGACCGTAGTGTGAACTTCACTATCAGCAAAGGGCAACACATTCTGCGGGCTCAAAGTCAAGCAGATGATCTGCTTGATCCAGACCATCAGTTACTGGATCAGTCACAGTCCTCCAGAGAAGCAGAACCCATAGGTTACATATTTAAGGAACTGACTCATGAGATTGACAGGTCTGAAATCCGCAGGGCAGGCAGCAGGCCAGAGACCCCGGCAAGAGCTGATGCTTCATTCTTGAGGCAGAATTTCCTCCTCCCTGGAAAACCAGTGTTTGCTCTTAGGGCCTTCAGCTGATTGGATGAGGCCTACCCACATTCTCCAGGATAATCTCCTTTCCTTAAAGTCCACTGGCTGGAGTTGTTATCCACATCTACACAATGCCTTCCCAGCCGCACCTCAGTGCGTGTTCTGTTGAATCTCCGGGTGCTGCAGCCAGGTTGACACAGCGACACCTCACAGGTGTTGCTCGTGGAGGTGGGCAGACCGGTACATTCCATATGGGGTTACTGCCCAGCAGACAAGAGTGTGCTCCTGTCTCAGCCTTGACCCTCACAACCACCATGGGGCGGCTATTTAGTGTGCACTGGCAAATCTGGGGGCCCTGTTCTCCCTGCATCGTTTACCCCAAAGGTGATAGTGAACAATCTGCTTCCAAGTCGAAACAGGCTTTCCCATTGCTATTGAGAAAGGGAATGGAATGGCCTCTGTCCGCATGGCTGGAATCCTCCTCCCCTGCCCCCTGCATGCCTCTCTGGAGACGCAACTCATTCTGGGAATCCCGCCCGAGTCCTTGCAGGATTAGGGGGCTTTGCTCCATGAGACCCCACGGGCTTTGATGTATCCACACTCTCCGGAGTCTCCTCCCCAGGGGCCACAGACTTGCCCATTTTTCTAGACACCTGGCTGGCCACTTCTCAGACGCTGTCCTTAGCAGCATGGAAGAGCAGGGCCTGGGAACATGGACTTCAGAGCCAGAAAGCGCAATGTCACACACCCGTCCCATTAGTGTGCGACCCCAGCCAGCCACCTCTCCAAACCTTAGCTTCCTCATTTGTCCCTACAGAGTCTAGCAAACATAAATAGCTAATTGAGGAATCTGTCTTAAAATCCTATAGGTAGGAAAACAGTGACCAAAAGCAACCCTAAAAATGGTAGGGATCAGGCCTCCTTCCTCAGAGGCGGCTGGGGAATATAATTGAGGGTCCAGTCTACAGAACTGCAAACCTCAGTCCCCACCCGCACATGACTGTGCCCTGTTCGAGAAGTTGATGCCATCCCCCTAGAAGCTGTGACAAATTATCAGGTTAGGGGAAAGTGTGCAAGTCACACAAACGATTTCAGGAAGATTTGCACACGGGCACATATGACCATAATCTGGTTTCTGGCATTGATGTTGAACTATGAAATTCAACAAAACAGGCCAGGAGCCGTGGCTCACACCTGTAATCCCAGCACTTTGGGAGGCCGAGGTGGGCGGATCACGAGGTCAGGAGTTCGAGACCAGCCTGACCAATATGGTGAAACCCTGTCTCTACTAAAAATACAAAATTATCGAGGCATGGTGATGTGCACCTGTAATCCCAGCTGCTTGGGAGGCTGAGGCAGAAGAGTCGCTTGAGCCTGGGAGGCGGAGGTTGCAGTGAGCTGAGATAGCACCACTGCACTCCAGCCTGGGCGACAGAGCGAGACTCCGTCTCAAAAAAAAAAAAAAAAAAAAAGAAATTTAACAAAACAGCAGACATGCTCTGGAGAGCGTGAGTGAAGATGGAAGAACAGAAAATAACCTTGTTACCAGCCCCTCTCGGTAGGGTGTAAGAAGAGGCACAGAGCTCCCTGGGGCAGAGGTCTGCCACTGAAACAAGTTAGTCCCTCAGGGTATGGACAGACAACAGACTGGAGCCCGGAGTGAGGTTAAAACAAACATGCCGTGCGAATCTTTCTTGTCTACCATCTTTTTACATGCAGGCTGCAATCCTTGCTATTTCATCTTAATATGCCAAGAATTAGAATTTTAGGCAGTTTTTATTTTTATTATTTTATTTTATTTTGAGAGACAGGGTCTTGTTCTGTCACCCAGGCTGGAGTGCAGTGGCAAGATCATAGCTCATTGTAGTCTCGAATTCTTGTGCTCAAGCAAAACACTTACCTCAGCCTCCCAGGTTTAGGCACTTGTAGTACAATTTCACTTGCATAAATTATCATAACTGCTTGAAAATGTGCATATCCCATTTTATTTCTTTTAAAAAAAGTTTAATTTTTTTATTTTTTAAAAATAGAGATGGGGTCTTGCTGTGTTGCCTAGGCTAGTCTCC
The DNA here is from genome assembly GCF_000001405.40 of Homo sapiens. Taxonomy (NCBI): domain Eukaryota; kingdom Metazoa; phylum Chordata; class Mammalia; order Primates; family Hominidae; genus Homo; species Homo sapiens. The sequence goes on along the minus strand of NC_000021.9, from coordinate 41,893,104 downwards.
AATTCCTGGGCTCAAGGGATTCTCCAAACCTCAGCCTCCCAAAGTGCTGGGATTACAGGCCTGAGCCACCGTGCCTGGCTCCTGTTCCTGTTCTAAGGTCTTTTGAACACAGCCGTGCCTTGCCTGTCTCCACACCCATTTCCCTCTTAACCTGGGCGCACCGCGCGTCTCTGGCGTGGCACCGGGCCCTGCGGGTGGGCTGCGTCAGCTTCTACCCACACAGCCCTGTGGTCTGCCGGCCCCCAGAGTGAAGTGCGAAGGAGCATGAGCAGCGACATGCAGGAGAGCAGGTATGGTGCCTGTGTCCTTGGCCCTGGCCTGCTCCTGCGTTGTCGGCTGTGGCCTCCGAGTGCTCTAAGCACTAGTGGCATTTTGGCCAGACCCGGGCTAGCAGTGGATAACCCCAGCTGCATGTTCAAAAGACCTGGGAACTTTTGAAAAATGCTCATGCCCAGTGTCCCCAGACCCCCATCATGCCAGATTCTCCAGGAAGGGCCTGCACGCCTGTTGTCCTTAGAGGCCTGTTGTTTGGAGGGCTCGGGGCTGAGGATGCTGCTTCACTGTCCTCTCCGCCTCCACTCCTCCATGTTGCTGCCTGGGTTCTAAGGACTGAACAGGAAGACATGGTGGACGTTCCTGGATCCTTAAGCCAAATGCGCCCCCTCCCCTCCCAGGGCTGTATCAAAGTACCACAAACTGGGTGTTTGCAACACCAGGAGCCAATTCTTTCCCTGTTCTGGAGGCTGGAAGTCTGAGCTGCTGGTGCTAGCAGGGCCACCCTTTCTGAGGCCCTGTGGGAGAGCCTGCTCCCGCCTCTCCAGCTCCTGACAGCTGCTGACAACCTTTGGTGTTCCTTGGCTTGTAGAAGCATCACCCTGTGCTCTGCCTTCATCTTCACGTGGCATCCTTCCTGTGACCCTTCACAATGTCTTCCCTTGCGTGTCTGTCTCTGTGTCTAAATTTCCCCTTTTGATAAGGACAGCAGGCATATTGGATCACGGGCCACCCCAATGATCTAATTTTAAGTTGATGACTTCTGCAAGGACCCCATCTCCAAATAAGGTCACATTCTGTGAAGTACTGGGGATTAGGACTGTAACATATGAATTTGGGTGGGGGTGGGGGAGCCAAGTTCAGCCCATAACATTGTCCCTGCTCATACCTCAGGCCTGGATACAGACGCCAGGCCAGCTTCAGTGCAGGGACGCCTATGAAATGGACTTTGGAGGTGGAGCAGGAGGGAACCTCTCACTGCTGGGGGTTCTGAGTCCTTGGGTCTGTGGTTGACCCCAGGGGGTGGGTTGGCGTTCCCTCCCCCTAGGCCTCCATTTCCCCTAGAAGTGAAGGGGGTGACGTTGGAGCAGTCCAGGTGAAGCTGATGGATCCACCCCTTCCTCTCCCCTGTTCCACCTGGGAGCCCTTGTCCATAGGCCCTTCAGGGCCTCCAAGATCAGCCTAAAGCAGAGCTTCAAGGCAGGTGCAGGTGCCTATAGATCAGAAACACCACTGAGGTCCCCCTCATCCCCCAGCCTCAGGTCACCTGGTCAGCTCAGAGCCCCCTGACAGCTGGGGGTTCCTCTGCCTGGGAGCCCCTATCACCATGCCCAGGGCATTTCCCCAGCAGGTGCCCTCTGATACACCAGGCAGTTAGCCACATCAGCACCACTGTATCTGCCCCACTGGCCAAACTCCAAAGTCATGTCCAGTTGGGGGTCATTATCCACCTGTCAGAACACACCCTGCTGATGGCTGGTTTTTCACGATGTGCTGCATTTTTCAGGGACGTGACTCACTCCAGGAACTGACACTGATGTCCCACAGGTGTGCCATTAGGCCTGTGGACAACAGGGACATCATTTACACGTTGATACTACTTACCCGCCTTTTTCATTCCTTTTCCAGCAGTCTCCGAAGCTCCTGCACACAGGCTCCTAACTTTAGATCACTGTAAAAAATGTCACTACTTACCCACCTTTTTCATTCCTTTTCCAGCAGTCCCCGAAGCCCCTGCACACAGGCTCCTAACTTTAGATCACTGTAAAAAATGTCCAAATGACACGTCATAAAAAGTGATTTGGTTGTGTTGAGAGAGTCAAGTTTTTAAAAAATTATGGCCGCTTTGATCAAATTAAATTCAGTCCATTGCGGCCTTTCATCTTCTCAGTTTCTGTCCTGTAACCTGGGCAGAGCAGATGGGACACAGTAGTTCCTGCTTGAAGTCAGGCTCAGGGGCACATGCTTCTTTCCCCATAGTAGGCTTTGATTATACAAAGATTCATAGGCAGGTCTAGGTCAGGTTTCTCCGACTGCCCTCAGATGCCACAATTGTTGGTGTGCATTTCATTTAGAAGAGGGAATTGATATTCTTCGTGCCCTCCTTCAACCTCCTCAACATGGGTGGCGATTTGCATATGTCGTGGCTATTGAAATGTTTATTGGATATGCCTATCACAAAGGGAATAAATTATCACATTAGGTATAAAGCTCCTCTTCATGATGATCAGACCTGTCTTCTTTCAAAGTCATTACCACCTACATGCCAGCGGTAATGAATTTCACAGGCTGGCCTGAAATGCTTACTCCCTCGACCTTGCCAGCCTTGGTTAATAGGATGTTAAACTAATCTGTGAAAAAGCAAATTAGTGGGCTCTTGCACCCACTACATTAGCTTGTACTTGATCTTTAAGGAATCATTGCTGTTGAAATTATTGTTGCTGCTGCTGCTAATTTTTTTCTATTCCGTATTCTACTACCTGATGGATATCTATAGCCAGGTAAATATCTGTATATAGAGATCTGTATCTATCTGTAAGCAGATACATCGAACCACACAAAATTGACGTTTTGTAGGCCAAATATGCCCAAGTAACAAACTTCAGATGGCATAGCCTAATATGATAGGATCTGGAATTATTTTTTAATAAAATCTTATTCCCAAAAGAGCAAATATTATTTAACATTCCTAAGAAAGTGAATACCATTGTTCTCAGGGTCTTAATTGGGTTTTATGAGTGTGACCATCCTTTCTGGGACATAGTACTGCTTTGCCAGCTACACCCTTCCTAATGAGGGGAAGTGGGTGGCACAGAGGGGACCCAGGTATCCCAACCGAGGCAATAGCTGTCTGCCTCCATTTGGTCTGATAGAAAATCAGGGATATAAGCCAGGTGTGGTGGCTCATGCCTGTAATCCCAGCTCCCAGCACTTTGGGAGGCTGAGGGAGGGGTGGATCACCTGAGGTCAGGAGTTCGAGACCAGCCTGACCAACATGGTGAAACCCTGTCTCTACTAGAAATACAAAAAAATTAGCTAGGCATGGTGGCACACACCTGTAATCCCAGCTATTTGGGAGGCTGAGGCAGGAGAATCGCTTGAACCTGGAGGTGGAGGTTGCAGTGAGCCAAGATCGCGCCACTGCAGTCCAGCCTGGGCGACAGACAGCAAGACTCTGTCTCAAAAAAAAAAAAGAAAAAAAATTCAGGAATATAAATATCGGCCTTAGAAAGGGATATCAAGCGATAGTTCAGGCTTACTGCTTCTACTGTTATAATCTCGTTTCCTTTTCATCTTGAAAACTCTCGTTTTGTACAAGCCAGATTCCAGTTATTTTTCTCATGCAGGTAGTGACAGCATATTGAAGTAGTAAACTGGCCCTTCGTTAGAGGCATTCGAGCCTCCTTTTCCCTTTGTCCGATTGGACCAGTCATTCAGCCCCTCATTCCCTGCCCACTTGACCAGCCCTTGTGCCTCCCTCTTCCAGGAGGAATTCTAAGGAAAGGTGCAAAGCTGTTCTTCCGCCGGCGGCATCAACAGAAAGACCCAGGCATGAGTCAGTCACACAATGACCTTGTGTTCCTGGAGCAGCCAGAGGGTTCCCGGAGGAAAGGCATCACCCTCACCAGGATCCTGAACAAGAAGCTGCTCTCCAGGCACAGAAACAAGAACACCATGAACGGTGCCCCCGTGGAGCCCTGCACGTAGGGCCTGAGGTCATCACCTCCAAGCCAGAAGACGTGCACCCATGTTAACTACCCTCACCAGGACGCAGCCAGTGTGTCCGCCGGATGTCCAGATGCCCCGCTTGTCTTGCTGGGTTTCTTCCAACCATCTCGTCATTTAAAGGGAAAACAAAATCTGAGTCTCCAGCCAGGAGGCTTCTCCCAGAGAGGACAAAAAAGCCCAACTTGCCACCAGATGCTAAATGAGACTTGACAGCTGCAGAGCTTGGGCTGTGCTCATAGCTAAGGGTTAGGGTTCAATATTAGAAGGAGATTAACATTATAAGTGAAATAATATGCTCTAATAGATTGTGGAGGGCAGGTTTGAGGGACTTAGTTTACCTATTCTACACTAACAAGTGTTGTTTTGGGTCCATGCCTGGACCATGTCACAAAAAGGAGGTGCCCCCCTGTGCTGTCACTGTGAATGGAAAGGATGGGTCACCTCTCTTCATCTGCTGCTTGGAATAAAAAATGCAGCTGGCCCTGAGTACAGGGAAGTGGAACATAGGCAGGATTTTGGATTAATAGAGAAATTTTGATAAGAATGGAGACGCTACGACAGATGTAGGAAGTCATCTACCTTTGATATTAGCCATAGAACTTGAACACTAACTATATCCTATGCATAGTATGCAGAACACTTTTCTAAGTTTACTTTGAGCCTACTTGCAAGTGGAAGATATATATATTCTCACATGGTTTTTACATTTTTCTCTATCGTGTTAAAAGCTCTAATAATGCTAGTGGAGCAGTTGACATCCAGGGTTTTTTTTCCTGCCTGTCATACTTGCTAAACAAGAGCACAGCGGGCCTGTCAGATGAAGTCAGGAGCCATACGTGACCGCTCGTAGAACACAGTAACCAAACACATACATGGATTTTGCCAAGTGCTGCCAGTAGCCAAAACAAAGTCTTTTTAGGGCAATAGAGGAAATTATTTTGTGTCTCAGGTGTCAGTCTTAGGAATGGAAGTTTAATAACAAATGGGCCAAACTCGCAGGACATTCCTTCTATGAGCGCTTCAGAATTTTGCTGTGAACAGTCCTCTTGGACACAGGTTGGGGTGCCCTTGTTTGGGTTTGTTTTGGTGGAAAACATCACAAACCTGGCACACCATTTGAATATCCCTAATATCATTCCAGTCGCTTTCCTCATCAGTTGCCTTTCTATTTCAGTTCATTCACAGATCTCACTTCTGAATGTGCCACTTCCAGTAGACATGCTGGTCAAAGAGCAGTCATCATTGGGGTGAAGTGTTCTTGACAGTTTAATATGATTCACTTTTCTCCAAAGACATGTAAAAGGCTGTTACGAAAGCTTGGCTTCTGTCATGGAGACGGAAATGGGCAAGCTTCCTTCCGTAGCCTCTTGTTAATCCTTAAACATTAAATATTTCGGGGGTAATAGAGCCACTGGTGAGTAAAAACCTATATAAAAACCAAAATTATAGGATTTTTTCTTTTTTAGTAAAAACCGGTATCAAAACCAAAATTATAGGATTTTTTTCTTTTTTAGTAAAAACCTATATAAAAACCAAAATTATAGGATTTTTTCTTTTTTAGTAAAAACCTATATGAAAACCAAAATTATAGGATTTTTTTCTTTTTTAGTAAAAACCTGTATAAAAACCAAAATTATAGGATTTTTTTTTCTTCTTTTTTAGAGAGAGAGATTAGAAAACGACATTAGGAATTTCACTTTAAAATGCGCATTACAAACTTCTTAGGTGTTCCAGGAATTATCAAGTGACTTTAAAATGACTTTTCCAACCTGCTTTGTTTTTAAAAATTATATTCCAGTTTTAATCATTGTAAAAAAAGCACCTGGAGTTTCAAAACATGTGAATACTACCAAGTTTCTGTCCCCAAAGTCAGGCATCACTGTTAGTCTTTTGGGACAGATGGGACAGATGTTCACTTTAATGTTTTACTTGAAGTTTTACTGCTCTTTGCCATGTGGTAAAAAGAGGCTGAGACATATTTAAGAATTCCAAGAGGATATTATGTGTCAGAATTTCAGACACTGATGAGAAGTTTTTAATTGTTCTTTTTTATTTGATTTTGGAATTCAGGTGCACTCTATTCAAGTGCAAGGATATCAGAAGTTTTTTTTTATTTAAAAAATTTTTTTTTCGAGATGGAGTTTCACTCTGTTGCCCAGGCTGGAGTGCAATGGCAGCTTACTGCAACCTCCACCTCCTGGTTCAAGCGATTCTCCTGCCTCAGCCTCCCAAGTAGCTGGGATTACAGGCACGCGCCACCACACCTGGCTAATTCTATTTAGTAGAAATGGAGTCTCACCATGTTGGTCAGGCTGGTCTCGAACTCCTGACCTCAGGTGATCCACCCACCTTGGCCTCCCAGCGTGCTGGGATTATAGGCATGAGCCACCAGGCCGGCCCCAGGATTTTATATTAAGCCTTCTTGCTCTCAAAAAAAAAAAAAGGTTTTAACTATTCCATTTCCAGATGAATCCCATGAGCGCTGCTTACTGTTGAATACCAAGGTCTAGGGCTCTGCTTCCTGTAGACACGCACACGTTGTCTCCATCCAATGGCCTTTTCTGAAGTTACAGAAAACACCAACATGGGAGGGAGTTTATGAAGCAAAGGCAAAGGCAACACGTCGGCTAGCTTCAGGGTAGCACCGTGAGAAATGGGCTGTATTGATACTGTGAATGTTTGTTTTCCAAGCTGTTTTATACAGGTTTGTTTTTTCATGGTGTAGGGTATTTATGACAAAGTAAATGTTGTGAAGGTTAAAGATAAATTAAGATTATCCACCAAATGCTAAAAATACTGATGTGTAAATCACCTTTATCGCCTCACCTCTTCTACAAGCTTTTGTGGCTTGAGGGCTTTTGTTTTTGGCTTTTGTCTGGATGAAAGTTTTGCCCAGTTGTGTTTTAAAAACAATTCCTCATGAACACTAAGATTAATTGTGTCTGTATCTCTGGAACTGGGTGCTCATGTTGGTTTTAATGAGCTTGCAACCCTTCCCCGTTTGCTTTGTTTAAGGAGGTGCCTCTGTTCTTTGTGGAGGAGTGAAATGGAGCTTTAAGTGTGTGTGTGTGTTATGTGTGTTTGCACACACGCGTGTGTTATTGTAGCAATAACAAAAAGTAGCCATCTCCTTGTTCCAGCTGAAAACCTGCTGTGAGAGTTTTGACAGAGCACTTTATTTTCGTCAAGTTTCAAGTCTGAGTTCAAAACCAGCCCTGATCCCTTATGACCAACTGCTACTCGACCAGTCGCCACTCAGTGGCCACCTGGTGCCCGTTTAGATTTTTGCTTGGGTTTTACTGGCCACCTCTATAGACGAGAGTTGCAAAGTTGCTTTGAGCAGAGAGGGAAAGATTAATTTACACTGCTGGCCACCGAAGGCAGGTGTTTCCTGGGTAGTAATCTCACGGCTCTTGATCTGGAAACTTCAGAGTACAAATTGGTGGATGGTGGAAGGCAGGACACGTATCTCTGTCTGACGGAAAACAGACCTCGGGGCTGGCGTAAACCCTGCTGCCAGGCCCTCTCCCCACTGCCCCAAACCGGCCTAGACACGAAGACCAAAGCAGCCTGCACAGGGCAAGGCCCCCGCGGAATCCTGCAGAGCAAACTCAGGTTAACTTGGGTCCATGACCGTTTGCATTCGAAACACAATACACTGCCTCGTTCTCTCAGTTAGCAGCTGGGCAGCAGCGCACCATTCATCATTTAGGCTTGTGGTTTGTTGTTTACTCTACCAATGTTATGTCGAAACTGCATTGTAAAAAGAGAAGAAAGTGGCAGGTTTTCCAGGTCCACGGAAAGGTTTGGCCTGACGCTGGAGTGCGGTGATGAACTTACGTGACAATGATTGTATTCCTCAGTAGCACTTTAAACGCCGAAGACAGCCCTGCAGCAAGCCTGCACACGGGCTTGGGTGGGTTCCTTTGGAGAAGATGTGGCTGGAACACAAACAATCTTTGAAAGAAATAAATGTGCACACAGAACACTACACTGAGTTGTTTTTCCCGAGTCCTGTTCTGTCCTGGAAGTCCCAGGGTCTTCTCTGAGCGCCCCTTTCATCAGGTCATCCTTGGACTTCACTGTCCATTCCCCACCCCGGTGGGTGGCCCGGGTGCATGCAGAGGGGACAGGTACCTGGCTCAGCCACAGGTGGAACAGCGTCGGCACTTGCCTGGGGCTCACGGTGGTTCTGGGAGGGAGGCGGTCGAGTCGGGTCACAGACGTGTCCTGCGGGCCCCATGCAGGCATCGTGCCTTCTTTCTAGTCATCAGTTCCCGTGGTCTCCCTCAGTCTTCATTCCCCCTGCGGTGCCCAGACAGCAGAGCACGTGGAGAGCTGGTGTCCTGGAGAAAGCTACTGGACAGGCCCAGCCTCCTGTCCCCACACTGCCCACCCCTCCTCTCAGCTGTCCCGCCCGCTCGCTAGACACCGTGTAGACCCTTAGAGGGAGCCCGATGCTTCCCAGCTGGGTTCCAGGTTTTCTGCTCCATTTCCTGGGCACCACAAGGTGGTGATGGCAGTGCCTCTTGTTTGGAGTTAGAAGTGGTTCAGGACCCAGTGATTGAACTGTTGCTTCCTCTGTGTGGCCAGAGGGACCCACTTTGTGCTGATGCTCCAGGAGGAGGCTGGATTGAGTTGCTGGAGGCCAAGCTTGTCCTAATTTACCAACTTTCCTAAGCTGATCACCTCCAGATGAGCACTGTTTGCCAATGCGTCTCCACTGCCCAAATTAATCCAACTCAACCACCCTCGGTCATTCTGGAGTGTGCATCCTCGTGCCCAGCAGTTCACACTCACTCTTCGAATGGTCTAACCCAACTCAAGCCCTGCCTTCCCCACGAAGGAGCTTCTCTGCAGGCTGCGGAATTGGCGTGCTTGCAGCGGCACGGTCCAGGCCTCCGGCTCTCAGGCTTCACTGTCCTGCATTGCTCTCATTTCCTGTATCCCCCGGGGCTTCGTACAGTCACTGCCCACCTAGCAGAGCAAGGACAAAGGTCAGCTGATGACCCTTACGTGAGCACAGACAGCAGCTTTGCTTCCACCCACCTCACCCTCCATCGCCCAGGACCTGGTGCTGGGGACTGAGCAGGACACTGGAGGGGATGACCACATGCTGTTTTGACCTTAGCACCCCTACAAAGACAGGGTGATGTGTGTATATGTCAATAAAGTTTATTTTTAAAATGCAGATCACTCACCAAAGGGGGCTAGACACCAGGATGGCTGACATAGCACAGTGATCCCCCTAGAGAGAAAGCTGCCAAGGCCAGGCCCTCCTTCCCAATCATGACCTAGAAACAGCTTTCCTCCACTGGCCTTCCCCAGCTCCACACTGTGACTGTCCACAGTGGAAACTGCGAGTCACGCCCTGCTGTAACAGGCATTCAAAACTAGTTGCCTATGTATTTATAGGTCTATATTAATGTCATCGATATTTATAAAGTTGGACGTGCAGGTACGTTGGGCACCTTAATAGAAGGGTTATCAGCTGGTGATCATCATTGCTGTACCAGGTGAAGCACTGGACTAAGCCCAGGGGATGTATTAATTTATAGTCTAGCTCGGTAGCAAGCATAGCTTTTATATAATAGGCCGGGCGCGGTGGCTCACGCCTGTAATTCCAGCACTTTGGGAGGCCAAGGCGGGCGGAACACCTGAGGTCAGGAGTTCAAGACCAGTCTGGCCAACACGGTGAAACCCTGTCTCTACCAAAAATACAAAAATTAGCTGGGCCTGGTGGCGCATGCCTGTAATCCCAGCTACTTGGGAGGCTGAGGCAGGAGAATCGCTTGAACCTGGGAGGCGGAGGTTGCAGTGAGCTGAGATCACACACTCCAGCCTGGACAACAGAGTGAGACTCCATCTCAATAAAATAAATAAAGTTAGAGAAAGACTTGAGATCACAACAATAGCTAATAATAATTGCACACTCAATATGTGCCAAGAATTTTTCAAATAGTTTTATATGTAGTGACTCATATACTCTCTGAAACAACTCCATGGGGCATGATCTATTTCAGCTTTACAGGTTAAGAAACTGAGGCACAGAGAGGTTAAGTAACTTGCCCAAGCTGACAGCTGGCTAGACCAGAATTTGAGCACTGGCTGTTTGCCTGGAGAACCTCTGCTCACAGCCGTGAGTCTCTGGCTCTGCCTGTGTCGATTGGAGAGATTAAGGACTATGGTCCTATATGTTTTTTTGTTTTGTTTTGTTTTGAGAAGGAGTCTCGCTCTCGTCATCCAGGCTGGAGTGTAATGGCGTGATCTCGACTCACTGCAACCTCCGCCTCCCAGGTTCAAGTGATTCTCCTGCCTCAGCCTCCCGAGTAGCTGGGATTACAGGCACCCGCCACCATGCCCGGCTAATTTTTGTATTTTTAGTAGAGATGGGGTTTCACCACATTGGCCAGGCTGGTCTCAAACTCCTGACCTCAAATGATCCACCAGCCTTGGCCTCTCAAAGTGCTGGAATTACAGGCGTGAGCCACCGCACCTGGCCAAAAATTTTTAACAATTTTATATGTAAAAAAACTGGTGTAGCGGTGTCAGGCATATGATACATTTCATTTGTTGAGTTAAACAAATGTTTAAAAACCACCAAAGACTAGCATGAGGAAAAGGCTGGTCTCCTTCCCTGGAACCAGGATAAATCACTGAGGAAGTCAGAGGCAGGGCCAAGACTAAAATTCAAGTCACACAACAGCACTCCATGGAAAATCTACATACTCCTATGATAAAGTTCTACTAGACAGTCCAGATACATCATCCCCTAATTTGTGGGTATGTAAGCAAATGTGAAGCATGTCTCTAACCTGGTCATTCACTGTGCTATAAGGCCCACTGCCAGTGAATAAGTTCAGCAGTTACTCTTCAAGGATATATGGTCTTTTTTGAACTTTAATGCTGCCTGTTTTGGGTGAGAATAACATGAAGTGAGAGTCAATGTTTCATATTTAGTAGGAATTAACTTATTCGCTGATGATCAGACTTCCCTCTTTATGAGAAAAATTAGCCAATTTTTTTTTTCTTAAAAGCTGGAGGTGGCTGGAGAGGTGGTTGAGGATGTCTATCATGCTTTGCACAGCAGTAGGTTTGTATTTGAATTATAACAAAACCAGAGCCCAGGAGACGTGCTAATTGGAAAAGTACTGATCTAAGGCGGGCGGGCGGGCGGTCCACAGGGCTGCGGGCATAGCCCTCAGTGATTAATTACATCTTAATCCCATCTAGTATCTTTCAGGAAGAATTAAGTGTTCACAAGGAAATTCACTGATAGCCATGGAAGCTCTTGTCTGTTGTTTTTTAAATTTTCAACTCATTTATTTTTAATTTCAAACCTACGGAACAACCCATATAGCCTTCACCTAGATTCACCAGTTTTGCCACATCTGCTCTCTCTCGGTCTCTGTCACGTTTGCAGATATCACAATATTTCACCCTAAATCCTTCAGAACAATTTGGTGAGAACAATGAATGGCACGGGCTACCATACTTTCAATACAATGATCACCCTTGGGAAATTTAACATTGATCCAATACTATTATCCGGTATCACTGTTCACGTTCAGATTTTCCATTTTCCTCAATAACAACCTTTATAGTTGTTTTTTCTTTCTTTCTGCCCATTTTTCAAAGTTGTATATTGCATTAATTGTTAATAATGAAAATTTGACACTTTAAGATAAAACTTTTTTTTTTCTTTTAACATTTTGGAGATGAATCTGCCTTAAGAGGTATTATTTCTAGATTGTTCTGAAGGATTATAGTGGACACATTGACAATCCTCTTGAAGACGAGATATGACGATTATTGTGTAAGTGAATTCCAGCCGTGGGCTGTATGTAGTAATAGGAGAAATGGCCTGGGGGAGGTTGAAGTCTTTGGTTTACTTTCAGTTATTCGCACTTGCTGTGGACCTGTCACTTTTTTAGTGTAAACAACCTTTTATTCACATATGCCGAGGACTGTTTCATGTCCTGAGGCCCACAGAACCAGTCATCTGGCCATTTTGGAACTGTGAGTGATGTCACTGGAGGTGCGTGTATAGAGGGAATGTCCATTAGCTGTAGTGGTGGTGGTGGGAGTGGGGTTGGGCGGAGACCTGAATACAGAGAAGGTTGTGGAAAACCTGGGAAGTGTTTGAAGATAGAGTACAGAAGGCCTTGGGAACAGGCTTCAGGGACAGGAGGCTGGAGGGAGGCATGAAGTCGCAGGTGGGGACAAGCAGGGAGACAGTGGACGCCGGGGATGCTCCAGAAAGGTCTGGGGGGCCATGGGATGGCCTACTATAGTGCAACATGGAAGCCACTGTAGAATGCTGGGCCAGGCAGAGAAACCAGCCTTCACAGATCAACACTTGCCTAATCTGTCTCCGGCTGCCCGGCGTTGCAGCCTATGGATGTGCCCAGGTGCATCCAACACTTCCCATGGGATGGCACGTAGTATGTAAGCAAATGTGATGATCACATATGCCATTCATACAAGCGAGTCCGTCTCTGGCACCATTCCTGCATGTGGGTCAAAGGCTATGTGCATTTAGAATTTTTATGGATATCCACAAATATCTGAATGGAAACTACGCTAATTTATTCTCCTACCCGTAAAGGAGCTTGTTTCTCTAGTTTCTTCAAAATTATGCTATTAAAACTTTTTTTTGTTTGTTTTTGTTTGAGACAGGGTCTCACTCTGTTGCCCAGGCTGGAGTGCAGTGACACGATCACAGCTCACTGCAGCCTCAAACTGTGGGACTCAAGTGACCCTCCTGCCTCAGCCTCCTGAGTAGCTGAGACTACGGGCACGTGCCACCGAGCCCAGCTAAGTTTTTTAGAGACAAGGTCTGGCTATGTTGCCCAGGTTGTATTAAACGTTTTAAAAAATCTTTGCTAATCTAATAAAAATGATCCCACTGCGACTTTTTTTCTCTTATTGCAGCGTAGTTGAATAGCTTCTCATATGCTTAAGAACCATTGAATTTCCTACGAACTGTCCATCCACACACTTTGCTCATTTTTCTATATACATATATATTTTTATTGGTTCACAAGAGTTTCACGTACATGAGGGAAACGAGCCCTTTTGTGGCATCAATTTAAAATCATTTTCCCCGGTTCATCACTTCTCTTTATGAATGTAGGTTTTTGCCAGGCAGCAATGAACAAGACAGTCGGCCTCTCTGAATATGGGCGGCCAGGACTAAGGTGAAAAGTCTGTCCCTTCTCCGTCTCACGTTTTGTGATGGCACACACACTTGGTGGAGGGGGTCAAGAGAGGCCACACAGGCCCCCGGGGAAGAATGGAGAGCCAGGTCCGCGGCTGGCCCGGTGCTCACCGGTAGCGTGGCGGAGCCCGCCAGGCCAGACTCCCCTCGCGGGCACAGAGCTCGTGTCCCAGGGCCCCGCCGGCCAAATCCAGAGGTCACCGTGAGTGGGGGCAAGTCCCAGGCCTGTTCTAGAGAAAAACTCGACCCACCCACCGCCACCACTCCCCAACTCCGCAAGAAACGCGTCCGAGGAGAGGTGGAGAGGGAGCTGCCCGCGCGCGTGGGCGGCAGGGCCGTGCCACGTGGGAGGGGGGCCGCGCGCGGAATTCCCTCCGGCCAGACCCGCCCCGCGCGCGCCCGCTGCCCCGTCCACGCCGCCCGCGCCCCGCAGTCCCACCCGCAGGACCCCCGGCCGCGCCAGGGTCTCGCCTGCGCCCCCCGCGCCCGCCCGCGGACTACAAGTCCCGCCATGCCCCGCCGCCGCCCCCCGGCTTCCGGTGCTGCGCAGTTTCCGGAGCGGATCGCAACCCGGAGTCCGGATCCGATCCCGCTCTGCACATTCCAAAGGCAGGTAAAGCTCCGGGCCCTGCGCCCGCCGCCCGCCCCGGCGTGCGCCCCGCCGGCCCCGGGCCGCACCCGCTGCCCCCGCGAGCCCCGGCGCGCCCTGGGCCCGCTGCCCCCCGCCCCCCGCGCCCGGCAGCCGCGCGCCGCCCCGGTCCAGCCGCCATGCCGACTGTTCTTTGTTACATTCGCCGGCTGCGGGCACCGTTGGCGATCGGAGTCAAAACCCGGCTGGATTTCCCGGAGCCGCTCCGGGATCGCCCTGCGCGCCGCCCGCCCGCCGGGTCCCGCCGCCGCGGGCGCTCCTGGCCGGGCTCCGCGCCCCCGTCCCCTGCCTCGCGCCCCCCGCCCGCCCGCGGCCAGGCCCAGCGCGGGGCCGCGGGGCTGCCGGGCCGCGCTCGCCCGTGGGCGCGGCGCAGGGTCTTCGCCGCCCCGGCCCGCGGCCCCGCGGCCCCCGCCGCCGGGCGGCGTCGTCGCCGAGGCCCCAGGGGATGTCGTTATCCCCCGCCCTCGGGTACAGCCCATGCGGGTCGCACGGGGGGGTCCCTGGACCCCCAACCCCGCGTTTAGAGAAGCTGAGTCCTGGTGATGGGGTCTCCCAGACCCCCTGCGCCTTATTTTCGTAAGCCTTTTGGTGGCAGAGAGAAGGTAGCGAGGTGGATGGACAGGTGACGCGTGCCTACCCGGGGTGGGTGGCCGTTCGGGGACGGGGCGTGCCCGGCCGCTCAGGTGAGGCCCGCCTCGCGTGGACAGGTGGGGACGGGGGCCACGCGCAGCGTCCTGCTAGAGGGGAGGTGTTCACGCAGGGGTTAGCCTTGAGAAAATAGAAATGAAAACTCATGGAAATAAACACTCCTATCTGGTGGTTAGAGTTATCACCCATTTACCTTTCTTAACCCCCTAATGTAGTGGATGGTTTTTTCCCCCACAAATGCTCAGAAATTGCCCCTCACCCCCAAGTCCCCAAAGGGAGTTTAAAACGGTAGAAACAAGTGTGTGATCAGAGACACGTGGACCTGTGTGTGTATTTAAAGCTACCAACACTCGTTTTAAAAAAACCACATTGGCTTAAGCCAGACTCAAGTGAATTTGGAGAACCTAGCTTGGTTCCTGAAGGGTGGTGACATGTGAAGGAGCCACTGGCTTTGTGATGTACCTTAAAAGGTAGCAGTGACAGTTCTCCTTGGAGAATGCAATGATGTCAACACTCGATAAGGGTGGTGATCCCACCCCGGTGCACACACCACTACCGTATTTTGTTTCAAGCTCGGACATTTTCACGTGTTCCACGTTTTCACTGCTTCACTCCTTCCCCAGATTTCCTGACATCGCTGCCTCACGGTGAACGATTAAGAAATAGTAGCTCTATAATTTAGACTTTCAAGAGCAAAAACACCATTTTTTTTATAGTTTGTTTTTCTTCTATCTGTGATTCATACTTTTTGCCGCAAAGTAGCCAGCAAAGAACAAGCTAAATGTTCCATTTTGGAAGCAGGCGGGACGGTTATTTCTCCAGAAGACAAATAAATAAATTTAAAAATCAACTGTAGTTGGAAGGCTGCTAGCTTGTCTTAGAATAATTATATTTGACAAAGAACTCTTTTCACTTAGGATGTGGCTCTCATATCATTTTCGATGTCATTATCTGTACAGAAGGCCAGGAAAGAACAGTCCTGCCATTTTGCAGATTGAAGGGAGATTTAAGGCAACTGTGTCTTCCACCCGTGCGCTCAAGAGGTTGGGATGGTGAGCGGTGACTTAAATGATTTTTCAGACTCCGTTCCTCATTTGCAAAGTGTGGATGGCCCTGCTCAGCTCCCCTCACAGTGCTGGTGTGGGCAGATATTCATTCATTCGGCCATTCATGCATTCTTTCCACCAATGTTTACTGAACACCTGTTATGTGCCCCCACGCTGTAGTGAATGGAGAGAGGGCTGCACCTGGTGGACCTAATGTTCTGGGCAGGGGAGTGGAGGTGGTGTAGACAGAAAATCATAAAACTCTCAGGTAAGACGATGGGAAGAGCATGAAGAAAGGAAGGAGGGCAGGCAGGTGGCGGGCAGGGGATGGGGCACTTGGGGGCTGGGACTAGAAGGGGCTGTCTGAGGAGGGGCCACAGTGGAGACCAGTGCTGTGAGGGAGCCTCTGGTGGAGGTGGGTGCGGTGGTGCCTGCCCCCACCAGGCAGATGGTGGCAAATGCAAAGGCCCTGGGGTGGGATGAGCCCAGGATGGGACAGGCCAGTGTGGCCATGGAGGTGGGGCAGCAGGGGCCATGCACCAGGCAGAGATTTTCTTCTGACTGCCTTGTGGATGCCACTGAGGGGCTTTGAGCAGTGGCGGGGCAGAGTCTGCATCTTTTGGCTGTGTGTGGGGAATGGAGCTGGCATCACTGGAATCCAGGCCCTGCATGATTCCACTCCACAGAACTCGGAGGCAGAAGGGGAGATGGGGCAGGACAGAGCCTAGTTCCAGAGCCAGGCAGGCCTGCTGCTGGTTTGGTTGGAAATGCATGGTGGGTGACTGGAGCTACTATTTACTGAGGTGCAGGTGACCTGAGGCATTCAGGGGCCCTGTAGAGCAGACATCTTCAAACTCTCCCTCAGAGTGGGAGAAGACCCTGCCCCGGGGCCACGTCCGCTCCTCAAAAGGCTCCTCCTAAGGAAAGGTCCCTCCTCTTGCAGTCATGGCCCTGGGGTGTGGAAACTGCGGGGTCCCAGCAGATGTAAGGGTGTTGGGGAGTGGCTCCCCCGTGGGCCACAGGTCTGCAGCAGCTGCGGGAGCCTCTACACCAGCGGTGTTCATGGTGATCGTTGATGACAAGTTGATCTTTGATGAATTCAGGCTCAGAACTCAAGAGGATGTGGCATTGGGGGACTCTGCTGTGACCAAGCCCCTTCTGCTCCCGTCTCCTTATTTCTGGAACCAGCTTCTCTGTGCTCGCATTTCTAGAAAGAGGAATAGGGACAGAGGCGAGCATTTGTCCATGCTATGTGAACTGATTAGGGGAAAAAAGCTCTTTCTCTTCTATTAAACACAGCTTTTATATCAGATGATGATTTATCGAAGTGGAGACTATTTCTGTTTTGATCAGTGGTGTTCCAATTGTAGTCACACTGTGAAAAGGAGATATGGTTCAATGGTGGACCGCATATACCATGCTGGTCCTGTAAGATGATAGGACCGCATTTTTTACGTTACCTTTTCTATGTTTAGATAAGCAAATACTTACTATTGTGTTACAGGTACCTACAGTATTCCGTTAGTTAAGTGCTGTACAGGTTTGCAGCCTAGGAGTCGTAGGCTGGGCCGTATAGCCTAGGTGTGTAGTAGGCTATACCATCTAGGGTTGTGTATGTACACTCTATCATGTTTGCACAACTACAAAATCCCATAGCAATGCATTTCTCAGAATCCTGTCAGGAAGCTACACACGAGTGTACTGCGGTGATGATTCGGGAGACGTTAGCACAGCCCTATGGTTGTAGGAAATCAAGACGAATTCAATTTATATGCATGTTTGTGTTGCAAAAAGTTACAGTAGGGTGAATCAATAGAGTGATTTCAAGCATGAATATATAACGTTGGGTTTACATTTTGTAGTAACAGAAATAGGAGTTCCTAGAGGAAGAAGTGTATACTTTCTGGCCTTAAGAAGAGCTTGTTCGTGTGCGTTGTAAATAGATGGCCATGGCTGTCACGTCACCGTGCCTAGATTCTAATAGATATATTTACAAGAGTGACATGGCAGTTTTATTTTAACTCAGTATTTACAGTATGCTGGAAATGATGTCCCTTGCAGCTGTTTAAAACAGGGATGAACAGTTTATACTGTCAGCTGAGATGCAGGGAGTGGCATTTTAGGAAATATTTTCATGGGGATACTGGCAAAACTCAAAGAGCCTGGCTGCTCCTGGTTCCAGGCATCAGGTGGAGCTGCCGTCCGGGGCCTGGCAGGGCGAGGGGCCGCCAGGATGCCGGCTTGGGAGTTGGGGGTGGCAGGTAAGTGCTGCATGTAGAGGGACGGAGGTCTAGGTAGCCAGCTTGGGGTACCCCCTGTGGAGGCTCTGGAGGGGAGGTGCAGACAGCAAAGGGGCTTAGGAGGGAGCACGCAGTGAGAGGGACCCTCCAGGGCAGAAGGGATTTCCAGAGGAGGCAGTAAGGATGGCTTCGGGTGGAGAGGACCTGGGATTGGGCAGGGACCCTGCTGAAGCCACTCGTCCTACATGAATCCTACTCAGAGCAGGAGAAGCCAAGATCAGCGATCCTCCCGTCTTGGCCCCCCAAAGTGCTGGGATGACAGGTGTCAGCCTGTCCTGGAGTCCTCCAAGCCCGTGGGGTCTGATGAGCACAGACGGCTCAGCTCTTCCTTGCTTCCATACCCTTACATAAAACTGGAGCTCGGCTTTCTCAGAGAGGATGCTTTTATTTGCCTGAGATGCACCATCTGTTACTGGCTCCGTTTGACCGATCTCCTTGTTCATCGTGGTCCAGGTCTGCACCTGACAGCTCTGAGTGCTGACCTACTGCAGGCGTCATCAGTAAACCTTGACTAAGTGATGCGGCTCACGGCAAACTCACTGTGAGTTCAGGGTCCTTAATTCTTGATGTGGGTGGGGCCTGCAGGATGCAAATGCGGTTGGACTTTTAACTGTCCACTCACTGGACCAGAGTCTGCTTTTGAGAAGGGGTGTTTCAGGTGTCTCGTAACCCTCTGGCCTCTGGCCTTTTGTAAGTTTCAAAAAAAAAAAAAAATATATATATATATATATATATATGCATGCTGCTTAGTTATAGTAGGTTTGTCTTTTATTGTGACCAAAAACATAAATGTTATTTTAGCACCACGTTAGGCAAGAGGTCAACAGGGTCCTTGTTCTGAGCAGGCCGCCTCAACTCTGACTGTTAGCTGGTCCTGTCATCTGGATGCCTCTTGTCTCCCTGGGTCCCTATCCCCCAGCACATCTGACCTGCAGGCTTTGCTCTCTGCCTATTCTCATTCTGTCTGCTTTTTGAAATACGCTAAACCAGCACTCACAGCCTCTCCACCATCCAAGCCCTCTAGGGTCGCACAAGCCTCATCGTTAAGTAGGAGTCAGTCCTCCCGCCCTTTTTTTTTTAAATTAAGCAAACACAGGACAGCCAGTTAGAGCAGCCATCAGTGTGGTAGAGTCTACACTACCTCAGTTTGCTTTTTTTTTTTTTTTTTTCCCGAGACAGAGTCTTGCTTCGTCACCTAGGCTGGAGGGCAGTGGTGCGATCTCCATCTCGTCTCACTGCAACCTCGGCTCACTGCAGCCTCTACCTCCTGGGTTCAAGCAATCTTCCCACCTCAGCCTCCCGAGTAGCTATGACTACAGGCATGTGCCACCATGCCTGGCTAACTTTTGTGTTTTCTGTAGAGATGGGGTTTCTCCGTGTTACTCAAGGTGGTCTCAAAATTCCTGGGCTTCAGCAATCCTCCCACCTTGGCCCCCCAAAGTGCTGGGATGACAGGTATAAGCCACCGTGCCCAGCAGAGTTTCCATTTTTAAGATGGTAGAGGGCACACCTTTCTCTCCCTCTTAAAGAACCAGATGTGAAAATGAGAAATATAGATGTCATCTTTGATGAAACTAAGAGGTTCAGAAAGTGAGAACGGAGAAGAAATCATAAACAGTACAAGAAAACAGTAGGGCTGAAGGGCATGGTTGAAGGCCCAGTCAGTGCACAGCATCAAAGCAGGTCACAGAATTTCAGGTCACGGGAGCTATAACAAAAATTCTGAAAGATTCTGGAGGTAGAGAGCTGCACAGAGGAGATTTGCTGGCAGGAAAGATACCAGATGCATCAGCCACGACGCTGGAAGCTGACGGACCATGGAGTCCTTCCTTGGACATTGGGCGTTCGGAGTGAAAGTGACCAGTGGCCGTGTACCCAGGCAGCCTAACCGAGGTGTGAGGGTAGAATAAGGACATTCACAGACATGACAAATCCTCCCACAAGATATACCCCCATGCGCCCTCCTACGGAAACTACGGGAAAATGTGCTTTCCAGATCCGGGGAGTAGACTAAGGAAAGGGGAGCAACGAGGCTCAGGAAACAGCTTCACATGCAGGAGAAGGAACCAGGCGCCCCCAGGCTGATGTGGAAGGGGAGGCCCAGGATGCAGCTGCTGTCAGACCTTGAGGGCATGGGACAAGGAGGAGAGGTGCTAGGAAACACAGTGGAACCCCTGGTCCATCTTGTTGGTCTGACCCGGTGAAAAACTGTAAGGAGACGCAATCGCAGGGTGCGGGAAGTTATAGCTATGGGTGTCTTTCCCTCCTACCACCACCAGCAACAGAACCCGTGCACGTGCAGCACACAAAACCTGCACACAGGCAGCAAAAACAAGCCACATGCACGTGAAGCCACCTAGCACAGTTCTATAAACTGGCTATAAACCCCTTTCTTTCTCATCTTATTTCTCACTAAATACAGTGCTTTCTTCCAGCCGAATCCAGTGGTTCTGCGTGCCCAGGAGTGTGCGTTTTGTGCTCTCTTTGGCCCTCACCATCCCCCGACCTCCTGAACCACCACCTCTGGCCCGCACAATGGTAGCAAACAAAATGTGTGCACAGCATGTTGAATGTTTCCGACACAAAGAGATGATACATGTTTGAGATGATGGATACGCTTATTCCCCTGATCTGATCACTATCCATTAGAAGCATCAGTTTGTACCCCATAAATAGGTACAACTGATTATGTGTCAAAAGTGTAAAAAATAAGGCCTAAGCAAATATAAAAAATCAATTAAAGTTATTGATAATGAAGTTGTTTAAGTTCATTATTTCTTTTGAAGAAAAAAATGTTTTAATAATGAACTTGTTAGGGCAGCCAATATTTTCAGAGTCATAATATATACATCGATTTAACTATAATCATACTGGGAAATGAGGGGAGGGGAAGAGAATGTAAGAAAGCTAGCCCTTCATCTGCCATAAGAAGTAAAAATGCAAGATCCAAGTTTGAGAAATGAGGGATCTCAGAGAAGCATGTTATTTTGAGATGTAGAATCAGATACAGCAGAAAGAGGCTTGAATGGCCGCCCTGGGGAATGGGATAGCAAATGGGGAAGGGGAAAGGGGCACTTTTTGTTTTTTAAAGCTGTTTATATAGATACCATTTGGATGAAACCAAGAGGTTCAGAAAGTGACAAAAGAGAAGAAATCATAAAAGAAATACTCTTAAGAAAACCTTGTACTATTTCTAGCTATATAATAGCTATTTGCTTTATTTTAGAGAAGACAAAAAGAAAGACTTGGAAATAAAAGGGCCCGATGTTCCATTGTATCCTGGGGCCTTCCTTGCAGATGGGCGGGGCTGGGCCAAGGAGGGTTCTGGTCATGTCACGTAGGTGTGCGCAGGTGGAGGCCGGCATGCTACAGGAGAGACTGTACTCGGCAGGGCCGGTCAGAGCACCCCTGTGTCTGCACGTCCTGAGCCTGGGTGCTGGAGAGGTGATGAAACGCAGCAGGTCTGGAGGAGCAGCAACCATCCAGGAAGGAGGCTGCTGATTGGCTGTCAGTGGTAACAACAGAGGACCACTGTTAGTTTCTGTCATGTTTCAAGACACGTGGAGAGGGACAGTGGGCTTCTCATGTCTACTTTCGTGACCCACTGTTGGCCTACAGGTCCCAGATTGGGAACCAGAGGGTCAGTGAGCAGCTCTTGGAAACATCTCTAGGGAATGAGGTGTCCGACACTGAGCCACTGAGCCCTGCGAGTGCAGGCCTGCGACGCAATCCTGCCCTACCTCCTGGTGGGCTCACTCCAGTAGGGGAGGAAGGATATGGGCCCAGACAGGGACAGCCTGTGGCTTTAACAATGGCAGCTGCTGCTTAAGAGGGACAGTGACAGAGAGGGTGACCCCAGGCAGAGGCAGAGGTGGTGGTGCAGGAGGTTGGGGGGTGGGGGTGGGGGGAATGGAGGGCCAAAGAGAGTCCCCCAAACACTCCTGGGGCATGCAGAACCCCTGGACGAGGCTGGAAGAAAGCATTGTATTTAATGGGAAATGAGAAAGAAAGGGAGTTACTGCCGGCCTGTAGAACACATGCCTTTTAACTGCTGGGCAGCAGGCAGTGAGGAGTGGTTGCTGTATTGTGCCATTTCATCACAGCCTTGGAAGCTGGGTAAAAAACCTCTGTCTACCCATCTGTATCTGTGTTTTATCTACATGTCTGTATCTGTGTTTTATCTGTATGTCTGTATCTGTGTTTTAACACTACTTTATGAGACAGTAACAATGAACTGAAATTTGGAAGTTGTGCCAACTGAAAGGGACTTGGTGAGTACCAGGCCACCCCTCTTACTGTAAGGGAAGGAAACTGAGGCCCTTGGAGGGGCCATAACTCACCTGAGGTCTCTCTCATCTGGTAAACAGCAGAGGCAGACTCACACCCTGGGCCTGGTGTCTAGTCCTCTATCTTGTAGCAAAGCCAGGCCCTGCCCCTTTGCTGACCCCGGGAGTCTGCAGTGTGGACCATCCTTCTTGAGCACGTTCATCAGCGTGTGCAAAAGGTGCTCTTTGCCCAAATAAATTCGGGCACCTGCTGGACAGAACACATCTCAGCAGAGATTTTTGTTGAAGGACTTTTCGGGGCCTCTGCCGTGCCTGTGTGTGTCGTGACTCCAGAGTGGGAATCTGCAGGGTGTCACAAACTGACTTAGTCAGAGTCCGTCTCCACCCACCCGCTAGCCCCCTGAAGCCCACCCACAGCATTTTTCAGGATGGTTCTGCGGCGCATATTTTTGAAAATACGTTTGCTTTTTCCGTTAGTGGGTTTTCCCTGAGTGCTTTTAATATTGTCACGAGGCCGTGTGCCCAGCGGGAAAGATGCTCCTCCTGCTTCAACAAAAACTCCCTGAGCCTCCAGACCAGGGCTGGCTTCTGAGCACTTGAGATGTGCCTGGTCCAAATTAAGAAGCTGAAAGGGTAAAATACACACTGGATTGCTAAGGCTTAGTATGAAAAAAATTCCTTAATACTTTTTTTATATTGTATCTTTTCTTTGTTTATATTAATAGATGTTGACATAATATTTTGGGTGTACTGGATTAATAAAATGTTACTAAAATTACATATGTGAATCTGAGCAAGAATTTTTATGGCTTAAACCAAGATTGTTCTCAAGTTTATATGGAAAGGCAAAGGAACTAGAATAGAATGGCTGGAACAACGTTGCAAAAGAAGAATAAAGTGGGAGGAACCATTCTGCCCAGCTCTGAGACTTGATTAAAGCTGCAGTCATCAAGACTGCATTGACTGGGCTCCGCCGAGCGTGGTGCTGCTGGAGAGATCAGTGGACTAGAAGGGAGACCCAGGCATAGATGCACGTAAGTGTGGGCATCCGGCTTTGACAGAGGCGCAGAAGCCAGTCAGCAGTGCCGAGGCCATGGGGCGTTGTAGACAAAAAGGTGGACCTCAGCCTCAGCCTCTCAGCTTATACAAAAATTAATTCAGATTGGATAACAGATTTAAATGTAAGATGTATACTTATAAGACTTTTCTAGCTGGGCCTGGTGGCTCACGCCTGTAATCCCAGCACTTGGGAGGCCGAGGTGGATAAATGGCTTGAGCCTAGGAGTTCAAGACCAGCTTTGGCAACATGGAGAAACCCCGTCTCTACTAAAAATGCAAAATTAGCCAGGCGTGGTGGTGCATGCCTGTAATCCCAGCTACTCCAGAGGCTGAGGCAGGAGAATCACTTGAACCTGGGAGGCGGAGGTTGTGGTGAGCCGAGATCGCACCATTGGACCCCAGCCTGGGCAATAACAGTGAAACTCCACCATGTCTCAAAAAAAAAAAAAAAAAAATAGCCGGTGATGTGTGCCTGTAGTCTAACAACTCGGAAGGCTGAGGCAGGAAGATCGCTTGAGCCCTGGAGGTGGAGGTTGCAGTGAGCCGAGATCGCGCCACTGCACTCTAGCCTGGGCGACAGAGTGAGACTCCCTCTTAAAGCCTTTTCTAAGAAACGTAGGAGAAAGTCTTTGGAACCTTGGGCTTGGTGAAGAGAGGTCTTAGATGTGGTAATCACAAGCATAGTCTGTGAAAGGGAAGGTCCATCCATTTGACTTCAACAACATTAAAAACCATTGCTCTGCAGAAGACCCTTAAACTGGGAGTGGGAGGAATGGAAAGACAAGCCCCAGACAGGGAGAAAATACTTGCAAACTACATGCGACAAAGCATCTATATATACAGATAAGGAACTCTCAAGCACAACCGTAAAATAACCCTGTCAGTCCAACTAGAAAACGGGCAAG
This sequence comes from Homo sapiens, assembly GCF_000001405.40. Classification (NCBI taxonomy): domain Eukaryota; kingdom Metazoa; phylum Chordata; class Mammalia; order Primates; family Hominidae; genus Homo; species Homo sapiens. The sequence goes on along the minus strand of NC_000021.9, from coordinate 41,868,989 downwards.
AGGGCCGGGCGCAGTGGCTCATGCCTGGAATCCCAGCACTTTGGGAGGCCGAGGCGGGTGGATCACGAGGTGAGGAGTTCGAGACCAGCCTGGCCAACATGGTGAAACCCCATCTCTACTAAAAATACAAAAATTAGCTGGGCATGGTGGTGGGCACCTGTACTCCCAGTTACTTGGAGGCTGAGGCAGGAGAATTGCTTGAACCTGGGAGGTGGAAGTTGCAGTGAGCTGAGATCATGCCACTGTACTCCAGCCTGGGTGACAGGGAGACTCCATCTCAAAAAAAAAAAAAAAAGAAAAAGAAAAAGGAAAATGGGCAAAAGATGCAGAGACCTTTTACTGAAGAGGATTTATTAATATTAATACATGTGGCCTACAAGCACGTGAAAAGATGTTCAGCGTCTTTAGCCACTAGGGAAATGCAAATTAAAACCACAAGGAGACACCACTTCACATCTGCCAGAATGACTAAAATAAAAAATAGTGACCCACCAGATGCTGGTGAGGCCGCCGAGAAACTGGATCTCTCCTGTGTCTCTGGTGGGAGGTGCAAAGTGCTGCAGCCTCTCTGGAAAACAGCCTGTCAGTTTATTCAAAAACGAAACATCCTCCTAACAGATGACCCAGTCATTGCACTCCTGGGCATTTACCTCAGAGAAATGAAAACGTATGTACAAAAAAACCTGTACACGATTGCTCCTAACAGCTTTATTTGTAACAGCCCCGTGTGGGAAAAATTGCAAGTGTCCTTCCATGAGTGAGTGAATTGCTAAACAAACGGTAATGCACTCGAATCATGGAATATTATTCAGCAATATAAAGGAATGAGCTTTTGATAGAGGCAACATCCTGGAGGGATCTCAAGGGCATTATTTCAGTTAGAAAAAGCCAATCTCAAAGGTCACAGGCTGTCTGATTTCATTTATATGACATTCTTTTTTTTTTTTTTTTTGAGACAATGTTGCCCAGGCTGCAGTGGATCTCGTCTCACTGCAGCATCCACCTCCCAGGTTCAAGTGATTCTCCTGCCTCAGCCTCCCAAGTAGCTGGGATTACAGGCGCCCACCACCACACCTGGCTAATTTTTGTATTTTTAGTGGAGATGGGGTTTTGCCATGTTGGCCAGGCTGGTCTTGAACTCCTGACCTCAGGTGATTCACCTGCCTTGGCCTCCCAAACTGCTGGGATTACAAGCATGAGCCACTGTGCCAGCCTATGTGACATTCTTGAAATGACAAAATTGTACAGATGGAGAAGATTTTCTCCAGACATGTGTCTTTTAAAATCATGAAGCTTTCATTTCCTAATATTTCAAAACCAGTAGCTTTTTCTAAACCTCCTCAGCCTTTGCAGATCATATTAATAAATAATCCTCAAAACGGTTTTTCAAGCTGGGCACAACGGCTGTACTCCCAGCTATGCGGAGGCTGCGGCAGGAGGGTCGCTTGTGCCCAGGAGTTTGAGGCTGTAGTGCGCTATGTTCACGCCTGTGAAAAACCACTGCGCTCCAGCCTGGGCAACATAGTGAGACTCTGTCTCTTCAACATGTATGTTTCACCTGTTCTGCTGAAGTGTGTAGAGCCTCAGCTTGCTTTCCTTTCACTGCTTTCAGGACCCTTTGCACAAAACTTTTCCTGGGGGAACCAGGAAAATCTGCCCCCAGCCCTGGGGAAGATTGCGAACGGAGGAGGTCAGGGCTAGAGTAGAAAGGAGTTGCATCTTAACTCCTTTTGGTGTTACGAAGTTTGACTACCGGCGCAGCAGAGGCCCCTGAGTGGCTGCCTTCTGCAGGGTCACTCTGTGTGTGAATAGAAAATCTGTGCAAAACTCAGATAGTCAGTGAGGTTTCTGGGCTTTCTGGGCTGAGGGTGTCGGGCATCTCCCCACATCTCAGAGCTCAGCACAGAAAGGAGTCCCTGCTCCCTTAGCCCTGTCTGGGGAGGTCACCCTGCTAGGCGAGCAGGTTGTGGTTGAACCCATCCACCCATCTGGTAACAACAGAAAGTTCGGATTCCTTGTTCTAGACCTTTCCCTGTTTGTACTGAGAAGGGAGTGAGTAGGGTCTCCCCAGGGAGTGGAGGTGTTGTGGCGTCTCCCCAGGAATCAAGATGCGGGTCAGGTGGTCCAGCCGGATCTGGGCTCTACCAGCCCTCTCTGGCTTCCCCTGTGCAGGCCCCGGTCGCACCCTCTGTTGTGTAGTGTGTGTGGAAGGGGGGAAGCGTTGTGCTCGTTCTGCTGCCCCAAATGAACAGCCCCTTCAACACCAGCTGGCCATGTTAGGTGTCCCACGAATATCTGGACAAGAAATGGACTTCGTTTTGTTTGAGCTGATAAGATGGTCTTGTGGGTGCCAGGCTGCAGATTCCAAGAACAGCATTGTTGGCTTGCAAGATTTCTTCAGTAGCACAGGCTTTGTTTGAACTTTCTTTCAAGTACGTGAACCAGGAACCCCATACACAGGCTTAGTGTCAAGTGGAGGGAAGGCAGCGGCCTGGCCAAAGCCAGACCAGGGTGGTCCCTGGAGGCCACTAAGGAGAGAGACCCCAGGCCGGGGCCACCTCCTGTCATGGACGGGGGATGGCAGAGGCCAAGCGCAGGTCATTGTGGTAGCATTGGAACCTTGCTAGGTGCTTTGTAAATATCGAAAACAATAATATAAAAGTTTAAAATCCCTTTTTATATGGAACATGTAAAATTTCTCCTCCAGATCTTAGTGCTAATCTGACTAAACTTCTGAACTTTCTTGGCGTAACTTGTGCAAATGAAACATTTGGAACTTTCCAACCACTCTTAATTATCTGGAGGTGAAGAAGGTGTCAGGTCAAAAGATTTATCAGGGCTCTCTTATACATAGGGTGCTACATACAAAATACATAAGAATTGAACAAAAGGAGTGAGTGGAAAAGTCACTTTTAAGCTTCTGTCTTTCATGGTTAAAGATCTAGTAGAGGCTGGGCGTGGGGTCTCATACCTGTAATCCAAAATGGGAGGCTGAAGCAGGAGGATTGCTTGAGGCCAGGAGTTTGAGACCAGTCTGGCCAACATAGTGAGACCAAATCTCTACAAAAAATTAAAAAATTAGCTGGGCATGGTGGTGCGTGCCTGTAGTCCCAGCTACTTGAGAGGCTGAAGCTGGAGGATCGCAGGAGGTCACGAGTTTGAGGCTATAGTGAGCTGTGATGGGACCATTATACTCCAGCTTGGGTGACAGAGCAAGACTGTGTCAAAATAAAATGAAAGAAAATAAATCTAGTAGAAAAAACAGACCATGTGCATGACATTATGTGAAACTGAGATAGTGGTTTAGGAAGAGTCAGCTTTTTGGGGGGATCACAGAGGATGTGAGAGTAATTGAAGGGAGCAAGGTGTCAGGGAGGGTGAGGTTAGGGCTCTGTCTTGAAAGACGGTGGAACCCCCATGGTGGACTGAGGGGAAGTGGCTGTGCCTGGGGTGGACCTCGCGTCCACAGCCTGGGGTGTGTTAGGGGGTGTACCAGGAAGTGGCTGATTCTCTTATCAGACGTTGACCTGTCCCGTGTGCTGGTGCCGAGGAGGGTCCAAGTATATCCCACTGTGCAAGGCTGCCACAAGCCTTGCCCTCTTGGCCGTTGAAGTGTGGTGGGAGAGACATGAGATCAGTCACACACAGGCATGGCTACACGGGTGACGGTGCTGTGAAGGAAATCGCAGAGCGCTTTTAGAAAGCATGCCACGCTGTGGACAGGTGGATCAGGGAGACCCTCCCTGAAGAAGTGACGTTAAGCTAAGACTGAGGAGTGAGCAGGCATGGCAGAGAGGGCTGGGGAGTGAGGAGTGAGCAGGGGAGTGAGGAGTGAGCCGGGGAGTGGGGAGTGGGGACTGAGGAGTGAGCAGGCATGGCAGAGAGGGCTGGGGAGTGAGGAGTGAGCAGGGGAGTGGGAACTTGCAGAGAGGGCTGGGGAGTGAGGACTGAGCAGGGGAGTGGGGAGTGGGGACTGAGGAGTGAGCGGGCATTGCAGAGAGGGCTGGGGAGAGGGCCAGCCTTGGGGGGCGAGCATGTGGAAAGGCCCAGAGGCAGGACCCAGCTTGGCGTTCCGGGAAGCGTGGCTGGAGAGGGTGGGGGTGGGGAGGTGAGGTGAGAAGGCTGCTGAGAAAGGCAGTGCCTGGTCATGTGCAGGAGTTTGGGTTTTGTTCCTGGGACAGTGGGAAGCCAGTGAAGCTTCAGGCTGGCAAGCGATGTGATTGGATTTATGTTCTAGAAGAACTGCTCTGCAGTGTGGAAAATGGGTTGGCGGCCCAGGCAGAGGAGGAAGAGTTATCTGGAGACCCTTTGCAGCCTTACAGGTGGGAGAAAGTGGGATGTGGCCAAGGGAGGTAGTAAGGGGGGCTGCAGGTAGTGGGTGATGGGCGGGTGTCAGAGGGAGGCGAGAGAGGTCACAGCGGTTCCAGGTCTCTCTGACAACTGCGTCCTAAGATGTAGGAGGTGGGGGCAGAGAGACTTTGTCAGGAGCATCCAGATGTTTTTACTTTTTGACATGTTGGTTTTTGGGTTGCCTGTTGCCTTCTGAATGAAGATGCAAATGATTTTCCTTTTATAGATTGTGTTTTTGGTGACAAGCCTAAAAACTGTGGCTTGCCCTAGAGCCCAAAGATTTTCTCTGTTTTTCTAAGTTCTATTATTATTTAATATTTTATGTTTTAAGACTGTGATCCATTTTGAGTTAATTTTCTAGTAAGATATGAAGTTATAGTTCATTTCTTTGAATGAACTGTGGATGCCCAGTTGTTCCTGCACTAACTGCTGAAATGGTTGCCCTTCCTCGCTTGGATTTTAAAATCCAATCCGCTTTTGTCTTTGTAAAAAAATGCAGGCCAGGCGCGGTGGCTGACACCTGTAATCCCAGCACTTTGGGAGGCCGAGGTGGGCAGATCACGAGGTCAAGAGATCGAGGCCCTCCTGGCCAACATGGTGAAACCCCGTCTCTGCTAAAAATACAAAAATTAGCTGGGTGTGGTGGCACGTGCCTGTAATCCCAGCTACTCGGGAGGCTGAGGCAGGAGAATCGCTTGAACTTGGGAGGCGGAGGTTGCCGTGAGCTGAGATCGCGCCACTGCACTCCAGCCTGGGCGACAGAGCAAGACTCCATCTCAAAAAAAAAAAAAATGCTTTGGGCATGTTTGTTTAGGTCTATTTCTGGGTTGTCTGTTTTGTTCCATTGATTTCTGTCCACCTTCTCACCGGTATCAAAGTTTTTATGATGGTAGCTTGATAATTAAGTTTGAAGTCAGGTAGACTGAGTCTGTCACTTCAGCCTTCTTTTTCAAAGTTGTTTTTAACAGGTGTCTTCACGGAGCGTTCCGTGTAAGGAACCTGAAGTCACCCCCCATTTGCCTGAAGTCACCCCCCATTTCCCGTTTACCACCAGGTTAGATGCAGATGGTCCTGGTCTGAGCTTAATTGACATTTCTGATAAGTTTGGTTTCCTGATATTATTACTGTGGTCTTACTGTGATGGCAGGTGTGTTTAGTTAGTTTTTGTAGTAGTAGTCATATAAATTGTAAAGAGATTTTTCAGGCAGAGCAGTGGTTCTCAGACTTGAGCTGCATCCGAACCACGTGGAGGGTTTTGCAAACAGAGTGCAGGGCCCTCTGCCAAGCCTGATTCATCAGGTCTGGGGGTGGGAGGCAAGGATGTGCATTTCTGAAATGTTCCCAAGCAGTGCTGGCACTGCTGGTTCCTGGTCCAGGGACCACATTTTGAAATCACTAATGTAAGGTAAGTCTTCCCAGGATTGGTGGTTGAGATAGGGGGACCTCACACTTTTTTTTTTTTTTTCTTTTTGAGGTGGAGTCTCACTCGGTCGCCCAGGCTGGAGTGCAGGGGCGTGATCTCAGCTCACTGCAACCTCCACCTCCCTGGTTCAAGCGATTCTCCTGCCTCAGCCTCCCGAGTAGCTGGGATTACAGGCACGTGCCACCGCGCCTGGCTAGTTTTTGTATTTTTAGTAGAGATGGGGTTTCACCATGTCGGCCAGGCTGGTCTCGAACTCCTGACCTGAAGTGATCGCCCGTCCTCATCTCTGAAAGTGCTGGGATTACAGACGTGAGCCACACGCCTGCCCAGGATCTCGAACTTCTAGTTCTTTTTTCCTCTCCTTTTCCCTGAAACAGTACTTCCTGTGTGCCTTGTTCTGGGATGTCTTGTGTGCCTTAGAGGTCTGGAGACCACACTTCCCCTTCTATGAAGGCACTTTCTGAGTGTTAAAGGGAGTTTTGCCAAGACAGCAAAGACTTTGAAGATGCTCCGTTTATCAGGCCTGATCTGCAGCCCAGGGTGGCTGTGGCCTCTGATCTTGGGCCCAGAGGAGCCGTTTTAGAGAGGCCTCATTTTGGGGACCAGATGCTGCTAATCGGGACCCTTATTGCCAGGACTCGGACATTTACATAGAATCAGAGTGCAGCACAGGGGGCTAAAACCCTGCTCTCCAGCTTCCCTCGCCCCTCTCTTCTGGGTTTCCTCTCCCAGCAGCTCCGCTCAGAGGGGACCTTTTTTGGGGGCACCTAGAAGGGGTGGGCAGTCTGTGAGAGGTGTAGGCCAGAGGCAAGGTCTGCCCCGGGGAGAGGCGGCCACACAAGGCCTCAGGGGATTCGTGCAGGCTCCCAAGTAAGCAAGGCCAGGACGACTTCCTTCCATCCTCCCACTCCGATTCCAATACCTTTGTTGGGACTCTGTGTTCTGCGGTGATCTGACCGCAGTGTGGGGCGCCTCTTAAGGCCTATCGTTCCCATCGCCCAAGCTCCTGACCGTGAGTCACGTGGGTTCCTGCAGGGGGCACGCAGGTCCTACACCTCCAGTAGCACAGCAGCAACTCATGAAAGCGTGCGCCCTCCCCACCCCACTCTGGGTTTCTTCTGCCCTTTGTCCTGTTCATCTCCTGCTCACTGCCCAGCTGAGCCCCCATCCCAGACTGGTCCCTATTTGCGCCGAGGTGCCCATCCACAGGAACTGGGGCAGGCAAGGCCGAATGCGGCTATGAAACTGAGTCACACTTGCTAGAGCCGCACGAGATACCTTTGAACGTGAATGTGTGTTCCCAGGAAAAGAAGATACAGTGCTGTTTTGGGAGAAAATTTCACCCCCCTCCCCTTGTTATTTCTGGCATTTTAAGGGCAAATTGGAACTCTCTTTCCTCTGCCTCACTTCCTTGTAGCTAACTCACTCTCCTAACTTGAAGTTTTCAACCCGGCACTGCTCTCAGACACACAAGTTCAGTGACTGTGAGTTTCCATATGAGTTTTGCACGGTCTGCTTTTCACCCTTCAAGCTGCTGGGGATGAGCGGGGTGGAGGGCGTGTGGAATCAGCATTCAAGAAGTGCCAGCATGCACACTTTCCTAAACCACTCAGCAACGGGCATCAGAGAAGCAGGTTGCAGGAAGGACATGCCGGTGCGCACAGTTGGGGATTGGGGGGGGGCAGAGGAGGAATAATCATTTGGTGGCACATACTGTGTGTATCTCACTTTATGCTCCTCCCAAACTGCATGAGGTGGGTGTTTTTATTTCCATTTTACAGCCCAGGAATGTGAGGCCCCAGAATGAACAATGTCTAGATCCACCCTGTGAATATATGTGTGTGGGGGGTGTCAGTTTATGCTCATCTACCCACTATGCAAGTGTTTCTGGAGGTGAACCTCAAGGATGGATAGGGAATAGAATTATTGGATCTGATAACAGCTTATGTGGGAGCACGAGAGTCCTCCACAACGTCACGCATTGATTTAGTCCCCAGAGAAGCAAGTGTTTATGGGGCACCAGGCATAGGTTAGGAGTGAGGGGAAAAAAAGTGACAACCGGCTTTTTAAAAATGGTGATATAGGTGGGCACGATGGCTTGTGCCATAATCCCAGCACTTTGGGAGGCTGAGGTAGGAGGATTGCTTGAGCCCAGCAGGTAGAGGCTGCAGTGAGCCTTGATCACACCACTGCACTCCAGCCTGGGCGACAGAGCAAGACCCTGTCACCAAAAAAAGGTGATATATTTGTTTTAAAAATGGAAATTGATGGCTAATATGAAAAGATGAAAGTCTGAGTTCATGAGGCCATTCAAATCCATTGCTTTCATTAAAAATAACATTATTTGAGGTGAGAAGATGTTTCAGGGATCCCAGCCCCATCCCACAATAAGAGGAGACCCCACTGTGTGCTCTCTTTAGAACACCACGTAATGTTCCTGTACTGGCTGGAGGAGGCCTTTAGTAGGAATTGTCTTTAAACATTATTTTGGTAAGAGGCCAGGCACGGTGGCTCACACCTGTAATCCCAGCACTTTCAGAGGCCGAGGCAGGCGGATCACAAGGTCAAGAGATCGAGACCAGCCTGGCCAACATGGTGAAACCCCGTCTCTGCTAAAAATACAAAAATTAGCTGGGTGTGGTGGCTCACACCTGTAGTCCCAGCTACTCAGGAGGCTGAGGCAGGAGAATCACTTGAACCTGGGAGGCAGAGGTTGCAGTGAGCCAAGATCCTGCCACTGTACTCTATCTATCCTGGGCAACAGAGGGAGCTCAATTTCAAAAACAAAACAAAAGTATTTTGGTAAGAGCTTGTCATTAATGAGGCTCTCTTGTATCCTGACAGGTGTCAGAGATGGCTGAAGATGGGAGCGAAGAGATCATGTTCATCTGTAAGTGACCCAGGGACCTGTCCCAGGTCCGAGACCAGCCCTATGTCATAGAACACAGATGGGCGTGGCGCTTGCTGTCTGGGCAAAGCCACGTCTACATTTGGTTTTTATAATATAGAAAAGCTATATATTTAAAATTTCCCTATGAAACATTTATTTAATAAGCAGTACACTACAGGGGTATGGTTTTAATAGGATCACCTTTCTCAGAACTCCTGGCCGAGGGCACTTTGCAGGGGGTAGCACTTGATTCAGAAAAGTAATCCAGGGCTAGGCAGGAGGGATGAACCTGCTAACATTGGCCATTTTCATTTATGCTCATTCTTTGGGGAGGGTCTTGGTCTTCGTCACCATGGAGGTGACCGTGCTTGATTTGAGGCGTGCGGCGGAGCTAGAGCTTTCCCTGGGGGCGTGTCCTGCCTTTGCACTCCTCATGTGTGCACGAGTGCTGACAGAGGCCTTCGGGACACAGGCCTTCTGCCATCCAATGCACCCTCCCTTGCTTGTCTTTGCAGTGTCGGCATGCATGTGTCTCATGACTCTGGGTCACCCTCATGGGGCCAGGGTCCCCATTTCCCAGGTTTGTGTTCTTTAGGTGTCTCCCTCCCTGGGTGCTCTAATGCCCGGATGTCTGCTTGCAGGGTGTGAAGACTGCAGCCAGTACCACGACTCCGAATGTCCCGAGCTGGGCCCAGTGGTCATGGTCAAAGACTCCTTTGTGTTAAGCAGGGCAAGGTGAGTGACCGCCGTGAGCTCCCGGGCCTTCCATATGCCAGCTGCGGCAGGAGCCTAGTGGCCTTTGGGTCTGCAGACGGGGAGGAAGGAGCCTGAGGGAGAACAGAGGCACTCTGAGTGAGAGCCAGCGATTCCGCTCCCACTGTGAACTGAGCAGCGTTGCTGCCGGGACACACCAAAACACGTGCTTCAAAGCTCCAGAGTGAGTTTCTTTGATCCACTCCAGGGTTCTTAGCTGGAGCCCAGCTGTTCCCGACACAGTGTGTGGAGGCTGCAGAAGAGTGGACTTGCCAAGGTGGTTGACGTGCTGAGCACCAGCAGCCAAGCTGGAGGTCTGCTCGTTGGCTTCTCTCTGCATTCCAGGTCTTGGCCTGCCAGCGGACACGTGCACACCCAGGCGGGGCAGGGGATGCGGGGTTATGAGGACAGGGACAGGGCTGACCCACAGCAGCTTCCAGAAGCAGTCCCTGCAGGCCTGGTGAGGCGGCTCAGTGGGCAGCAGCTGCCCTGCCGTTCCACCCTCACCTGGGGGAGGCTGTGCCACCTGGTGGCCCAGGGCAGGTGAGCTTGGACAAGGCACTCCTCTCCGGACCTCGGTGGCCTCTGTAGAGGATGGCAGTTCCCGTGGGGTGGTTGTGGTGTTGTGGGTGATGGTACCTGGCACGTGCTGCCGCTGCACAGGTGGCCGCCGTCTTTCCAGAACTGTTTCCAGGAGCCTCCCCACTGCCCCACAACACCGTTCATTTATTTTTTTTTCTTAGTGTGACTCAAAGAGATTAATGTTTTGGCCTAAAGTAGACAGTAGATCAACCCCCCTCTTCCCATCAACCCCCCTCTTCCCCAGAACCCTCAGGGACTGCCTGTTGCCCATGAAAATTCAGCTGAAACCCTTGGTCCTGCAGTCAGACCCTCCGTGCTGGCTCCTTGTCTCAGCGGCCTCCTGCCCGCCCTGAGGGGCCTGTGCTCTGGGCACCTCATGTCCGCCTCTGTCGGAGAGGCCTGTGCTCTGGGCACCCCATGTCCGCCTCTGTCGGAGAGGCCTGTGCTCTGGGCACCCAATGTCCGCCTCTGTCGGAGGGGCCTGTGCTCTGGGCACCCAATGTCCGCCTCTGTCGGAGGGGCCTGTGCTCTGGGCACCCCATGTCCGCCTCTGTCGGAGAGGCCTGTGCTCTGGGCACCCAATGTCCGCCTCTGTCGGAGGGGCCTGTGCTCTGGGCACCCAATGTCCGCCTCTGTCGGAGGGGCCTGTGCTCTGGGGACCCAATGTCCGCCTCTGTCCGAGGGGCCTGTGCTCTGGGGACCCCATGTCCGCCTCTGTCCTGGACGTGTCCTGGGCTCGTCCCGGCTCCTATGCCTTCCTCCCCAGACCCCAGTCCTTGACATTCTTCTACTTCAGTTAAAGAGGTCACATCCTCAGTGAAACTGGCCCGCTCCACTTGGCTGGAAACCCTTTCTGTTTGGGACTTCCATGGCCCTTGCGTCTTTCTCGGGGTGCTCTTCATATGGCTCCTCAGCAGCGAGTTCCCTGTGGTCCCTCCTCCATCGCTGGACCCCATACCAGTCTGACCCTGTTCTGTCCCGTAGCAGCCCCACCAGGGATGCACCTGTTGGCACTGTCTTTCCCACGGGGAATTAAACCCATCCTTCAGTGCACAGCCCCGCCATGGTGTGCTCTGGGTGAATCTCACCAGGGCCCTGTGGTCGGCCTTGTGTAGCTAAGGCCACAAGATTATGGGTAGTTTGCCACAGCCCGAGGGCATCATCACAACCTCAGTCTCAGTCATCATTGAGCACCTATTAGGAAGGCTTCTGTTGTTTTTTTTCTTTTCTTTGAGACAGGGTCCTGTGCTGTCATCCAGGCTACAGTGCAGTGGCACAGTCTTGGCTCACTGCAGCCTCAAACTCCCGGGTTCAGCCATCCTACTGCTTTAGCCTCCCGAGTAGCTGGGACTACAGGCACATGCCACCATGTCCAGCTAATATTTTGTATTTTTTGTAGAGACAGGGTTTCACCATATTGCCCAGGCTGGTCTCAAACTCCTGGGCTTATACAGTCTTCACACCTTGGCCTTCCAAAGTGCATGCTGGGATTACAGGCGTGAGCCACCAAGCCTGGCCTGGAAGGCTTCTATTTTATCACCTGGAGAATTTTATTTCCGAAGAACCCTGGCGGTCAGTGAGGGCGAGCTTTTAGGTTATCTTAACGAGTCGGTCCCTGGGTGTGAGTGCTCTCTTTTGAGTCTTGTTTTATTCCATTTCCAGGTCATCCCTTCCTCCCAACTTGGAGATCAGACGACTGGAAGATGGAGCCGAGGGGGTGTTCGCCATCACTCAGCTCGTCAAGCGGACACAGTTCGGTCCCTTTGAGTCCAGGAGGGTCGCCAAATGGGAAAAGGAGTCTGCATTTCCCCTGAAGGTAAAGGCTGTTGCCAAACAGGAGCTCAGGAACTGGGTGTTTTTCTGGCGTTCCCATGTGGGAATGGGGAGCAAGGACCACTGAGTTTCCATGATTTATAAATGCCTCAAAAACAGCTCCAAATATTGTAGGTCTGCTTAATTTCCAAGAAAATGTTTCTTTTTACATTGCAAGAGCATCGATATTAAGTTAGTATTTTGTAATTTTCAATTTTGCAGAACACTAAAGAGTGTGTTTAAGACATATGCAGGAGAAACCCAAATGCTGACTCCAGCTGTCTTACGACCTCCATTGCTGTCGCAGGCTTTACGAGGCAGCGTCTTGCAGGGGCCCATCGCTCTAGTTATTTCCACACCTGTGCAGAGCGTATGGTAGTTTGCAAACCTCTTTCAAAGGGAAGGTGTTTGTTTAGGCAGTGATGAGACATTGGGCAATAGTGTGAAGTTTGGCCGTTCTAAAAAGCACATCAGACTGAGAGAAGACAGTGGTTCTCTACTTTGACGTGAACTCGAGAAAACTAAGATGTATGTAAATTGCAAGGCAGGCTTTAGAATAAGTAAAAAATGAGCCCTCTGGAAGGCTATGAGGCCAGGCGAGGCTGGTTTTTGACTGTTGCCATGCCTGCCCTCTGTATCGTACCCCAAGCCAGCCAGTCTTCAGAAATATCTGTGAAATAAACAAATGAGGAATGGGTTGTTAGTCAGCAAACTTTTCTTAGAGACCCTTGAAATGGATCTGCTTGTCTTAGGACAGGCAGATGAAGTCAACAAGCTTGGGTTTTTGGAAGTCCTTTGGAAAGCTGAGCTTGTAAGGCAGATTTCAGCAAAAAGGGGGGAAGAAGGAAAGGCACTTGATTTGTTTACAAAAGAAAGAAGGAAGGAAGGGAGGGAGGGGAAGGAGGGAAGGAAGGAAGGGAGGGGAGGGAGGGAAGGAAGGAAGGGAAGGAAGGGAGGGGAGGGAGGGAAGGAAGGAAAGGAAGGGAGGGAGGGGAGGGAGGGAAGGAAGGGAGGGAGGGGAGGGAGGGAAGGAAGGAAAGGAAGGGAGGGAGGGGAGGGAGGGAAGGAAGGAAAGGAAGGGAGGGAGGGGAGGGAGGGAAGGAAGGGAGGGAGGGGAGGGAGGGAAGGAAGGAAAGGAAGGAAGGGAGGGGAGGGAGGGAGGGAAGGAAAGGAAGGAAGGGAGGGGAGGGAGGGAGGGAAGGAAAGGAAGGAAGGGAGGGAGGGAGGGAGGGAAGGAAAGGAAGGAAGGGAGGGAGGGAGGGAGGGAAGGAAAGGAAGGAAGGAAGGAAAGAAAAGGCTGTTTTAAGTTGAAGAAATATGTAACAATGCTTAAAACAGCCTCAGAAAGGCCGTTGGCTACCTGCCTGTCCTTTGCAGCACCCATCCGGTCGACGTACACAGTTGGTGTGGGTGCACGGTTGGGGGCGAGGCCCCTTTAAAGAAGTCTTTTGTGCCCATTTTGGTGGTCCTTCAGCTACGCGATTCTGAAGGTCATCGCCTGGTACTGGGTTGTTCTCAGTGCATGCACCAGCGTTCAGCTCCTCTGTGCCCACCAGAGAGAGCGTGCCGCCAGCTGGGAGCACACCTTCCTCAGCAGCTGGTGGTCATTAGGTGCCTGGTGGTCCCCCACCCCTGCCTCTCACTTCCAAGGGCTCCGTCTTTGGAGAGGCCTCTCTAGGAGAAGCTTAGGAGAGGGGAGAGCTCTCTTCCTGCAGGGAGGAAGAGACCATGACATCAGAAAATAAGGAACAAAACCCTCCTATAGTCATGTGGTTGATTTGAACTTCAAAATATGTAAGTTTTTCTCCCTGCTGCCTGCCTGCATTTAATCCATAAAGCAATAGTGCTGTTTGATAGATGGGGAGGCAGCTCATAAAGCCTGAGGAGCCCAGCACCCTGTGGCGGAGCTGGGAGTAGAACTGTGTCCCAGTTCCCAGTGGGCCATCTGGAGAGCCTTAGGTGTCCCCGTGACACGTGGACTGGGAGTGAAGCTCAGGTAGCTCAAAGCCCACCTGGACCAGGACTAGAACTTTGGTGTCCCCATGCCCACTAGAACCTGATTAGAACTTGAGTTCCGCACCTGGGCCGTGAGTAACACTCAGGTATCCCAATGACACATAGACCGCTGGCTGTGTCTGCTGCTTCCTTTTGCCTGTGACTAACCTGACCCGTCCAAACCACATGGTCTACCTGTGACCCTCCTCACTATTGTAAACACCTCAACATCCCGTACAGGAGCCCTTATGGCCTCTGACGTGGCACTGTCTAGATGGGTTCCTCAGCACCTGCCCCCCACACGCTGATACACAGATGGGTAATCAGCCATTTCCCCGGCTTCTCCATGGGCCGACTCACCTTCAGGTGTTCCAGAAGGACGGGCACCCCGTGTGCTTCGACACCTCCAACGAGGATGACTGCAACTGGATGATGCTGGTGCGGCCAGCGGCGGAGGCCGAGCACCAGAACCTGACGGCCTACCAGCACGGCAGCGACGTGTACTTCACCACCTCCAGAGACATCCCCCCGGGTACCGAGCTGCGCGTGTGGTATGCGGCCTTCTATGCCAAGAAGATGGACAAGCCCATGCTGAAGCAGGCCGGCTCTGGCGTCCACGGTATGTGGCGGCCCCCGATCCGGAGCCCACCTTCCCTTGTGCCTCGCCGAAGGGGTTATGGTCCCTTGGCTCTGTGCTGACCCCACACTGATGAGATGGGTTGGGCTGGGCCAGCTGCTGGGATGCGGAGAGTGGAGGAGTGGAGAGTCGGGTCTGTCTTTCTGCTTGTTTTAAACATCCTTGGTCAGTTTGGGCACGTGGATGTAACACAAGTTAACACAGTGAGGCAGTGTTTAACAACAGAGATACATTCTCAGAAATGTGTCCTGGGGCGATGGCATTGTCATGAGTGCATGGTAGAGCGCACTCTCGCGCACCTTGATGGCCTGGCCTGCTACACACCCAGGCTGTATGGTGTAGCCTGTTCTAGCTACCAGCCTGTCCAGCATGTGACTGTACTGCATGCTGTGGGCAACTGTAACACATGGTCAGTATTTGTCTATGTAAACATAGACAAAGTAATAGAGGAAAAATACTGTATTAGAATCTCATGGGACCACTGTCTTTGACTGAAACCTTGTCACATGGCGCATGACTGCTTAGCTCTGCCCTGGGGGCTACGTGCAGTGAGTGACCCATCCTCCTAATCCTATGAGGCTGGGGTACTAGCCCTGTCTTTGGACGGAGGAAACAGCACAGAGAGGTTAAGGAACTGACCCCAGGTCACAGTGGAGTAGATGAAGAAATCAGGATTGGTCCATGGCACCCGGCTCCAGTGTTGCTGCTCACCGTGCAATGGCCTCCTCCCAGATTTGGGGGCAGTGTGTGTGTGCGCGCGTGTGCATACCTGTGTGTGTGTGCATGCGTGTTCAAAGAAAGCCCTAGTGAAGGTTATGTGCGTGATCTGCCCAAATCTAGCATTCCTGCTGAAAAAGCGGGTCACAGTGCCTGTCCTGCTAAGCCGGGGTCAGGGCATCACTTTGCCCATCAAGCGGGGCTGCTGAATTTTAAATCTTTCTCATCCATGTTATGGGTCTTTTTGACATAGATCCTCCTCATAAAACCTGAAGAAACTCTATGAAATTCCTGGTATTTGATGTCTTTTGACCTGCAAAACAGCAATTTCATATTGCCGAAGCTGACACTACCCAGGGGAGCAAATGTTATTTAATGTTGCCATGAAGATTCTTTGCTCAAGGGGGCGAAATAGATATTGACTCTCCTGACCCCCCTCCCAAATGACCTGATTCTCATACGAGCATTGTTTCCTTGTTTTATAAATGCAGTGTAATCCAAAATATTAGTAGCTCGGTAGCTTAAGATTCTTAACTTATTGGAAGGTTCTGGTCTGTCCTGTTTGTCAGTATGATTGAGGCTTTGTAAAATGCCCCTGGTTGTCCCTAATCCCAGGTCCACAATGGGCTGTGTGGGAGTGTCCCGGCGCTGCGCTGCCCCCATAAAACACCAGCAACCCAGTGCCTTCACGTCAGAAATGTGCCTCCCGCAGTGCTGGAGGCCACACGCCCACGGTCAGGGTGTCAGCAGGGCTGGTCCCTTCTGGGCACCCTGAGGGAGAATCTGTCCCGGGACTCTCCCCAACCTCTGGTGGTGGCTGGCACAGTAGCCTTTTGTGTCCCTTGGCTTATGGCTGTGTTACTCCAGTCTCTGCCTGTCTTCTCTCCCATGTCTCTGTGTCATCTCTTCATAAGACCACCCGTCATTGGATTCAGGCCTCCCCAATCCAGCATGACCTCACCTTAACTTGATGACATCTGCACACATCCTCTCCCAAAGGTGGTAGGTGGATGTGAATTTTGGGGAGCCACTATTGAACCCACTATGGGCCATGTGAGGGCTGGGTGGAGAGGGGCCGCTGGGGATGCTGCTGGGGAGGGTTGGTGAGGAGCCAGGCGGCTCCCTCTGGGGCCTGCAGCGGTGGCGGCGTCCTCTTCGGCCAGGTTGGTAAAGTGAGCTGAGTGTACTGGGGGCTTCGCACCCTTCGCAGAGAAAGACTGTGGCTTTGTGGGGAGATGTTTAAGAATGAAAAGGACAAAAAGAACTTGGAGAAACCCACTGCTCTTCACCCAGCTGCTCCTAGCCCCACCCTCGTGGCTTTGCCAAAACCAGGTGCCTGGCCTGGCCCAGCACAAGGGAGGCCCCTGTGGTGGTGCCTGCTGGGTCAGGGGCCGTTTCCAAGTCCTGCGAGGCTGGGCTCTCTGAGCAGAGCCCAAGTAACTGTGATCTTCGGGACCTGGGCTCCTTGTGTCTGGAATTCCTGAAGGCCTAGGCAGCTGGCAGCACGTGTGCCCACGGCCAGCCCAGACTGCAGCCACGCCGGGGTTTGGGTTCTGAGATGCCGGCCTTGGCCGTTTACCCCCTTGTCAGCTTGTATCCTGGGGGATGCCCTCACCACCCTCAAGGCTAAGGTCAAAGCAAAGGTTGCCACGCCTTATTGGAGCTACAGGTGTTTCGTATTCATTTTACCTGCTGGAGACCCTTCAATCTGGAGCTGAGTTTGAAACAATAGATTTAAATGAAGTCAGCCTGGGACTGTGGTGTCGAACAGAGTCGCCTCTGATTTCGGAGATCCTAGGGTAATTCCCATTCCTCCCTAAAACCTCTCAGAATAAAAGGACACTTGTAATAATTCTACCAGGACAGTCTGTGTAAATGGGAACGTATGGTCACCTGAGCATAGCTTAAACCTAAACAAGGTTTTTAATTGGGGAAATAAATAAACAACTTAGTTACTCTTAGATTTCAGAAATGCTTTTTAGGATGGTCACTTGTGTTTGGGGACAAATGGCAAGCAGTTATTTCTGGAGAGGTAGTGAACATGGCGATTCCACTCACTGGCTGGTTGGGTCCTTCCTTCCCTTTCCTTCCCGAGAGAGCCCCCTGTTGAGCTCTGGCTTGGCCCTTGAAGTGCTGCCGGCTGCCCTGGGGAACTTTCCCTGGGGTCCACCTGCTGATTGTTCAAATGGCAAGCCAGCAGCCGCGTCAACACCTGCTCCTCACACACACGCTGCCTGTCACCCTCTGCAGCCGCGTCAGCGCCCCCGCCACACACACACTGCCTCTCACCCTCTGCCACCTATCTGGCTCCTTCCCCTGAGCCCCTCCTCCCTGACCCTGCCAGGGGTCCCTCTCGAGGCACAGTGGCGCTTCTAGAGCCCTGCCCGCCCAATGCACCCAGGGCCCACCAGAGTCTGAGTGTGTGTCGAGCACCTCACCCAGCTGAAGCTATGCACTGGAGCCCAACGCTGCCTGCGTCTCAGAAATGAGTATCTCGATAGATAACAAGACCTTCGAAGAGAGGCTAGAAACATCCAGAAAGCTGGCCGCTTGCCCAGTTCTCACTGTTCAGACTGGATACGTGAAGGACTGGAGTTCTAGGGTAACTGCGTAATCCCACTCCTGCTCAGTGACGTGCCCTCTGGGGTGGACACTCCCAGAGAGAACGCTGCTGCATGGTGGGAGAAAAGGAGGCCTTTTGTGCATTGTTGTACCTCTGGCCCAGTGGGAGTAGGCAGAGTGATGTGAGTGGCCTCCGGGGCCATTGGTGTGCTCCTAGAACCGTATTGGCAGCCGACGAACCCAGGAACCGTCTTCCTGTAAATTACTTATTGTGGTGGCCGAGTCTTTCCTGGTGAGCGTGAGAGATCCTAAGACTCAGTGACTTAATTCTGTCTCTTTGATTTGCTCCAAACATGCATCTTCGTGTAGAAATCAGTCAGTTTTGCAGATCAGTGGCGCCGTCTTCTAAATACAGAGAAAACTTTGGTTTTGTACTGAAGGAGCAGTAACACATCCCTTTAAAAGTAACTTATTATTTTTTTCTGGTAGTGGATTTTACTTTTCTAGTTCCATCTTTTTCTTTTTTTGTAGTTTTTTGAGATAGGGTCTGGCACTGTTGCCCAGGCTGGAGTGCAGTGGCATGATCGTGGCTCACTGCAGCCGCCCTCGTGGGCTCAAGTGATCCTCCCACCTCAGCCTCCCTAGTAGCTGGGACCACAGGGATGTGCCACCACACCCAGCTAATTTTTTTAATTTTTATTTTTAGTAGAGATGGGTCTCACTGTGTTGCCTAGGCTGGTCTTGAACTCATGGATTCGGGCAATCCTCCCACCTTCCGAAGTGCTGGGATTCCAGGCGTGAAGCACTGTGCCTGGCCTTAACTTGTTCTTGAGCTCACATTAAGATTGATTTTGTTTCTTTACAAGAACCTGAACCTGCTGACAGATGGAGGGGGCAGCCGAAGAAACATCCTGGATCTTCATGGGAGAGAGCATGAGGCCCAGGAGGAGAGTGTTGGGGGGGCACCAGGAGGAAAGTGTGGGGGGGCACCATGCCAGCAGGGCGTTGTTATGGGACATCCCGTCCCCACCAGCTTCTGTTCCCTTTTAGTCTCGCTCTGAGAATCCGCTGCTTGAAGAATCCCACAAGATCGTGGACGAATGGAAATCAGAGCCAGAGTCCCATTTCTCACTCACCTTCTCAAACACACATGGGTTCCAACGAGAAAATTTTCAAAATCACCTTTCTGGTGAAAAGAGTAAAATACAAACACATTTTATAACATTGGGGAAACTGTTCAGTCACATATAGCATCACTGTTCTAACTCAACTGCTGTTGCCATTTGATTCGCATTTTCTAGTATTTTTTATTTTAATTTCATTTTATTTTTTTGAGACAGAGTCTTGCTGTGTCACCCAGGCTGGAATGTGGTGGCCCAATCTCAGCTCACTGCAACCTCTACCTCCCGGTTCAAGCAATTCTCTTGCCTCAGCCTCCCCAGTAGCTGGGATTACAGGCATGTACCATCATGCCCAGCTAATTTTTTTATTTTTAGTAGAGATGGGGTTTTGCCATGTTGGCCAGGCTGGTGTTGAACTCCTGACTTGAAGTGATTCACCTGCCTCAACCTCCCAAAGTGCTGGGATTACAGGCATGAGCCACCTCACTGGCCCCTGTATTTTAAAAACCAGCACTGATGACATATAGTTTACATTCAGTAAGACTCAACAATTTTAAGTGTACAGTTCAGAGACTTTTTTTTTTTTTTAAGTCAGTCTGTCGCCCAGGCTGGAGTGCAGTGGTGTGATCTTGGCTCACTGCAACCTCCACCTCCCGAGTTCGAGCAATTCTCATGCCTCAGCCTCTCAAGAGCTGTAATTACAGGCGCATGCCACCACGCCTGGCTAATTTGTGCATTTTTTAGTAGAGACGGCGTTTTGCTATGTTGCCCAGGCTGGTCTTGAGCTCCTGGCCTCAGGTAATCCACCCATCTGGGCCTCCCAAAGCGCTGGGATTACAGGCATGAGCCAGTGTTCCCGCCAGTTTAGAGACTTTTGAGTGTCTACAGTTGTATAAGCACCACCACAGCTGAGTTACAGACCTCGACTTCATCCCAGGAAGTTCTCTCGTGCGGCCCTGCAGTCAGCCGCGCCCACTGGAATGCCAGGCTGTTTGCTGTGCTGTAGCTTTGCTGTTCCTTTTTTGTTTGTTTGTTTTAAACTCTGCATTTTTGCATAGCGGAGCTCTAGCTGCACCTCCCATCTTACTGCTTACTTTTCTTTGTGTGCACAGTCTGGCTCACCACATCTTAGGCCTTTTTCCTACTGTTACTATCTCTGGCATCACTTTAAAGCTGTATGATGTTAGATTTTGCTGGGACACTTCTCTTTTGTTGGATATTTAAGTGATTGGCAGTCAAGAATTGCCTTCTGACTGTTAACTAATATTTTCTTCTTAAGAATTCTTATCTTTTACAATTACTATTCGGAAAACCCTGAGTGCTTCTCTTGATGAGCGGGCAGTCGTCATGACAAGTTTTTCTAGTCCTCTTTACCTAGCAGCAGAGCGCCAAGTTGAGGAGAACCCACACTTGTGGGGGTGTGGAGGCTTATTGCTGGAGACAATGGCCCACGTGGATTCGAAGAAATTCCCCTTATTCAGAAGTGGTGGCTTCCAGCTAACCTGGGCCCTTGTCCTCTTTTTCTGAAACTCACATGCGAGTGTTTTTCTCTCTTTGGAACCCGTGTATGTTTGGGAAGGTGAGTGGGAAATGGGAATTTGGCTCTGATTTCCATTTGTCCTTGATCTTTTGGGATTCTTCAAGCAGCGGATTCTCAGAGAGCAAGCGTAAAAGGGAACAGAAGCTGGTGGGGATGGGGTGTCCCAGAAAAATGCCCTGCTGGCAGGGTGCCCCCCACACCGTTTTCTGCTCTTTCTTTATTTTTAGTATGACAAAAAATTTCATATTGCATTTATGCCTCTTTCTTCTTGTTATCTTATGAAAACTCAGAACATGCATGCACAGGGTGATAGCAGTAACCTATATCTTTTTCCTTCATTCATTGCATCCTTAGTGCTGGTTTTGGATATGAAAAGATACATGTTTTTTTCTAGTGCTGAATGCATATGCAGTTGTACTTCTGGATTATTTTTTTAAAGACCCAGGAGTTTGTCTTTGTGAGTGGCCCCTGGAGTTTGCCGTGGGTGATGAACTTCAATGCAGGCTGTATCGTGATTAGAGTCGAAGTGATGGGCAGGGGTCCTGCCCTGGGCCAGCCCCCAGAGCTGCCAGACGAGGTGTAGAGAAACTGGCCTGGGCCAGATCATGGTACACTCACTTAAAACGCCTCCCAATTGTAGGTTGCACAAGAGCATCAGTGACTTTTTTGTTAAAAGGTGCCTGTAGTTCTCTTTATAGCCAGGCTTACACCGCATGCCATGTACCCCCAGCTTAGCTCTCCCTCCCCAGATTCCTGTGTGGCATGGACTGAGGGATAGAGGTGCTTCCTGGGATAGCGGCCCCCTACCTCAGGTGCCTATTTAAAATTAAGTTCAAACTTAGTAAAATTAAACACTTATTTCCTGGAACATGAGCCACATCTGGTTAGTGGCTGCCTTGCTGGATACCAGCTGTGGAGCACGTCAGTCATCCACAGAAAGCTCTGCCGGATAGCGCTGGGCGGGAGCAGCAGCCCAGCCACACACGGGGGCGCCACTGGCTGGCCGTTTGGGGTTCCACTGTCTCTTATTCTATGAGCCAGTGAGAGATGAGGAATTACACTTGGTTCTTGAGGAATGCACTTTTCTCATGAAGTCATATAAGGGATGAGCCTGGTCCCTCTGGACTGGCTTCTTGGAGGAGTTCTCAGCTCTGTGACTGGTGACCCTGCAGCAGGCGTGTCTCTGTGCTCAGTTGCCTCATCTGTGAAAAGGGGACAGTCACACGACCGTATCAGCCATGTGTGTAAAGCTCTGAAAATGGTGTCTGTCATGTGGAGTGACCACAGGCCCGTCTGCTGCCGTCATCACTGTCATCACCGCCTCTCAGCACACACCCCTCCTCCGCTGCGCCGGGATTCATGGAGACATATGAGCTGCTTGGGGGTCACCTTTTTCTCCTCTCATGTCTTTTGAAGCTGCAGGCACCCCAGAAAACAGCGCCCCCGTGGAGTCGGAGCCCAGCCAGTGGGCGTGTAAAGTGTGTTCTGCCACCTTCCTGGAGCTGCAGCTCCTCAATGGTAAGGAGGACGTGTGGGGAGCCCCAGTTGTAAAACTCCTGTGTCGATTTCTCTCTGACTTACGCTGTCACCTGTCTGCGGCTGTCGGGATGTCCCAGACTTTGTCCTGTCTGCCCCATTGCCCCACAATGTAGTCGCCAGAACCAAGGCTTTCTCAGGGTTTAAAGCTTCTGGGCAGTCCCGCTTCCCACCCCCGACCCCTGCAGGCCTCACTCCTCACTCCTCCTGGTTGGGAAGTTGCATTTCAGCTGGGCGCCTTGACTCTGGAGCACTGGCAGGGGCCAGGGGCCAGGAGCCAGCCGTGGCATGTGTTGTGCACTCTTGCCTTTGTTGTCTCTACTTGACAGCCCCTTCCATTGTTTCTTTATCTGACAGACACTGTTTTCTTTTTTTGAGACAAGGTCTGGCTCTGTTGTCCAGGCTGGAGTGCAGTGGCATGATCGTGGCTCACTGCAGCCTTGACCTGACAGGCTCAAGCGATCCTCCCACCTCAGCCTCCTGAGTAGCTGGGACCACAGACATGTGCCACCACGCCCAGCAAACTTCTGTATATTTATTGTAGAGACAGGGTTTCACCCAGGCTGGCTCAGACTGCTGGGCTCAAGCGGTCCGTCTGCCTCGGCCTCCCAAAGTACTGGGTTTACAGGCGTGAGCCACCGTGCCCAGCCTGCAGAACATTTTTATCTACTCAGGTTGAGATTCCAATTTAAGGTGGCCGGGAGAGAATTGAACACATTTCCAGCTTCTGCAGTGCTCTGGGAACTTTCTGTTTATTTCTCTTAGGGAGCTGATTTTTCCACAAGTCTTAGGAGGCTAATCTGTAGTGAAGAAAGACTCGCATCAAATAAACCATGGGGGAATCACGTAGAAACAGTTTGTGGCATTCGTCACATGTGGAACGTGCTCAGAGGCCCCAGGCCTGGTGGGGTTCCAGGCAGTGCAGTTGTGAGGAGTGACTGGGACAGCCACTGTGCTGACACCAGCAGACTTTAGCTACCTGGTCACACGTTCCTGAGACATCCTACTCATCTTGGCTTTAATGAATTTACGAATGTGTCATTTCGCCCTCTGCTTGGTGAGAAGTATTTTGTGTTTGTCACCAAGACATAAATAGCAGAGCAGGGCAGCTGGGTTTTCTAGAAACGCCGCGTTTGTGCAGAGCACGCCCCGGACCTCATGGAGACCCATGGTAGGTGCTTCACAGTGGGAGGGTGCTGCTTGCGCCAGGTGGTCCCCTCCACAAAGCCAGACAGACGTTGCTGCTCATTTGTGTTTCTTCTTAATAACTAGTTTTGAGTGAAGAAAAAAGAAATTCCTTCATATTTTCAGTGAAATTCTACTTGTATGTCATCAACTACGTAAGACGTGGTACTCGGGCTCCCCTTACAATTAGGCTGATGGTGACTAAGACCCTTCAGTGCCAGGTCCTCCAGAAACTTCCTTGAGTCAACACCATGAGGTACAACCGTGGCTCCATTTCAGGGATGAGTAAACAGAGGCAGGAGTCCCTGCCCACAGCACGGCAGCCTTGAGGGCTGGAGCCAGGTACTCGGGCAGCCCGGCCTCTGCCACCCAGATTACCGGAGGGGTCCTGAGCATTCCTTCCAGGTGACGGCTCTGCCTTCTGCGGCAGCCTCTCGCTGGGGGGCTTCTTGGGAACATCCATGGCTCAGGAGCCTAGAAGTGGAAAGCAGAGCCCAGGAAGGAGACTGAGGAGCAGCCCCAAAGGCCGGCCTGTGAACGGGGAGGGGCTGTGTGTCCCTGTGAGGGGGAGGGGCTGTGTGTCCCTGTGAGGGGGAGGGGCTGTGTGTCCCTGCGAGGGGGGAGGGGCTGTGTGTGTCCCTGTGAGGGGGGAGGGGCTGTGTGTCCCTGTGAGGGGGGAGGGGCTGTGTGTCCCTGTGAGGGGGGAGGGGCTGTGTGTGTCCCTGTGAGGGGGGGAGGGGCTGTGTGTGTGTGTCCCTGTGAGGGGGGAGGGGCTGTGTGTGTGTGTCCCTGTGAGGGGGGAGGGGCTGTGTGTCCCTGTGAGGGGGAGGGGCTGTGTGTCCCTGCGAGGGGGGAGGGGCTGTGTGTGTCCCTGTGAGGGGGGAGGGGCTGTGTGTCCCTGTGAGGGGGGAGGGGCTGTGTGTGTCCCTGTGAGGGGGGAGGGGCTGTGTGTCCCTGTGTGGGGGGAGAGGCTGTGTGTGTCCCTGTGAGGGGGAGGGGCTGTGTGTGTCCTTGTGAGGGGGAGGGGCTGTGTGTCCCTGTGAGGGGGGAGGGGCTGTGTGTGTCCCTGTGAGGGGGGAGGGACTGTGTGTGTCCCTGTGAGGGGGGAGGGACTGTGTGTGTCCCTGTGAGGGGGAAGGGACTCTGTGTGTGTGTGTGTGTGTGTGTGTGTGTGTGTCCCTGTGATGGAGGAGGGGCTGTGTGTGTCCCTGTGAGGGGGGAGGGACTGTGTATGTGTGTCTCTGTGAGGGGGGAGGGGCTGTGTGTCCCTGTGAGGGGGAGGGGCTGTATGTGTCCCTGTGAGGGGGGAGGGGCTGTGTGTGTGTGTGTGTGTGTGTGTGTGTGTCCCTGTGAGGGGGGAGGGGCTGTGTGTGTCCCTGTGAGGGGGGAGGGACTGTGTGTGTGTCCCTGTGAGGGGGGAGGGGCTCTGTGTGTGTGTGTGTGTGTGTGTGTGTGTGTGTGTGTGTGTGTGTCCCTGTGAGGGGGGAGGGGCTGTGTCACCTCCCTGAGATAGGAGGGACTGTGTTTCTCTTTTTTGGGCTGAGGGGTTGTGTGTTCTCTTGAGGGCGGAGGTGCCACATGCCACTTTGGATATCCTCAGCGGACTGGCACTGAGCGCTGTCCCAGAGCCACATGACAGACGGGTTCTGCACAAGCCTTCAGAGAAGGGACTTCACTTGGCTCTTTCAGTGCTGCTGTTCTAATGAGGCAAACGGTGTCCATTTGTCTCATTTCCTCTCTGATCTCAAGGGATGTGAAGCTGCCTTTTGTGAGTTGGTGTAGGAAGTGTTGGAAGGGCTATTGAAGAGGTTTTGTAGTTTTAGAATCAAATTTGACAGATTTTTGCTTCTTCTTTCAAGTTGGGTAACTTCCAAACCAAACCACCAGTGCTCTGAATTTAAACTTTCTTTCTTTCTTTTTTTTTTTTTTTTTTTTTACAATACAAGGTCTTGCCCTGTCACCCAGGCAGGAATGCGATGGTGTGATCTTAGCTCATTGCAGCCTCAAACTCATGGGCTCAAATGATCCTCTCATTTTGACCTCCCAAGTAGCTGGAACTACAGGTGAATGTCAACAGGTCTAATTGTACAGACAGGGTCTTGCTCTGTTGCTCAGGATTCCATAACAAGGCTGTCCCAGACAGGCCCACATGGCAGGGACATTGCCACCCATACTGACGGTGGCCTCAGGGCCAAACTTGTGCTGTCTCTGAAAGCCCAATGCCTTCACCATGCCAGAAAATGTGTTCTCAGGCCCCCTGCAGCCTCACATTGCTCACAGAGCTATGGCACAAACCTGCATTCAGGGCAGGAGAGTTTGGGAAAGGAGTGTTTTGGGAAAGGTGGGGCTCAGAAGTTGGCGAAACATCACAAGGATGTTTCACAGTGCTGGATGGCCAGAAAAGATGGCACATGTCCTCTGCGTGTAGGATACAATAGAGGATCCTTTGAGGGAAAGGAGCAAAGGGAATGCCCAGGTTGCTGTCGAAGGAGATTGTAGGACAAGAGACGTTCCCTAGTTCAAGGATAGATAACTGGTCCAGATTGGAGCAGCAGCAAGGGCTCCAGGAAGAATGGCCCAAAAAGGAAAAGAAATCGAGCATTAACTGATGTGTTTGTAGAGGAAAGAGTTATACTTCTGGCAGAGTTTAAGTCTCAATTAGTAATATAAACACGGGAAAAAAATAAGCAAATGTTATTAATAAAAAGTAAGGCATTAATTAACTCCAGAGAAAACAAAGGTTATAGATATACTTAAAACAAACAAACAAACAAAAAAACAAACAAAAAAACAAAAAAATCAGGCCAGACACGGTGGCTCACACCTGTAATGGCAGCACTTTGGGAGGCTGAGGCAGGTGGATCACCTGAGGTCAGGAGTTTGAGACCAGCCTGGCCATTATGGTGAAACCGCATCTCTACTAAAAATACAAAAATTAGCCAGGTGTGGTGGTGCATGCCTGTAGTCCCAGATACCTGGGAGGCTGAGACAGGAGAATGTCTTGAACCTGGGAAGCAAGGGTTGTAGTGAGCCGAGATTGCACCACTGCACTCCATCCTGGGCGACAGAGTGAGACTCCGTCTCAAAAAAAAAAAAAAGGCCAGGCGTAGTGGCTCATGGCTGTAATCCCAACACTTTGGGAGGCCGAGGCAGGCAGATCACGAGGTCAAGAGATCAAGACCATCCTGGCCAACATGGTGAAACCCTGTCTCTACTAAAAATACAAAAATTAGCTGGGCACGGTGGTGCACGCTTGTAGTCCCAGCTACTCAGGAGGCTGGGGCAGGAGAATCGCTTGAACCTGGGAGGCGGAGGTTATAGTGAGCCGAGATCGCACACTGCACTCCAGCCTGGCAACAGAGCGAGACTCCGTCTCAAAAACAAACAAACAAAAAAAGAATCATAAACATATATTGGTGCAGTTGTGAATACATTTTTATGGTCATAATTATGAATACACTGATTATTGATTTACCCCAAAATAGTGATATAAATATGTTGGTGAGATTGTGGAGAAGATAAGCATTTGGGAGGGAGAGTATAGTCTATAAGAAAGCTAAATCCTTCTCCTCCATGTTAAATAATAGATGCTATCTAATACTAAAAAATGGAAAGGTGATAATAGGTGGGGACGAGTGGTTACAGAGAGCTGCTGTTTTCTCTTTTGCAGCTAGGACTGGTTATTTCTGCATTCTCTATTTTTTCTTGCCAGACTTATCAATATCATTAGTCTTTTCAAAGCACCCACTTTTGGCTTTGTTGATCCTTTTTATTGTATATTTACTTTATTTCTGCTCTTATTTATTATTTGCTTTTTATACTTTTCATTCTGTGCCTTTCTAACAAGTTGGATGCTTAACTCATTACTTTCCAGCTGTTTTATTTTCTCATGTAAGCATTTCAGATGATTTTTTCTTAAGAACCATGTTAGCTGCATTCCACATTTTGATGATACAGTGCATCTGAGTTTATATGCACTTAATAACATAGTCTAATAATAAGCAAAAATTGGCAGATCTACGAGGAGAAATAGAAAAATCTGCCTCTGTAGTGGGAGCTTTTAATACATACATCTTAATTTATAAATCAGACTAAAAAATCACAGGGATACAGATTTGAAGCACACAGTTAACACAATTGATTTAATAAGTATATTTACAATGCCGCATCTAACAAGTAGAGTATATATACATCTCTTTGATGTGTGGGCTCTCTTCCTCCCATATTTTAGTTCTAAGTATTTTCTAATTTGCTCTGTTTTTCCTGTTTGAATTTGTAATTGTCTAGAATGATGTTTGCTAATTTCCTTATGTATGGCTTTTCTTTTTTTTTTAACTTTAGTTCCCTTTGTTTTATATTTCTGACCCTCAATCTAAAATCACTCTTATTGCCTTTCAGAATTTCCTCTGGGGCAATCTTTTCAGTCTTTGTCTCAAAATATCTTTCTTTAACCATCTGCACTGGAAACGGTTTTCACCGGATATTGAATTTTGGGTTTATTCTTATTCTCTTTCTGCACATTGGGGATGTTGTTATGCTACTTTATGCCTTCCATTATTATTCTTGGTAAGTCTGCTGTCACTGCAGTTGTTCCTTCATAGGTAATCACTGCTTTGTACTTGGTTGCTTTTGAAACCTCCTCTGTCTTTGGAATTCTGCAATTTATAACAGAGTCATCATTTATGTCTTTATTTTTATTTGTTTTCCCTGTTACAGATCTTGAATCTGAAGAGTCATGTCTTTCATTCATTCTGGATAATCCCCCACCCTTATCTTGCTCATTGTTTAGCCCTCCTTCCCTATTTTCTCTGTGTCCTATTGTACATGTTTTAGACCTTCTTGTTATATTACACTTCATGTCTTCTTAGCTCCTGCTCATATTTTTCTAGCTCCTTGTCTCTTTTCTACATTCTGGGTAATCTTTGCAGCTCTTCATTTTACTTTATGAGTTCTCTCTTCAGTTGTGTCTAATTTTTTGTTTAATACGACACATTGTGTTTTTATTTTGGGCCTCCTTTTTATTTTATATAAGTTTTATTTGGTTATTTTTCATAACCGCTTGTTATAATTCAGCATGCCCTTGCTTTTTTTTAATATGTGTTTTTTAACCCTTCTTTATTCATTTAAATGTATTTTCCCCCAGTTTTCTCCTCTCAGCTTGTGTTATTATCTAGGAATTCCATTCTTCTTGAGTTTGTGTGTATGTGTCTGCTGACGCCCTGATGGCTTATTGCTTAATTTTTTAGTTTTCTTGGGACTTTTCTTGCTTTTGTTGTTGTTGTTTTGGTAAGCTCTTTAGCAAGGAATCTTCTTTTCTCCCCTGCCCCTACAGTGGTCCTTCCATGCACTCTGGATTGTTACATAGTGTTTTGATTTTGCTTCTGCTACGTCTCCCAGAGCTTTCACAGGTCTAGGGTGCAATTCTTTTTTTTTTTTTTTTTTTTGAGACAGTCTTGCTCTGTCACCTGGTTGGAGTGCAGTGGTGCTATCTCAGTTCACTGCAAGCTCCGCCTCCCGGGTTCAAGCAGTTCTTCTGCCTCAGCCTCCCCAGTGGCTGGGACTACAGGCACACACCACCACACCCGGCTAACTTTTTGTATTTTTATTAGAGATGGGTTTTCACCATGTTTGCCAGGCTGGTCTTGAACTCCTGACCTCATGTGATCCACCTGCCTCAGCCTCCCAAAGTGCTGGGATTACAGGCATGAGCCACTGTGCCTGGACACATTCATATTTTGATATCTCCTTCTCAGGTTTTTGCTTTGCAGACATATGTGTGTGTGTATGTCTGCTTTTTTCACTAAACTGCCCTCATGGTGAACCTACCCTTGCTTTTACCACTTAATTTACTTTTCAAAATAGCAGTTGTGTTTGATGCAGAGGAAATAAAACAGTAGAAATAAAGTTCACTTGCCTATACAAAGGTTGGCAAACAAGATTGAAAACACACACACATAGGAACCAGAGGCCAGGGTGGGTGTGGACGGTGGCAGGCTTCCTAATTGTGTGGTGCATTCGCGTCTCTCTTTGCAGAACATCTGTTGGGCCACTTAGAACAAGCCAAAAGCCTTCCTCCAGGCAGCCAAAGCGAGGCAGCAGCTCCCGAGAAGGAGCAGGACACACCCCGGGGGGAACCCCCTGCAGTGCCCGAGAGCGAGAATGTTGCCACCAAAGAACAGAAGAAAAAGCCTCGAAGGGGGAGAAAACCCAAAGTGTCCAAAGCTGAGCAGCCTCTAGTCATCGTGGAAGACAAGGAACCCACAGGTGATGAGCGGGTCCCGGGGATGAGTGCCTGCGTGGGGCGCAGCCCTCCTGGCGCCCGAGGGCTGGCGGGGCAGGGGGCAGAGGGCGGGGCGGGAAAACTCAGTGTAGAAAGGCCTCGTGGAAGGTAGACTCTAAGCCCGTCTGTTTTTCTCTCAATCAACTCTAGTAAAGTACAATTTCCATGTAATACATGTCACACTAAAAAGGATACAGGGTGTGAATTTTGACAAATGGATACAGCTGTGAAACCAGCACCCCCGTCAGGGTAGAGGACATTTCTGTCTCGTTAGCCACTTTCCTGACTGTCTTCTGTACGAGTTCATTCCACCCATCCTGGAATTTCTCACGAATGGACTCTGTCTGCCTCCTTCAGGCAGCTTACAGCCTCGAGACCCGCCCACGTGGTTTATCTGTGGCTCCTTCTCCTGGATTGCTGAACAGTGCTTGGTCCATCACCTGTGGGTGGGCACTGAGTTGCTCCCAGGACCTGTCTAGGGCTCATCCTTTGATTGTGCAGTATCCTCAGTTGGGTTTGAAGAGGCATTTGACCCTCTTCCAGGGTGTGTGGTCTCTGTAAGGCTCTTGTCCCTGTGGTCCTCACACAGCCCCCATCCAAGCCACCTGCAGCACACGCCTCGTGGGCCTCACAGTGAGGATGAGATCTGATGCTCAGCCACTGGCCCCTTCACATTTGTTACTGACACTGGGCAGTTTTTCTTTTTACTGTCTGGGATACACCAGGATTTCTTTTATGAGAGTGAAAAGGAGTCCTTATTGCTTCTATTAATTAGAGACAATTGGGAAGAGCAGCCATTGTGGAATATTCTGAGCCTCCCCTTTTCTGCTGTGGGTCTGCAGCTTCTAGGCTGTGCACTGTTGGGCGCTGATTTAGGAGCGCCTGAAAGCCCCCTGGCCAGTTTCCCCAGGTCTCTGTGAATAGGCAGAGAAGATGGGGGCGGGGGAAAGCGTGTCAGGTAGATATTTCACTAATTCTTACTTGTGTTGAGAAGACATTTAGTAGGCAAAGTGGTAGAAACCAGTGGTTGAATTTTTTTGTGTAATCTTCCCCTATTTCATTTATCTTGGGTTTCTGGCCAGGGTCTCCAGTATTGGCGATGATGTGATCTTTAACTCTTATACAAAATGGTTAGCTAAAATGGTTTTACTAATGTTGGCACATTTAATTAGAAACATTAACATTTCTAAAACTCTGTCAGAATTGATGTAGTAAGTTCGAAGTTTCTGCTATATATCCAAAATGTTTTTGGTTGGTATGAAGAGGGATTGAAGTAATGTTATGATGTTGTGGTTTTTAAAAAGAATAACAAATTATAACTTCAGTTTAGGCTAAGAAAAACATTTTGCTTTTCTGTTTGTACTAGTAAATGTGTGGATCCCAAAATATTGACAGTTTTTTTTTTCCCCTCTGTAAACCTCAACATTTGTGCCTACCATTCTGGCCTGGCTGTGGTTCCCATGGGGCAGTGTGTCACCATGGTTTGACTGTGTTTGTCCCCTGCTCTTGTGGTTACTTAGCTTGTCACATCCCCTTCGTACAGAGCAAGTGGCAGAGATCATTACCGAGGTCCCTCCGGATGAGCCTGTGAGTGCAACGCCAGATGAGCGGATCATGGAGCTGGTTCTGGGGAAGCTGGCCACCACCACCACTGACACCAGCTCGGTTCCAAAGTAAGTCCTGCCTGGCACCTGGGGCCGTCCTGTGGACAGACAATGCTGGCAGCAGCCAGGCCATTCTGGAGGGAAGGCACCTTCCCAGCAGGAAAGCCCCAGGGAAGGAGATGGAAACAGACCTGCTGAGGAGGCAGCAGGAATGTTCTGGAGCTCAGGAATGTTCTGGAGCTCAGGAGTTTAATGGTGCATCCACTGTGAAAACAGCTTTAGAAAAATGCTTTATTTTGGTTAAATATGCATAAATTTAACCATTTTAACCATGTTTAAGTGCACAATTTAGTGGCATTCAGGATGTTCACACTGTTGGGCAATCATCTCCCCCATCCATCTGTGGAACTTTCCCGTCTTCCCAAGCTGAAACGCTGTCCGCACTAAGCACCCGCTCCAGCCCCCTCCCCCAGCCCCTGGCACCCACCATTCTACTTTCTGTCTCTGTGGATTTGATGACTCTAGAGATGTCTTATAAGTGGAATCAGACAGGATTTGTCCTTATGTGACTGGCTTATTCTACCCCGGCTCATCCATGTGTAGCCTGTGTCAGAATTTCCTTCAACACTGAGTAATATACCATCATGCATATGCCCCATATTTTGTGTTTCCATGCATCCATTGATGGACAGTTGGGTTGCTTCTAGCTTTCGTGACGCTGCTGTGGTAAAATACTTTGCTATTTGAATTTCAGTAAATATAACAGCTTGCCCTGTGTTTTAGTTACGATTCTTGGGTCATTTTTACCATGGAGTTGAGTAAGTTGGTGGTCACTTCTTTTTGGCCCTTTTCGGATCACCTCTTATAGTTGGCAAAAGTAATATCAGAAATGATGTTACCTGTTTATTTATTTATACTTTATCTTATTGCCCAGAAGAGTTCAGGTGGCTTACCATCAAAAATACATTTAACAGGGAAAAGAAGTTTTGAAAATCAGGTTCAGATAATATGTAAAACAGAGAAGAGTTAAGACAGAGTGACAGGAGCAGAAAACAGGTGTGGTTATTCTAATTGAGGCACAAATTGACCTCCAGGCTTTCTGGTGGCCAGAGTTAGAACAGAGTCAGGTGTGTGGCTGTTGCAGCTAAAGCTGCCTAATGTCATTATATATTCAAGGTGTCCCTTTCAGATGCCCTGGAAGCTGGGAGTGACGCCCGGGCGCATTCCCTCCTTTCTCGCATACAGGCTCGGGATTAGCTGGGAAGTTTTGGAAGGAGGCCGTTTTCATGCTGCTTGTAACCTGGAACTTTTTTCCCACCTGTCTTTTCCCAACTTATTGACGTCCCTGGGCAGGTTCACCCATCATCAGAATAACACCATCACGCTCAAGAGGAGCTTAATTCTCTCAAGCAGACACGGCATCCGGCGCAAGCTCATCAAACAGCTCGGGGAGCACAAGCGGGTTTACCAGTGCAATATCTGCAGCAAGATCTTCCAGAACAGCAGCAACCTGAGCAGGCACGTGCGCTCGCATGGTGAGTCCGCGAGGCCCGGCTGGCGCCCGGGGCCAGGGCCAGGACTGGGGCTGGGGGTGGGAGGACAGCACGGAGTCTCCCCTCCTTGGGTCGTCTCCCACGAGCTGCGCCAGTGAGAGGCTGCATTTGTGGGCGATCATCTCTGCAGCTCCTTCGCATGGTGGGAGCGAGGCGGCTTGTGGGGCATTTCCCCGGTGGGCATGCTTCTCTCGGTAAATGCTCTAAGTAGTGAATGAGCTCTCTGTTGGTTGGTTCCTCAGGTGACAAGCTGTTTAAGTGCGAAGAGTGTGCAAAATTGTTCAGCCGCAAAGAGAGCCTAAAGCAGCACGTTTCCTACAAGCACAGCAGGAACGAGGTGGGTGGAAACAAGCCCAGGGTTCTCTTCCCAGTTGTGTGGACAACACAGACAACTGACCAAATCACCATGTTGTAATGAGAAGAAAGAATCCCAGGAGGGAGGAGAGTGGGCGGGGGCTGTGGGGGAGGGAGGAGAGTGGGCGGGGGCTGTGGGGGAGGGAGGAGAGCGGCCAAACCCTGTGGGGGAGGGAGGAGAGTGGGCGAGGGCTGTGGGTGCCCAGGTGTCCCTGAGAAGGGAGAGTCCCAGGAGGGATGAGAGCGGGTGAAGGCTGTGGGTGTCCTGGCGTCCCTGGGCCACCTGTCAGCCCCTCGTCCTGGTCAGATGCCCACAAGCGCAGCAGGAAGAGTCAGGAGAATGGGGGTGTTTGGTGCTTGGAGTGGGGCTCCCTGAGTGTGGAGTTCCCTTTCTAGGGCAGGTGAACAGCAAGAGCAAACATCCTTTGTGTTCCTAAATAGAGCGGGAGGGTGGTGGAGGTCAGAGTCATAACAGACACAGGCGTGGAGTCGCCCGGGCAGCACGTCGGGGGCTCGGCATCTGTGGACTCTGCGCTGGGCCATCTCACTCACGGCGTGTCCCTCTGACCAGGTGGACGGCGAGTACAGGTACCGCTGCGGCACTTGTGAGAAGACCTTCCGCATCGAGAGCGCGCTGGAGTTCCACAACTGCAGGACAGGTGAGGGCGCCGGTCACGTCTCCCCTCGGCCGCTGTGCGGTACGGATTCTAGATACGCCGCGGAGACCGTGGAACTTTAGGCCAAAGTAAAGATTGTTTTCATGAATAGACAGCCTCACTTTTAACATTTCCCTCTGTCCATTTTGCTTCAAAGCAGTTGTTACCCTAAAGATACACAGATGGAAACTTTCCAGTAAAAAGGGATTGATTTTCTTCCTGCATTTGTCAGCCGAGCTGCGTATGGCCCCACACTGAGAGCATTGTAAAGCCGGGGTCCGTTCTGGCTAAAAACAGGGAGCAGCAGTGTCCAATGTTTTCTAGGGCCGTCTGAGGAAGAAAGGAAAAGATCAGGATAATGGCTGGAGGAGTGTGAGCGCTCCTCGCTTGCTTGCAAAGGTTGTTCCTAACCGCGAGCCCTCCTCCATCCACATCTCCTGCGGCGTCCAGGGTGGAACGGGGTTGCCCCTGCACGCATTCTTTTTGTTCTGAGCCTGCTTGTGTGCACCAGCTTCCAAAAATAAAGCATTTTCCTTGTGTGAGGCCTGAAGCCGGGTGTGCCTGGACCAGCCTGTAGTGGAGAGGTGGCCTCTTCGGGCCTGGGGGGCGTCTGAGGCCCCTGTCTCTCTGGCCGAATTTGCTGCTGGCAAGTAAACAGACCAAAGGAAAGCCAAGGCCGTCCTGCCGGCTGCGCTTCTCCACGTGGCCCGAGGACGCCCCTGTATTCTGCAGTGATGACGTGCACCCTCTGGGATGTGGGAGTCACACCTTCCCCATTCCCAGTGGTGGGTGGCACTGGAGGCCCAAGCAGTGGGGGTCCCCAGCGGGGCACAGAGGGGTGAGTCACTGTTGCCTTTGTGTCCCCCTCTCTCTAGGACTCATAGCACACCCTGGAGAGGGGGGGCCCGGCGGCAGTCGGCTTAGAGACCTACCAGGTTAGCCTTCGACGCCCACCCCGTCCTTGTCCGCCTGCTCTGTGTCTGTCACTTGCATCTCTGTGTTGTTCTTGTTAAGGTGCCACCCGCCCCTGTGTTGAGAACAGGGCACCTGCAGCAGCGGACTCCCAGGGGCTCTGACCAGGGCTGTCGCACATGGGCCATGTGAGAGGCCCTGCTCCCTTGCCGTAGCTGCTGGGCGCGGGGGGCCCTTGGTGGGGTTGGCTAGTTCTACTCTGAGGGCTCCTATTTGAAACCAGGGTTTGGTTCTTCCTCCCTGATGCCTTCTTCCTGGGGTTGGACTGTTCTGAGGGGCAGGAATGAGTCATGTTTTGCCTAAGCTTTAGCAGCTCTGAAGGATCCATGTCTGGCATGAGGTGGCCTCCAGAAGCTTCTGGATGAATTTCCAGTGTGCCGCACCTCCTGCATTTTAAGCCCTCCTATCACAAGAATTCCCAAGAAACCTGGGGCACAGTCCCCTGAAGACTTCCACTTAACGCAGCCCCGGCCAGACAGATGAACCTTCATCTTGTTTGCGAACCTCCCCTTGGGGTCCCCGCAGTCCTGCAGGAGTGTAGCAGGCGAGGGTTTCGGGGTTCCCAAGAGTGATGCTACCAGCTAAGGCGCTCTGGTGAGGCAGACTCAAGGTTGAGGAAGAGGCATTGCCCTCTGATATTTTCAACTATTTCTCTGGACCCAAATAAAACAAAGTACTAGAAGCGGCTAAGGCAGCAGCAGCTTCCTGTCAGCCAGAGGTGCTGTTAGGCCAGGTGCTGGCCTTTGTTAGTCACCTAGAACCCGCAGAGCGCCAGGGACCTGCATCGCACCACCTCTTCCCCTGAGATGTTCTAGTTTCAAAGGTTACCCGTTTTAGACTGAACAGAAAGGATAAAAACCTTGAAATGGAGCTTGTTTGCATAATATATGATTTGCATGCTCTTATACTTATTTATAGTATTGAAGTTAAGAGAATGTGTATCTTCCTTAGACAATTAAACCAAGAATTTGTACCAAGAATTAAACCAAGAATGTGGGAGTCACGCCTTCCCCATTCCCAGTGGTGGGTGGCACTGGAGGCCCAAGCAGTGGGGGTCCCCAGCGGGGCACAGAGGGATGGGTCACTGTTGCCTTTGTGTCACCCTCTCTCGAGGACTCATAGCACACCCTGGAGAGGGGTGTGGGGGGCAGTTTTAAAATGTTACAGTCTTGTGGGTTTTTCTGAAGCTCCCTCCATGGGACCTGTTGTGGTGCCTGTCCCTTGTGGTGTGACCAGGTGCTGGTGTAACTCATCTTCGTGTTCCTTGTGCTGTGTCTGACCATAAGTACTGTGCTACGGAATAGCAAAGGCTCACGTCCAGGCCCTCAGGCAAAATGCGGCCCACCAGCCTCCCCCAATAATCCCCTCTCCATCCCCAGGTGCCCTGCACCCCTCTCCCTTCGTCAGACCCCAGTAGGCAGCTGTTCTCAGTGGCTCATTTATTCAGACATAAACCTAGATCCCCTCGGCGCAGGGTTATTGGAGGGAGAAGCATTGTTGGGACCCAGTGCCCCTGTGGGTTCCTGAACTGGCAGTGAGTGGGTGGCTGCGGGAGAAGCCACCCTCGGCTTGGCAGAGTTGTCCGGGACAGCTGGGGAGTGGCCTGAAGTAGGTTCTCTTTCCATGGTCACGAGGGGCTTGTGAGGGAGAAAGCTGAAGCTCTTGGCAGCACCATTGCCTTCCACGGGGCGGCAGGACTAGTGGAGCCACCTGCCCAGGAGGGGGTGCTCATGGGTGCTGATTTGCACCTGCCTGGGAGGGGGGCTCACTTGTATTGGTTGGTACCTGCCTGGGAAGGAGGCTCACCTGTGCTCTTTAGCACCTGCCCGGGAGGGAGGCTCACCTGTGCTCTTTAGTGCCTGGCTGGGAGGGAGGCTCACCTATGCTGTTCAGGAGGCCCAGGTTGAGGGGAGTGTGGCAATCCAATGCCACAGCACTGTAAAGGTGTGGCCTATGGTGATCCGTTGCCACAGCACTGTAAAGGTGTGGCCTGTGGTGATCTGATGCCACAGTGCTGTAAGGTGTGGCCTGTGGTGATCCGATGCCACAGCGCTGTAAGGTGTGGCCTCTGGTGATCTGATGCCACAGTGCTGTAAAGGTGTGGCCTGTGGTGATCCGATGCCACAGTGCTGTAAGGTGTGGCCTGTGGCAATCTGATGCCACAGCGCTGTAAGGTGTGGCCTTTCACAAAGCGCTTGGCTCTAGTGGTCCCATTCCTAAGAATTCATGATAAAGAGATTTGACAGAAGAAAAAAATCTGCATTACTAAAGATTCCATCACTAAATTATCTACAGTGTCAAAAATAGCAAAGTGAGTTTTGAGAAGTGAGCTGGATGGAATATCACGTAGCCATTAAAGTGATCATGAAAACGTCCAGCACTGTAAACACGCACGCCTCAGACGCAGTGTGTGAAGGACACATACCATGCGGTCGTGTGGATCCGGACAGAGCCCATCAAATCTTAAGCCAAAACGAAACTGAGGGCAGTGGCTGTATGGATAATGTTTCACTTTATAGAAGGAAGGCAAGCAGTATGTTAGGCTGGGACTCAGCGTAGCATCTGTCACGGTGCTCCTCTTATGGCCCAGGTGAGGCTGGCTCTGGGCTGAGGTCACGCTGCAGGTGGGGTGGGATGTGGGCAGAGAAGCCTCGCACAGGGCCACCTCTACTGTGTTCAGCCCTGGCAGAGGCCACCTCCCACTGTCCTGCCGTGGTTGGAGCTGTGGGAGGGGACTGTCCCCTCCCAGCGCTTCCCCTGTCCTGAGGGTGGCACCCATGGGGCATAGATTTCCCCACTGCTGTCTCCTGTCTTCGCTGTCGGCCATGCCTTGTCCATTCCCAGCTGGGAGGAGTTGAGAGCGCCTGGCTCTCCCGGGGGAGGTTGTCTGCTTCCCTCACCCCCAACCTGGGCTGCACATTGGGATCACCTGAGTGAGGCCAGACACATGCGGAGGCCCAAGGCCCACCCCAGAGAGTCTCATTTTGTGAGCCCTGGCCAGTGAATCTCTACCTGGCGGGGGTGGAGAGTGGAGGGCGTTTGCCCCAAGGGACGCTGTCGGCAATGTCTGCAGACACCTTGGTGGGGAGGGGTGCTCCTGGCACCTACTGGGTGGAAGCCCGGTATCTGCTCAGCATCCCACGGTGCACAGGGTGGCCCACAACAAAGGATCTGGCCCAAAACGCTGAGGCAGGGAAACCCTAGACAGGGGGACCCTGAGACACTCTGTGGCGGCTCCCTCGGGCAGCAGAGAGGGACAGGCGCAGGGCGGCTGCTTTGCACAAATGGCAGCTTTCAGTGCAGTTTTGGGGATTTGTATATTTGGCAAACACTGAGCCTGGGAGCTGGTCCATGGGTGAGAGCCCAGGGGCCCAGAAGTGCAGTCTGCTCTGGTGCCCCGCTCCTGGGTCACCCAGCTGTCATGTCCTCCCACGTTGGCGACACAGGGAGGAGAATGCAGCTCTGCTGGGCCCCGGGGTCGCCGTCAACTGGTGAGACATCTGATGGATGGGGGCAGGGCGAGGGGACCTGGGGCTGCTGCTGCAGGGTGAGGGACTGGGCAGTGAGGACCCCCGAGGTGCCTGTGTGAGAGTCAGAGGGACAGATGGCACTGGGGGGCTGTCAGTGTCCTGGGCGGAGCCGAAACCACAGTTTGACTGGCTACCTTCCAGGAGGGGCTGGAGATGAGGTCTGGGATGCAGGGATATAGGTGTTTCTGGAAGCTTCATGGACTGTGTGTGGCTGTGTGTTTCTGTGGTGTGTGGATGTATTTGTGTGGTATGTGGATGTATTTGTGTGGTGTGTGTTTAGTATTTGTGTGGTGTGTGTGTTGAGTATTTCTGTGGTGTGTTTGTGTGTATGTGGTGTGTGTTGAATATGAGGTGTGTGGTGTGTGTGTTGAGTGTATTTGTGGTATGTGTGATTTGTGTGTATTCGTGTGTGGTGTGTATTTGGTGTGGYGTATTATGTGTGTGTGGTATGTGTTCAGTGTGTGTGTGGTGTATGTGTGTGGTATGTGTTCAGTGTGTATTTGGTGTGTGTGATATGTGATTGTGTATTTATGTGTGGTGTGTGTATTTGGTGTGCTGAGCGTATGTGTTTGTATGTTGTGTGTGTATTTGTGTGTGGGTTGTGTGTGGTGTATGTGTTGAGTATGTGTTGTGTGGGGCATGTATGTGGATGTGTGTGTTGAGTGTGTATTTGTGTGGGGGGTGTGTGTGTGGTGTGTKTTGAGTGTGTGGTGTGATTGTGGTTTGTGTTGAATGTGTGTATTTGTGTTGGGGGTATGTTGAATGTGTGTGTTGTGTGTGTATTTGTGTGGGGTGTGTGTTGAATGTGTATTTTTGTGTGTGGTGTGTGTTGAGTTTGTGGTGTATGTTGAGTATGTATGTGGTGTGTGTGTTGAATGTGTGGGTGTACGTTGTATGATTGTATATTTCTGTGGTGTGTTGAGTATGTGTGTTTGTGTAGTATGTGTTGAGTGTATGTTTATGTGGTGTGTGTTGACTGTGTATTTGTGTAGTATGTGATTGGGTATTTGGGGTGAGTGGTGTGTGTTGAATGTATATTTGTGTGTGGTGTGTGTTGAGTGTGTGTGTATGTGGTATGTGATAATGTATATGGTGTGTGTTGAATGTGTGTATGTGGGGTGTGTGTGGTGTATGTTGAGTGTATCTGTGTGGTGTGATTATATGTGTGTGGTGTGTTGAATGTGTGTGTATGTGGTATAGTGCATTTATGTGGGGCTCGTGTGTGTGGTATGAGTACATTTKTGTGGTGTGTGTATATTTGGGGTGTATGTGTGGTATGTGTTGAATGTATTTGTGGTGTGTATTGAGTGCAGGTGTATTTGTGTGGTGTGTGATAGTGTATGTGGTGTGTGTTGAATGTCTGTTTGTGGGTTGTGTATGTGGTGTATGTTGAGTGTATCTGTGTGGTGTGTGATTATATGTGTGTGATGTGTTGAATGTGTATGTGGTGTAATTGTGCATTTGTGTGGGGCTTGCATCTGTGGTGTGTTGAGTATTTGTGGCTTCTGTGTGTGGTGTTATTTGTGTATTGTGTGTGTAGTTTATGTTGAATATGTGTGTATTTGTGGTGTGTGTGATTGTGTATTTGTGGGGCATGTGTTTTTGTGTGGTGTGTTGAGTATATTATTTGTGTGGTATGTGATTGTGTATTTGTGTGGGGCATGTGTGTGTGTGTGATGTGTGTTGGGTGTGTATGTATTTGCATAGTGTGTGATGGTGTGTGTGACATGTATGTGTATGTGTGTGTGGTGTGTGTATGTGGTGTGTGTGATTGTGTATTTGTGTATTTGTGTGGGGCATGTGTGTGTGGTATGTTGAGTGTGGTGTGTGTGATTGTGTATTTCTGTGGGGCGTGTGTGTGTGGTGTGTGTATGGTGTGTGTGATTGTGCATTTGGGTGGGGCGTGTGTGTGTAGTGTGTATGTGGTGTGTGTGGTTGTGTATTTGTGTGGGGCATGTGTGCGTGGTGTGTGTATGTGGTGTGTGTGATTGTGTATTTGTGTGGGGGGTGTGTGTTGAGTGTGTTTGTATTTGTGTGGTGTGTGATTGTGTGTGTGCTGAGGAGGATTTGGGTGAAGGGGGGAATATGGGCACATTGATGCCCGCCCACGGGGAAGGAGTTGGGAGGGGCCAACACCAGGGATCCTGGGGGCAGGGGCGGCCACATTGGTCGGGTGGTCAGTTGCTCGGGTGGTTGGTTGGTTGGTTGGTAGGTAGGTCATTCTATCTGTCAGTCAGTCATGCTGGGTGGAGGGTGCAGGCCCAGGGGAAGCTTTGGACTGGGCAGCTTTCCTGACGGAAGTGGAGTCATCGTCCCCAGGTGCTGTGGGGCAGGGTGGCCCGGGAGGGAGGCGGCTGGCGTTGCTTGGTGATGAAAGGTGAGCTCCGTGTCTGCTTTTCAAGCACCGGGGTTCCCGTCTCTGCATCGTGAGTTCCTGGGGTAGACAGTGTATGACACACAGGTGCTGTTTTCTTCCTGGCCACGCATCCCCGTGACTCTCATGCCCGTCACCCGCGCTTTATTGACGTTCAGGCCACACGTGCGTGCCTGCGTGAGATGTTATTTACCTCAAAATCGTTGTGTGTTTGTTTGCTCTCTGGACAGATGACAAGACGTTCCAATGTGAGATGTGTTTCAGATTCTTCTCCACCAACAGCAACCTCTCCAAGCACAAGAAGAAGCACGGCGACAAGAAGTTTGCCTGTGAGGTCTGCAGCAAGATGTTCTACCGCAAGGACGTCATGCTGGACCACCAGCGCCGGCACCTGGAAGGTGAGGCCGCCTGCGCACCTGCTGCGGGCGGGGAGAGGCAGCTCCTGCGGGGTGGGGCAGGGCGGCATGGAGCAGTCAGCAGGGCCTTTGGGGAGCAGTTCGGTGCCGCCTGCTCCTTTGCCTGGAAACGCCCGCCATCCGATGGGCTC
Organism: Homo sapiens; assembly: GCF_000001405.40. NCBI lineage: Eukaryota > Metazoa > Chordata > Mammalia > Primates > Hominidae > Homo > Homo sapiens. The sequence goes on along the minus strand of NC_000021.9, from coordinate 41,828,016 downwards.
ATCCTCTTCTGAGAACCTGTCTCAGGAGAGTAAGTTGCTGAGACACAGGTGTCAGACCTGCTGTGCGCAAGGAGAAACAGCTGGAAATACCCTAAATGTTCCACACTGGGGAAGGAGCTAAGAAAACTGGACGATTTGTGGGGTCCAGTGTTTCACTGTCATTAGAAGTGTTTTTTCAAAGATACTAGATATTGTGAAAAATGCTTTCAATATGACAGAAAGTGGGAAAAACCAGTATAAGAGCAACTAAGAGCAGCAGCCCTTCATACACCTTTTCATTAAAATTTGGAAAAAATTATTTTATAATTACAAATGAAGCATATGCTTGTTGAAAAGAAGATGTGAGACCACAAAGTCCTGTGTAAAGTAGAACCCTCCTGGGCATGGTGGCTCACGCCTGGAATCCCAGCACTTTGAGAGGCTGCAGCTGGAGGATCGCTTGAGGCCAGCAGTTCGGGACCAGCCCAGGCAACATAGCGAGGCTCTGCTTCTACAAAAAATTAGCTGGGCATGGTGGCACATACTTGTAGTGCCAGCTACTCAGGAGGCTGAGGCAGGAGGATTGCTTGAGGCTGGGAGGTCGAGGCTGCAGTGAGCTGTGCTTGCATCACTGCTTTCCAGAGCAAGACCCTATCTCAAAAAATATATACAAAAATAAAAAATGAAGTATAACCATGTCCGTCCAAATAGGCATACGCATGTGCCTTCGTCCCTTTTTTAAAAAAACAAGGCTGGAATTGCATCCTGTGTACCTTTTAGCACTTTCCTTTTTTGCTCAACTCTTTTCTTCATGTTGATTCATAAAGACCGACAACGTTTTTCTTTGTGGTTCCTTGGGTGGTATACTTAGGGCCTCTCGAATCAAACCTGGACTCCACTTAGTGACTGGGTAGCCTTAGCAAGCTACTGTGCCTCAGTTTTCTCACCTATGCAGGGGAGACAGTACTCAGACCTGAATCCCTAGCATTGCTGTGATGGTTGCACCAGACCCTGCTCTTGAAACTTCTCACACAGGACCCCGCACATGGCAAGCGCCCATAAATGCCAGTAACTGTGGATGCTGCCAGAAGTCAGCTGTTTCCAGGGACACAGTGTAGCTGGGTTGCATTTTACAGTTTAATGTAACTCGGGTCGTCTTCTGTGGGAGTAAACTCATGTTTTTGTGACTGTTTTATGGGTTTGTCCCTCATACTGGAGCTTAGTCTAAGCTGCGCCTCAGACTCCTGTGTCTGTCATGCTGGGAGCCTTTGGAGAACGGTCCGTTTGTCCAACGTCCAGTTTGCTGAGCATTTTTAAATCCAACTCTGCACTTACACCTGGCCAGGCAGGAATGCTCCCAGAATGGGTCGGCAGTGTAGAAAGAGATCCTGAGAAGTGGGTTTCTCTCTTTTGGTCAAAACTTACCTGTTTTGCATGAACATTTAAAAGTCTGTCTTGATCCCAATTTGGAACAATATGCCTCAAAACCATAAAGGTTGTATTTACCAGCCTGATGTTGATTTGACTAATGTTAATTTGCGAGAGATGAATATTAGTATCTTTTAAATAAAAAATGCCTGCCTATTTCACTATCTATAAGAATCATAACTTGGCTTTGAGCCTTTAGATGGAGTTAGAAGTGCCTTCTTCCATAGGAGCTCATCATAGCTCTGCCACCTAGGAACATTTAGCACTCGATGCCATTATATTTCCAAATGTTTCAGATGCGAGAACTGTCTCGGCAGATCCCACATACGTTGTGCCATCTCCCTTCCTTCCCTGGGGCTGCTTCAGGAATGGTGGTTAGTGCTGATGCCAAACAGTGTGCAAGTGATGTTACTTAAACTGCCACGCTTCTGTCCCCACTGTGGGCAGCCCTGTCCTCCCGTGCGCTGGAAAGGATGCTGGCTGAAGTGGAATCTGATGGACCTTCGCGTGTTCTATGTGTATTCACTGTCTTGCTGGTGGGGTTGGCAATTTCAGGAGTGCGGCGAGTGAAGCGAGAGGACCTGGAGGCCGGTGGGGAGAACCTGGTCCGTTACAAGAAGGAGCCTTCCGGGTGCCCGGTGTGTGGCAAGGTAATGCTCGCAGTCCACGTCGGACGCTGAGATGGAAAGCACATCATTTTCTTCAGTTAAGACTCTATGAGCTGTACTTATAGAATATTGCAGGGAAGATTTGGGGGGTAACGATGGGTGCTCAGGTTGTCTTAAACTGGTGTCCACCCATTTTAAACACTTGCCATTTGGATTTCTTTGGTACTTAAGATGGGTTTCCAGTGAGTGGGCTGAGAAAGAAGGATTCTTCCTGGACAGCCTCTTTTCCTCTTTGCCATGATTTTCCTCCTGAGCTGCTCCCTGGCTCCCACTCTCCTGTATAGCATCGTTGAGACAGTGACCTTGTGGTCAGGACTGGGGCACAATGAATGAGGACGCAGGGGGACCCAGTGGCTTTATTTTGCCTGTCAGTGCCGGTCTCCTCCGTGCAGTGGATGGCTGGCGTTCTGTAAGTTAGAGCATGGCCGATCCCATGGCAGGTGCTCCCAGGCACGTTCAGTGGATGCCCGGCGCTGCCCAAGAGAGGAAAGGGTGATGTCATCCATGGGAGCACATCCATCCGAGGGCTGCACGGTGAGGGGGCCATCCTGGCACTAGCTCAGGATTCAGACACCTGGCTGCTTGGCAGAGATGCTGGATCCTAAACATCCAGCAAACACGCTGCGCGTCCCGGGAGAGCCTGGGGTCCATGCCGTGGTCCTCACAGCTGTCAGGCTGCCATGGCCCCAAGTTCTGTGCAGAAGCACCTTGGTTGTGACTGGAGGTGGCATCACTTCTTCGTTACTTAGCTTTCACTCAGGTGACTGTAAGATGTCATCTGTCCTCGGAGGCCTAGGAACTGTCCCTCACAGGATGCAAAGCTCATGCTGCAGAGTAAGGGTTCTGAGCAGCTCCCAAGCGGGCTCTGGGCCCAGCAGCTCCAGCACGTCGCTCAAGTGGCTTTAGGAGCCGCCGAGGGGAGGGTGCCCCAGCCACACACAGCTCACGTGAGCCCCGGAGTGACGCTCATCCAGCGTTTCAGCAGCTGGGAGCACAGGCCCCCGCAGGAGGCCCGCTGTCACCGTCCCCGCCGTCCTGCCTTCCAGCATGCAGCACCATCACCGAGCTTTTGACCTTTTAAAGAGAAAATGGAAATCTCAGTGTTTATATGAAATTTCCTGATTTTTTTCAAACCACAGAGCAAGCCTGAGCAAATGAGTGAGCAGGGAGGTGTGGCTGGGGGTCCAGGTGAGGCTCCGGACTGTGGGCTGGAGGGGCAGGGCTGGGGTAGAGCAGGTGAGTTGGAGTGACTTTGCGAGCTGGGCCAGCTATGCACAGGGCAGAGGTGGGCGAAGCCTGTGCCCCTTATCCCCCGTCCCCAGTCTTTCTGTCCACTGACCTCTGCCCCTTGGGGGGTACCGGCTCCAAGTGCCTTCCATGCTGTTGAGAGATTGTTTGTGCAAACAATCTGTGCCTGACATCCAAACAGGTTTTTATTCTGTGCAGTGTTTATTGAATAAACACTGAGGGTTGAGGCAGGTGTGAAATAGCCTGTAGTTTGGGTGACTGAATTCTTTGTTGTTTCCAGTTATTAGTTGTCTTCAGCCCAGTCTTCCCTGTAAAGACCATGACATCTGCAGACTCTGTCCTCTCCTGCTCACCTTTCACCCTGTCGCATTGCCCCACCTAGCATCCCTGGGATGGGGCACAGCGCTGTCAGCCCAAGTCATCTGCACATCTTGGAAAGAGATGTCGCCTGGAGATGCCGGCATCCTCTCCCTAGCGAATCACTCATTTCTTTTCATTCATCTGTTCTCTTCTTGACAATGTGGGCATCAGGCGAACTTTAGGAGGTCACACCCCGGATTACGTGGCCGCTGGGAATAGCCATCCAGATAGAGACCCGCAGAGTTCTGTGGAGCGCTGGGGTTTCTAGGGCCCTAGCAGTGGTCTCAGCTTCCAGCCTTGTCCACTGCTCTGTGCCAGTGGGGCCACATCTGTCATGTGGACCACCCAGCGCCAACCCCAGCCCTGGTCACAGAGGTGACCCCCTTGGATGCGTATTGGATGAATGGGTGCATCTCCACACCCATCATGCCAGGCTGGAAAGAGCAGGAAATCAGAGACATTGGGAATGTGCATTAAACACAGTATAAAAGCCAAGGGGGTAACTAGCTTTCTTTTTTGATATCTCCTTTCAGAAAATTGCAGGTACTTCTGTGGTTTGCTGGTTCCTTGGTAGTCCATCCTAGGGAAATATTTAAATGGGCTTAAAAAAATGGAGCTGAACTAACATTTATAATAAAGACTAGGAAATGGTCAATTTTCTATTGTAACGTAAGCACCTGTTTACACAATTCAGCAAGTAACCCTTATTCCGGCATCAGTGATTATTTGTGTCTCTCACACACTGAGGAACTGGAGATGCAAGGCCTGGAGCACAGTGCTGTGTTTCCGTCCCGGGTTGTGGTTTCCCCAGAGGAGCCTGATGGAGAGGCTCCTTCCCGTCACGAGACGCCGCAGCCCCTCACCATGCGGCTCCTCTGCCACAGGTGTTCTCCTGCCGGAGCAATATGAACAAGCACCTGCTCACCCACGGCGACAAGAAGTACACCTGCGAGATCTGCGGGCGCAAGTTCTTCCGCGTGGATGTGCTCAGGGACCACATCCATGTCCACTTCAAGGTGTCGATCGCGTGCTGCCCTCACCCAGGCATGCTCACGGCAGGCCCCCAGGCCAGCGTCTGTCACAGTCAGCCATAGCAGAGTTCTGTGGGCAGGGCAGCTTCTGGGCAGACATGTGCTGCTCACGGTTCTGGAGGCTAGACCCCAAAGCCCCCATAGATTCGGTGTCTGGCGAGGCTCACTTCCTGGTTCGTAGACGGCGCCTTCTCACTGTGTCCTCACATGGTAGAAGGGTAGGGATCTCTTCTATAAGGGCCCAAATCCCATTCTTTTTTTTTTTTTTTTTTTGAGACGGAGTCTCGTTCTGTCGCCCAGGCTGGAGTACAATGGCAAGATCTTACTGCATCCTCCACCTCCTGGGTTCAAGTGATTCTCCCGCCTCAGCCTCCCAAGTAGCTGGAACTATAAGCATCCACCATAATGTCCAGCTAATTTTTGTATTTTTGGTAGAGACAGGGTTTCACCTTGTTGGCCCGGCTGGTCTTGAACTCCTGACCTCAAGTGATCCGCCTGCCTCAGCCTCCCAAAGTGCTGCGATTACAGGCGTGAGCCACCATGCCCCACCCCAAATCCCAATCTTGAGGGCTCCAGCCTCATGACCTAATGGCCTCCCAGAGGCCCTGCTTCCTGATACCATTTCCTGGTGAGTTAGGATTCAACATGGGAATTTGGGAGGGTTCAAGTATTCAGACCACAGCAGCGTCCTCAAATAGTTGACAACTGGTCGCATTTTATCTCTCCAAAATGAATTCTGTGACTGCATTGGCCTCACCTCCTGTGGCCCAACTGCCAGGCTTGAAGTACTGCTCTCCCACCGTGGCTGCTTCTCAGCCCGGTGCTGGCATCTGTGTCCCTCCCCACCTTTGAGGAAAGAGAGGAACGGAGCAGAAGCCCCGGGAGCAGGGAGGACTTGGGGTGTGATAAAGGCTGGGAGAAGCGCTGATCAAGAACTGAAAAAGTAACAGGTGGTATGGGAGACTCACTAGGGGGACTTCCCAGCAGTGCCTGGCCCTGGGCACAGATTGGGATCTTGCTGGGCGCATGTGAGAGGAAGCCGCGGGCGGCGTGGAGAGCAAGGGCAGCTTTAGCGTTTAGGTGGGGACCTCTGGGGACAAGCTGGGATGGGCTAGGGCACAAGTGTAGCTCGTTAGGGCGCCACGGGCATCAGAGAGGCATTTTCTTCTGCATCTGGGGAAATGATTGGTCGTCCCTGCGGTGTAGATAACTGAGTGAAGCGTCTGCTGCGCTGTTAGAAACCGGAAGTGGTGGCTGTTTTCCAGGACATCGCGTTGATGGATGACCACCAGAGGGAAGAGTTTATCGGCAAGATCGGGATCTCCTCGGAAGAAAACGATGACAATTCTGACGAGAGCGCAGACTCGGAGCCTCACAAGTACAGCTGCAAGCGGTGCCAGGTATGGCGGGTTTGCCCCGCGGTGCCTGGGTGGTCTGGAGAGGAAGGTGGTCGTTTCAAGGCTGTGGGCCCCACACAGCAGGCACCTTCATGCATCTCGGAAGCAGCCCTCCCTCCCCAAAGGCTCCGGCCAGTGGTCCTACTGCAGACTGGGTGCCTGTCCATCACTTGTGCCTGGGAAGGCCAGCCTGTGTCACCTTGGTGCTCAGGGACGGTCTGTGTGGGTCTCACAGGCGCCCTCCAGGAACTTGCCTTGTGACACGGTTCAGGAACACACATGAAGTGTGGGGGTCGGCCTCCTAGAAGGTGGCTGTGCTGGCTGCAGGCTGGGGCGCCTCTCTCCTCCCCTTTTCCCCTCCCCTTCTCTCCTCCCCCTCCTCCTCCCTGCTGAGGCCTGAAGCCCTCACGAGGCCTCCCCTGTGCATGGAAGGGGCTCTCCAAAAAGGAGGGTGGTTTGTTTCCGAGGACACCCGTGCTCTTGAGTTTTGGGCATGAGGCCTTATGGCTTCGGAAAAGTTCCCCATCAAGCCTCTGAGAGTCCCTTCCACCCTGGCATGAGTCATGGGCTCTCAGGGCGTGTCGGGTGCCCTGGTTTGTGGACACGACCTCATTAGCTAAGAGGACCAGGGACCTCATGCGGGTGTCAGCAGTGCCCTGTCCACCTGGCCCGCAGCTCACCTTCGGCCGGGGGAAGGAGTACCTGAAGCACATCATGGAGGTGCACAAGGAGAAGGGCTATGGCTGCAGCATCTGCAACCGGCGCTTTGCACTGAAGGCCACCTACCACGCCCACATGGTCATCCACCGTGAAAACCTGCCGGACCCCAACGTGCAGAAGTGAGGCCTGGTCGGGGGCTCCCGGGTTGTGTCAGGAGAGAGGGGACATGCTTCCTTGCAAAGAGACACATGCTATAAGGAGCCATTTGTAGCTTCCAACAAGTGATGTCCTCTGGGTCTCAGGGCCAGAGCTGGGGGCGCAGCAGGGCTCGGGGGCAGCTGGGCTAGGGGCAGCAGGGCTGGGGTTTATCCTGTGCTTCCGCATAGTCTCCTGGCACCAGCTGGCCATGTTACAGGAAAATAGCGGGGTTCCTGCCCTGCCTACAGAATGACCCAAAATGCTTTTTCCTGCAACAATTAGATTTCATTAATGCCAGGCCACATCTGACATACAGGCCATAATCTGCGCGGTCTGCTGAGTGAGTGACTAAACAGTCCCGTGCAGGGGCGCTAACAAAGAACCACAGCCGGCACAGCCTAAACAACAGACACTTACCATCTTCAGTCCTGGAGGCGGGAGCTCAGGGGTCACGGTGGCGGCAGGGCCGCCTCCTCTGACACTTCTCTCCTTGGCCCTTAAATGCCGTCTTCTCCCTGTGTCCTCATAGGGCCGTTCCACTGTGCGTGTCTGTGCCCAATCTCATCTTCTTATAAGGACACTGGTCAGATTGGTCAGGGACCACCCTGATGGCCTCTTTTCCATGTAATCACCTCTGCAAAGACCCCATCTCCAAACATAGTCACATTGTGAAGTGCCGGGGTTAAGACTTCGATGTAGGAATTCGGGGGGTTACGATTGAGCCCGTGGCAGAGGCTCAAATATCTGCTTCTTTTATCATCCCCGTGGCACCTTGTTGCCTCACCTTTGCAGATGAAGGTGCTGGGGAAAGTGCCCTCGCTGCCGTGGAGCCCCGAGGCTGTGCGGCCATCCTGAGCTTGTCTCTGGTTTCAGGTACATCCACCCCTGCGAGATCTGCGGGCGGATCTTCAACAGCATCGGGAACCTGGAGCGCCACAAGCTCATCCACACAGGTGCGTGTCTGTCAGCATTTGGGGTCCCGGCCCTCGCTGGAGGGGGCTGGCAGGGAGGGATGCTGGGGGTCTCCGCGTATTCTACACACAGAGCCGTCGCACCTTGCCTCCCCCATGCCTTCCTCTGTTTCTCCAGCTTTTCCCGTCCTTATCAGCCCTGCCACTCACAGCCCAGCGCCCCCAGCCCCCTCACCCCTCCAGGTCCTCAGGGATCTACTGGAGTCACAGGATCCCCGGGAGGGCTCTGTGGAGGCCGCTGAAGAGGCGACCCCACCCCTGTTACTGCGCTTCTAGCTGCTGGGGAGGCTGGGCCCCTCTCCTTGGTGCATCCTCTTTGCAGCCACTGCAGGTCGGAGCTGCTCGGCTCTGAGTGGCAGATGCCTGTGTTCTCAGGTGTGAAGAGCCACGCCTGCGAGCAGTGTGGGAAGTCCTTTGCCAGGAAGGACATGCTGAAGGAGCACATGCGTGTGCACGACAATGTCCGCGAGTACCTGTGTGCCGAGTGTGGGAAAGGTGGGTACGGGTGCTGGGGACATGGGCCAGGCTCAGCCAGGCCACCCTGCTGCAGGGTGCTGGAAGGGGACATGAGCGAGAACTGGGAGTGTGGGGAAGGTGGGTGTGGCGGGGGCGGGGGCCGGGGCCACGGGCCGAGTGTGGGAAAGGTGGGTACAGGCGCCAGGGCCACGGGCCAGGCTCAGCCAGGCCGCTCAGCTGCTGCAGGGCGCTGGGAGGGGATGTGAGCGAGAACTGGGAGTGTGGGAAAGGTGGGTGTGGGTGCTGGGGGCCACGGGCCAGGCTCAGCCAGGCCGCCCAGCTGCAGGGCTCTGGAAGGGGATGTGACCAAGGTATCTACCATAGTGCGAGAGGCATTGCCAGAGTGTGGCCCTGGAAGCCCATAGGCTTCAGTCGCTTACTTAAGGAAAGAAGGACTCGAGGCAGCATTTAAATCAGGAATCTGCAAGAAAAATCAAGTAGTCCAGAAAGCAGAAAGATGTGATAAATTTAAAGGCACAAACAAATCGTTTTAAAAGTAGGAAAATAATGCAGGATCTAATTGTTTAAAGTATAGAATGATTCCCAAAGCCACCACGGGGTCTGACAGTAGATGCAAAACCCTCAGCGTATTCACTACGCAGACTAGAATCGGCTGCGTGGTGAGAGAGAAACTCACCACGGCCGAGGAATCTTCATTGTAACGACAGAACATTCATTAATAACAAACCTAGTAATAAGATGTCTCAACTTAGTAAGCAAAATACAAAGATAATTCCAGTACACATCATAATTTTAACCCATTCCTGTTTTTATTTTTTTTTTAAAACAACTTCCTAAAAGTTTTGGAGCAGCAGGTTTGTCTTGGGCTGTTTCAAGCGACCCTGCTCATGCTGTCCCGGTGACAGTGTGTTGGAAACACAGGAGCTGCATGAACTGCACTCGCCGGGTGACCCCTATGAGCACCCGTAGAATAACGCTGCGTGTCAAAGCCTAAAAGAACTGCCTGCAGAAAAGGCCAGAAAGGGGGTCTTTCCTTTCCCCACTTCCTGGCCCTCTGTTCCTCACCTCAGAGGCCAGCACAGGCTCTTGCCCCTCCTCCAGGGTAACTTTGCGCAAGGACGGCACATGGGTGGTTATTAAAAAAGCAGCGCATGCACCTCGCCAAGACATATTTTTTAAACAATACAAACAGGTCTGGAAGGTGGCATAGTTACTCTCCCCTCAAACCCCAGCCGGTCCTCGCAGAGCCACTGCGGTGGTTTCTCTGAACGGAATGTCAGTAGCAATGTCTGCCTGCCTTAGCGGGACAGGTGGTTTCTCTGAACAGAATGTCGGTAGCAGTGTCTGCCTGCCTTAGCGGGACAGGCTGGCTTGCTCTTTATCCGCGTCTGCCTTAAGCTCCCAGCCCCTTTCACCACCTGCTCCTCCCCTTTCCTCCCCAATGCCCCCAAGAAGTAAAATGTTTAAGACAGTGTGGTGAGCCTGGCTGGAGGGGTCCTGAGTAGCGCGTAGAGACAGGAGGGGCAGGGGTGGGGGCTTATTCAGGGCCGGGCCTCTTAGGCAGGCAGAGAGGAGCCACACCTGGGTCCCCTGCAGGTCCCCAAATGCCACCAGATGCCCTGGGAGGCAAGGGGTGTGGGGTAAAGCCACATTTTATAATGTTGTAGACATTTTAGTGTTTGAAATGTATTAATTATTTAGTTGCATCGTTTTTTAAAATGAATTCTGAATAGCTGAAATAAAATGCTGGCATTAATACATCAGTTGCCAGATTTATTTTACAGAATACCAAATTCCAGTATTGTCATCGTGCTATCACGCAACAGTTGCTAGTACATACCAGCGCATGCTTGTGCTCATTTGTTTTTTTGATACTTTGCTATTTTTTTTTTACTTGAAAATACGTCTTGGAGATCTTTTTATATCGGAACATGTAAATATTGCCTGGTTTTATCTTTCAAGCCCTTCGTACGATTCATATAACCAGACCCTTTATTTTATAAAGTTTCTGGTTGTTTTGTTATAGTCATTTATTATTACAGTGTTGCAAGAAACACTGTTGCATATTATTACTTTACATTTTTTTCCAGAAATTCTAGCCCTGACCAGGGAATTAGTCAGTGTCAGGGACCAAGTGGGAGGCTGTTAGTAGTCGTGAGAGCCTGTCACCAGCAGGTGGAGGCAGGGGCCCAGCCAGTAGGTTTTCTGTGTGTGTGGAGGAAAACGTCTTGTTCAGAATCACATCATGGGCCTTGAACTACTCAGGAATGATCTACAAGAACTTACTGTGGCCAGTAAGAATATGACACCAGGTATTGAAAGCTATAAAAAAGGCATCCCCTGTTCGGGATTAGAAATTATAAGTATTTAAAAAACATCAGTTTTCCCCACGGTAATTTGTAAATGGATTGACTCACAATCCCAGTAGAGCAAGCTTTAAAATTTCCTCTGTCTGGCAGTTGTGTTTATTTTGAAACTGTTGGCAGATTTTCTTTGTTAAATGGAAGAAAAAACATTACTGTCACCAATGCTGGCTGTGGTGGGGAGGTCAGAATGTGGAGATGCCATCTCTTCTGTATTTTCTGGGTTTTCTGTGACTGTGTATTAGTTTTGAAATTTGGAATATGTTCATTTTAGAAGCAGGAAGAGGGAAGTGCTGGGGTCTGGGCGTGTCAGCAGTGACCGGCACTCTTTTTTTTTTTTTTAATCAAAAGGATTGACAGTAACTTTTTCAGGTGGAATCACTCTTCGGTCATTGGTAATAGGCCTGCAGGTGCCGTCCCCACCCGAGGCCAGGAGTTGTGCAGCTGTGTGTGCAGGCAGCGGGCTTCATCGTGGGGCCTTTGCTCCCCCTGCTGGCCCAGCCGCGCAGTTTTCTCGTAGCCAGGGAGGTCTTCTGGCCCGGCCTTTAGAATTCTGGCAGGAGCTGGTGGATGGTCACCCCTGCATCTGGTGAGGGTGGAATCACAGGGGAACCGTTGACCAGCTTACTACAGAGCTGTGTTCAGGCTCAGTAGTTCTTCCCCAAATGTGGAGGGAACACGGTGGCCTGGGAGTGCAGGCTGCCCACCGCCCTGGGCAGGCACAGTGAAGGCGCCTCTTCGGGGCTGGGGAGGCTGCCTTTGGGCTGGGTCGCCCTGTTCCCTGGTGCGTGTCAGCCTCACGGTCAGGTGTACCAAGCCGCACATGCCTGTGCCCCCTGCGGAGGGCCTTGTACAGTGCTGTCCCTGCCAGCGCACCACAACCTCTGACTCAGCCCCTATGCCAGGGCCACCCTCTCTCCACTGGCTGTGTGAGTGAGGCTTTGGAGTATTTCAGCTTCTTAAGATTGGCTTCTTAAATTACAGGTAGATTGAAACCATCTCGCGTCCGAATCCCAATCACCACTCATATTGTCAAGGTTGAAGGGAACCTTTAGTCATGCTTGTATTAATCTATCTCTCACCGAATTCTCCCGCCGGGTTGCCATGGGCACGCAGGGAAGTTTACCCACCGCCCCGGCGTTGCTCGCGTGGTCAGGGCTCGGCCAGGCCCTGGCAGGAGTGAGTGAACCTGATGTTGCAGTCAGTCCCTCCCGGCCTCTGGGCACAGTCACTTCCCAGGTCTCACCGCTGGTGGACTGACCGGGATCCTCGGGGGCCGGCCCACACCCTCACCAGTACCGCACGGGCCGCTGCCTGTGCCTGCCCCAGGGTCTCGGGCATGGGCCCCCAGGTGGGCTGCGTGGGGGTGTGGCCGCCTCTGACTCGCTGTGTCCTTGAAGGCATGAAGACCAAGCACGCGCTGCGCCACCACATGAAGCTGCACAAGGGCATCAAGGAGTACGAGTGCAAGGAGTGCCACCGCAGGTTCGCGCAGAAGGTCAACATGCTCAAGCACTGCAAGCGGCACACGGGTGAGTCCGAGGCCCGGGCCGCGCCAGCCACGGCGCTCACTGTGTAGGGAAGCCAGGTGGGCCGTGGGAGAAGAGAGAGCCGCCTTGAGACGATTCCTCTTTGTGATTCCCACTGAGTGCCGGGTTCCCCAAGAGAGCTTCCTGGGGCCGGGGTGAGCAGCTGCATATCTCAAAAGGTCCCCCTCCCACAGGGGCCTCGTCACCGGAGAGCATGCTGCACAGCTCACTTCCGGCATTGGGAGACTGGTCAGTCTTTAAATGTTCCTCCCGTTCAGCTGTTTCCCCCTCAGGAATGTGCACAAGAAATAGCGACCAGACAAGGGCCAGGGATGTGCATGCAAGGTTGCTTGTCATCTTTTGAGTTAGGGAAGGCGCTGGAAGGTCAGACGTGGCCTCGGTAGGGCACTGGCTAAGCCATGGTGAATCCAGAAAAGAGCAAGGTGTCCGCTCGGGTGATGTGTGTACTACGCTGATGTGCATAGAAAGGAGTCGGTGACGCGACAGGTCAAAGAGCAGCCTGTGCCATCTCTAACACAAGGCCAAGATCTTAGAAAACACTAGAGCAGCCTGCGCCATCTCTAACACAAGACATTCTTATAAAACACTACAGCAGCCTGCGCCATCTCTAACACAAGGCCAAGATCTTAGAAAACACTAGAGCACCCTGCGCAATCACTAACACGAGGCATTCTCATAAAACACTAGAGCACCCTGCGCAATCACTAACACAAGTCGTTCTCATAAAACACTAGAGCACCCTGCGCAATCACTAACACAAGGCCAAGATCTTATAAAACACTAGAGCACCCTGCGCAATCACTAACACAAGGCATTCTCATAAAACACTAGAGCACCGTGCGCAATCACTAACACACAGCCATTCTCATAAAACACTAGAGCACGCTGCGCAATCACTAACATGAGGCATTCTCATAAAACACTAGAGCACCCTGCGCAATCACTAACACAAGTCGTTCTCATAAAACACTAGAGCACCCTGCGCAATCACTAACACAAGGCATTCTCATAAAACACTAGAGCACCCTGCGCAATCACTAACACAAGGCATTCTCATAAAACACTAGAGCACCCTGCGCAATCAGTAACACGAGGCATTCTCATAAAACACTAGAGCACGCTGCGCAATCACTAACACAAGTCGTTCTCATAAAACACTAGAGCACCCTGCGCAATCACTAACACGAGGCATTCTCATAACACACTAGAGCACCCTGCGCAATCACTAACACAAGTCGTTCTCATAAAACACTAGAGCACCCTGTGCAATCACTAACACAAGGCATTCTCAAAACACTAGAGCACCCTGCGCAATCACTAACACGAGGCATTCTCATAACACACTAGAGCACCCTGCGCAATCACTAACACGAGGCATTCTCATAAAACACTAGAGCACCCTGCGCAATCAGTAACACGAGGCATTCTCATAAAACACTAGGGCACCCTGCGCAATCACTAACACGAGGCATTCTCATAAAACACTAGAGCACCCTGCGCAATCACTAACACGAGGCATTCTCATAAAACACTAGAGCACCCTGCGCAATCACTAACACGAGGCATTCTCATAACACACTAGAGCACCCTGCGCAATCACTAACACGAGGCATTCTCATAACACACTAGAGCACCCTGCGCAATCACTAACACGAGGCATTCTCATAAAACACTAGAGCACCCTGCGCAATCACTAACACAAGTCGTTCTCATAAAACACTAGAGCACCCTGCGCAATCACTAACACGAGGCCAAGATCTTATAAAACACTAGAGCACCCTGCACAATCACTAACACAAGGCATTCTCATAAAACACTAGAGCACCCTGCACAATCACTAACACAAGGCGTTCTCATAAAACTCTAGAGCAGCCTGCGCAATCACTAACACAAGGCCAAGATCTTAGAAAACACTAGAGCACCCTGCGCAATCACTAACACAAAGCATTGTTATAAAACACTAAAGCACCCTGCGCAATGCCAATACAAGGCCATTCTCATAAAACCCTTCTGTATGGGCGAGTGTTTTTGTGCTTGTGGAGAGAAAATTGAGACATCAGAATTGAGAGGTTGTCCCTGAGTGGTGGAGTTGTGTCTCAGCGTGAAGTTCCCTGGCGTGAGCCTGTTCAGTGCCCCCTGGGGGCCCCTCAACTGCACGTTGGGTCCTGCCTTTATCCAGCCCACGTCACCTGCCTACCTTCCTCCCCTGCTCCCCAGAGTGGCGCGGGTTGCCACACGGGTCTGCTTTGGGTTGGCCGGGCGTGCCAGCCTCCTCTGCCCCTGGACTGCAGAAGTGTACTGTCCATCTCTTTCCTGGGGAATCTCTGTCCAGTATATGCTTTACCATTTTTGGGATACTCTTGCTCCCCAAGACTGGGCCACATGCCCTCATCTGGGTTCTCAGAACACCCCACACTCTGCCTGCCGCCCACCAACTCGCTGGGCTGTGGTGGCCTCTGTCCCATGCTCCACAGTGAGCCCTCAGGACTGAGTTAAGTGCCTTTAAAAATTACTTGTCTTGTTCCCATTTTGAGGGGCAACCTTTGTTTAAAGGGCATTCATAGGGTCCACCTCCCCATCAGTTTTTGGGGTGAAACAGACCGTGGACTCTATTCTTGCTTGCCCCTGACCCCCCAGAGCCCCCCAGACGTGAGCTGATGTGAGCACTTGCACCAGGAGGAAGCTGGTCCCCCTTTGGCCTCCTCCCTGTCTCCCTCTCTGTGGACCACATACATAATTACGTGCCACACGTTTCCCTTCGCTCCGGGGAACACGGGTCCTGTGCCGCCTGGTGGGGCGCTGACAGCCGTCAGAGCAAGGTGTCTGGGCTGGTGAAACAAACACACTCCCCAGTTCTCCCCTGGCGATCATCCCCCACAGTGGCCGTTCCCTAGGGCAGTGGCTGTTCCCAAGGCGGTGGCCGTTCCTCAGGGCAGTGGCCCACAGCTTGTCTTATTTCTCTAAGCATTTTGGGGTCCTTTAGCTTCTGAGGAATGTCCTCTCAACTTTCCTCACGTGGCCGTCTGTTGGGGATGCTTGCTCTTGGATGTCCTGAATCATCTGAGAGGCTTTGTCTAAAGACCAGGCTTGGGTTTTCTTTCCCAGACTCTCTCAATCAGAGTCGCTAAGGGCCGGCCTTTTCGTCTTCACCCTCTCAAGTTCCACAGACTGTCCTGGGAGATTCAGCCTCCTCATACATAAAATAACAGATTTTAACAGGATTATCTGTACGCCTCCCCCCGGGCTCTAATTAAACCTGTTTCCACCACAAGGCCACCTACCGTGCACCTCCTGATCCTGGGAATGTCACGATGATGGCTATGCTGGTTCTTTTTCCCTAGTAATCAGGGAACTGGTTATTTTGTTCATGCACTTTGTGGAAATTTGTTGAGCCCGCACTCACTTACAATTTGTGTTTTTCTGTCTATGAGTTTGATGTCAATCAAAAGTGTCCTTAAAATAAGCAACAAAACAGTGACACTTCCTGGTCTTGTCCCTGGACCTGGGGAGGGACCCTCCCTACTCTGGGAGGCTCTGGGGGGTTAAGGCCCCTCCCTTGGAAGGTGGAGTCTTAGAATCCGTGGGCACGAGTGGCCGTGCGGGAGCAATTGCCACCTCTGGTGTTGGTCTATTAAAGCATCCGCTTCTGGCTCCCGTGAGGCCAATCCATGAGCCAGGACTGACTGAGTACTTATCAAATATTTTAAAAAGTCAAGGCCGGTCGCAGTGGCTCACGCTTGTAATCCCAGCACTTTGGGAGGCCGAGGCGGGCGGATCACGAGGTCAGGAGATCGAGACCACGGTGAAAGCCCGTCTCTACTAAAAATACAAAAAATTAGCTGGGCGTGGTGGCGGGTGCCTGTAGTCCCAGCTACTCAGAGAGGCTGAGGCAGGAGAATGGCCTGAACCCGGGAAGCGGAGCTTGCAGTGAGCCGAGATCGCGCCGCTGCACTCCAACCTGGGCAACAGAGTGAGACGCTGTCTCAAAAAAAAAAAAAAAAAAAAAGTCAGGTAAGCTCTAATTTACCTTTCTGTTGTTAGAGATGGGGTCTCTCTGTTGCTCATGCTGGAGTGCAGTGATGTGATCACAGCTCATTGCGGCCTTGAAGTCCTGGGCTCAAGTGATCCTCCCACCTCAGCTTCTCGAGTAGCTGGGACTACAGGCACACACCATCATGCCCGGCTGGTTATTTTATTTTATTTTATTTTATTTTATTTTTGTAGAGACAGGGTCTCGCCATGTTGCCCAGGCTGGTCTTGAACTCCTGGACTCGAGCGATCTTCCTTCGGCCTCCCAAAGTGCTGGGATCACAGGCATGAGCCACCGTGCCTGGCATCAGCTCTCATTTGAATTAGTCAAGTTTTGAAGAATCACACTCATTTTGTCCGAGCACGGCAGTTCTGTTGTCTTTTACGCTTGGCTCGTCTGTGTCCTCCTTGCCATTGGTCCTGATTTCAGTTACCATTTCCTCTCTCATTGTAATATCACATGTGCTGCCTAAGAGCTTCCTGGACTAAGGGAGGTGTGGATACATTAATGCTTTAAAGAAATTCCTATCGTTTTTCTGCTTGTCCACATGTGGGTTCCACTTTCTGTCTGTGTTTTCAGACAGCCTTTCCCACATCTCATGTTTTTTTGATATGAAATGTCACTATGGAAGCATAAACTTTCCAAGCCACACTTTGCTGGCCGAGGCTGGGGATGAGCGTTCATTGTCTGCTGTCTTCTTGCAATTCACCTTCTCCTGAAGGCCCTACAGTGCCTGGAACGTGTCAGGGAGAAGACATGCCCTGATGTGGACTTACAACACTCATTAAACGTAGGAAGTTATGTGCGCCTTTCTCTGCAGGGATTAAAGATTTCATGTGTGAATTGTGTGGGAAGACATTCAGCGAGAGGAACACCATGGAGACCCACAAGCTCATCCACACAGGTGAGCGGCGCAGCCTGAAGGAGCCTTCGGGGCGCACGCGGCAGGCTGCCGGGGCTGTCTGAGTGCCTGCTGGGGTGGAAACGACTATTCTATTATCTAGACGGTTCCAGCACATTTAGTGTTGTCTTGGCTTCATGGTGGCCCCTTGGCCTCTGAAGGTCAACCCGCCACAGCTTTCAAGTATCCCTTCTTGAATTTTCTCATATTGGTTCCGTGATGCAGCTGCTGCTGGCAGTGCTCCCCAAGGGACAGAGGCTCTGTGCTCATGTGTGCTCGGGGACCAGCACCGGCCCTCTCAGGATGGGCGGGGCGTGACAGGCTTCTTGCCTCGTCCAGCAGGCCAGGGTCATTGGGATGGCTGCACTAGTGACCTGCGTGTCTCTTCCTTTCCACGCGCATGTGTGTCTGCGTGTGTGTGAAAAGTGGGCAAGCAGTGGACGTGCTCCGTGTGCGACAAGAAGTACGTGACCGAGTACATGCTGCAGAAGCACGTTCAGCTCACACACGACAAGGTGGAGGCGCAGAGCTGCCAGCTGTGCGGGACCAAGGTGTCCACCAGGGCCTCCATGAGCCGACACATGCGGCGCAAGCACCCCGAGGTGAGCTGGTGGCTGTGCCCCCTCCGTGCCCCGCCAGCGGGCCGCGCACCGGACACCCCCATGCTGGCACATGGCCCACCTCCCTCTGCAGACCCCCAGTACTGGAGGCAGGCCCTGAGTCTTAGGTGCGTCTGTGACTGGCACTGCCTGCCACACAGGAGGCACTGAGTGAGTGGCTGCGAGAGGTTAGGAGAGCCTCAGGCGGACCTTTGCTAAGGTTATAAATTACGTCCTCCCTGAAATTATGGCAAGATGGAAGCACAGCCCTGCCACTCCCCCCATTCTTCCCACTCATGGAACTAATGTGCAAAATGGGGGCTCCACGTGGTGTTGGGGCCAAGTAAAGTATGACACCGAGGATGGGGAGGGGGAAGTTGTACAGACGCAGGCAGAGCCCAACTGCTCTGAAAGCCTGCTCCACAGGAAGGGCCAGGATGTTCCGTAATTAAATGTGCTTTAAGAAGGAGCACCCTGAAAGACAAAACCAGAGGAAAACTTAGTTGTCAGGTCACAGAAAAGAGTAGACTCTCTAAGCGTAAAAGCAGCAAAAGGAGTTGTGAACACAGGTTTGACTCCATAAGCACTCAGAACAAATACAGGCCAAAGGAAAAATGAAAAATCTGGGCCGGGCACGGTGGCTCATGCTTGTAATCCCAGCACTTTGGGAGGCAGAGGCGAGTGGATCACGAGGTTAAGAGTTTGAGACCAGCCTGGCCAACATGGTGAAACCCCGTCTCTACTAAAAATATAAAAATTAGCTGGGCATGGTGGTGGGCGCCTGTAGTCCCAGCTACTCGGGAGGCTGAGGCAGCAGAATCGCTTGAACCCAGGCGGCGGAGGTTGCAGTGAGCCGAGATTGCGCCACTGCACTCCAGCCTGGGTGACAGAACGAGATTCCATCTCAAAAAAAAAAAAAAAAGAAAAAATTTGCATAGGCCATGGCTGTGTTAGACAGATAGAGCCTGTTAACATTAGTGATAACAAGCACTCACTGAGAAACACGCGAAGCGCACTCAGGGTGTACACGGAGAGGGAGCTCATGCGGGAAGAACAGCCGTGGTGAAAAACACACGGAAAGGCGTTCAGCTCACCGCGCATCCCAGAAAAGCAAACGGTAGCGGCGGAGGATGGCATCCTTCGCCTCTTGCGGGGGCGGGGGGTTTTAGATTCAGAGTGACCACACTGGCCGGCTGGCACGAGTTGCCGCTCTCACCGTTGGATGTTTTTCTTGAAGGCAGCATCACAGCATTTCTCGAGTGTTTAATAAATGGTTATTCCAACCCCTATTCCAACCCTACAATAAGAACGTGATTCAATTAGTGATAGTTTAGCAGTGTGTTTGCCTGACACACATGCTTACACGGATCTGAAATTGTGAAATGCTCATTACGTACGTGAAAGAGCAGTATACGTTGTGCACATATATAATGTGTGTATACACAATACACGTCACATACATTGTGTGTATATATAATACTCACTTATATAAATGAGGTAGGTAAAGAAGGGAGCAAAACATCCCACAGTGATTTCTCTCTTGTTCTTGAAGTGATGGGTAATTTCTTGTCTTCACATTTTTCTCCATTTTCCAATGTCCTGTAATGAAAGTGACTTCCTTTTGGAATTGGGAAAGCACCGTCTGCCTCAGGTGTCAGTCTGGTGGCTCCCTAGTTTGGGGGTGACCCGGGACGTCGCCGTGTTGCTGTTCCTCTGCAGCCCGATCAGGCTCCCAGGGAGATGCAGGGACTCAACCTGCTCTCCAGTCCGGGAAGCCAGGGGACCGTGGCTGCATACTCTGCCCTGTGCCCCACTCAGCGGGGAGCTTGGATCCCTCTAACTGAGCTCCATTGCCTCCCTTCTCATGTAGTGGCCAGCTGGTGTTTTTACCTAGAAAACAGAGTCGGGGGAGTAGGAACCCGAAGCGCCAGGACCACCTTGGCACCCCAGGGGCAGGGCAGGCCCTGCAGCCCACCCAGCAGCCCGTGAGCAAGGCTGGCGTTTGAGCGGTTCCTCTCCATGACGTGTGGGTTTCTAGACTTCCGCGTATTGATAAAGACGGTGCACATCACTTTTGTACACCGGAGTTTTGATATACATAGCTGGGTGGAGAGGCCTTACTGATAAAGACATCTCCCACAAACACTGTCAGGCAGAGTCCTCTCACCAGGATTAAACCACTTCCTAAGGTGGCCCAACTGCAAGTTCGCCTTCTGTGCTCTGCTCCTTCAACTGGGCTGTGTGTTGCCCATCCCCACTCCCCTCAAGCCCAACCCGGACAGAACCAAGTGACTCAAGAGGAAAGCCTTCCAGACCCAGGGAAGGTGGTGCGGGGGGATTTTGTCCGTCTTTGTTCTCGAACCAATTTGTTTCTCCAGCCTTTTATCCTGTGCTCTCTTTGTGTCATTCCTTTTGATCATCTCACAGTTGTTTCCCTCTACATTAACTCAAACAAATGCCTACCAGTGATGTGATGGGCCGGCCAGCCAGGGTCCATCCCTGCCCTCCTGGACTTTACGGTCTGGGTAGGAGACAGAAAAATAAGAAGTAGACAGAGGCAAAGTGATTACAAACTAGAATAGAGGATATGGAAGAGATGACCCTAGACAGCAGTGTGAGGGGAAGGAAGGGGACTCGGGTCAGCTTTGTGTAGCTGTGTGTGTACCGCAGTGAGGCCTGGCTGTCTGAGAGTGGGATAACGGTCCCCCGAGCCTGTCCCCGTTGGTGATGCCACAGATTCAGGAGGAAGAAGGTGTTCGTTGGAGTCACACTAATTTAACTAGTTAAGTTAAACTAGTTATAGTTTAACTGTTGGACTAGTTAAACAGGCATAAACTACTTACAGAGATTCAGAATCTTTTAGGATTGATACTATTTTATGACTCCAAGCTATGGTTTTTCTCTTTACTTTGAATGAATGTTACATTAAAAACAAAACACAGAAAGCAATTTTCACTTTTTTCTTATATCCTAAGAAGAGTGAAGCTAATGCTTCTATGGTGGTTCTTTGATGGCGTCAGCTTTCAGACTGTGTGACTAGGATACTGATGATATTGATGTGATGGTGGTGGAGGTAGTGGTGGAGATGGTGGTAAAGGTGATGGTGGTGATGGGGGACCTGGTGTTGGTGATGGTGGTGTTGGTGATGGTGGTGGTAGAGGTGATGGGGGAGGTGGTGGTGTTGATGGTGGTGATGATGGTGGTGGAGATGGTGGTGGTGATGGTGATAGTGGTGATAGGGATGGTAGTGGTGATGCCACATGGTGGTAGTGGTGCTGATGGTGATGGCGGTGGTAGTGGTGATGGTGGTGACAGTCGTGGTGGTGATGATGGTAATGATAGTGATGGAGGAGGCGGTGATGGTGGTAATGGTGATGGAAGTGGTAGTGATGGTGGTGGCGGTGGTGATGGTGGTGGTATGGTGATGGTGATGGTGGTGATGTTGGTGGTAGTGATGGGTGGTGGTGGTGATGGTGGTGGTGATGGTGATGGTGGTGGTGGTGATGGTGGTGGTGATGGTGGTGGTGGTGATGATGGTGGTGATGATGGTGGTGGTAGTAATGGTGGTGGTGGTGATGGTGGTGGTATGGTGATGGTGATGGTGGTGATGTTGGTGGTAGTGATGGT
Source organism: Homo sapiens (assembly GCF_000001405.40). NCBI lineage: Eukaryota > Metazoa > Chordata > Mammalia > Primates > Hominidae > Homo > Homo sapiens. The sequence goes on along the minus strand of NC_000021.9, from coordinate 41,806,529 downwards.
GGTGGTGATGGTGGTGGTGATGGTGATGGTGGTGATGGTGGTGGTAGTAATGGGTGGTGCTGGTGGTGATGGTGATGGGTGGTGGTGATGGTGGTGGTGGTGATGGTGGTGGTGGTGATGGTGGTGGTGGTGGTGATGGTGGTGGTGGTGATGGTGGTAGTGATGGTGGTGGTGGTGATGGTGGTGGTGATGGTGATGGTGGTGGTGGTGATGGTGGTGGTGGTGATGGTGGTGGTGATGGTGATGGTGGTGGTGGTGATGGGTGGTGGTGATGGTGGTGGTGGTGATGGTGGTAGTGATGGTGGTGATGGTGATGGTGATGGTGATGGTGGTGGTGGTGATGGTGGTGGTGGTGATGGTGGTGGTGATGGTGATGGTGGTGGTGGTGGTGATGGTGGTGGTGATGGTGGTGGTGGTGGTGGTGATGGTGGTGGTGATGGTGGTGGTGGTGATGGTGGTGGTGATGGTGATGGTGGTGGTGGTGATGGTGGTGGTGATGGTGGTGGTGGTGATGGTGGTGGTGATGGTGGTGGTGGTGGTGATAGTGGTGATAGGAATGGCAGTGGTGGTGATGCCACGTGGTGGTAGTGGTACTGATGATGGTGGTGACAGTGTTGGTGGTGATGAGGGTAATGATAGTGATGGAGGGGGTGGTGATGGTGTTGTTAATGGTGATGGAGGTGGTTGTGTTGGTGGTGATGGTGTTGGTAATGGTGATGGAGGTGGTTGTGTTGGTGGTGGTGGTGTTGGTGTTGATGGTGATGATACTGATGATAGAGGTGGTAATGATGATGGTGGTGGTGGTGCTTATGGTGGTGATGGTGGTGACGGTAGAGAGTGCGTCCACAGCAGTCTGGTTGCTTTTGCTCAGGGTCCTTTGCGAGTGTCACAGTATAGATCTGTGCTCAGTGTCAATGAGAGTTACACTGGAGTCTTCAAAGCCATTGCAGGATTTATGTTAACTTAAAACACTTACAGACCAGCCTTTGTTTGCCATCTTTTCCAGGAAGGGGCCCAGACCTAGTCATGGAATGTAAATTTAATGATGCACTTCTCTCCTTTTTTAAATGAGTTACATCCACAAAGCATAGTCTGCTTTTTCATTTTAACTTCCTTTAGTTGATCAGAAATTTAAAGATGTTTGCAAAGCTGTTTGGGTGAAGCACCCTTACAGGCAGACTCTTGCTAATTTTGTTTTGCAGCCCCTCCCCTTTATCACGTTCGGCTGTCTCTGTACTCGTTGTCCGTTGTCTTTCTTATGATCTAATTAGGTCATCACAGGAACAAACGCAACTGCTGTAAGCAGGGTGTGGGCGGTGAAGGTCACTCACTTTTGGGCAGGACGCACTGAGCTGGTGGGAGGGCCCCTGTGGACACATGGGGCGTGCTGAGGACCCCGTTCAGTGGGGCCATTGGAGGGAAGGTAGGGGCAGGGCGTCACTTCATCACAAAACCAACAAATGAAAGCACTTGTGTATGGATTCAACTGAAAAGTACGATGTGTAAGGCACAAATGTCTCATTTTTGGTGATTGCTCATAGAACAAGTTTACTCTACTGTATCTTTACCTTGCTGTGGTCTCCCTTGGAAATAACAGAAGCGCCACTGAAACCTCACCCCTTTGGTGGGGGGCCAAAAAGGGAGGACATAGTCTCCCCACTGGGGGAGTGGACGTGAGATGATACAGGGGCAAGACCATTGTGGGAGCATGAAATAAGGGGTGAGGATAAGCCCTGGGCTTCTGGACACAGAGTTTCAAAGTCAGAGCTGAACAGAGGAGACTGGGAAGTGCGGGGGATGCCTGGGAGGGAAGGGCAGGAGTGGTGGAGGTGGTCCCAAGGCGTGTGTGGCTTCTGGGTTCCCACCTGCATCAGCAGCACCCTGACCCCCAGCTCATGCCCTGTGCTCCTCATAGGTGCTCGCGGTGAGGATCGATGACCTGGACCACCTCCCGGAGACCACCACCATCGACGCCTCCTCCATTGGCATCGTCCAGGTGAGCAGCATGGGGCCCCAGGGGCTCAGAAACTTTGGGGTAAGTGGACACCTGCAGAAGGGACCAGAGGGGCTTGGACAGGCCGGGAGGGAGCAGCTCTGGGCAAGCCTGTGGCCAGGTTACCCTGTTTTCTTGGCTTCTCTTCCCCTCAGAACCTCTTAGATCATCTCCTCGTTTCTGTAGTTTCTGTGACCTCAGTTTGTTGAATACTGGTGTATCTCACTTTGGAAAACAGATGTTTTCCAGAAAAAAATAGAAATTAGAACAATTGGCTGGGCGCGGTGGCTCACGCCTGTAATCCCAGCAATTTGGGAGGCCAAGGCGGGCAGATCACTTGAGGTCAGGAGTTCAAGACCAGCCTGGCCAACGTGGCAAAACCCTGTCTCTACTAAAAGTACAAAAATTAGCCAAATGTGGTAGTGCACGCCTGTAATCCCAGCTACTCAGGAGGCTGAGGCAGGAGAATTGCTTGAACCCAGGGGCGGAGGTTGCAATGAGCCGAGATTGTGCCACTGCGCTCCAGCCCAGGCAACAGAGCGAGACTGTGTCTGAAAAAAAAAAAAAAAAAAATCAGAACAATCATTAAAATGTTCTAAGCAAAATAAGTTTAAACATACCAATTAGATGAACTTAGTTTTTAAAGAAATTTTTAGTTAATACTAAACTTTCAGTTAGCAAAATTTTTTTTTATTTCAAAGAGAACGTGCCATGCTCTCAGTGGTCTAAGATCACATGTATGCCTCTCGTTCTGAAACAGCGCTTTAGAGTGCAGTCTTCATGAAGGGCACTGGGTCCGGCTGAGTGACGTACGGCGGCTCCAGCCCCAGCCCCAGAACCCACAGGCCATTTCTACCCTTGGCAAGTCACAGGCATGGGGGGGACGGGTCGTCCCACCATGACAGCGGTGTAGGCCCACGCTGGGTCTGTCTGCCACTGGGTTAGGATCAGGTTGTGTGGAATGGCACAGGAAGCCCAAGAGGAGTGGCAGGTGACCACTCACCGGCCACCACTGCCCCGCGGCCTCTGTGAGCCTGAGCGAGCCTGGTGAGCCGGCCCGGTTCAGAGGATGTGGTCACAGCCCAGCAGTGTCCTGGACACTTGCAGGGAATCGTGCGGGGAGGGGCCCACTGGGCTCACCACTGCAGCTGGGCCCTCGTTCCCTGTCCCTGCAGGTTTTGTGGTCAAATCTGTTTTAATTCAAAATTGTTTTTTATGGTGGATTCGTCTCAGCCCTGGGGAAGAGAGAGCCCTGATTTGAAAGCATTTTCAGCCTTGCTCTAGCAGCTCACCCGGGCAGAAACATTTCCCTTTGGAAATACCCAGTGGCTTAAAACGTTAAGTTTCTAAGAAGTGTTTACATTTTAGCATAAAATACAACTTTTAAAAATATGACTTGCATGTATTTTTTTTTTAAATCTGCAACTAAAGGAACTTGCCCCGATCCTTAGAAATACAAGACCCAGCTGTGGTCACTGTTTCTTGTGGCAGCTCGGTGGCCCACAAGCGTCCCCACTGATTGGAGAGTGTGTCCAGGGCAGTGCTGGGGCTGCCCTGGCCGCTGCCTGACGTGACCGACTAACCTGGTTCTCGGCTGAAACCGATTTTTCTGCAGCCTGAGCTGACTCTGGAGCAGGAGGATTTGGCCGAAGGGAAGCACGGGAAAGCTGCCAAGCGAAGTCACAAGAGAAAGCAGAAGCCAGAAGAGGAGGCGGGTGCTCCGGTGCCCGAGGACGCCACCTTCAGCGAATACTCAGAGAAAGAGACGGAGTTCACAGGCAGTGTAGGCGACGAGACCAATTCCGCAGTACAGAGCATTCAGCAGGTCAGTTTGCTGCTTTATGTTCTGATTAGGTGCCGGTCACTTTCCCTAAGCATGAGAGCCTTACGTGTGTGTGACTCCATCTCTTTTTACTATACACAGTGTACATGTGGACTTCATGTGGTTGAAGGCAGCAGACATTCTGTTTTTCACTTAAGCATGTTTCATGTAAGCATTTCTGAGTTCTGACCTACAAATCATGCTTGTCATTGTTAGTAGCAACATATATTCTAGCATGTTGAAGAGAGATATCCCTGCCCGGGTGGCAATTAGGTAGGCTGTTTGCAGTTTGGGGAGGTCACGGGTGGCCTACCCAAGTGCCCTTATGGTGAAAGCTCAGCCCTGTGCATTTGCTGACTAGCCGGAGAGCAAGGATCCCTCAGTCTGGAAGGTGAAGACAATCCCACAATCCCACTTTCTCGAGTGGAACCTTCTGTCTTGCTCAGCCTTCGTCACTTTTGCTTTTGAAGCCTCTGAGTGTTTGATCAGTCTGTGTCTAATACTGCACTTCTCTCTCTTGTTTTGGGGGATGGTAATCTTGACTGCAAAAGTTCCTCATTTATTTGGCCTTTCATCCCTCTCCATGAAAGAGAATGCTTTCTCTTATTAGCGATTGGTACTGCAAATACCTTTATTGCTCTTTGTAGCTTTGTGGTGGGATTTTCATTTACCAACAGCAGGGCACTTCAGAGGAATGGATAGAAAAGGAAGCATCTGTTTTCCGTCTTTTTCGTGCTTACTTTTTTCTATTTTTTTCTAGCCAGTGAAATTAATTTGTTTCTTAGTTCCTTCTCATTGCTTTCATGATTGTGTCTGTTTCTTGTTTTTGTTTCTCGCTGGAATTTTTCCAGAACAAAATTAACTCGGTTTCCTCTTTCACCAAAGAATGTCGTGCTTCTTTGGTGTGGTAACACAGAGCGCATCCTGGGGAGGTCCTTGCGTTCCCCATTTTGCAAAAATGAACGGATTTTTGTTGTGTGTGAATCTTCCAGGTAGTGGTGACCCTGGGTGACCCAAATGTGACCACACCATCGAGCTCAGTCGGCTTAACCAACATCACCGTGACCCCCATCACCACTGCGGCCGCGACTCAGTTTACCAATCTCCAGCCGGTGGCCGTGGGGCACCTTACCACCCCTGAACGCCAGTTACAGCTGGACAACTCAATCCTGACCGTGACCTTTGATACCGTCAGCGGCTCTGCCATGTTGCACAACCGCCAAAATGACGTCCAGATCCACCCCCAGCCGGAAGCCTCGAACCCACAGTCTGTGGCCCATTTCATCAACCTGACGACCCTGGTCAACTCCATCACGCCCCTGGGGAGCCAGCTTAGTGACCAGCACCCGCTCACGTGGCGGGCAGTGCCCCAGACTGACGTCTTGCCACCCTCGCAGCCGCAGGCACCCCCACAGCAGGCGGCCCAGCCCCAGGTGCAGGCGGAGCAGCAGCAGCAGCAGATGTACAGCTACTGAGCTGCGTTCCGGGAGACTCGGGGCAAGAACTGCAGAGGGATGTTTGGGATTTGTTTAGATGTGTTTGCTGGATACCAAACAAACAAAAAGTCATACATTGCAATGTAAGGTTGACTTAGCTTTGCAGAGTATCTCCAGATCCCCCGCCAGCAACCATTACGGTCTGTCAGCTTAACTCTAGAAGGGACCTCTGGCAGGCCAGAGTTTTAAACTGGATGGGGCTCCACACCATGCCTTACCAAGGCAGTAAGTCCTGGGCCGGGGCCGCATCTGCCTCCCCTTACAGAACCAGTGTTCGCCCGACACAGGGTTCGGGAAAGTGAAGCTGAGAGAGAAGCAGGATTTTAAGAGGCAGGAGATAAGTTATTAGGAACACAAATGGTTCATTTTCTTTTTTCTTTTAGAGCTCGGTTCCTATGAGAACACAGACAGTATTCACAGGTGGCAGCAGGCAGCAGGGAACATTTTCTCCTCACTTCTGGATTTTTTTGCAAGCGAGCACATAGAAGTTAAAGTAACGTGTATTCTCTTTGAACTAGGAGTGGAGTCGGTTCTTATACAACTATGGGCTGAAACCATGAGGCGTGCTGAGCCGCACCTGATCCTGCAACCTTCGAGGTCATCACGGTCATCATGTGCAAGGGGTCACGTGAGGTCACTGACTCCAGCTCAAAACGCATCTTAGTAATATCCATGAATCGATTTCCAATAGAGTTTTTTTCCTTTTTTTTTTTTAACTTTATTTCAAACATACATTATGTGTTCAAGACTGTTATGGCCAATATTGTGTTTTAGTTTTATGTTAACATGATAAAGTCATGTGCACTGTAGGACCATCTGTCCCTGTCCACCCTTCACAGCTGCCCAGATGCAGAGGGTCGCGCGGCTGTGTGTGAGGAGTGAGCCTCCCTGCTGCCCCCAGGGGCTCCTCCGGGTTGTCTCAGGATTCTCTGCAATCCAAATGTATCCATTCTGGCTGAAGCCCAGCCAGAATCCCGAGTGGAAGAAACGGGGGAAAAGTCATATTTTCCTTCTGTTTAAACTTCAATTCCAAAGGTTGGTGTATTTCATGACCAGTTTTCTATAAAAATATTGAATGAGTTTGGCTCTTTACAATGGAAAAGTGTAGGTATTTCTGAAACACAGAGAAAATGCTATTTCCTGCCAGGTGGTAATGAAAGCAGAGAGGTTAGTTCACTAATAGAAGCATTAATTGCCCCTAAAACTGAATGTGCGGTGAACAGCCAGGTCTGCGTGTGCGGGGACACGTGCTGTCACGTCTGTGTACCAGTTTCGGGGGCAGGGGCCAGGGTTGGGGGAGGCACCCAGCCCTCCTGCTGCCCACGACAAGAAACACTGAGAGGTGTGGGGAGAAGTTTGCTCTTAACTTTCCTGGTACTCTGTTTGTGGCCACAGTGAGAGGACAAACCTGCCTTAAGGTGTCCTGCTTTGCCAGTTATCCCAGATCCTGCACTCACTGGGAGTCCATCTTGAGGAAACACTGGCATGGCTGAGTAATTGATCAGGAGCAGTCCTGATGTTGCCAGCAGAACAAAGGATGATTGTGTTTTTCAAAACGCAACTTTCTCAGCACTTCACTCCAAACAGCAGACTTTTGAGGACAGGGCTGGAATTTGTTTTGTGCAATATATGCCTTCATGAACTAAGGAATGTTCATCCCCAGGCAGCATGCAGGAGGGTCTGTGGGGCTCACCTCCTCACCTTACCCACCATCACTCGCGCCTAGCTCTCACCTCTCAGTTGAATGAATAGTGGGAGATCATTTGACTTTTAATTTATGAGAATTATTTTATGTTATTTATGTATATAATTAACTGTTTTATACATAGTAGTCTCATCAAATGAATTCGGGCTTGGGGTGATATTGTCTCCATTCTCCAGATACAAGTGCTCCAGGCATCCATGGAATCAGCAGGAGACCAGGGCTCCTAAGATATATTTTTAAAAATCAGTATCGATTTCTTTTTGCCTTTGCAGAATCTAAAGGGCAAATGACCTCGCAGAGACTCCCAACGGGCTTTGGGCTCATGACGAAACACCCACTAGCATTGATCTTTTATTCCTCTTCCCTATAAAATAAAGGCCTTGGAAATCACAATTTTATTTTTTTAAAGAAGTTGTTTTAGTGCCTAGAGTAAGACCGCATCAAATGTTGTTAAAGAACCTAATTTAGATTGTGTGGTATATACCACTGTTTATCTCAATACACAGACACCTCTTACTTCTTGTTATAAGTGAGAACTCTAAAGAAAAATCAAACTCCCAAGTTTTCTGTAAACATACGTGGTCTTAATAGGGTCACTGTCTGAGGCAAAATGGGTTGTCTTAAAGCAATTGCTACAAATTTGCATCAAAGAAACTAGATAGCAAAATACAACAACCATGTACCACCCAGGCAGAAGAGTCCTCACCTATACGCAGTTCTGCATATTGATCATCATGACAGGAAGTATTTCGTTTTTTAACTGATCCCAGGTGCACAGATGTATTCATAAAGGAAGACATTAGATCCAGCCATTGTGGCCACCAGGCTCTGTGGACCCATCTCAGTGGAGAATTCGTTTTGGACCCGTGGCTCCGTGCAGCTGTGGACTCGAGTGCCATCCACTGGTGTGAGTCTTGCGGGGAGGCCACAGGTACAGCTGCTCCCCGTGAATCCTGGTCTGTGGGTTGAGAAGGGGCTCGGGCCTCTGGAATGCTCTAGCGTGTGACGTGTTCTCAGGAAAACGTTCTGTGCCAAGTGCCGCCTCGCTGTGTCCGGCATGGGACTGCGCTGGAGGGTCCGGCGTGGAAGGCAGACCTCCTGTACCTCTATCGTTCCCATTTGTGGCATCCAAAGGCGGAAGGCTCATGGCTTCCCCACTAGAGGCGGCGTCTTGGGCTTTCCCATTGGATTGTGAAAGGCATTAAGACTGTTTGGAGATGTTGGCTGTATTTCCTGTCACATCAGGTTGTATGATGACGAATAAAAGGTGCTGTGACCCGTGTTTTCAATTGCTGGCCTTCTGCTCCCGCTGCCTGTTAGGGAAGGTGGTGCAGTTCATATACTTTGAGAACGCTCACGATTCCTGCCGTCAGCCACATCTTGATTCCTCTCAGGTCCAGAACTCATAAAATGTTTGGATTATTTGAAATGTTCCCTGAGATATTGAGGTATCAGAAGCTTTCACAGGGATTGCCAAAAAAAAAAAAAAGCCACCAAGAGGGTGCATGTAGCATTTTTTGTAAAGCTTAGATTGAGAGAGAACAGGCACCAAAAAGATTGACAGCTAGAAAGAGGCGAATACTTCAGCAGGAGTTTCTTTGGGCAGATGGTCTGGAATGACCCCTTATCTTATTGATCTTTTGATCAAATATTGAATGATGTATTCTAATTTGCTAGGTTTTTTTTTTTTTTTTTTTTTTTTGAGACAGTGTCTCGCTCTGTCACCCAGGCTGGAGTGCAGTGGTGAGATCTCGACTCCCTGCAGCCTCCGCCTCCCAGGTTCCCGTGATTCTCCTGCCTCAGCCTCCCAAGTAGCTGAGATTACAGGTGCCTACCACCATGCCTGGCTAATTTTTGTATTTTTAGTATAGACAGGGTTTCGCCATGCTGGCCAGGCTGGTCTCGAACTCCTGGCCTCAAACGATCCACCCACCTCAGTCTCCCAAAGTGCTGGGATTACAGGCATGAGCCACTGCACTCGGCCTGCTAGGTCATTTTAAAGTTAGGAAACACCTTACATATCCAGTCTTCTGAGGATTTAACCTGTGAGAACCAAGCCTTGGATATTTTTGTTGTATTTTAGGTAGCATCTGCCAGCAATGAATTCTGCCAGGAAGTAGGATTCATTCATTTCACGTTTGGCCACCTGTGAGCAAGTCCTTGTGTGTGCCAGCCCTGTGTGGTTCTCATTGCACACAAAGGCAGACTTTCAGCCTTTCAGAACACTGCAGGGAGAAACGGTGGTGATGTTGTTAGCATGTTAGCATGCACATTCGATTCATCAGTGCCCCCATGTTTCTTTCAGGGTGCAAATTACCACCTAGTGATTTGCTCTGCTAAAAGCCATGCAGTGTGGTGGAAAACTGACAAGCACACAGTCTGAATACGGCCTTTTCACAAGCATTAGGCACAAGCTCCGTAGAGAGGGGAACAGAGCGGGCCATTGGCTTCTTCCCCATCAGGTTGTACATCTGGTGTGAGTGTATTCTCACAGGGGTCCTCGTTCTGGCCTGACAGGGATGAGTGACCTTGCCTGTATGGCGGTGCAATCATCAGAATCATCTGGAAGTGGCGCTGGGTTGCCCGGACAAAGCTGGCCGGGGCCTCCCCTTCCACCCAAGCCTTGCTTCCAGTGAAGCTGAGAGCTTCTCCTCCCTTAGCCGGGGAATGTGGCTCCCCTGAGCCCAGGGTTCCCAAGTGCAGGCAGCTCGCATTCCGTGTCCTCGAAGCATGGCAGCCACATCCAGACTGTCTTGGAGCCAAGTAGCCCGTTCTTTCCCCACTGACAGGCTTGCCTTCTATGTGTTTTATAAAGAGGGAGACCATGGGGAAGGCACCCTTCATTGGAATGTGGACCTACCTGTCTAGAGACACACCACTGCTCAGCACACCTCTGGGTAGAGGGAGGACCAGACCCAAGACTTCACTCCTGCCAATATAGCCTGTTCCCCGAGTGAGACATTCAGTTCCTCCTGAACACTGGTGCATCTGTGAGAAACAGACTCATCCGTCCAAACCCAAAGAACGGACTCAGAGACCCGAAGAACAGCAGAAGTGAGACTTTTAATGATGGTCTTGCAAGATTGGGTGTCTGATGGGCAGGCACACCCAGTGCAGTTTCAACAAACAATGTATCCCCTAGTGTGCAGGTCCCTCCCCGAGTTCCTCATAGGCTGAGCACTATGGGCTCACAACCTTCCCAGACATCACCTATTGGTTGTTGGGCAGGGGTCTTAGGTGTCTTTTTAGGGTTTTCCTGCTGCATTTTGTTGCAGCCCACAATGCTTTGCAATCCTAGTCAGCCCAGGGGCTCTTCAAGCATTTGACTTATGACCTAAGTAGCTGGGCACGCTGATACGAATAGATAAAATGAGCTATTTTGCAGGCTAGTAAACTTTCATCTTAGACTAAATTTCTTTGGTTTGGGTGAGGGCAACGAAGGGGGAGGGGAGAAAGGGGGAAGGGGGAGGCTGACAAGCAGGCATTGATGATCCAAGCAGAGGTCTAGTGTATCCTGTTTCTTAGGTAGTTTGCTGACCTAAGCCAATTCAAGGCAGTTTGTCTTGGAGATGGACCACTGCATACATTACTTCCTTCACGTCACCACATTTGCATCACAATTTGGGGCTTGACCTGAACACTAGCTGTTTTCTTCTCTCTTGAGTTTTAGTCACAAAATCTTACAGCAAGGTAATGAAGGAAAGAGAGGCACCTGCCTCCATGTTGTAGGAAACAGCCTCTAGAAACCCAGAGGCTGCCCTTGCTGCTTATCTAAAACCGTCTGGAAGAGGCATGCTGGCCTCAGGAGAGTCCTATGTGTCCTTTGTATTTTGCCATTTTTTCCTTGAATTAAAGCGTACAATTCCTCTCTACCTGCGGGTCTCACCGGATCATCAAGCTCAGCACGTCCAGCTCATAGAGTTCACACGCCCTTTCCCCGGCCCGGCCCCAAACCTGGCCCTTCCCCACTGACCCTATGCTCAGCCAACAGCCCTGTCATCACTAAACACACAAGCTCAGAGCCCAGCTTCATCCTGGACTTGCCCTGCTTCCCACCTTGACATCCAAGTGTTTGCAAAAATGTCCAGGTTTTAAGACCAGGTGTGGTGCCTCATGCCTGTAATCCTAACATTTTGGATGCCAAGGCAGGAGGATCACTTGAGGTCAGATGTTCAAGACCAGCCTGAACAACATAGTGAGACCCCATCTCTTAAAGGAAGAAAAAGAAAATGTCCATATTTCACCATGTCCTCCACTATTCCCCGACTCCAGGTTTCCAGCTGACACCTCCTAAGTGCCTGTCAGCTTCCACTCTTGTCCCAGGAAGTCTATTCTCCGTGCCGTCACCTCAGTAACCCTTGAAGGTGTACATTCTACAGTGTGGCCCACACACCAAGCCCAGCGTCCTCCCTTGGATCCTGAGAGCTCTCTGAATACCCACAGATCCTTTCTGCAGCCTCCAGGTCTGTAGGGCCTGGCCCTGCTTCCTGCCAGCCAGTCTTCCTTCTCACCCGCCACCACCCCTCACCAGGGTCTTGCATCTGCCATTCATACTGTATGGAGGGGCTCACACAGGCAATTCAATTGTCTGATCTAAACATTTCTGCTTCTGACCCTGATGGGGTAGGAACTAGACTTAACTCTTCTGCTTGAACCAGCTAAAAAGCCCAGACACGGCCGGGCGTGGTGGCTCATGCCTGTAATCCCAGCACTTTGAGTGGTCGAGGTGGGCAGATCACTTGAGGTCAGGAGTTTGAGACCAGCCTGGCCAACATGGTGAAACACCGCCTCTACTGAAAATACAAACATTAGCCGGGCGTGGTGGTGGGCGTCTGTGATCCCAGCTACTTGGGAGGTGAGGCACGAGAATTGCTTAAACCCAGCAGGCAGAGGTTGCAGTGAGCTGACATCGCACCACTGCGCTCCTGCCTGGGTGACAGAGTGAGACTCGTCTCAAAAAAAAAAAAAAAAAAAAGCCCAGACACAATATATGGCCATCAGGAGTGAAGACAGTGGTCCCTGAGAGATGAAAAACAAGCCAGGTGAATCCCATGACTGCCCAGCATATGGACTGGAGAGACTTCCCAGGCCACAGTGCAGAGAGGGAGACAAGGCAGGGCACAGCAGTCCCTGAACTGATGAGACAAAGGTAAGGTCCAGGACGGACAAGGTAGCCAGAGTTCTCAGGGCAGGGTATGGGGGAGGAGAGGGCTGTGCAGAGACAGCGCCAGAGCTCAACAGAGGACCCCATGACTCTCAGCTGAGTACGGACAAGCACGCATGTGAGGAAGTGACCTGTTCCCAGCATGCAGAGAGAAAAAATTCTCTAATTTAGGGAAATTTGGGCAGAGTTCTCAGAAGCATTTTGCCTAAAAATGAGGAGAAATGACCCCTAAACCTTACTCTGGTCCCACTGAACAAAGCTTCATAGCAAAACGTGGAAAAGATCAAAGTGTTTCCAAGACGCTTCACTGAATCCCAGAACAATGCTCAAGGATATTTTATAGAGATACAAGAACACCTCACACCCAGCAATGCAAAATCAGGACAGCACCCAATCAAAAATGACCACGCATGCAAAGAATCAGGAAAATACAACTCATGATAAGGAGCAAAATTAACCCATCAAATCTTCTTGGAAATGACAGAATTGGTAGACAAAGATAAGAGAAATTATGACTGTTTTTCAGATGTTCTAAAAGCTAGAGGAATAATTAAATAATTAAACCTGTTAAAGGCATGAAAGATGTAGTTTTTTAAAAACAAAATGAATTGAACTTCCAGAGATGAAAATTTCAGTGATGACATGACAAACATACTGGATAGTATTCACAGCAGGTCAGATATTGCAGAAGAAAAGATCAGTGAAGCTAGGGCAATAAAAAAAAAACTATTCAAAATAAAATGCACAGAAAAAGAAGAGGGAGAAAATGAACAGAGCATCAGCGAGCTTTGAGATAACTTCAAGCAGCCTAATATATGTTATTAGAGTTTTTGAAGAGTCCTTGGAAGAAAAGGGAAAGAGATGGAAAAAAATATCTGAAGAAATAGTGAAGCCGGGTGCAGTGGCTCATGCCTGTAATCCCAGCACTTTGGGAGGCCGAGGCGGGCGGATCACGAGGTCAAGAGATCGAGACCATCCTGGCCAACATGGTAAAACCCTGTCTCTACTAAAAATACAAAAGTTATCCCGGTGTGGTGGTGCACGCCTGTAGTCCCAGCTACTCGGGAGGCTGAGGCAGGAGAATTGCTTGAACCCGGGAGGTGGAGGTGGCAGTGAGCCGAGATCGCGCCACTGCACTCCAGCCTGGGCAACAGAGCCAGACTCTGTCTCAAAAAAAAAAAAAAAGAATGAGCAAAATGTTGTCAAATTTGCCGAAAGCCATAAAACTACATATCTGAGAAGCTCAGTGATCACCAAGCACAAGAATCATGAAGAAAACTATGTTAAGGCATTTACTAATCAAATTGCTGAAAACCAGTAATAAGGACAAAAACCCGGAAGAATCCAGAGGAAAGACATATCACATACAGAGGAACAAAGATAATGATGACACGTCAAATTCACATCAAGGAGATGCAAGCCAGAAGACACTGGAGCAACATAGGGAAAGCATTGAAAGCAACTGTCAGGATAAATTCTATACCCAGCAAAAATATCTTTCAAAAAAGAAGGCCAAATAAAGGGGTTTAGATAATAATCCTGAAAGACACAACCCTGAACACAATATTCCCGAATGTTGAAATCTCAGAAGATCAAAATCCCTAAAGGGTAAAATCCTGAAAATCACAATCATAGCATAGTTGCATCATGTTAAGTAAAACTATCAGCTTATTGTCTTTATTTGGAAATTAAGTATGGTCAAATGAGATACCTATGTGTGCCAAGTTGACCAGGGTTGGCACATGTGGACTGAATTTTAGATGTCAACTTACCTGGATTGAAGAATACCTAGAAACCTGGTAAAGTATTCTTTCGGGTGTGTCTGTGAGTCTCCTGGGGAAATTATTGTGCAAGTCTGAGTGGACGAGGTGAGCAAGATCTGCCCTCAATGCTGGCAGGCACCATCCAATCAGCTGGGGTGCCCGAGAGAACAAATACAGAAGGCAAGTTGGTCTATCTCTGAGAGCTTGGACAGACGTTTCTTCTGCTGCCTTGGACATCAGAAAATGTTGAAACTTCCTCAGTAAATGAAGAGATGTTCTTTTTGTACATTTGCATTTGTGAAAGATAAAATTTATCCAGATTTCGGCTCTTTGGGCAACTACATGCAGTGGTGACCCGTCGGGGGTTTTGATTGATCTTGTTGAAAGACACTTTGTTCGTTTGGTATTTCAGATGACCACAGTTAGAAAGCTGGGTGTGCGCAATTACCGATAGTGACATGTGTTTTTACCTTTCCGTTTTGACCTATTTCTTTATGAATGTGGTTCATCTGGCCAGGCGCAGTGGCTCACGCCTGTAATCCCAGCACTTTGGGAGGCTGAGGCGGGCAGATCACCTGAGGCCAGGAGTTCAAGACCAGCCTGGCCAACATGACGAAACCTCGTCTCTACTAAAAGTACAAAAATTAGCCAGGCGTGGTGGCATGTGCCTGTAATTCCAGCTACTCAGGAGGCTCAGGCAGGAGAATTGCTTGAACCCAGAAGGCAGAGATTGCAGTGAGCTGAGATCGCACCATTGCACTCCAGCCTGGGCAACAAGAGCGAGACTCCATCTCAAAAAAAAAAGAATGTGGTTCATCTGCTCATAACCTGTGCGACTGTCATTAGTTTACCTGAGTGTTTACGCTTGCAAAGTATATGTTATTATTATCACCTATTTTGTTGTATAAAGTGGTCTATGAAGTGTGCAGTCCTGTTTTGATATGTTTCTGAACTGCAATATCTTTTAAATGTTTTTAAAAATTATTTTTTCCAGAATTATATTTTCAGGATTTTGATCTTTTGGGGTTGTGATTTTCAGGTTTGATCTTCTGGGATTTCAGCGTTTGGGGTTATGGTGTTTGGGATTGTGTTTTTGGGGATTATAATCAGCTCCCCAATTAAAGACTTTTCCAGACACACAAGGCTGAAGGAGTTCAGTGTCAGTAGCCTGCAGTGCGAGTTCTCTTTAAGGAAGTCTTCCACGCAGAGCGAAGGTGATAGCAGGTGGGAATCTGGACCTGTCCAAGGACACAGAGAACAATGGAAATGGTAACAATGTGGGTAGATTCAAATACTTTATTATCTTATCAGTTAAATATATTTAAAAGTCAAGCAAAAGTAAAGATGATGTATTATGGGACTTATAATATAGAGACCTATAAAATGTACGAGAGGCCATGTGTGATGGCTCACACTTGTAATACCAGCATTTTGGGAGGCTGAGGCAGGAGGATCACTTGAGGCCAGGAGTTTGAAACCAGGCTGGGCAACATAGTGAGACCCTATTTCCACAAAAAAAAATAAAACAAACAAAAAAAATAGCTGGTGTGTAGTATGTGCCTGTAGTTCCAGCTATTCAGGAGGCTGAGGTGGGAGGATCACTTGAACCTGGCAGATCAAGGCTGCAGTAGGCGATGATTGTGCCACTGCACTCCAGCCTCTCCCATCCCTACCCCATTCCCTAGCCCCCGATCCCTCCCCCATTTCCTAGCCTCCCCATCCCTCCCCAATTCTCTAGTCTCCCCATCCCTCCCCATTCCCTCCCCTCCCCCATCCCTCCCCCATTCCCTAGCCTCCCTGATCCCTCCCCATTCCCTAGCCTCCCCCATCCCTCCCCGATTCCCTACCCTCCCTGATCCCTCCCCCATTCCCTACCCTCCCCCATTCCCTAGCCTCCCTGATCCCTCCCCAATTCCCTACCCTCCCCAATCCCTCCCCCATTCCCTCCCCTCCCCATCCCTCCCCCATTCCCTAGCCTCCCTGATCCCTCCCCATTCCCTACCCTCCCCAATCCCTCCCCCATTCCCTAGCCTCAGGCAATCACCATCTGCTCTCTACCTCTATAATTTTGTCATTTCAAGAATGTTATATAAAATGGAATCATACATTCTATAACTTTAAAAAATATGGTATATTTGTCTATCAAGGTATTATTCTTTACATGTTAACCATGCTTTTTTTTTTTTTTTTTTTTCTGAGACAGTCTCACTCCATTGCCCAAGCTGGAGTGCAGTGGCACAATGCTGGCTCACTGCAACCTCCACCTCCCAGCTTCAAGCGATTCTCCTGCCTCAGCCTCCCGAGTAGCTAGGATTACAAGTGCGTGCCACCACACCGGCTGATTTGTGTATTTTCAGGAGAGACTGGGTCTCACCATGTTGGCTAGCCTGGTCTCGAACTTCTGACCTCAGGTGATCCGTCCACCTTGGCCTCCCAAAACCATGATTTTTTAATGGAAACTTTTATTGAGATAGCAGATCACATAAAACCAACTTTTACTGAGATAGTAGATTCACATACAGTTATCGAAAATCATTCAGAGAGATCTCTTATACTTTGTCTGGTTTCCCCCAGCGGTAACAGTTTGAAAAACTATTGTACTAGATCACAGTTAGATTTGACTTTGATATAATCCACTGGTCTTATTCAGATTTCATTTATACCCTGTGTGTGTGTTTGTGTGTGTATTAGATTCTATACAATGCTGGTGTATCATTGTGTTGGTCTGTTTATCTGCCCCACGTCAAGATACCAAATGTATCACTTTTTGAGATTGGTTTTTCCTTTTTTTCTTTTGTGTTTGTTTTTGAGACAGAGTCTCCCTCTGTCACCCAGGCTGGAGTGCAGTGGCTCAATCTCAGCTCACTGCAACCTCCACCTCCCGGGTTCAAGCGATTCTCCTGCCTCAGCCTCCTGAGTAGCTGGGATTACAGGTGTGCGCCACCATGCCCGTCTAATTTTGTATTTTTTTAGTAGAGACTGGGTTTCACCATGTTGGCCAGGGTGGTCTCAATCTTCTGACCTTGTGATTTTCCACTCAGCATCTCCACCCTGGAGATGCTCCCAAGTTGCTGGGTGTGTCAACAGTTCATTCCTTTTCATTGCTGAGACCATTATGCGGGTACACTATGGTTTATTTAGGCAGTAGCCCATTGAAGGACAATTTTGGGTTGTTTCCAGTTTGCAGCTATTCTGAATCAAAGTTGCTATGAATATTTGTGTGAATATTTTTGTGTACATGAGTTTTCATTTCTCTGGAATAAATGCCCAGGAGTCAGATTACAGAATTGAAGATCAGTGTATAGGTTTCTGGGGAATAATTGTGGAACTGCCTTATAACCAATGTTAAATCATTTAAAATGTGGTTTGTATTTTCCATGTAACTAGTATTGTGTAGTACGGGTTGTACAAATTATTCATGCTGTATTCTAAGAGAAAAATTTAACAATTAAGATCATAATTTGGAGAGATAAGAGAAAGAATTTGCCCAGTTCGGATGAACCATGGGGAGAAAAGGCTCCCAACATCTTTTACTGTTAACCATGTTTTTTCTGGGTCTAGGTGTTGTTGGAAGACATACTTCCTTAGCCATCAAAGCTTTGAAGCTTCAAACCAATAGCTGAAAGTGTTCTATCCAGTTTGAATTATCACTTGAAATTTTCAAGTCTTCATGAGCCTCGAAAATCCTCATCTCCAATGATTCACTCTTATTAATAAGATCACTAATGAATTCTTCAACTTTGTTCATTAAGTTATATTTGTTGTCCCTTTTCAGCAAATGGTAAAACATGATTATTCAAGCCTTTTAATTCTCCATGCTACCTTAATGATTAATGGAATGTAACTGTCCAGTAGAAAATGGTTCTTTATGACAAGTGATCTTTATTATGCTCGATGATTACATAATGGAAATAGCAAATGAAAAAGGCATTTATCTGACATCATTATGTAAATCTCATGTCTAAAATTGTAGTACATTCTGATGCCCCCTGGGTACATGTTGGCATTTAAATATAGAAGCTAGCGGTGTATTACTGTGCCTTATTTGGTTTTAAACAATCATATTCCCTGGACTGTCCCCATACATCCCAACCATTCCTATATAACCTTCTGGTGCCCAGCTTGGGACAGTCTATTAGAGAGGCTTGATAGATAAAATTAAAAAACAGTGGAAACTCCCAGTAAATACCACAGTGAAAAAAATACCCATGTCACATGCTCTAAGTATCTTCGTATCTTAGTCTCCCAAGCTAAGATCTTTTTACTGCAGGTGGTTCTCCACTTGGTAGATTGGACACTGATTTGTTTAGTGTCCAGAGCTTTAGAAACAGAGCTAAAATGTGTTCCTAGATTTTCAGTTACTATATGGGTCTTGAAAGCATCAGTAAAAATATAAAATTGAAAAGAATTCTATTCAAATATCCAGCTCATCAATTTAGGATAAGAGGAATAGCCCGATGTGCTATACTCAGTCATTCTACTAACATCGGCTCAGTCACCCCCTGAAATAATTGTTATCTCATTATTAGATGATTTAGGTTTCTCAATAAAAAGAATTCATTGTCAGTAAAACTGAATCATTCATTACTATTAGTTTTTTGAGGGAGAGTCTGACTTATGTCACTCAGACTGGAGTGCAGTGGTGCGATCACGGCTCACTGCAGCCTCAACTTCCTGGGTTTGGGTGATTCTCTTACCTCAGATTCCCGAGTAGCTGGGACTACAGGTGTGCACCACCATGCCCAGGTAATTTCTTTTTTTGGTATATCTTTGTTGAGACAGGGTTTCACCATGTTGCCCAGACTGGTCTCTAACCCCAGGACTCAAGCGATCTGCCCGCTTCAGCCTCCCAAAACGCTGAGATGACAGGCATACACCACCACACCTGGCCTCAGTAAAATATCATTACAAAATATTGTCTGAATGAATCTTTAATTTGATGTTTGTGGAACTGGGGTTCTTTTCTTTGTTTTTGGATCACTGTCAGTACTTTGGGAGAAATTGGGAATTGTGAGAGGCTGCTAGGCCCTTACTCAGGCCGAATAATTCTTTTAAGGAGAAGAACAATGAGAACGTGGATGGCGCACACTAGGCGGAAATGCATGGGCCCTAATGAAGAGCATCCCTCCAAGATTCAGTGGAACATTCCCAAAACAACCAGCAAGCAAATGTGTCACCAAACAGTGCAGAGACTTTTGTTTTTAAAACCAGGGACCTATTTGTGTGTGTGTGTGTGTGTGTGTGTGTGTGTGTGTGTGTGTGTGTGTTTCAAGATGGAGTTTTGCTCTTTTTGCCCAGGCTGGAGTGCAATGGTGCGATCTCGGCTCACTGCAACCTCCACCTCCCGGGTTCAAGTGACTCTCCTGCCTTAGCCTCCCGGATAGCTGCGATTACAGGTGCCCACCACCACGCCCAGCTAATTTTGTATTTTTAGTAGAGATGGGGTTTCTCCATGTTGGTCAGGCTGGTCTCGAACTCCCGACCTCAGGTGATCCAGCCGCCTTGGCCTCCCAAAGTGCTGGGATTACAGGCATGAGCCACTGCGCCCAGCTCATTTTTTTTTTTTTTTAATTTAAAAGGTAACAGCAAAACGCTCAATCGCTTTCCTGGCTCCTGACTGCTGTTTGCGATGTTTGCTGTCACGGCTGCAAACACAGCTGCCCGGGGAACTTTGTCCCACTCTGGATGTAATTAGCCACCCCCAACCCACACCTGCCTTCAGGTGGCGTCAAAGCTGAAATATTTTAACTGGTTATTCACCAGCCAGAGTCAGACTTCTGACTCGACGAGGCTTAACCTCAGCTTTGGTTTTCCGTGCAAATTGCTGTGAGAACTTCTGATGGGTGGACAAGTGGCTCCAGGCTCCAGTGACTCACAGCTGAGCCGAGCGTCCTTTTCCTCAACTCGGGACCAAATCAAGTTTTATAGCCCCCGGCAGCAACTTGACAACCATTGTTTCAAGCCAAGAGCAAGAACATGGCTAAACTACCCCAGACATGATTTATTTTCTTATTAATGAAACAAGTTGGAGAGATTTCCCAACTTCACGCAATCATCCAACAGCATTCCTGTCCACAAACTTCCTTGTGTTGGATTCTTTAGGATATTTCCTCCCGTTCTGTTCTTCTAAAGATCAAGTAGAGGTAATGATAGCCTTATGTCTAATAACCTTTCACTTCTTCAATCCACAGACTAACTCCTCATCCAGCCCTGCGTCGTTAACCGTTTTCTCCAGGCAATTTCTCCCCTCTTTGACTTTCCTACGAACCTTCAAGGACTTCAAGAATTGGTTGGAAGCCTTAACAGCTTTAAGTACTATTTGACATATTCTCCTTGAAGAGTCTCTGAAATTTACCATTTCTTTTTCTTTTCTTTTCTTTCTTTCTTTTTTTTTTTTTTTTTTTTTTTTTTTTTGAGACAGGATTTCCCTCTGTGGCCCAGACTGGAGTGCAGTGGTGTGATCATGGCTCACTGCAGCCTCGACCTCACGGGTTCGAGCCATCCTCCCACCTCAGCTTCCCAAGTAGCTGAGACTACAGGCATGAACCATCATGCCAGCTAATTTTTTTTTTTTTTTGTAGAGACAGAGTCTCACTATGTTGCCCGGGCTGGTCTTGAATTCTTAGGCTCAAGCAATCCTCCCACCTTGGCCTCCCAAAGTGCTGGGATTATAGGTGTGAGCCACTGCGACTGGCCCCCATTTAACTTCAATTACACCTGACTTTAAGCACATGGAGATTTTCTAGAGTGTATTGAGTGTTGTCTGTCTTTGATGATAAAGTTTGTGGAACATCACTGAGAGTAGGACCTTTTAAAAAGCCTCACTTTCCTGGGAGTGATAAAACAAAGAAGCACCTGAGCTGCTTTCCATGACTTTTTCTTTTCTTTTCTTTTCTTTTTTTTTTTTTTTTGAGATGGAGTCTCTTTTTTTATTTTGAGATGGAGTCTCACACTGTCGCCCAGGCTGGAGTGCAATGGCGCAATCTCGGCTCACTGCAAACTCCACCTTCTGGGTTCAAGCGATTTTCCTGCCTCAGCCTTTCGAGTAGCTGGGACTTGTAGTCTCATGTGCCACCACGCCTGGCTAATTTTTGTGTTTTTTGTAGAGACGGGGTTTCACCATGTTAGCCAGGCTCATCTCAAACTCCTGACCTCAAGTGATCCGCCCACCTCGGGTTCTCAAAGTGCTGGGATTACAGGTGTGAGCCACTGCGCCCAGCCCTAAATGTTAATTTTAAATAATTAGTTAATAATAATGATCCGTTTTGGTTCATCAGCTGTAATGAATGCACCACACCAATACAGATCTGGCGGGGATGCAGGAGCAGAGAGTGTGGGTGAGAATTCTGTGCTTTCTTCTTCTTTTTTTTTTTTTTTTTTTTTTTTGAGGCAGAGTCTCGCTCTGTTGCCCAGGCTGGAGTGCAGTGGTGCGATCTCGGCTCAGTAGGCTTAACTCAGAAATTTGCAGCAAAAAACACAATTACTTTTGCACCAACCTAATACCTAAGATAAATGAAAACATATATCCACAAAAGACTTACACACAATGTTCATAGTAGCTTCAGTTGGCAGAGGCATCCGGCTAGTGGGAATTCTAAGAGGAGAGAAGGGAGACAAAGGCAGAGTGGGACTGTCCAGGAGGCAGGAGGGGAGTCTCCCAGGACAGGAGGCTTTCAGTGCCTACTGCAGATGTAGTGCTGTGGGAATTTCGTTTTTCTTTTCTTTTTTCTCTTGTTTTTTTGTTTGTTTTTGTTTGTGTGTTTTGTTTTTGAGACAGAGTTTCGCTTTTGTTGCCCAGGCGGGAGTGCAATGGCACGATCTCGGCTCACTGCAACCTCCGCCTCCCAGGTTCAAGTGATTCTCCCGCCTCAGCCTCCCGAGTAGCTGGGATTACAGGCGCCCGCCACCAGGTCTGGCTAATTTTTTTGCATTTTTTTTTTTTTTTTTAGTAGAGTTGGGTTTTCACTGTGTTGGCCAGGCTGGTCTCGGACTCCTGACCTCAGGTGATCCACCTGCTTCAGCCTCCGAAAGTGCTGGGATTACAGGCAGGAGCCACCCTGCCCGGCCCCTTTTGTGGTAATTTCTGGACGATCTTCTTGACTCTTTAATGTTTAGTCTTGGCCTTCATGTTTTAATTTCTAAGCGTTCTTTCTGGTTATCTGGTCCTCCTTGTCCCCTACTCACTGTGTTCTAGTTTCATGGGTGACACATCTTCTCTGAAGATTTGAAGCTCTCCCTCTGCCACCAATCTCTGAACTGTCTGTTTCTTTTCTGTTTGTTTCCTACCTCTTGTACTGGAGGTTTCCTCAAATCTCTGCAAGCCTGAAGGTTCTTGGGGTATGGGTAGGGCTTGTGGACCTCTCAGCCTCACTGGTCACTTTCCCAAGGGGCCCCCAAATGCCAGTGTGTAGAACCTGCAGGTCCTCTGCATGAGGGATGGCGTTACATAAGATACATCTGGCTGGCAGTGTTCTGGAAGATAGGGGCAGGACGGGGAGACGTGAGTCATGCTGGAAAGTTCCGCAGGTCTTGGGCTGCCCCTGATGTAGCTGAGTGTGGAGCTTCTCAGGTTCAGTCTCATGTGCATACACACACACACATACTTGTGCATGCACACCTATGACGGTTACTACAGGACTGAACGAAGGGGGATGAACGCAGAAATGAAGACAAAGACAAAAAGATCTGTTTTAAAGAAGGGGTCGGGGGCTCCTTGCTTCTAGTGAGCAAGGGCCCTGAGCCTCTAAAGCCCTTCGTATTTACTAGGCAGAATCAACAGGGAGCAAAAGGTAACGATTGGTCAGCTGCTTGATTTATGACAGGTTCACATAATTGCTTTCTTTATACAACAGGCTTCAGATGTGGCTGTAGATAATCACAAGAAACACTGCGCCTGGGGCGTGACTGCCCTCAGGGTTCCTTCTGGTGGCGGTTTGTCAGTTTGCCAACAACCTGCATTCATGAGAACAGTTTGCTGTTTGCTCATACAGCCTCCAGCGGTGTGCTGAGCTGGTCACGACCCTCGTTCTTTCGGCCTTCAACACACACCCATGAGCGCAGTGCATGCTCACACATGCACACATGTGAACCAGTGCATGTACACACACAGTGTAAAGAAGAGTAAACAGAGGAGGAAAGGCAGTCTAAGGATAACATTTTATTTAAAAAATTAAAATTTTGGCCAGGTGCAGTGGCTCACGCCTGTAATCCCAGCACTTTGGGAGGCCGAGGTGGGCAGATCACCTGAGGTCAGGAGTTCGAGGCCAGCCTGGCCAACATGGTGAAACACCGTCTGTACTAAAAATACAAAACAATTAGCCGGGCGTGGTGGCACATGCCTGTAATCCCAGTTACCAGGGAGGCTGAGGCAGGAGAATTGCTTGAATCCAGGGGGTGGAGGTTGCAATGAGCCAAGATCGCACCACAGCACTGCACTCCAGCCTGGGCAACAGAGTGAGACTCTGTCTCAAAAAAAAAAAAAACAAAAAAAAAAATTTAAAATGTTCACGTACAGTCAGACCTTTGCTCTGGTCCTGCTTCCCACTAGATAGGTCTTAGGCTTGAGCCGCAGTCTTCATGATAAATATTGACTTTTCTTTCAACAAATTAAAAATGAGCATTTAAATAATGCCATACTTTGCTTAAGCTTTAAATTACAAATCAGATGAGCAGTCATAAAGGCATGTTTGAATCTAACGTAAAGGTTACATTACTTAAGGTCCCTTTCATCTGAGTTCCCTGCAGCGCATGAAGACGTCCAGTGACCCCTCTGCTGGGGCAGGTGTGTGTGATTTCACCACACATGTCTCCCAGACCTTGAGATCACAAGTCAGAACATGTGTAGGTTGCTGAAAGCACAGAAACCCTGATTTTTAAAGAACACATTTTACACAGTTGCGTATATAACTTGGACCTGCTACTGTTTCATAACTTTTATTTTTCCCAAATATAGTATGCATCATTATTTGCACGATCATCTCAATTCTTTTCTTGGTTCAGCAATGTGTTTTGTTTTATCATTTTAAAAATAAAAATGGTGGCCAGGCATGGTGGCTCACGCCTGTAATCCCAGCACTTTGTGAGGCCGAGGTGGGCAGATCACCAGGTCAGGAGTTCGAGACCAGCCTGGCCAACATGGTGAAACCCTGTCTCTACTAAAAATACAAAAATTAGCTGGTCGTGGTGGCAGGCGCCTGTAATCCCAGCTATGTGGGAGGCTGAGGCAGGAGAATTGCTTGAACCTGGGAGGCGGAGGTTGCAGTGAGCGGAGATCATGCCATTGCACTCCAGCCTGGGCGACAAGGGCAAGACTCCATCTCAAAAAAAAAAAAAAAAAAAAAAAAGGCATATATTTACATTGTGTAACATGATGTGTTGATAGAGATACTCACAGCAAAGTTACTACGGTCAAGCATATGAACATGTCCACCTCCCCACGGTTGCGTTTTGTGTGTTTGTGTGGTGACAGCACCTGAAATCTCTCTTGGTAAATTTCCGGGGTACAGCACAGAATTGTTAAGTACAGTCCTCAGGCTCTGCACTGGACCTCTAGACTTAGTCGTCCTATGTAACTGCAACTCTGTACCCTTTTAAAATGATATATTGTTAAAAAGTAAATATGTTTTGCTGACTTTTAAAATTGATAGTAAAAATAATTAAATCATGAAAATCTGTCCATTGCTAGTGGATAGAGGTAACTAATAAACTTGGAGGGTGGGAGAAAACAGGGAGGAAATAGGCATTTTTAAAAACTGTAAGTAAACTTTCAATAATATATTTCCCCTTTCATTCTCACAATGGCTGTCTCCCTAAAGGTTCACCCCAAGAAACACAGTGCAGCTCGCTTTGGTAGAAATGACAGTTTCCCATTTATGTAAAATTAGTTGGCATAAAGTGTAGAGGAGGAAGAGAGAGCATTGCTGTTTGGAGGAACAAGTTCCCCAAATATGTATTTACATTATGATAATGAGCCTAATTAATAGAATGCTTGCATTATCCATTTTTATTGATTTTAATTATTATTTCGTGCTGATATTTTCCTTGTCTTTTATGATTTTTTATTTTTTTGAGACAAGGTTTCACTTTGTTGCCCAGGCTGGAGTGCAGTGTTGTGATCATGGCTGACTGCAGCCTCAAACTCCTGGGCTCGAGCAATCCTCCCACCTCAGCCTCCAAAATATCCAGGATCACAAGTGCATGCCACCATGTTCGCTAATTTTGTTTATTTTGGGGGGAGACGGGGTCTCACTCTGTTGCCCAGGTTAGTCTTGAACTCCTGGGCTTGAGTGATCCTCCCACTTTCCAGAGTGCTGGGATTACAGGCATGAGGCACTGTGTCTGGCCAATATTTTTCTTTTAAATTACAGCTTCTTAACTTTTATTTTCTCATGCCAAAAATCTCAGTTCTTTACCATAGAGCTAATGATAGAGTTTCTATATCACATTTCCTTTATGCTTCAACACACACAGGGCAGTCTCAGGATAACATCAACACTCAGCCAATAGTGTGATTGTGGGAAAGGGGTTAAGATGCCTCCCTCCCTCCTTCCCTCCCTCCCTCCCTCCCTCCCTTCCTTCCTTCCTTCCTTCCTTCCTTCCTTTCCTCCCTCTCCTCCCTCCCCTCCTTCCTTCCTTTCTTTCTTTCCTCCTCTCCTCTCTCTTTCTTTCTCCCTCCCTCTCTTGCTTTCTTTCTCTTTCTCTCTCTTTCTCTCTCTCCCTCCCTCCCTCCTTTCTTTCTTTCTTCCTTTCCTTCCTTTCTTCCTTTCCTTTCTTTCTCTGTTCTTTTTGCCCTTAGTGCATTTTCCACTAGTAGTTACTTTTAAATTCCTACGTTTTAAAGTCAATTGGAATAGCTCCCCTCTGGTTAGTCAGGCTACCAAATGGATACACATTTGGTTCATTTGTCTTATTTTATTTTTGGTATTTAGACATTGCTTTTTAAAGTTAATTGTGTTTTATAAGGATGTAAAATATTTGCATGGTTTCATAGTCAAATCTAGAAAACAGGGCATGTGCAACAAGGACTTGTGTCTTCCCCCAGAGACTTCCAGCCCCCTCCCTGTGGACTGTGCTCACACTGTTTATTTTTAGAATGGAAGCAGATAGGGAGAGATAGATTGATTGATGGTAGATAGATGATAGAGAACAGGTAGGCAAGTAGTTAGGTAGTACATAGATGATGAATGGTAGAAAC
Organism: Homo sapiens; assembly: GCF_000001405.40. Classification (NCBI taxonomy): domain Eukaryota; kingdom Metazoa; phylum Chordata; class Mammalia; order Primates; family Hominidae; genus Homo; species Homo sapiens. Next base: position 41,780,393 of record NC_000021.9, on the reverse strand, counting down.
ATAGATAGATAATAGATGGATGGGAATAAAGATAGTAAATAGATAGACAGAGGGATGGGTCCCTATTTCCTGCCTGTACTGGAAAAATGGAAGATTTCCTCCACCTTGCTCTGTTCAGAGTGGTCTGTGCAATCACTCCAGAGGCACGTGTAGACACAGTCCTCCTCCCATTTTCACAATTGCACGGCAGTCTTTCCTATGGATGAGTGATAATAATTCAACCATCGCCCATCCATGGGGATTTGGGGTGCTTCACATCTTTTGCTTTTACAGACTATATAATACATTAAGAGAAGTGGGTCTCATTATGTAAATGCCTGCGCCTTGCTTTTTTTATTGAATATAATTTGATTTTATTATATTTGTTTTCACTTTTTAAATGGCTGTGTATATGATGTATATGATAAGATCTCAATTGAAATAATATTTGGATTTGTTATCACTGTGTTTTCCTTCCCCTGCTGTTTGAAAAAGGCAGCCCTTTTCATGCTTCCTTGTCTGAGAGAACTCAAGCAGCACAGCAGCAGGTGCAGAGGCTCTCCCTGGAAGCCTAGGCTTACTGCAGCCAAGCTGTTAGGAGCGAGTGCTACTATCACCGGTCGAGGGTCATAACTGCAACTTGTCCAGGTTCTTGGCATTTTGAACAAAGAATTGGACAAAACGCCCAACAAAGCAAAGAAAGAATGAAGCAGCAAAAGAACGAAAGCAGGAATTTATTGAAAACCAAAGTACACTCCACAGTATGGGAGCGGACCCGAGCAGCGGCTCAAGGGCCTGGATACAGGATCTTCTTGGGTCCAAATATCCCCTAGAAGTTTCCAATTGGCCACATCATGCTCACCTCATGTAAATGAAGGTGCCAAAAGCAACCAGTCAGAGGCTAGGGTGAAGTTACAAAGTTATACTTCTATGCAAACGAAGGCTGAGCCCGCAATCAGTCTGATTCGTTGTGGACAGCAACCGTTCAGAGACTGGAGCGAAGGTACAGAGGTGCAAACGAAGACTCCACCCACAATCAGTCTGATTGGTTGCGGACAGCCAATTTCCCATTTGCCTCGAGGAAAAGGTGGGGGGGTTTAGAAAGGGAATAGCCTCTGGTCCTTTTGTTACTTAGGAGTGGAAAGTTAGGGTTTTCCTTTCAATTTAGTTGTAGGAAGTCTGAGTGAAACAGCCTTTGGTCCCCTGCCTCCAGCCCCTATTCTCCTGCCTCAGTACCTGGAGAAATGCACGTGGGGGGCGCTGTCCCTTTAGCACTGGAAACCACTAATATGCATGGGCGGGGGGCGGGGGGATGTGGATAAACCAAATGCTCTGCGTTTTACATGAAGGGGTGTTACGTAGCAGGTACAGGAAATATCTCACAGCTATATTGTATCGTCATGGATACTTCCCCAAAGCAAAATTTAGTTAAAAACAAAAAAGTAAACAATACGACACATTATTAATGGTTGTTAGTTGTGGATGACAGGAATGTATTTCTCAATATTATACAACAGTCACACAACAATCAGAAGATTAAGGAATGCTGGCTTTTTAAAAATCCCTAAAATTAAAAAATGAAGCAAAAACCAAACCAAGCCAACCCCCCACCAAAAAAAAAAAAAAACAAAATAACAACAACAAAACACACAAAAAAACCCAAAAACAAAACAAAAACAAGTAAAATCCCTAAAATTTTCTTAGAAAAAAACAAAGATAAAATTGATTGGAAAGAAGAGCCTACGTGTGGGTGAAGGATAAGCTGATAAGCTGACTCGTGCACGCCTTGTGTTTCTGAAGAAAATCACAGAATAAATGGAAGAGGAATGTTTCAGAAATGTTTAACAACTCCTATTTCCCGAGTCCCCGGAGGGCCTGCCTGGAGCCAGGCGGGCGGCCCAGAGTGTGTGTTGAGGGAATGAATGACCGCCGGTTGGGAGCTGGGACGTCCTGATTCCCAAGCAGCGGTGGCCGCAGTTCCCAACGCCGCCCACAGATGGCAGGAGGCGCCTCATGGAAAGTCTCCTTGGAGAATTTGGCAAAGCTGAGCCCGCTGTGCGTCTAAGCAGACTCCAAGGAGCGTCCTTGGCCAGACCGAGGGCTCCACGAGGAAGGTCTTGGCTGGCGATGTCGGTTCTGGAGCGAGATAACAGAGGCCCCGCTGGCCCCCTGGGGGCAAGCCGGACACCCCCAACCCTGGGCCGGGCGTGCCCCCCGGCGGGGGGCGCAGGCGGCCCGGCCCCTGGGCTACACACCAGGCAGTGGGGCAGGAAGAGCCAGGCCTCGAACCCGCAGGGCAGCCCCACCGCCAGCGCTGAGATCCTTGTCACAGGGCCCGGCCTGGCGTCCGACAGGGAGCGCCTGCGTTCTTGATTCTCTGTGTTTTTTGTCTGGGGACCTGTCCAGACAGGCTGAGTCCCATCCTCGAATGCTCATTTCACTGACCGTGAACGGTAGCGTCAGGCTTCACTGCCCTGGCTTAGAAATGCTTTTTTGTAAATGGAAGAAAATAAAACACAAAACAGTCTGAAAAAAAAAAAAGTGAGCCTACCAGTTCTGCCGACAAAAGGACTAGCCTGGTGCTAGAAAACAGCATTACAATGAAATAGGTAACCTTTAAGATCCTGAATTCATCAGGGTTATACAGAGAAACAGAACCAATAGTGTGTGTGTGTGTGTGTGTGTGTGTGTGTGTGTGTGATGTGTGTGAGAGACTGTGTGTGTGCACATGTGAGTGTGTGAATGAGTGTGTAAGAGTGTCTGTGTGTGTGCAAGTGTGTGATTGTGTGTGAGTGTGTATGTGTGAGCATGAGAGTGCGACTGTGTGTGTGTGTGTCTGTGTAAAACTGGCTCACAGGATGATGATGGCTGACGAGTCCCACAGTCTTTCTGCAGGGTAGTCCATAAGCTGGAGCCCCAGGACAGTCAATGTGTGCTTCTGAGTCCCAAAGCCTGAGGCCAGGAAGAGCCAATTGTTCAGTTCAAGTCTAAAGGCAAGAAAAAGCCAGTATCCCAGCTGGAAGGCCGTTGGGTAGGAGAGATTCTCTCTTACACGAGGATGATCAGCTTTTCCTTCTTTTCAGGCCTCTAGCTGCATGGACGAAACCCATCTGCATTGGGGAGAACGATTTGCTTGACTCTATTGATTTACATGTTAATCTCATCCAAAAGCAGCCTCACAGAAACACCTGGAATAATGTTTGATCAAATACCTCGTGGCTCAGTCAAAGGGACACAAAAATCAACCACCATAGACTCCGACACGAGCTTATAGACCAGCTACAATCAGCAGGCCTGGAATGTACACAAAAGTTCAGTGTCTTTTGCTTTTGGATAAAATAAAGATTCCTGTAACTGTGACAAAGATACGTATCTAGTTGGGTGTATTAGTTTCTAGTGGCTGCCACAGCAAAGTGACACAAACCAGGTGGCTTAAAACCACAGGTGTTTAGTCTCTCACAGCTCTAGAGGCCAGAAGTCAAAAGTTGAGGTCGGTGTCAGCAGGGTCCCACTCCCAGACAACTCCAGGGGAAGCTCCTTCCTGGCCTCTCTCAGCCTCAAGAAGACCCTTGCCCAAAATGTCCAATGCCCCCCCCCCACCCACCCACCCAAGGAGTTGGTGAAATATTCCAGCCATTTTTGCACCCATTAGAGCTGCTCTGTCCCTCTGGGGCTCAAGAATGAGCTTACGGGCTGGGCTGCACCCAGCACTGCCCATTAGCTGTAACTGGCCCCGGACCAGACTCCAGGATAGGTTTGAACCCCAAAGTGTAGGCCCTTCCTATGCCTGGGTTGTCATTTGGAGCTTAGGGGCCAGGCAGGAACCCTCCCCGGCTTCCAGTGCCCCAGGCATCACTTGGCGTGCAGCTGCGTCACTGCAGTCATGTGGCATCTTCCCAGTGTTTCCCACCCACTTCCCTTAGTGCAGGTGTGTGTCTGTGTCCAGACTTCCCCTCTTTACAAGGACACTAGCTCTGTTGCTTTAGGGTCTACCCTAATGACTTCATCTTTATTTATTTATTTATTTATTTGAGATGGAGTCTCGCTCTGTCTCCCAGGCTGGAGTGCAGTGGCACGATCTCGGCTCACTGCAAGCTCCACCTCCAGGGTTCATGCCATTCTCCTGCCTCAGCCTCCTGAGTAGCTGGGACTACAGGTGCCCGCCACCATGCCCGGCTAATTTTTTTTTTTTTGTATTTTTAGTAGAGAAGGGGTTTCACCGTGTTAGCCAGTATGATCTCGATCTCCTGACCTCGTGATCTGCCCGCCTCAGCCTCCCGAAGTGCTGCGATTACGGGCGTGAGCCACCGCTCTCGGCCCCATGACTTCATCTTAACTTGATCATCTTCAAAGTCTCTATTTCCAAATAAGGTCACATTCCAAAGTACTGGGGGTTAGGATTTTAACATACGCTTCTGAGTGGACACAAGTCAGCCCGTGGCTGTGGGTCTCACCAGGTCCTGTGGGTAATCCAGTCCCTGAGTTCCTCCCCCGCCGTTCCCCAGGACCTGGGGGCATCCTGGACTTTTTGGCTGTCCACTTGACAATGCCATTTCCCTTTGCCCTGACCTCTCATCCCTGCAGAATTGTTTGCTAGTTGGGCTGTCAAGACCCTCAAAATAGCTGTGATGAGCCCACAGTCAACTCTCAGCCTCCATAAGACCCTTGCCCAAATGTCCAATGCCACTCTCGAGGAGTTGGTGAACATTCTAGCCATTTGTGCACCCATTAGTGCTGCTCTGTCCCTCTGAGGCTCAAGAATGAGCTAATGGGCTGGGCTGCACCTACCACTGCCCATTGGCTGTAACTGGCCTTGGACCGGACTCTAGGATGGGTTTGAACCCTAAAGTCTAAGCCCTTTCTACACCTGGGTTGTCATTTGGAGCTTAGCGGGCATGCAGGAACCCTCTCCCCAGCATGAACCCTCTGAGAGAGGGTGGGCCAGCCATTCTTAAAGGGCACTTTTAACAGGTCAGGACTTCTGTGGCATACTGAGTAAAAATAAGCGAGGGGCTGTGTGGCACTTCCTGGCTCCTGGGACCACTCTGTGGCTGGGCTCTGCTGCCCTACTCTCTGAAGTCAATTCTGCTTTCAGGCAACCTCCTGAAATGTGCATCCAGCTGCTGCAAGAGGCCTGTGGCTGTGTTTCTGAGCCCTTTGCTGGGCCTCCCCACCAGACAGAAGATGGGTTTAGCTTCTGCCTTTCTCCTAAAACCACAATTCATGACCCAAGATAAGATCTCCATCTGACGACCCAGAGCGGACAACTTTAACTGGCTCCACTCCAAGCTCAAGGCCCGTGCCCACCTTGGAAAGAAAAGTGGCTTTTCAGGATGCCTACATGAGTGTGAGGAGTAAAGTCCTCTCCTCGCTCCACCTGCCCTGGATTATTTTCAGGCTCTCAGCCATACATCCTCCTCCTCAACTCCTTTCCCGTAAACAAACATGCAGGGGTAGACCGGGGTCAGTGACACTGGAGATGGCCAGCCCAGAAAATCCCGACGCTTCTCCTTGCAGCCACTGTCTGTCTCTCAAAATAATTCAGGCTGGTTTTCAGGGTTGTAGAGTTTCATTTGTCTTCAATATGCTTTGTCACCATAAAATACACTTGAAGTCTGTAAAGTATTAAGAAGAGATGTTCAGGGTTTACTCTTCCCATCCGGCACTGTAACATTTCTTAAGGGTGGCACCTGGAGCTGGTTTTACGCCTCTTTCTTCTGTCTTAAGAGGAACGGGACCAGGTGCCTTTTGCTTGTGTTGTGGTTTAAAAACCTCTAGGCTCATTTTTTCCATGGACTCTGAGTGTCTGCTGATGCAAACAACTGGCAGGTGTCCCACTCTCATCCACCTGTGTTGAGAGAGGGAGTCAGTAAGTGCAAAGAAATTCTCCAGGGCGTGTAATATTTCTTCCAGAAGTGGGTGTTTTAAGGAAGGAATTGGCCCATATTTACAAAATTATTTGAAAGGTAAGGTTGATTACAAAACAAAAAGAGAGAGGGAAAAGAAGCAATGGATGGACATCTTAAGGATGTATTTAAGAATTAACTTTATAATATTTAATCCAGCATATATGTATTATTACAGTTCTCAGACTGGGTGCTGTGGCACTGTGGGGCAGCACAGGGAACTCCTGCAGGTGCACCAGGATATTTTAAAGTTTGGGAGGAACCCGCAAAGTCTCTGAGAAACCACGTGAGCTGCTCACTCCGGACTACTTACACTGTCAACATTAGATTGCACCCCATTTCTTCTGACGATGCCATATCTTTGCAAAGTTGGGTTTTTGGAGGTTGCTGTGACTAAAAGCAGTAAGTGAAAATTAGCGCAGCACAGGACATTTCCAGGTTTGAGAAGTTGTATAGTGTCGGACAGGGGAAACCATCCCATAAGTATGTAACGATTGTTAAGAATGAGATACAAATTTTTTTCTTTTAATTTATGCATATCATTTTTAAAAAGCTACTAAGTTGTTAAGATATAACTTTGTTTTAAAGTTGAGATAAAATTCACATCACATAAAACTAACCATCTAAAAATGTACAGTTCAACTGCGTAGGATGATGTGCACCCGTAGCTACGTGGGAAGCTGAGGCAAGGAGGGTTGCTCGAGCCCAAGAGTTCAAGGCCAGCCTAGGCAACATAACAAGATCTCCACCTCTAAAAAAAATTAAAAAATAAAAATGTACAATTCGTTTAGTGCAGTGCATTCACAATGATGTGCAACCATCATCACCACCATCCAATTCAAAAACATTGTCATTATCGGAAAGGACACTCCTACCCATTAACTCCCTATTCCCTCTGTCCCTCAGCTCCTGGAACCACCCATCTACTTGCTGCCTCTGTGGATTTGCCTGTTCTGAATATTTGATATAAATGGACCGTACGAATGTATATATACCTAACATCCATATACAATATTTGATAGAAATGTATCATACAACTGTATAATACATATGAACCTATTTAAGGTTCATCCACAATACAGCATGTATCAGAACTTCCTTTAGGGATCCAGTGAATTTTCGCAGCATGCAGAGACTGCATTTTGTTTATCCATTCATCCATGGATGGACACTTGGGTTGTTTCCGCCTGTTGCTATTATGAATACTGCTGCCATGAATGTACAAGTTTATGTGTGAATGCCTGTTTTCAATTCCATAGGGCAATTCTATATTTAACTTTTGGAGAAACTGCTAGACTATTTTTCCATCAATATTTTTTAAATTATTGGATCCTAACCACTGAATAAATGAAACCGCTGGACGTTTCCTTGGTCTAGGGATGCCATAAAAAGATTACTGATGTACTAAAAGTGCCGTGTGCAGAGAACCTCTGATTTTAGCGGCATTTGCTGTACTTCTCAGGAGGCACTGTGGGGGGCACTCTGGAGGGACTCTAAGTGGGGCTCACCCTTGAGTAACCAAAATATTTACTCAAGTTAATAGTACCACGCATTTTAGGGTGAGTGTCAGCAGAGAGGTAACCCCTAAACTCTTGAGTGGCTCCCAGAAGGATGGTGGCCAGCGGGAGGGGACCAGCGCTGTCTTAGACGGGTCATCCAGGAGGGCAGCTGTGAGAGGTCACATGAAACTGGAAGCAGTGAGGGCAGAGGGACGACACAGCCCCCCAGGAAGAAGCAGCAGCAGTGCAGAGGGCCTGGGGAGGAGGGCGCTGGTTTGGGGAAGAAAGCAAGGAGGGTCAGTGTGGCTGCAGCAGAGACAGTGGGGGTAGCAGAGGCCGGCCAGTAGAGGTGGGCAGGGGTGGGTCGTGGAGAGCCTCTGCCTGGTGGGGGAAGGGGCAGAGATTGCTCCGCCCCATGAAGCCGAGAGTGGGGGAGGCAGGGCAACTTGTGCACAGGCTCCTGAGCTTGTAACAGAGGAATGTGACGAAGCCTGGGGCTGGGGGAGACACCCATGATGGGCTGAGTGGGGGAGACCAGGCAGGCATCAGGGAGTGGTGTCAGGAGAGAGATTTCCCGGCCCCAGGACAGCGTGTGCACCGGTCCTGCAGCACCAAGCTGGACCCAGTCAGGGGACAGGCGGCTGGAGGGCCAGGAGCAGCAAAGGCTGCAGGCCGGAGCTGGAGGGGCCAGGCTCATTTCCACCGTGAAAGCGAGGCCAGGGGTGTGTTTTCCAGATGTCCAGCTGCAGGTGAAGAATGGGCCCAAGAGGGCCAGGGTTGAGATAGGAACAGCACTCGGTGGTCGTGGGAGGATGGAAAAACCCAAACCATAGCTAAAACTAGTACCAGGCAAAGAAACCCCAGGATAATAGAAAACCCAAACAAGGGAGAGAAAGCGGCCGAAACCCCTGTCAGGGTGACATGTCCAGGACGCTTCCAGGCAAACCCAAATGAGGGAGAAAAAGGGTGGTAATCAGGAGGTCCCTGAAATCCCCTCTTTTTTCTAAAATACTTAATGATTATTCCACCCCCTAATTAAAGAAAAGCCCACAAAATCAGAAACCCAAACTTCACTGTGTGCGACTCATTCTCCCACACAAGTCCGAGCTCTCTTTCAGGTGCCCACTTTCTCTGCAATAAAAGCAAAACGGTGCCTTTCGCACCATGACCACTTGTCCCCTGAATTCTTTCTCTAGACCGTGTCAAGACACACTGGCTGGGGCTAGGGTCCCATGGATGTCTGGAGACCCTCCTGAGCCCTCCGGAGATAGGGTGACCGCTGTCATGACCAGATGGGAGTGACCATGACTGGGGTCCAGGCACTGGCACAGGGGACAGAGTCACAGGCAGGGAGGCTCAGGATGGAAGAGGTGCAGGCTTGGTGACCAGACCTGTGGTGATGCTTCTGGACCCCAGCGGAAGGTACAATAACTGGGCCTAGGGGCTACGTGTCTGAATTGTTGAAAGTTCTACATCAAGCTAACAAAGGGTTAAATGAAGTGTGTTCAATCCTCTGACTGACAAATGCACTCTCACGCCTAGAGCACAGCTGAGGATTCTCAGCTTCTGGCCCCCAAAGAGTCCCCCGCTCTTTCTGCCTGCAGCTCCGTCCTAACCCACGAACAGCCTCACTGGCACATGCGTGAATATCCCGGGCTTCAGGCCGAGCTCTGCCCATGGCCCTTGCACGCAGCTTTCTCTTGGCTACACTTGGGGGCTCGGGTGCTCACACCTGTCGTGCAGTTGCTCTCAGGGAAATGAACATGTGCAGGGGCTGGAGATGGCTGAGGGACATTTGCACTGGGAATTTCAGGGTCCCCAGAGCTTTCTTGATCTATGGGGATGGGTGTCTCCTGGCCCAATTGACTCCAGGCACTGGGTAGACAGGAAGGTCCAAGGAACAGCAGACTGGAGCCCTTTAACGTTTGGGGCCGGGGCAGGTTTGCCTCTTGTCCTGGTCAGGGTGGTGCTGGGACACAGGACTGGATTGAGTGTGCTGTGGGGGCCATGGGCTACTCTGTCCTGGCCTTCAGAATGGAAAGGGCTCATTCACAGAAACAGGAGATGCTGGAAAGAACCAGTTTGGGGGTGAAAAGCATAGGCTTATCTCAAATGGGTAGCGGTGCCTTAGGTACATCCTACTGTGGGCACCATGTTAAGTTTTGGGGGTTTGAGGCTCAGAGGAAAGGTCTGGCCTGCAGACAGAAGCTTAGGGATCTTCGTAGAATACATGGAAGCTGAGGTGAGCCTGGATGAGCTGCCTGGGGAAAGAGGGGAGGATCAGGGAGGCTCCAAATTGGTGTTTTAAGAAGCCCCACATTTAAAGACTATGGAGTGGAGCATGAGGGTGCAAAGCAGATTAGAACGTAGCATTACTACAATTATAATTCATCCCCCATCTGCTTCATGGCTTCTGCCATCAGACACAAGCCCCTAGGTTGCTGAACAGCACCCTTTATGCTGTGTTCCCAGGACACGGAATGTATGATCCTGCAGGAAGACTCATGGAACCAATGGGTCAAAGGAGGAGCTGTCTCTGATAAGGAAGTGTTTGTGTAAATAGAAAATATTTGCTTGAGTAAGAGCGAGGAGTTGGGTGTCAGGTGGAGATGGGTCTCCCAGAGGTGGTCTGGGAGCCCTCGCGAGTCAGGCCCTCAATGTCTCCCCTAAATCACTTTGTCAGAATTAGTGAAGGCAGAATCTCTGCAGTGAACAAGTTATGTTCTTTTAGAAAATAACACAATGCGGAGGGAATTCTCAAAAACAACCATGCAAGTGGTGGCAGGAGTGGCTGTTGTAGGGGAGGGAGGAGCCTACTAAGCAGGGAGGAGGCTGGGTGCAGAGGCCTGGCGGGAGGGGACTATGTTCCCAGGTGGCTGACCCAGCTCAGCTCCACGCCCCTGTCCCATGGTCATGCCAGCAGGTGGACCCCAGGGGCTCCAGCTTTATTCTGGGGCCTCTGAGAGCCAGGTCAGCCCTATGTCAGCTCCACGATCTCACTGAGCCATGCACTTACAAGGGTTGAGTTGCTCCAGGACCCTGAGAAGGACAAAGACGAAAATGACTCAATTGAAAATCTCACTATTCACCCATGGCCTGGCATGTGCCACACACATATAATTATCATCTGCGTGGATCCCCACCGACATCTCGAAGCAGGTCCCTCTATCCCACATGTCAGGGACAGGCAAATGCACCATGGTCACAGCCTGGGACCCCATCTGAGGCAGGCTGGCTGCAAACCCAGAGACGTCTCTATCCTGTCTTCTCCCTGGCCGGCAACCTTCATTGTTCCCTGCGGTAGGATGTTAAAGGCAGCTTCCTGGCACTTCCAGACCAGGGACCTTGGGCTGCCTGCTGGGTGGGTCAGTGCTAAATGGCCCCCTATGAAGAAGGGCACAGCTTGGGGACCTGGAGCTCAAGGGATCACCTATTTAGATTCGCTGTCAGGACATCCAGTATAGGAGGAAACTGGCTTGGAATTCTTCTGGGGAAGGGGCCAGGAGGAACACAGGGTAGTGGGGGAGTGGGGGCTTGCAAATGTCAGCAGACAGCCCCCTTCCCCAACTCCTCCTTCCCACCTCCCACCCCCCATTGTCTCCCCTCGTCGTCCCTCCCCTCCTCACCTGCACTGCACTCCCAGGCGGGTCAACAGTCTCTCCGTGGAGCTTCGTGCCCTCGGGGCTTACCTCCTAAAAACCTTCAAGTCTGCACCCCTACTGTGCCTCCGTGGCTGCGCCCTGCTTTCCACCCAGGATCTGTGCTGATTGGTTTGTTTGTAACCACACCGGGCACGTTGTCCATGCAGGCACTTCATGAGGTTAATTAATGTTGTCCCATGAAACCTCAGGACAGCCACCTCCCAACTTGCCCTATTATTCATTTCATCTTTTTCTTTAAATCGTTCCACTTTTCTTTGGCCCTAAAATGTATTTAAAACGAAACTAAATTACTTTTATACTTGGAAATTCTAACCTCACCAGCCTGGGACCAATGACTGTTAACATAAATAGCAGCTGCGCTCCCGGAATCCCAGAGGGTCTGGAACTCGAATTCACAATTCCTGGAAAGGTGTTTGTTTTCGTTTTACCAGTTGTCATGTGAATCGGTAAAGCACTTCAAAGTCCGCAGAGGAGCCGGATACCAAACCAGGTTCCTGCCGCCGAGCCCGTGATCTTTGGACCCGATCTGCTCACAGCTGGGAGCTGGCTCTTTTGGTCTCCAGGGGGCTCTGGTCTTCAGTCCCAGGCACCAGGCACTGAGCTAGCAGCAGACACTCCATAAATATTTGTCAAATGAAGCACACAGATGATTAAATAAATGAAATTGGAGCGTTTTATTACTTGCGTGGTGTGGGCTCTTAGTCACCCCCAGCTGCGGAGCTGTGTGCCGGAGACTGTAGATGGAGAAAGGTACTTTGCTAGAGCTGAGCCCCGGGAACAGGACAGGTGACTCACTTTCAAGTCCATTCATTTTTTTCCCACCAAAATAATAACTATGTTTACTTCCAAGGTATCTTCGTAGATTCAAAACTCCAATTATTTTTTAAAACATTAGTCCAAATGTAAGTTACATTTGTGACAAGCTTAAAACAACTATTTGCCACTCCAGCCTTAAGGAGACCAACTTTAATTTCCGGAGTATGTGGGAAAGGAAGTGGCTCCCTGGTCCCCCCAGGAGGCCCCCCGAGCAAGCATCGTCATGTTGGGATGTGTGAGTTCCCTCCAAAGAGCGGCCGGATGGGAGTGGGGAGGCAGTGGGGAGACGCGGCTCCCCGCTACAGGCTATGAAAGAAGGTCCGCGCCCGTTTGGAAGGGGGAGCCTGGAGACACTAGGTCTGCGGCTTTCAATGCGCTGACTTGGGGCAGCCTCTCTCTTTCCGAGTTACTAACACAAAAACACAGTTAATGTCGTTAAAATACCCTCTCCTTTAGCTCCGCCCTCCTGTCTTCATTATTAATCTCCTGTGGCCAAAAATAAGCCTTCACTCACCGTTGCGTCTCAGGAATGAGTGAGTGTTTTCTGAGGTGTGGACGCGTGCGTGATCTGTGATGCACTTCGGCCTCTAACCCAAATATCCTTCCAAGGCTGGGAATTTTTTTTCCCCATATGTGAAAAAAAAATCTTTCCTTTTCAAACCATCTGTTCTACCTGTAAAAAGAGGCTGTTATTTAGGAAAGGATGAGGGAACTCTTGCATTTGAAATGGACTTTAGATTTGCTGTTGGGTAATTTTTTAAAAAAAGTTACTTTCTGAGAGGAAACTCGTGTAAAAAAGCAAGACGTGAACCTGCAGGGAATTAGACTAACGAGTGAAGAAAGCCAATTTCAAAAAATTAGGCGCTGTATGATTCCTGTATCTAAACATAACATTTCTGAAATAAAACAATTTTAGAAATAGAGGAAAGATTAGTGATGCCAGGGCTCCGGGGTGCGGCTGTAAAATCGCCACAGGAGTGGCCAGGTGGGGGTGGATACGGGAAGGTACACAGATGATTACATTGTGTAAAACTAATACATGCAAAGGAAGACGAGTAAAACGGCAAAACTGAATAAGATCGGTGACTGTATCAAAGTCAATATCCTGGTTGTGAGATTGGACTTTTTTTTTTGGCAAAGTTTTGCAAAGTGGTAACACTGGGGGAAACTAGGCAAAGTGAATGATTTCTTACAACTGCATGTGACTCCGCAATTAAGGAAAAAAAAAAAGCAAAGAAAAGCAGGGCAGCTGATGCGCACGTCGAGACCCGTGAGAAGCGTGAGAAGCTCTGCTCACCCAGGGGAGAGCGCAGTGACCCGCAGCGTCTATTCATCCGTCCGCAGTCACCGGGCGCTGGCAGAGAGGGCGCCCGGGGGGCGGGTAAGTGGGCGGGGCCTGGGGGCGGGACGACCTACGGAAGTGACGTAACAGGGCGGAGCGCGCACCTGGGCACCTGGGCAGCCGCCGCGGCGCTGGCTAGACGTGCGCGATGGAGGGCGACGGCGGGACCCCATGGGCCCTGGCGCTGCTGCGCACCTTCGACGCGGGCGAGTTCACGGGCTGGGAGAAGGTGGGCTCGGGCGGCTTCGGGCAGGTGTACAAGGTGCGCCATGTCCACTGGAAGACCTGGCTGGCCATCAAGTGCTCGCCCAGCCTGCACGTCGACGACAGGTGAGCGGCCCGGGCGGGGCGCTGGGGCGGCTGGGGCCCGGGCTGGGGTCGGGGTCGGGGTGCTCTGGTCCCGGGGTCCTGCCTCTCTCTCCCGAACTCACCCCCGGAGCAGCTTCGGGGGGGAAACCAATTGCCGGCGAGGCCGCGGGGCTCCGACAATGTCCACTCGGCCTGTCCGGGCCGGAGGGGCGCGGGGGCTTTGGCGAGCCCGGGCTCGATCGCGCACGTCGGGGCCGGGTCAGGCGGCTCCTCTGGGGCTCCTCTGGGGCTCCTCGGGGGCCGCGTCTGCCCGGACGTCCTAAGGCGCCCAGTCGTGCTTCCTGACACTCCCCGAGTGGCCCTGGTTTTCGGGGTCTCCAGCTCGCCTTGCGCCTCGGACCCGCGCCCTTGGGAGGCGCGTCCGGCCCGCCCGGGACCCACCGGGGCGCTGCGGTCTGCGCAGGGCTTAGAAAAATTGCCATGTGGGCCTCTGGGCTTTGTGAGTGGAGTTAGCCTCCGTTCGACTTACTTAGTAATTTACGTTGGAACACAAATTGGTGTAAGACTGTAATTATTTCGGTCGGAAGCTTCGGCTTGGCTCGGGCGAGGCTTCCCGGGCGCCCGGCGCTTGCGCGGTGGAGCTCCGGGGCTCGGGCCTGGCAGTGGGGTCCGGCACGGGGCCCGGGGTGTTGATCCGTCCGCCCAGCGCTTCCTCGCCGCACACTCTCGTTTTAGCTGACTTAATTTCGAGACCGACCCGCTAGGGAAGGGCCTTGCATTCAAGTTCTGTGGCCGTGCCATGGGGCCCTCCTGCACCCCAGTTTCCCAGTCCAAAAGTCAGAATGGAACCTGCCTGTACCTACCTAGCAGGAGTGTTCAAGGTAACAAAGACGAATGGGAAGGACGCAGAGCCGCCCGTGTTAAATTCGGTGGGTCGGTTGTCGTCTGTGCATAATTTGAGAGGTAGGGAGAATGTTCTTGAACAGTACCTCTTTGTTGTTGTAGATTTCACTGTTTACAGTTGATTTTGATGGTTCATATGTAAGGCTCAATTTAGCACGTTTTAATTATTTATCCTTTAATGAAGCTTACCTTCTACATGGAAGCTATGCTTGTATTTTACCTAGAGATTCCTTGAACACATACACTCAGAAGCGACACCTTTTTAAAATACCATTTAGCCTTTGCTGCCTGGCAGACCTGGTTTCGAATGCTCGGCTGATTGAGTGATGGGGCCGCTAAGCCCCAGCTTTTCTGCAGAATCGTTGTGATGCCTGTGTCTGGGGTGGCAGTGCGTGCTGCAGCCCCATACCGTGACTGTGACGCCTCTGTGGATGAGAGGCCTGTCCTCTCCCTTTGCATTTTCGTCCTTGGCTAGGAGACTACACAGCAGAGATAGTGGTGGCTTTTTGCCGTAACCCTCAAATCCAGTGTTTCTTGGAAACACCAGTAGAGTGGTGACGAGTGTCATCAAATCACCACTAGTTCAAAGGTGAGATGCTGGCCCAGGCTGTGCACTTTTTCTCCCCTGCCTCAGATTCTGGGAACTTCTCAGGCCAGGAGGGGTGCTGTGGTTATTTTGATGAAATCCAAACCACTTTGAATACCAGCCAGTGGTTAGGTTCTGAAAGGGAACCCTCTCCATAGGGGCATTCGTTTTATCTCTTGGGGATGTGTGTGAGCTTTAATCATCAGTGAAAATTTTCACACCACTTTCTTATATTGGAAGAGCAAAGTAAACAAGCACCTACCTGGACTGACTCACCAGCTCACATCCTTAGGATCTTCTGTTATTTCTAGCGACCAGTCCCTTATTTCTTGGGTGGCCTGGTTGGAGGGAGGCTTTCTCCACTTAAGGTGGATCACTTAGGATATTGCATAGCTTGGTTGAAAAGTGTTTTGTACTTTAACTGGAAGCCTTTCCTACCCTGCCCAAAGCAGACAGGTGGTGGCATGTCAGGTGGCTAGGTCGAGGTCAGCATCGCCTAGCAGGAAGCATTTCACCTCCTGTGCTCTGCTGGGCCTGGTAGAGTAGGTTGGGGCTTTGCCATGTGCAGCAGTGGCTGATCTTTCTGAGAAGTTGGTCAAACCCTGGCTCTTTGTGAAGCTGATTCCTTTAGGTTAATTATTGACTGTATTGAGCCTGAGGTTCTTGTTAGGAATGTACATCAGTCCCACTGTGCTCCAGGAGCTGGTTGCATTGCAGTCTCACAAGGTTGTACCTAGGCCTTGAAGTAGTCGCTGTGCCACTTGCCCTGCCACATTTCTCAGTGCTTTTCTGACGAGCTGCCTCCCACCCCAGCCCCTCATATTTGCAAGATGTTCCCTGAATTGGGGCATAGGATTCTCCTAGGGTCTTTGTGTGCAGCCCCCGGCCCTGTACCCCTTCTGCCTAAGTCTTGCTTCTCTTCTCGGAGGGACAGCCCCTCTCACCCCTGACACACGGGTCTGGGCCTCTTCCAGGCTGCTGGGGGTCAGTGATGGTCTAGTCCACTTGTTACATAGGAGCCACCACAGGTACAGGTGCAGGTGAGGCTGATTTTCACTGGCCAACGCTGCTTGCCTCTCAAGGTGGTCTGGGGTCTCCTGGCTCCCTGCAGCTCCCCTGGGCCAGGCCTTCAGCCGGCCCTTGGCCACAGCACCTGCTCGGGGCTTGTTTGATGAGCAGGCTGCGCCAGGCCATGTGAGCTTGCTTTTCTGTGCAGGAAAGGTTGGGGGGCCGCCCAGCCCCCAGACACTTAGCGAGGCTCCCAGGGACAGGAAGTGCCTGCCAGGGGGCCCTCCTGGGAGTTCACAGGTGACACCCCATTGATCTGAGATTACCTTCATCATGGGGCTCGGTGCCTCGGAGGGTCCTGTGGGGTGGCTTTGGAGAGGCAGCTGGCCTCCCTGGCTGACCCTCATTGTGGGGGTCACAGGGCCTAGGGTGGGGTGTAGGGATGGGTGCTGTGACCAGTTTGGAGAGAATAAAGTGATCCCAAAGGCCCCGTTCCTCCCCTACCAGCCCCCAGCTAAGGGGATGCTCAGAAGAAGCCAGTGCCTGCGGGGCGCCGGCTGGGAGACGCTCCTGCCACATTCAGCCCTGGCTGGTCGGGGCGAGCCTGAGCAAACCCCAGGTTTGTAACAACAGAGCTGACGATTGGACAAGCCCGTTTCTTGTCAGTTTTAAAAATAGCCGTGTGGGAACCCCTCCGAGGCTCCCTGGGAACATAATTGGATTGGTGTGCAGAAGGCCTCGCTGAGAGGCATCAGCTAACAGATGATGAAACACATTTTCCGGCTGCATTTTCCTGAAGGTAGTTGCTAGGTTTCTCCTTCGGAGCTCTTTGTTACCTGAGCGGTCTCACCGTCTCCCCCACCTCCCTGCTTCTCACTTTTCCCTTCGTTTATTGCTTCTCCGCTTGCACAAGACCATGTCCCGGGGCAGTTCTTTCCCCCTTTCCAGGATGCGTGCTTGCAGGGGAAACCGCAGCTGGCCTGGTCCACAGGTCTTTGGAATTTCTGAGCCTGGAGAAGAACCTTGGGACTTCTTTAGAAGTTCCTTTTAGAGATGATTGGTGTGATGATATTTCTCGTATTTCTCGCTACTCCATTGGCCTCCCTGGGAGGGCGAAATACACTTTGGCTAGCCCTAAATGAGGAGAAAACCGAATTCATCTAAGTGCTACTCACCGTATCTTTAAAAAGTTGAACCCCAAGTTAATCCTAATTAATGCCCAGAGATTTTTCATGTGGAACCCAAAACAGGACCCAGGACACTTTTGCGGGGGAGGGGGGGCTTTTCCCGTTCCTGCGTGGAAGCAGAATTAGCAACGCTTTCACCAGCAGCGAAGGAGAGGGGAATAGGATGCCACCCCCTCTGAACTGTGCCTAAGCGTAGCTGCGCTTGGAGCAAGGCACAGTTTTTAGGTTGTGTTTTAATTAACACCGACGAGAGGGGCTTCTGGTCAACCCAGAAACGTTGACTTCACTGTCAACAGTAAGAAATGCGATTTGGAGACGGTGCGAATGTGACTGTGTGATGTTCTGTGCTCCCTGGCCGCCACCCCAGCACCTAGGCTGGATTCGGCATCTCTCCACGTGTTAAAATGATAATAGTAATAAATCTACAGTTCCTTTTGTGTGGTCATCAGAATAAGCCAGAATCATTAAAATAAGCCAGAAACACTGCTTAGGAGAAAAAAATGTATTAAAAAAAATAGTGCCATTGCTCAAAAGCAATTGGTGGGTTCTTTCTGTGCTTCGAGTACCTGAGCACTTCTTAACCTCCCTGATCAGAAAAGCCTCTTCTTGCAGCTTGTTGCAAAGAGGCCCTTTCAGGCTTATTGAATTGCAAATGCCGCCGGGCGACACCCGACCCCAGAAGGGCTGGAGCTTCCTAAAGCCGCTGGAGTTTCCCAGATGTGCGCCTAGGGAGCACCTGGAGAGGGGCTGGAAGGCGGGGTCGTGTGGGTTTTGGCCCAGTGGTTACTGGATGGTAAACAGTGTGGAAAGTTTCTGAGGACATGCTGGTGCTTCTGAGCGAAATCCAGGCTGGTAGGCAAGGGAGCCGCCCCACCCCCACTCCTGGGCCTCAGATCTCCCACAGGGCGGTCCCGGGACCCCCTTCCTCAGCTGGAATCCTGTCTACCCCAAGCCAGTTTGGATCATGCTGTCACAACACTTTTGTCCACGGAAACAATGACTTTTTTTTTCCAGGACAGCTGATTTTCCTCGAGAAAGTGCCCTCAAATGTGTGGCCCATGGAAGGGGGAAGTCGTGCCGGGCTCCCTTCAGGCAGTTGCGCAAAGCTGGGGTGGACTCCGTTAGGAGATTCTAGCCGGGATCCGCTTTCAGGAGCCAACTAGCAGCAGTGGCCCTTTTTTGTTTGTTTGTTGTTTCTTTTAAAGTAAGGTAAATGGGGTCTCCGTTCTGCAGAAAGAGCCCGGGGCAGGGAGAGTAAAGTACTTGCTGAACTCGGTGCGCTGGGGAGGGGTGTGCACTGCTGCCAGCCCGTAGCTGTTAGAGTCGCCAATGAGCTCACTCTGCAATCAGAAGTCACCGGGGTTTTATGTATTAAGCCCTTTGGGCAAATAAAAGAAAACACTATTTGTGGAGTGGCTCAGAGCTTCCACTTAATAAGCTACTCAGCCTTCCTTTGATTGACATTGTTCTCAGAATACGTGTTTATTATCAGTCAGCTTTGGCTTAGAGAGTTCACTCTCAGAATGTCTACTTAATGTGGAAAAATGACCCTTGCGAATGGCTGGCCTCTAAACACCCGAATTGTCATTTCCTCAAAACCCTCCGGCGAGGAGGGTGTGCCTCACACGGTTGCACAGTGGATGTGGGTCTGAGTCCTACGGAAGGACTTTCGCCAGCGCCCCGGGGCAGAGTGTCCGGAGGAGGGAGGCCACACTGGTAGGGGAGGGGCGGCAAGCTGGCCACATTTGAGCAATCGGAAACAGACAAATCATAACTCTGATTCTTAACAAGACATAAAAGAGAAGCAGCAGCTGGTACCATGTCCCAGTCCGATGGTTTGGAAGTTAGTGGCAGTTGCCGGGTTGGAAGTTGTGCTGGTATTCCTTTAAATAACAAATGAGGGCCTCAGCCAACCGGTGTTCCCAGAGGAGGAGAAAGGCTGGGAGCTGAGAGGTGTCATTTTCCTTCTTTGGTGACCGGTTTCATTTTAGCTGATGCTTGACGTTGGCATCAGGTCCTCGTCTTCCTTTTTTCCCAATGCTCACTGAGACTGGGGACAGGGTTGAGAGTCCCACGATCTGATCTGCACCCCCCATCCCTTGATGGGTCCCAGAGCCTGGCCCAAGCCTGTGGCTGCAGGGAGAGGGATTTCCCCTGGAGAGGGAGGAAGCAGCCGATGGTATGCTGGTGATGGGGCAGCTTTCAGCTCAGCCCAGGGACCCCCACAGGCTAGCACTGCACACTGGTGGGCATCTTGTTTTCCATTAGTTGGTCATTTAACCAGAGCGCTAGGAAAGCAGGCCGTGCTCCCCTAAGTTTTGTCTCATAATAATTTCACGTTCATTCCTGATACTTGCTTCACTTGTTCCCAAGGCCAGTGGGATTCTTTGCTCCTTGAGTGTATTCAGACACACTCGACCTGCCCACCCCCCACACCCCCCAGCTGCTCCTCCTGGGGTGCTCCCGCGTCCACCGTAGAGAGCTGCCTAGTGACCCCTGGTGCAGCTCCAGAGAGGTCCTGCAAGCTTCTCCCCTCCACATGCAGTCAATGGACCCATCCTGCAGATTCTTCCAACAGAGTGTGTGTGCTCTGCTGGCTTCCCCTCTCTGCTTTGCCAAGCCCAAGGGGATCCACAGCGACTGCTCCGCTCTGCTGGCCTCCCGGGTGCCCCTGGACTCTGCGCAGGTCTCAGCCTTCCCGATTCTCTCAGGGGCCCTTTCCTATGCTGACTTCTGACTTTGGATCTCTCTTGATTCTCCATAGCTCCCTGGACCTTCCTTTCAAGAGGCTTAGATTTTTCAACCACACTTCTCTTTTGGGGGTAGTTCGCCATCTTCTTCCTTAGAGGGTACACGTAAACACCATGAAGGCGGGAAAGGGACCTCTTGTCCTTAGTTCTGACATATGGTGGATTCAAGCGAGCACTTGCCAATACACAGAACTGCTTAAAATATAGGTCAGGTGAGTGCTGGGAATACTGAAGTGGTGATTCTGGACAGTAGTAGTTTATTGGCTGAAAATGCACTCACTTGATTTACATCGGGGTTATTCAACTTGGCACCGTTGGCATTTGGGGCTGAGTAATTCTTAGCCTTGGGGCTGTCTTATGCATTGTAGGATGTTCAGTAGCATCCTTTAGTTGTGACAGCCAGAATCTCTCCAGACATTGCCCAGTGTTTCTTGGGGGGTGAAGTTGCCTCTAATTGAGAACCAGTGGGCTATGTCCTGAGACGCAGAGCCCTAGCTGCAGGGCTTGCATTGTTGGGGGGCAGACAGGCTGAGATCTCCGAGCCTTTGGTACCTGTCCGATGTATGGGAATTTCCACAGCAAGAGCTAAACAGTAGGATCCAGGGGTTCCTGCTGGCCTTTCCTGCAGGGAAAGTGTTTTCACTATGGTAAGGGAAGCCTAGGAGGGGCTGAACTCTCGCAGGGGCGGTCAGATCATTAAGAAATGGATGCGTTCTGTTGGCACTGTTTTGGATTCACCAGCAGGCGAGGAAATGGGAGCCACTGAGTGATTTCCCAGCACCTGCTCCCGGGTTTGTCACTGGGAGGAGCAGGCCTGTGTCCGAGCTCCAGAAGAGCCCCCTGCTGTGGCAGCGGACACTGGGTTATAGGCAGGGACTTGGGCTGGACGCTGGATTCTGGGGGAATTGTCTGGAGGCCACCCCAGCCAGCTGCCTTGCGTGGCCTGTGTGTGGACATGGAGCTGCTGGGTTTCCTGCTATAGGAGGTCGGATCTCTCCTAGTGTGGTTCTGAACATTTCCTTTAGGGAGCTTATTATATTATTAGAAAGCAGATTGGCTGGGCACGGTGACTCATGCCTGTAATCCTAGCACTTTGGGAGCTGAGGCAGGCAAATCACTTGAGCCTAGGAGTTCAAGACCACCCTGGCAAACAGCAAAATCCCATCTTTACTAAAAATACAAAAAATTAGCTGAGTGTGGCACACCTGTAATCCCAGCTACCCTGGAGGCTGAGGCATGAGACTCACTTGAACCTGGGAGGTAGAGGTTGCAGTGAGCTAGGATCATGCCACTGCACTCCAGCCTGGGCAACAGAGCGAGACTCTGTTTCAAAAAAGAAAAACAAACAAAAAAACAGATTTTCCAGCCCCAACCTGGAATGCATTCTCAAGGAGTGAGGCCTGGGAACCAGCATTCCAGCCAGCTTCCTGGGTGCTTTCTACCATGTCTGTGTTTGGGGCTGCTGATCTCGATCCTGCATGGCCAGCGTGCGTCCGTGGGATTCAGCCTCTTACTCTGAACGCATTCTGAGACTTTTGACCCATGATGCCAATACAGACCATTGCACTGGGATTCTAGTCTGTGAAAACACAGGCTGCACCAGGGAAGTGACCTTAGACCAGAGGTTGGTCAGCTTTCTCCACGAAGGCCTAGAGAGGCAACATTTTAGGCTTTGCAGGCCGCAGGGCCTCTGTTGCAAGGACTCCTCTCCCCTTTGAAGTGCAAAAGCAGCCACAGCCAGTGTTTAAATGAATGAGTGAGACTTTCTTCCAGTAAAAGTTTATTTATACAAACAAGGTGGTGGCACGCTGTGGGCAACCATTTGGCAGTTTCTCAAAATGTGACACATAGACTGTGACCAAGCAATTCTGCTCCTAGGTATGTATCGAAAAGAATTGAAAGCCACGACTCCAGGCGTTTGTCCCCCAATGTGTGCAGATGTGCAGCATTATCCACGAGAGCCAAAAGGTGGAAATGGCCTGCACCCACGAACAGATGAACAAAACGCAGTACATTCGTGCAGCAGAATATTATTCAGCCATGAAAAGGAAGTTTTGATATATGTTACAGTGTGAATAGACCCTGAAAACATGCTTAATGAAATAAGCCAGACACAGAAGGGCAAATTTTATATGCTTATGCTTATATGAATTTGCCTAGAATGTAGAAAAGAGGTTACTGAGGATGGGGATGAGGGAAGGAGTTATTGGTTAATGGGTGCAGAATTTTTGTTGAGGATGATGGAAAAGTTTTGGGTGTAGATAGTGGTGATGGTTGTACCACATTGTGAATGTGGGTAATGTCAGGGAATTGTACACCTGTGAATGGCTAAAATAATAAATACTATGTTATGTCTATTTGACTACATTTTCTCTCTCTCTCTCTCTCTCTCTCTCTCTCTCTCTATATATATATATATATATATTTTTTTTTTTTTTTTTTTTTTTTGTTATGGAGTCTCTCTGTGTCGCCCAGGCTGGAGTGCAATGGCGCGATCTCGGCTCACTGTAACCTCCGCCTCCCAGGTTCAAGTGATTCTCCTGTTTCAGCCTCCTGAGTAGCTGGGATTACAGGCAGGCGCCACCACGCCCAGCTAATTTTTGTATTTTTCGTAGAGACAGGGTTTCACCATGTTGATCAGGCTGGTCTCGAACTCCTGACCTTGTGATCTGCCTGTTTCGGCCTCCCAAAGTGCTGGGATTACAGGCATGAGCCATCACACCCGGCCTATATTTTTTATTTTAAAAAATGGCTGGTTGGATTTGGCTGTTGGCAACCCCATGCTTTGGACCTATGCTGTTTCATTAGTTTGAGTGTGAGGTTGGATTCAGGAATAACTGGGCCAACTCAGGTATTGGGCTTAAACGGAGAAGGTGAGTTGGGTTCCTTGAACATAACTAGTTACAACTTTTTTTTTTTTTTTTTGAGATGGAGTTTTACTTTGTTGCCCAGGCTGGAGTGCAGTGGCATGATTTCAGCTCACTGCAACCTCTGCCTCCCTGGTTCAAGTGATTTTCCTGCCTCAGCCTCCTGAGTAGCTGGGATTATAAGCATCTGCCACCATGCCCGGCTAATTTTTGTATTTTTAGTAGAGACGGGGGTTCCACTATGTTGGCCAGGCTGGTCTCGAACTCCTGACCTCAGGTGATCCATCCGCCTTGGCCTGTCAAAGTGCTGGGATTACAGGCATGAGCCACCGTGCCCGGCCTAGTTGCCTAGTTACAACCTTGAGTGGAACGTCAACTTCTCTTCCCTCCTCCCAGGAGAAGGGATTATCGGCCTGCACCTGCAGTCTCTGAGACCCCCAAGCCTTGGCTCATGGCTGCCTGTGGAATTATTCACACACGTGGACCCCCCACATGTGTTATCAGTGCTACCTGTAAAACGATTAGAATTTCCCTCCTCCTCACTTGTGATAACCCTGTGATGCATAGGTACATTTCAGCAGCCTCAGGACTGAGACTCTGGAAAGCCCTGCATTCGTGATGTGACATTGAAGTGTGCCCCATGTGTGTGCACTTGAGGCATTTGCTCAGCCCTCTGGAGCTGGTCGTCTTCTGGCCAGGGTGCTGTTCCATGTTTGTGGCTGAGTGACCATTGCGTATTCTTCATGCCTTTGAACTTTTTCAGGGAGCGCATGGAGCTTTTGGAAGAAGCCAAGAAGATGGAGATGGCCAAGTTTCGCTACATCCTGCCTGTGTATGGCATCTGCCGCGAACCTGTCGGCCTGGTCATGGAGTACATGGAGACGGGCTCCCTGGAAAAGCTGCTGGCTTCGGAGCCATTGCCATGGGATCTCCGGTTCCGAATCATCCACGAGACGGCGGTGGGCATGAACTTCCTGCACTGCATGGCCCCGCCACTCCTGCACCTGGACCTCAAGCCCGCGAACATCCTGCTGGATGCCCACTACCACGTCAAGGTGGGGGGCCGCACGGTGCCCGAGAGAGCTGGGCAGGGAGGGCCTGTGTCTTGGGGAGCAGGGTATCAAGGGGTCAAGCCCTGAGGTCAGGACAAGGGCAGAAGAGGAGGTGGTTCTTCTTGGAGGAAAGAGCTTGAAACCGAGGCCTTTTGCAGCATGAGGACTCCAGGAGCCTAAGCTTGTCCTGGTTGGTATGAAAACCACACGCCATGTAGCTGGAGGGTAGCTTGGTGAACATGGGGGCTGTTCCCCCAAATCTTGGCATATGACTCATTCCGGAAAAAGATTACGGGTTTGTGGGTTTTGGTCTTATGAAATCAGGTTAGAATTCAGCCCGTGGGCCAGGTGTGTCCTTGCGAGACCTTAGGCTCTGCAACAAAGGGACGCATTTCCCTCAGTGTTTTCAGGAGCTCGGGGTGGTGGGAATGTGGGGGTCCTCTGCAGTGGGGTCCTCAAAGTGCTGTGGAAAGAGGCTTGTGAGGAGGGGCTCGTTGCCTCTGTCTGCCCCTGCGTAGAGTGCGGAGTGGCAGCGTGTTGCGTTAGTGCAACGCCTGGGAGATGGAGCTTGCTTTTGCTTCGCTGATAGGTTTTTGAAACACAGAAAAGTAAGAGAGATAATGTAACTGAAAACCAGTGTTGCCTCTGGGCCTTGGCAGGTGTTAGCATCATCACCTTTGCATCAGGGCTGTATTTCCTTGTATCTCCTTTGATGGCCTTCGTGGCTAGGGTTGTACTGTCGTTGACATGTGGTGGTTACACCTGGCGCGTTGTAGTTTTTCCCCACGTGGTGATGTTCACATGCTCTTGGGAGGCCCAGGGTGATAGGCTGGTCCACATGACACTGGTGTCTGCCCTGGGAGTGAGAAGGAGCCGAGAGCCATGGTCCGGATCCATGTAGTTCATGCAGGGGACAAGCAGAGGAGTCCCCTGCCTGGCTTGGCTGTGCTACTGTTCCTGGTGGCACAGCACTTCCAGGCCTCTCTGATGGCCTGACCATTAATTAGGAGAGACCTGAATTCAGGGCCCGGCCCTGCCCCTGAGCTCTTGGGTGGGACGGGAGCGGTGGCTCGTATGGCATGCGCACGGCCGCTCCCTGTGCCCAGACTCTGCGGACGAGTGCATCTCGCGTGCCTTGCTCAGCCAGGGCGGTGGTGAGGAGGTCAATTTTTCACTTCGGGCAGTAATTATAAGTTGTCTCTTAGGTAGGTGTTGCGCAGTAATAAGATTTCAGCTAGAAGATGAAGCACCGTCCTGCGAAGTGAAGTAGGAAATTGAGATAATGGAGACAAAAATCAAATGACTTGGCTTGAACGGGCTCTCTGGTGGTTTCCCGCATCTGCTTATGTTCTGGGACCCCTGGGATTCCCGTTTCCTGTGATGGGCAGGGCTGGGCCTCACATGCGGACCCCCCATTCCCGCCAACATTTACGGGCTTGTTTCTAGGTAGCACAGGCTCTGGGGCCCTAATGACTAGTAAGCTCTGCCGTCCAACGTGCACTGAATACCGGAAAGGACATGCTAGAGGCTTCACCTGCGGGAGCTGCCCTCATCCTCAGAGCAGAGGTGCAGAGTGGACGGTGGCCTCTGGTTCTCGCTGAGTCTCTGCTTAGAGTGAGTAAATTAGCAGCCAGGATCGTCCAGCTGTAAGTCACGGAGCAGAGACCTTGATTTCCACCTGGCCTGCCACTGTGCTTGACATGAAAGAAACCAAATGACCACTGCACGTAGCAGTCACTTGGGGGCAGGGTGTGTGGCCCGCAGGCTGGGCCTAGAGGCGGCCCTGTGGGAGGGGGTGGGAGTGCTCCTGGGGCTGGGCCTTCACACAGGGTGGGGCTTTTCTGCCCTCAGGAGTCGGGGCAGGCAGCAGCAGAGCCTTTAGGTGAAGGAAACAGCCCAAGAGACGCAGAGAGCTCTGGGCCTTCCTGCAGGGGCAGCAGGCAGCAGGGCTTCCCTGTCTTTCAGGACAGCTGCAGGGGGCGGATGCTGCCTGGAACTGCTTTCTCAGGGAGGCTGCTGTCGAAGGCACGCTGGGTGCTGGCCAGGAAGTGACAGGACATCTCTGTGTGGTGCCCCTGGGACATCTTAGGGCCCTGTGTACCCTGACAGGCCGCAGGAAAGATTGCTTTTGTGTGGCGTCCTTCTTAATCAGGCATGTTAGTCACCATCAAGAAGCCCAAAAACAAACCGAAAAATACCTTTACGTGACATACTTATTTTTTCTGTGAAATAGCTACTGGTGTGCGTAGAGTGCAGCAGGGAGTGTGTGTCGGGGTTCTGAGAGTCAGCGCCTTTGTTCCTGAAGACGAAGTGTGGAAGCTTTGCATGGACTGACCACTGGGCTTCTGGGCAGTCCTCAGTAGACAGTTATTCAATGCAGGAAAACTGTAATCCAGAATCCTGCAATTAGATCCTAAGTTGCCATTCCAGTGCTGCCATTCGCCTCTGAGATGGGCTCCCTCAGTGCTCAGGGCTCGATTCAAACTGGAAATATCACAGCAACTGTCTACTTCATGAAGCAGTTAAATGTAAATAGTATACAAAGTAATAGTATCAAATTAATGCTTGATATTATTCAACATTACATATACTAAATACCAATATTAAGATACTAGTTGGAATCAATTTCAACTTAAAAATGAAATAACTTGGTTTAAAATCTCAGGCTGCATTTATATGTCCAGTTAGCCCAAAACAGACGCTTTTCAAAGGGTCACACGCGGGTCACGTTCTGCTGTGTCTTTCTTTTAGAGGCAGCAAAACCCCGGCAGGCTGCTTTCTTAGTCTTGACAGCTGGACCTTGAAGTTGAAGGGCCATGTGCTTGGGGGCAGCTGTGAGCCCTCAGCTCTTGGAGATGCAGAGTCGGGTGCTGATGAGAGTGTTTGTAACTCTTGAAGCATTTGCTGGTCAGAGTGGATGCCACAGTAGCTCGCTGTTGAGGACACGGGGTGAGGGGCAGCTTGGGTGGGAAGATGAGGAAAGGCGGAGGGGAAATGCAGCCGGCCAGGAGTCCGAGACATGGAGGGAGGAGAACATAGAGGGTCAGTGACCCTCCTAGAATTCTCAATTCCGAGCTTGCATTTTGTTGCCAGAGGTTTTACAGAGAATTTCTGCTCGTTTTCTTTTCACCAAGTATAGTTTGGAGTGGCTGGCTCTATCTGACAAAGACAGGAGGAGAAAAGGCTGCAGGCCTGGGGAAGCACCAGGCTGAGATCTCTGCACCCCTGTCGTTTTTCTTTTCTTTTCTTTTCTTTCTTAATGATCTCAGATGTCATTTAATTTTCACAACAAAGCTACAGGATGGGTACTGCTATTGCCTCCTTTTATGAAAAAAGGAAACAGGCACAGAGAGGCTAATAGTCCAGGGCCACGGAGCTACTAACTTGTACAGGCAAGATTAGAACAGTGAGTCTGATCCTTAACTAACCGTGGGAGGGAGATATTTTTTTCCTACATTCAACCATACAGGGGGAGGAGGAATTGCCTAGAAAGTATGTGATGCTTTCTTTATTTTTATTATTATTTTTTATTTTACTTTTAGTTCCGGGATACATGTGCAGAATGTGCCAGTTTGTTACATAGGTTTATATGTGCCATGGTGGTTTGCTGCACCCATCCACCATCTAGGTTATCACCTAGGTTTTAAGACCCGCATGCATTAGGTGTTTGTCCTAATGCTCTCCCTTCCCTCTTCCCCTACGCACCGACAGGGCCCGGCGTGTGATGTTCCCCTCCCTCTGTCCATGTGTTCTCATTGTTCAGCCCATTTCTGAATTTGAAGGCTTTCAAGCCACTGATGACTGTTGAACTGAAACTTCCTGTGCTCTGGAGCTATTTGGAGAGTTAGGACCCGTTGTTGTGTCCCAGCGTCCAGCAGCCGCCGGGGTTTGCAGGGTCGGGTGATGGCGTTCCTCTGGGGAGCTGGCGCTTTCCCTGGAGTGCAGAGTGTGGCTCTCAAGGGCGGTGCAGGCCTGAAGGCCCTGGGAGAAATGGAAGTGGGAGGACATGAGAGCCGCTGGAGTCGAGGCCTTGTCCTGGTGCTCCTGGCTGCAGAGAAGGAGGGCCGGTCCCTGCTCGCAGGCCTTCCCCCCTACCTCCCTGCAGATGTGCTCAGGATCCCTGGAAGCCCGAGTCACAGGTCATAAATTCTCCCAGCTGTTTGGTGCTGATGACAGCAGCCCTATTGGCTCACCACATGGGCATGGCCAGCCCAGAATTAAGGCCTGACTCAGCCTCATTTCCTGTCACTCCATGGGTGTGTTTGAGAGGAGCTCAAGAGTTAATGAAAAGGGTTTTTAAAAAAATCCATATGCCTTGAAGGAAAGTTGAGAGCAGCACTCCCCCTGGATCAAGAGTCCCATTAATGCTGATGACTTGTGTCTTCATCCCACATACGGTTTTCAGCAGCTTCAAAGGGGACTGAGTTACACTGGAGAGGGTAGGACACTGGCAGGAAAGGGGATGCCCCCGAGAGAGGTCAGACCGGGGGTCTGTGAAGTCTCCCCAGTGAGCTCCAAGGTCACCTTTGCCCGAAGGAGACCTGAGACCTGCCTCCCCTGAATGCGGACGTTGAGGGCATTCCTGGAGGAGCTGGGTGGCCGGTGCTCCTTGGGGCCCGGGCGCTGCCAGCAGAGGTGTTTATCAGACCTTCACTCGAACACATGTGTTTGAAGCAGCCAGCCAGTGTCTGCTGATCACAAAACACTCCAGATGGACGGGGCTCTGAGGCGTGTGTTTTGTTTGCTTTAAAGTTTAAAGGGCTTCTGAAGGTGTGTTTCTGTGTTTCCCTTTAAAGGACTTGCAGCCACTTGCCCGCCAGCCTCCCCAGCTGGCAGGTTGCATAACCTGCTCCCCGACTTCTCTAGGAGCAGACCTGGTCTTCACATGTGTCTCTCTTTACCTGAACCCTCGAAGGCTTGTTTTTTTCCCTTTATGCCGGCTCAGCCGGCTCTCAACCACCATGGCAAACATGATGCTTTACAGAAGGTGGATTCTAATTCTTCTGCAGTTCTGTCCCGGATAACTCCTTCCTTACAGTACGATTCTTTCACCTGCCCGTCAAATGTGCTGCTCCTAATGCCTCCAGGCTTGCTTCTGCCCCAGAATCTGTCTCCCTCCCTGCCTGGGGCAGGGCTACCTGGAGAGGCACAGACACGGCTCTTAGGGGCTCCTGGAAAGCTCTCACCCACCCTCTGAGATTGCAGAAGGGAGCTTTTGATAAAGCATCATAAAATATCACTGTTGCAGGCTAATGAGCCCCGCTCTGATGGCTGTGTTGCAGATTTCTGATTTTGGTCTGGCCAAGTGCAACGGGCTGTCCCACTCGCATGACCTCAGCATGGATGGCCTGTTTGGCACAATCGCCTACCTCCCTCCAGAGCGCATCAGGGAGAAGAGCCGGCTCTTCGACACCAAGCACGATGTATACAGGTGTGTGACATGCCGCCCCCCATCCCCTGTGGGTGCCAGGGGCTCTCAACCTCAATGCTTCATGCCCTGAGCTGCAGCTTTCAGAAAGGCCTCTTGCTGCCAGTCAGAAATGGGGCTCGGGCCAGGCGCGGTGACTCACGCCTGTAATCCCAGCACTGCGGGAG
The DNA here is from genome assembly GCF_000001405.40 of Homo sapiens. Lineage (NCBI taxonomy): Eukaryota > Metazoa > Chordata > Mammalia > Primates > Hominidae > Homo > Homo sapiens. The sequence goes on along the minus strand of NC_000021.9, from coordinate 41,750,932 downwards.
GCCGAGGCAGGAGGATTACTTGAGCCCAGGAGTTTGAGACCAGCCTGGGCAACATGGTGAAACCTCATCTCTACAAAAAATACAAAAATTAGCCCAGCTTGGTGGCGTGCACCTGTAGTCCCAGCTACTCGGGACTGAGGTTGGGGGATTGCTTGAGCCCGGGAGGTGGAGATTGCAGTAAGTCATGATTGCACCACTGCATTCCAGCCTGGGCAACAGAGCGCGACCCTGTCTAAAAAACAAACAAACAGAAAGGGGGCTAAGTCCACATAGAAGGGGTGGGTGCTTGTAGAGTTCAGGGATTTCTTTGCTGTGAGTGTTGCTAGCCAAGGAGGAAGGGTGTTCCCAGGTCCACATTTGGGCCAGGCTGACAGCCCTGCCCTGTCAGAGCCTTGGTGATTTCATGACCCGTGGGCTTTATGGCTTGTCTGTTGGAAGAACCTGCTGCTTTCAGTGGTCTGTACGCATGTGTGTTTGTACTTTCCGAAATTCACTCTGATTTTGTGAGGCGAGCAGCTCATCTTCTTCATGGCACTTAACCTTTGTTGGTCAGAGATCAATCCCCAAGTCACCTAGTCCCTTCCTTTTTCAAATTGTAAAGGTCTTAATCACACAGACTTCTTGGAGAAGAAAAGTGGGTGGGAGCGTGTGAGCAGGCACTAAGCCTCCCATTGTGGCTGTTATCCAGCAGCACTGTGACTCGGACCCCGCATGTGAGCTCTGCCTTTTGGTCACTGCCGCCGCCAGCAGCCCAGGCTGACTGGTTTGACAGTGGCCATTGTGCATGTGCTTAGCTGGGGCTTTAAGCTGAGAGTTGCCTGGAAGTGTCACTTTGGAGACTAGTCACAGCTTGTAGAGTTTGGGGAGATTGAGATCCTCTCCATTTATTTTAGAGTTTGGAGTTCCAGCTTTTGAACCTGCCGTTTGAACTAATTTTCGATGGTGAATTCGTTGTCTATAAACAGCCCTCACCAACTCAGTGCTCCTTGGAGGCTCAGTTTTCGGACTTCTGTTTTTCTTTTCTTTTTTTTTTTTTTTTTTTTAATCAATTTGGGCACTTTTTTTGGTGTATCCAGAGTAATGTACATGAACGTATCCCTCATATTATCTATATATTTCTAAGCAGCCCCCGAAAAAGGCTTTGGGGCGTTCAGCTGTGTTGTCTCCTACGTTTTCTGCGCACTTTCTTTAACAACCCTCTAATGATGAACTCTCAGTGAGCCTCTGTTAGGAACGCTGAAATCTCAGCAAGCCTACGTTAGGAACGCTGATCAGAACCAGAATCCGTGTTTTCAGAGAATGAAATCATTGTTGGGGGAGGGCATGGGAGTTGCCCATCATTCATTCATCCATTTCTTCAGTAAATGCCTGCGCAGGTGCTCTGTGCCTGGTGCTTGCGAGAAGATATCAGTGAGGCACACAGGCGCTGTTCCCCAGGAGCTCACGCCCCGCATAGGGTGGCACCCTCTTTGGAAGTCCCTCAAGCTGCCTGAAGATTGTAGCCCAGTTGGCGAAGTTACTTGAGTCTGTCTGACATCTGAGCTATCAACATGCTGGGCTTCACTATAGAGAATTTTCTCTTTTTAAAAACAGGAGAAATATCTCGGTGTCATGGCTCTGTCTTTGGAAGGCTTCAGAACAGGTGTCTTCACGCCTGTTGCTGTGCATGAGTGCATTTGGCTTTGAGTCTCTGGCTGTCAGATGCTAACGTGCCTGGTTTCTCTTCCAGCTTTGCGATCGTCATCTGGGGCGTGCTCACACAGAAGAAGCCGTTTGCAGGTGAGTGGACCTGTCTTTGAGGTGTAATGTGCTTGTCTTTCCTGGAATAATGGGGGGACACCTTGTTGTCCTTTCTCTATCCTAAAACAGAGCCTGTGATCCACGCTGCCATAGGTGCTGCTCTGTGGTGTAATTTGCATGCAGGAAAAGACACAGATCTGAAGGGGCCTGTTCAATGGAATGTTTTTAGGTGCCAGCTAGTTTTTTTGTGGTAGTAAAATATATATAACATAAAATTGGTCATGTTAGCCATTTAAAGTGTATAATTCAGTGACATTAACTACACTGGCAGTGTTGAACAAGCGTTACCACTGTCTAATTCCAGAACATTCTCATCATGCTAGAAGGCAAAGCCCATGGCCATTCTGCAGTCCCTCGCCCTTCCTCCTGCTCAAGCCCCAGCAACCACTCACCTGCTTTCTGTCTCCAGGGGTTTGCCTGTGCTGGTATTTCCAGCTAATTCTTTTTTGTTTACTTTTTAAAAAAATAGTCATAAAATACACAGAACAAAACTTAGCATGTCAGCCGTGTGAAGCATACAGTTCAGGAGCATTACATGTACCCGCGTGCTTGCGCAGCCAACCTCCAGAGCTGCTCAGTGCCATGGAGTTGCTTGCAGGAGTGGCACCCCTGCCCAGCTTGAGAGCTGTGGTGTTTGCTTCCCCAGCCAGGCAGCCACCATTCCGAACACCATCCTCAAAGTTGTCACACCTTGACTTACTTATCATAAAAATCCAGGACTTTTTAGCTTTGTTGGACAGATTCCCTTTTCCTCTAAAGACATTTCTGGGCTACTCATGATATTTTGTGGTGTGACCGAAAATGTCTAAAAATGAAGATGAGAGTCAAGGCCTAGCCCCTTGTTAGTCGGGGCTCAGACTAGGAGCCGATGTATGGGAAAGTGCTGGGGTGAGAAGAGATCTTCCAGCATCGCAAGATCAAGTATCTTGGCAGCTTTAAAAGAATGTCAGTAGAAAGCACAGAACGCGTCCTGCCAGGCCTCTGCTGGCCGGTGTCCGTCTGTGTTGTCTGACCGCCTGTCGCCTTTCTTGCCTTCTGTACGTTCTCCCGCACAGTGGCCTACAGCCCGAAGGCTTGTGAAATGAGGCAGTGTCTGATAGATGTGACACCCGAAGCTAGGCGCAGGGGACAGGTCAAGGCTCAAGCCCTTGTGCTTTATTGCTGAATATGCCTAGTGTTCCCTTATTGGAACGCTAATCATATGGGAATTATTCGTGTCCTACTGTTCAAGGTCATCGCCAAGGTCTGATTTTTCAAATTCAAAAAATTGCAACCTCAGGCAAAAATGGGTAGGAGGGGGTTCAAGGTGCAGGAGAACAAGGCCTCTCCCCAGCTTTTCCAGTCTGTGCTTGGCAGCAGGAAACATTCCGGGCGTTTACTTCAGTTTGCTTCCATTTTATTTAGAGGAGCTGTTGGTTTTGAAGTCTGAATAATCATGGAAATAGCCTGCTAAACACTTAACGATATTTATTGCACAAGATTTAATGGGAAAGTGGAGCAAAACATTGTATGGAATCCTGGCAGCCGTGGGTGATTCTCGGCTGATTTTCCACACCTGCTGAGGCACATGGCCTCTCCAAAGAGCTGCCATTCCATGCGTGGGTGTGTTTGGATCTGGAGGGCAGAGAGGGCTGTTGGGAACAAGAACCTTGAGGGTTCCAGGCTAAGCAGAAAAAAGAACTTGGCCCACTGGATGTCACCCTGGGCCCTTCCCAGTCAGGGTAGAAGTTGTGGCAATAATAATAATAAGCTAGAGCCCATGCATGCTAGTGAAGGCAGTTGGAAAGGACAGGTGCGGCCCCACATGGTGAATTGAGGGGAAAGAGCCCTTCCACACATCCCAGCCCTGGTGCACCGGCAGGGGAGGCCAGCTGGGGACCTGAGCTTGGGATTGGAGTTGGAACTGAGGAAGACTTCTTCGCCATTGTAGAGAGAGTTGGGTCTCTGTGGATGTAGGACGCTGTGGCTCCTCCATGGTGCGTGAGCCTCATTCCCTTTGCTGGCTTGGGCTGTTGATGGAATGAGCCTCATAAGATATTGTTCTCCTTTGAACCTCATCTTCCTTTGGATGGGATGCCTAGAAAGATCTGCTCTGTGACCAAACACACTGACTCCTTCTGGTAGATCAGAACCCAGGGAAAGAGGTCGATTTCAAAACCAGGAAACTAGAGAGCATGGCGCACCATGAGGGTGAGGGTTACAGGAAGCTCTGCCTTTGAAACGGAGTGGGGGAGCCGTCTCCCTGGGGTGGTGTGGGGATGGCCCCATTGTGGCCCCCGGCGAGTGTGTCGTTTCCTCCCAAGGGTGAGATGCTGCCACCCAGCCCTGCAGAGCCCCTGACTCGCATCCTTCCCTTGGCAGATGAGAAGAACATCCTGCACATCATGGTGAAGGTGGTGAAGGGCCACCGCCCCGAGCTGCCGCCCGTGTGCAGAGCCCGGCCGCGCGCCTGCAGCCACCTGATACGCCTCATGCAGCGGTGCTGGCAGGGGGATCCGCGAGTTAGGCCCACCTTCCAAGGTGAGCACCCCGGGGTCTCCCCGCCACATTCTGTGGGTGTCACAGGAGACAGAGGTGACAGACAGGACAGGGTGAGGGACCAGGCCTGGGTGAGAAACAAGGCGTGTAACAGGTGGGCCGAAATGAGCCCTGCACAGATAGGTTGGACCCAGCACCTGCCTGCGGCCTCTGGTACTCACGGCTCGGCCACGGCAGCTGGAACTGAGTTGCCTCCAACCATCCGCCCCCTGCTCCCCACCAGGGTTGGGCTTGCCACCCAGAGGAGTCTGTATGGGAGCCTGAAGTTCAGGTGCAGCCATGCTCTTCCCGGGGACTTACCTGGCCGGTGGCCGGCGGCGTCGCCCTTCTCTTGAGGAGTTGACTTCCTGGGACAGATGTGTCTCTGGCATAGGAAAGTCACCCTGATGAGATGGAAACTGCTGCATTTAAAGCTTACGGCAGGAAACGGGCTGAATGGGGAGCTCATCCGCCAGGTGCTGGCAGCTCTGCTCCCTGTGACTGGCAGGTGGCGCTCCCCCGGGGAAGGCTTCCGCCTTGAGTCTGGTGAGGCCTTCAAATGATTACCGATGGGGGGGCCTGGGTTTGGCCAGCAAATTGTCCATGTAGGGCCCCTGGGCTTGCCTGGTGAGCTCAGGCTGGGCCGAGGCGTGTGAGAAATCCCCCAGCTCGTGGGGGCCCTGCGTTTATATGGAACGCGTGTGTACGCAGAAGTCATCATCCGAGTGACATGTCCCCTTTCTTCCCCACAAGAAATTACTTCTGAAACCGAGGACCTGTGTGAAAAGCCTGATGACGAAGTGAAAGAAACTGCTCATGATCTGGACGTGAAAAGCCCCCCGGAGCCCAGGAGCGAGGTAACGAGTCCTTCCCACAGGGGTCTTTTGTCTCCTCGGCTTCCAGGCAGGAGTTTCCAAACCACTCCTCTTTGCAGAGTCCCCCGCCGCCCGGACCACTCTCCCTCTCTTCTGAGCCCATCCCGCACCCAACTCCATTAGAAGTGTAGGTCCCATGGGGGCTCAGGTCCACCTGCCCGACTGCATCCCCGCCCCACCTCCTGTCTGATTCTGCGTGAGTGGCGGAAGGGCTTCCCTGACACTAAATAGCCACTCATTGGATGTGTGTGGACCACGGGGATCAGAAGGCCCAGCCCCGGCCGGGGAGGGAGAGCTGGTGTCTGAGTGTCTTTGCACCCCTGGCTCGGGGATCCAGTTCCTTTATAGCTGCCCATAAATGGTCTGCACTCTGATGAGTGCCACCCAGGTGATTTCAGATGTGATAAGAAGCTCCAAGTAGCAGGGCTGGCTAAATGCCTTTTCGGGTGATGAGGCTGGAGCAGACCTGTGAGGCCCAGCTGATAAGTGAGCTTTATAACGTGTTATCTGGTGTTGGGCGATTAATCCCAGGCTGTTGGTGTGAGCTCAGGAGATCAGGAAATATGTATATCAGGAATATGCGCCCACTGCCTCAACATAAAGTGCATGTGTGCCAGTGAGCCCGGGAGCAAAGGTGCCCGGGGGTTGCTAGTACAGAGGCAGACCTGGGCCCTGATAAGGGAAAGAAGGCAACCAACATGTAGGGGTGGCTCGGTACACCCAGCAACAGTGCGGGACCTCGAGCCGTCCCACAAAGGGTGGGGAGTTGGGGCAAACAGGTGTGCCTAAGGGAAGAAGCGTGAAATCCCGTCAGATTCCACTTACCCACCAGAAACCTGCTGCCCCTGCAGTCCATGAAGCGAGACTCTTTAAAAGGCCCCATCGGTGTATGTCGGATTGGATCACCCCTCGTCCCTGTAGCCGGGTCCTTCCCCTTTCCCTCGTCCCCACACAGCCCCCAGGCCAGCCCCACGTGGCTCCGCGGGGAGGTCGCAGTTGTGGCCACGTGTGGGGGTCCTGCCCAGTTCCTGTCTGTCCTCTCGTTTCCTGCCAACGCTGGCCTGTGCTGGGCAGCTGTGTCCCGCCATACATGCCTCACATTCTGCAGCTTGACACCGCCTGCCTTTTGTCTGGGTGACGCTCTGTGCAGTGTTACTGAGCAGATGGTATCCAGAGCTGCATGAGGCTGGATTTTGCACTTTTATGAAGGCTATCTTTCCTTAAGATGTCTCCGTGCTGGGTGGGGCCAGCGCAAGTCTTTGTAGCTCCAAGTCTTTGAGCTCCCTGGCGCTGTGCGGGTGCAGAGTCTGAGCATCCCAAGTGCTGTGCGGGTGCAGGGTCTGAGCTGCCCGGCACTGTGCGGGCGCGGGGTCTGAGCTCCGCGGCGCTGTGTGGACATGGCGTCTGAGCTCCCTAGTGCTGTGCCGATGCGGGGTCTGAGCTCGGTGACCAATAGGTTATCTGCATTGCTTCCAGGGTCCGTCCTTTCCTCCCCCATCTCCCTCCCGTGGCCCACCTTGCTCTTCTGTGTTTGTGTCATGGGCGGGCCATGCGGTCTATGGCAGGGTCTTCACCCACCCCCTCTTCTGCATCTTCGCAGGTGGTGCCTGCGAGGCTCAAGCGGGCCTCTGCCCCCACCTTCGATAACGACTACAGCCTCTCCGAGCTGCTCTCACAGCTGGACTCTGGAGTTTCCCAGGCTGTCGAGGGCCCCGAGGAGCTCAGCCGCAGCTCCTCTGAGTCCAAGCTGCCATCGTCCGGCAGTGGGAAGAGGCTCTCGGGGGTGTCCTCGGTGGACTCCGCCTTCTCTTCCAGAGGATCACTGTCGCTGTCCTTTGAGCGGGAACCTTCAACCAGCGGTGAGTGGGGACGCCTCTGTGTCCCGAGAGATGCTGGGCTTGGCGGGACAGTGGACTGGACTCAGTGAGAAGCTAAACGGAATCAAGGGGACAGTTTCTTGACCCAGCAAGAATTCTTCTTTGTGTTCTCTCTGTCTTAAGTAATTAATTTTGTGTGTTGGGCATTTGGCTCCGTCTTATGTCACTTAGCATGTGTGGGGAACAGGCCACATCACCAGTCTGTGCAGCAGTCTTGCCTGTGCCAGTGCCATGGGTGGAGGCTGACCTCAGGTCTACAGATTGGAAACCCCCTCCAGTGCAGTGAGCCTGGCGAGTAGCCGAGCCCCACTCCCTGGCGGGCCTCCTGTCTCGGGCGTGGCAGTCCCGCACCCTCTGCTCAGACGCTGCTGGGTACACACCCACGCCTTCGCATATGTGGGCTCCCCGTTCACGGTAGTCCAGGCCTAGTAATGTGTTGGTTATCCTTGGAGGTTTTACCACCAGGCCACCTTTGCAAACCACCTGATAGGGAGGAGCACTTCTCTTTTAGCTAATCTCATCTTTTTATGTTAATTTTGATGGCTTTTGTTTCTGGAAGGTGCTTTTTTTCCTATCCCTGCCCCAGGGTGCTGGACCTGGTGCTTGTTCTGGCCTCCTTTCTGCCGGCTGCAGGGGTAAGATGTGGTCCTGCCCTGTTCCTGAAGGGGCTGCAGCTCTGATGGAAAATACAGGGATTTACACTCAGGGCTACAGCCACGGGGGCTGAGGGCCAAGGCTGCAATCTCGGGGGAAGGGGAAGTTGGCTTTTCCTGGTGGATTGGAAACATCCTCTTGGAGGCAAAGACTTTTCCTGGATCTTACAGACTTCCCGGGATTTTTAGATTAGAATATTGGGGGCAAAGGAGGCTGTCTTGTTTTAAGGCAATGCTACATAGACACAGTGGGGAAGACCTGGTTCGACGGCAGATAAGCAGTGGGTGATGGGCTTGAGGAGGAGAGTCAGGGCAAAGTCTAAGACTGAGCAGAAAGAAATACCACCATCTCCCATGGATAAGTACGTTCTAGAACATTCTCTTTGGGTCTAATACTCTGAAATGACATCTTGTCTTCATGCTCGAGAGAGAATTACTTCACTGGCTCCACTTGGAGTGCCAGTGTTCAGACACCAAGCCTGACTGGGAGGGTTCCGTTTTCTTAACACCTTCCCACCGCCGACTTCCAAGTCCCCACGCGTTTCACATGAGGGCGGAGGAGAGTCTCGTTGCAGGGTTTCAGCATTCCAGGCACTACGGTAGGATTTTTGTGGTAAATACAACTTTTCATCCTGAGTGCTGGACTAACGTCCTCCTGAAACGAGAAGCTCGGTCCCTTCAGGATTATCATAGAAAACTTCCGACTTAACCTCCCCAGGTCAGGAGGTGCCACTTCGAGGTGGGGCAAGAGCTGGAGCAGCCCCTTCCAGCTCTAGTCACCATCTCTGCAGGCTGCTAGGCCTGGGGCGTCCGTGGGTGGCAGGTGCCAAGGCTTCCAGGCGAATGGGAGCTCTGGCCTGGTCTTTTTAGTCTGTGCCCTTTTTCCTTCTTTCTTTAATGAAGGGATGTTTGCAGTCACTGCCATCTCTAAGCACCAAGGGGGCTCACCACCCCGCAGGACAGGGAGAGCGGGTTTTATTTTGCAAACCGACTAACGAGCACCTGGGAGACATTCGCCAGCCTGCCCCGGGGCTCCCGCTAGGACTGACCTTAATCACGAGGCACAGACAACGCTCAAACACAGTCGGGTGACCAGCGAGCAGCCTGGAGGCCATGGCACTCCTCCACCTGAGCGCCACAGCCAGGCTCCCAGAGACGCCACGTCCCTGGATGTGCAGCCACGCTCTGACCTTTGCCTCTCCTCTCCCTGCAGATCTGGGCACCACAGACGTCCAGAAGAAGAAGCTTGTGGATGCCATCGTGTCCGGGGACACCAGCAAACTGATGAAGATCCTGCAGCCGCAGGACGTGGACCTGGCACTGGACAGCGGTGCCAGCCTGCTGCACCTGGCGGTGGAGGCCGGGCAAGAGGAGTGCGCCAAGTGGCTGCTGCTCAACAATGCCAACCCCAACCTGAGCAACCGTAGGGGCTCCACCCCGTTGCACATGGCCGTGGAGAGGAGGGTGCGGGGTGTCGTGGAGCTCCTGCTGGCGCGGAAGATCAGTGTCAACGCCAAGGATGAGGACCAGTGGACAGCCCTCCACTTTGCAGCCCAGAACGGGGACGAGTCTAGCACACGGCTGCTGTTGGAGAAGAACGCCTCGGTCAACGAGGTGGACTTTGAGGGCCGGACGCCCATGCACGTGGCCTGCCAGCACGGGCAGGAGAATATCGTGCGCATCCTGCTGCGCCGAGGCGTGGACGTGAGCCTGCAGGGCAAGGATGCCTGGCTGCCACTGCACTACGCTGCCTGGCAGGGCCACCTGCCCATCGTCAAGCTGCTGGCCAAGCAGCCGGGGGTGAGTGTGAACGCCCAGACGCTGGATGGGAGGACGCCATTGCACCTGGCCGCACAGCGCGGGCACTACCGCGTGGCCCGCATCCTCATCGACCTGTGCTCCGACGTCAACGTCTGCAGCCTGCTGGCACAGACACCCCTGCACGTGGCCGCGGAGACGGGGCACACGAGCACTGCCAGGCTGCTCCTGCATCGGGGCGCTGGCAAGGAGGCCATGACCTCAGACGGCTACACCGCTCTGCACCTGGCTGCCCGCAACGGACACCTGGCCACTGTCAAGCTGCTTGTCGAGGAGAAGGCCGATGTGCTGGCCCGGGGACCCCTGAACCAGACGGCGCTGCACCTGGCTGCCGCCCACGGGCACTCGGAGGTGGTGGAGGAGTTGGTCAGCGCCGATGTCATTGACCTGTTCGACGAGCAGGGGCTCAGCGCGCTGCACCTGGCCGCCCAGGGCCGGCACGCACAGACGGTGGAGACTCTGCTCAGGCATGGGGCCCACATCAACCTGCAGAGCCTCAAGTTCCAGGGCGGCCATGGCCCCGCCGCCACGCTCCTGCGGCGAAGCAAGACCTAGCTGGCTGCCTGCGGAGACCGGGGGTCCACGTGGGGCTCTTGTCCTGTCCTGTGTTCCTCGTGGGGATGGAACGATCCTGCGTGGGGCCCTGTTGTGGCTTACCTAAATGTTAACCAAGCAGAGGTGACATGGTGCCATCAGGAGGCGGCTGCTGCTGACCGGAGTGTCCCCTCCAGGTGAAGCTGGCTCAGGTGCACATGCCCGCTCCATCATCGATCTAGGCACCTGCTGTCTGAAGGGACCGTGGGTCAGAATCATTTCGTTGTGCTCCTAATGGGTCGCTGAGGCTGGTCTCTCAGTGATGAAGCCCCAGGCGTGGAAGCATCCACTCTCTCCTGAGGCGAGCCACCTTGGGTTGCTGGAGCTCACCAGTCTTGAGGGAGGTGCAGGGGAAACTGTGTTTTTTATCTTCATACATGACGGTGGGCAGAGAGGCCTGTCTTAAAGTTTCCATGGAATTGTTTTATAAAATATCTTAAGAGATGAATACCTTATCAGCTGTTGCTTGAAACCTGTTAAAAATGTTCATAACATTGGATAGTCTAGTCTCTAAATGATGACTAAGTAGTGGGGTTGGCTTTGAAAACAATGTTTTATGCAACAAGGAACGAATGGTAGCAGCCAGCTTTGCGGGGCGTATGTGTGGCCAGCTCTTAACCATTCCAGTCTATTACTTGGGTGAGTCCTTGTGGACAACCACACACACGTGCCCACATGGTACTAGCTGCCGTTCGTTTCTCGTTGCCTAAGATGTTTTGGCAACTCTAGAGCCACAGGCCTAAGTCATTAAAAAATTCTCCCTTTGTAACCTCAGTGCTGGGGACTGAGGCGAGCCCCCTCAGGTCGCTGGAGTGCACCAGTCTTGGGGAAGAGGTGCAGGAGAAGCTGTGTTTTTTATCTCCACACGCAGTATGAAGATAAAATTACATAGTATTACCTAGACATAGACAGTATTACCTAGGTAGATGCACTGCTCACCTGCGCCCTTCCCAGCTCTCATTTTTGTTAGGTGATTTGGGATAGGGATAGTGTTTTGGGGTATGGGGGGAGTGTTTCTGACCTGCTTTGCAGACGTGCCTCCGCACCTCAGCAGTTTGGGGTGTGGCCCCAGGGCGGTTCTTGGATGTAAAAGATGTGGCCATCTAGCCTCGTAACTTCACTGTCACCTGTGTCCCATAGGGTGCCTTCTGAATACTGTTATTAGAATAAGTTTGTTGCAGAACGTGACCCTGCGTGCAAACATGTACCGTGGCCTGGTATATGATAGAGATTGATATTAATGTACCATGTATGTTAATGTGAATCTGTGGGCAGGATACTTTTCCATGGCAGGAAATATCCAAGCTGTTGAAACTGGCTATGTTTTAATATGCCTCATTGTGCCTTTACTGTTGTGTGGACTGCGTGAGGGACAAGAAGTTCCATTTGATGTCAATAAAGCAAAGTACTTGCCTACTTTTTTGAAGCTGGTTGAGACTGCTTTTTCTTATCAACGAGCTCGAGTAATCTGGTTTCTGAAAACCAAAGGCTTGAGGCAGTGACGGAAGCTTGCAGATGGCCTTCTGGAAGGGCCCCTGTGTCCTCAATTAACCCAGGCCGCGGGACCCCGAGAAAGCAGAGGGTGGAGCCGGGCGTCGTCCTCTGCCTGGGTCCCTCCGCACACGGGTGATCAGGTGGGGGAGAGAAGTGTGTCTTGATGGAAGCTCCCAACACTGAAGTTTTTATTGAAATGTTATAGTTCTTACGTTCTGTATTTTGAAATAATTTCAGATTACAGAAAAGTGACAGGAGTAGTACATAGAACTCTGGTAACCCTTCAGCTAGATTCCCTGTTTGCTTATATTTGATTGTATTTGCCTTTCTCATCCACCTACCTACCTGTTCGAGAGTAGGTTGCAGACAGTGTGCCCTGTTACTCCTAAATACTTGCCTGTACATTTCCTAAAAACAAGAGTTTCTCCTGCATCACCCACAATTTACCCATCACATTCAGGAAATTAACATTGGTAGGATATTACCATCAAATCTGCAAATTCTCTTCAAATTTTGCTGATTGTCTCAAAACTGTCCTTTATAGAAGAAGAAAGTTGAAAAACACGCAAGCAGCACCTCTTTTTTTTTTCACTCTCTGGCCTGGGACCCCATGGTGTTCAATAGCCATGTGGCTTCCGTTTTTATCAATCGTCAGTTCCTCAGTCTTCTCTTTTCTGACTTTGAATTAACTTATGACATGGAGCTCCTTCATGGGTTCATTCAGACCTTTTGGGAAGTATGGCCAGTTATTTGGTGGAATGTCCTCAGTTTAGGTTTATCTAATTTTCCTCAAGATATGGTTTAGGTTACGCATTTTTGGCAGAAATACCACAGACATGATACTGTGTACCAAGGAGGGCTTTTTCCCCTCCCACTTTTGTTTATTTACATCAATATGCAGTCTTGGATCCCTGTTTAATTGATGGGATATTCTGATTATTTTGATGGTCAGGTTAGCCCTGATTTGGCCGGTTTGGGCACCTCTACGCAGGCTCCTGTGCCCCCTCACCTCCCATCTTTCTCTGAGTGATTCCTTGCTTTCTGACACAGTTCCAGGCCCACCTTGTACTTATTTCCCCAGCCTTGGAAGAAGCCATTTCTCCAAGGAAACCGTTTCTCTGAGTGGAGAATGGTTCTTAGACGCCAAGATGTGGGTGCTGGAGGTGCTCATTGTTACTGGGCTGTCATTGCTTCTAGGCCCTCAGCAGACAGACGTAGGAAGCTGCATGCAACCTATGTGAATATCACATACACGTTTCTGTGTCTTACTAGAAACTATGATTTCACATCCATGCCTTCGGTTACAGCCCAGCATCCCAGGGGTCACTCTTGCTGGTCTGTATTTGTATCTCCTTTCTCTGGCTGTGGGAGCCATTCCCATCATCCTCAACACACACACGAGGTCAATCTTGGTGTGTGATGATCTCCCTGACAACACTGGTGGCCTTCTTGGCTGCGCCGTGCCTAGTGACCCTGTCAGTGGGTCTCCCTGGCCCTGCAGAATGGTGACTCACCCTTAAAGATTTTTATGCTAGGTAGCAATGCCTAGGAACTGTTTCTTACTAAGACTATCATTTAGCTTAACTTTTTTTTTTTCATTTAGGAACCTACATTATTTCCTTGCCTGTCTTGAAATAGTGATAATTTAACAAGCCTCCCATTTTTCTTCTTAATTTCTCAGAAAATTCAGGCATTTTCCTTCCCCTCTGATCTCTATTCTGTGTTTTTTCGTTCAGGAGCATCTTCTGGTTTGAGGATTGAATGCATTTTTATATCCTCCACTTTAGGAAAAGTCTGCCCCTTTGTTCCTGGGAGGAAACAAAAGTGGGTCTTATGCTTCACATGCTCTGCAGTTGTTCTGGGGCCAAGGGTCTTTTAGTACACCCCTGGCTATTCCCTCCAGAACCCCAGCCCTGAGCAATGTCAGAGAGATGATTCCAGCCTGCCTTCATCAGCTGTGAGATGTGGAGATGGTAGGTTCTAGAAGAAAAGTGGTTCTCCCCGGCTGGAGCAAACCAAGGTGCAAGACAGGTCCGCATGCCCTGACATCCAGGCCCCCAGACCATCTAGCTCACTGCAGCCCTCCCAGTGGCCAGGGGATGAGGTCAGGACCGGGGGGTATGGGGCCAAACATCCCCTCATTACTGACCAGGATATCCAGTTCAGGGACCAGCCAAAGAGGAGTAGTGGAGCACTCCGCCCGGGTTTCCCGCTCTGCCCCGCTTCATTCACACCTCCATGACACTGGCTCAGAAAACTGTCCTTGGGATACTTTCTTCCCGTGCTCCTCCATCCTCAGCTCCAGCCAAGTCAGAAACAGCCTGCTGGGCTCAGATGCACCAAGATTTCATTGTCAGCACTCAACCTAGACCCACACCTGAAGCCACACTCTCAGAGAGCAGATGGGGAACACCTGACCCATGATTGGCATGTCTTCTGGATCTGTGGTTTCAGTACACTGTCCTACAAATCTTAGGACATTTTGGGCCTCACTTCAGGGTTCTTCTGAAGTCCCTCTTGAGTGGAGGGCAGTGGCCAGTCAACCTCTTGGTGCTTCACCAGGACGCCTGACAGCAGAGGGACCTGTGTACCTGAGGGCTTCCTTGGCAAACAACTGGTTTACCCAGAGTGCTCCACTCCCAGGCTATTGAACCAGGAGTTGCCATCTTCTCCCAGGCCCTTGAACCTGACTGACCCCAGTACTCAGGGGACTTTGTTTACCAGGATCATCCACAGTGCCAAGGTTAGCTGGTCTGTTCATTTCAAAAGAGTGGGTGTAGTGTGTGAAGGCCTCCTACTGGCACTGCAGAGGGAGGGGCAGGCACTGGCACAAGGTGACATTTGGAGGACGGAATCCCTGCCCCAAAGCTGACATTTTGGATGCCAGGTTGACATCTTAGACTATCAACCCTGAACAAATTTTCCTCCCTCCCTCATTTTGTCCTTCTTTCTTCCCTTTCTTCTCCCAATCCCTGCTTCTCCCTTCTTTCATAACTAATTGTTGCATGAGGTCAGGAGTTCAGAACTCCACTGCACAAGGCAACGGGGCCCTGTTCTCAGGTGCCTGGGCTCTGGCCTTCTCTGCACCTGTCCACGGACTTTGATGTTCAGGAGGGCAGCGGCACCAATGTTTACTGCAGAGTAAGGAGGCACCAGGTGGCCAGTCTGTTCCAGGAATGGTGCTAGTCACTGCTTTAGGCCCTGCAGACAAATATTAATAATAATAATAATAATAATAATAATAATAAGAAGAAGAAGAAGAAGAAGAAGAAGAAGAAGAAGTACTGCTTCATGAAATCCAGTGTCAGAAATGGCTGGATCCAGATGTTTAGTGTCTCCTTTCCCCTGTGTCACCTTTAGTAATGGGCAAGTCCTTTGCAAAATATATCCCTGTCTTCTTGTCTCCAAGGTTAAATGGCCTGAGGATCTCAGTGCAAAGAGAACTTCTTTCTCCCAATAGTTCCCCTTTCCCAAGCCCCAGATTAAAAATCATTCGTAGTTCCTTAGATGCTATTTTTTCTGCATTCTAACAGCTATGAGGGAGTCAATGGCCTCTTACAATTGTCATTGGCAGCATTTTTTCCTATTTTGGAGGTGATCAGGACAATGGTACATTTAGGATTAGAATTCATGGCGTCTCAGAGTGGATGCAGTGTGGTGGCCCCACAGCAGGTTGCGCCCATCCTCAAAACCAAGCATGTCAGCCCGGGGAGGGAGTGTTCCCACAGCCCGGGCTGGGCCAGGCTGGCAGACGCCACCCTGAATGTGGAGGTGATGGTTTCCCAAGGGAGAATCAGGAATGCTGTTTCTGGAAAAGGTGGCCCAGAGGCCAGCTGTCACAGTCACAGAAGTCCCCACCCAGGATCCCTCACAGGGGCCCTATGGAGGGCTCAGGTACCACTGGAGAATGACCTGGAGTTGTGTGTAGAACACGTGCATTTGCTCGGAAAAATGGAGGACTCCCTCATCCAGGGTGTCTTCCCTCTGAATCATGGGATGTTCTGGAAGATTCTGGAAGGTCTGCCCAGCAGTGGTAACTGTGCACAGCAGCTTTGAAGTCATAGTGGGTGGGTCAGAGTGAGAATCTGGGACCACCTACTGGATCCGTCAGAGGTGAGGGAAGAGCCCCTGGCCACAATCCTCGGTGTAGTTCCCAAATTGCATCCAGAGTGAGGAAGAAAGTCATCTCCACATACCGAACTCCAAGAGAGTCCGGGTGACACAGGGTGGGACCTAAGAGAGTGCACACTTACTAGAAAAGGTCATGGCCCTGAATGAGGGTGAGCCCTGGGATGAACAACCCCCTTGCTCAGGTGGCTGCCTCAGCTGGCTTCAGGAGTCAAAAAACCTTCCGGAGCCTCCCAGGCAACTGCAGTGGCCACGATGACGGTGCTCAACAAAGGGTCTGTTTCCTTGCCTAAAGAAATGTGCTAGGATCTACATGTAAAATGTTAGCACACAAAGGAAGGAAGCTTAAATTAAAAAAAAAAATGCATTGGATGCTAGATTAAAAAGAAAATGCAAGAGAAGGTGAGGAAGCCGGTGGAGCAGGATGAATTCTCGACTTCTCATTTCTCTGCACAACACGATGTAAACTCGACAGTATCAATGTACAGCTGTGTGGAGCTCTTCAGAAAGGTGCTCCCCAAAGCGTGAGCAGGGCTGGCCCCAGAGAGTGGGACTTGAGGGTCGGGGAGGACCTCCCTTTACGTTGTCATGTTTGGGCGGACCTCACCCCTTGGAATGGAGCCTGGAGGTTTCAGCAACCTCAGCCCCTCTGAGGCAACCCAGAGGAAGCTGGCCTCCCTGAGGTGTCTTCCTTCCTCCTTACATCACTTCCTGGTCCCAGTGGTGCTACTGGAAAAACTAGACTCAGGGAGGTGGCACCCGGCAGCTCTGCAGGTGGGGCCGGTGGGGAGGCTGCCCTTGCTCCAGGAGAAAGGACAGGGTGGCCTCCTCCTGGGCTGTGGAACTCAGGCAGAGCCTCTCCTTTTCCTTTCCATCTTTCCTGGTGGCTGTGGGGAAGAACTTGCTCTTCGAGGGTGACCTTGGCTGGTGCGGGGAAGGACACTGGGTGATGTGGGACCCCATCTTTGCCTTCAAGGAATGACTCTTTATAAGTGGGATGATGCTGGAGACCAGGGGAGGGCATGGCCGCGTGCTGGCACACAGCCAAACCCATCACCTTTGTGGGCTCAGTGAAGCCAGACCAGACCTCCTGAGGAGGGGTCTGCTGAGGAGCCAGCCCAGCTGGTCTCTTCACGGTGAACGGGAAGGGGTGCATGGAGGAGGAGGAAGGGAGGGAAGGTGCGGAGGGATGTGTCCCCAAAGAAGAGCTGGAAAGTGCCCTCTCACGATAATGGTGGACGGAGATGTGCTGGCGTTTCCCTTCATTTGCCGATCAGCCAAGGTGTGCGACCTGACAAGCCCACCTGGTGCCCTAATGAGGCTGTGGCTGGATGTTGTCACTTATAGGCCAGCCACTGGCCTGGTGGAGACCACATCGGGAGGTGGTGAGTCTGTCTGTGGGCCGTGTGGCTCTGAAAACCATTTGTTCCTAGACCACAATGAGCTAAACAAGCATTTAGAAAATGTATACTCATTAGACAGAATAATGTTACGTCCATTCAATCTACCAACAATAATGTCAATCTTTAGGGGTGGAGGCACCAGACTCTGAAGGACAGAGAGAAGAGTGGGACAGAAGAGGACTACCTGAGCGCCCTCACCAGGAGCAGGTAGACACCCAGATGGCCTCCCACTCTCCACTCCATCAGCAGACAGGACAAGTTTGAACCAGATGTGCCTGAACCCCACAACTCCAGGCATATCCAGAGTGGGGCTGGGGGAAGCAACTCAGCAGGAGGAAATCGGGTAGACTCTATGTACTTAAGACGTGACCTGCACCCCACCTCCACCCCTCCAGGCTCTCTCCCTTCTCTCAGCACCTCCAAGCAGGAAAAGATCTGCAGACCTGACATTTAGAAGTTCCCTCCATCATGCTGCAGTGACAGTCACCCAGTGATAAGCTCTCCCACACACACAGAGCTTCCAAATATCTGTTGCTAACTGACATCTGAAAAACGAACAGAGATCCCACTAGAACAAAGAAAGCCCTAACGTGAAAGACAAAGACACGACCATCCTAACCAATCCAACAAGCAGATTAAAAAAGCAGAGAAAACAAAGTATGGATCAGAAGAAGACTTTTTCAAAATCTATAATGTCTCAGAACATACATTTTAATGAACACCGGCTCAGGAGTGTGTGTGTGTGTGTGTGTGTGTGTGTAAATATTTAGAGAACAGAAATGAAATTTTTTTAATGTGATGAGAAAAATAAAACTCTCAAAAGTGGAAAATAAGTCTAAGAAAGCAAAGCAAAGAATTTATCAGAGAAAGAAGAACAAATAGACAAAGAAGTGGAACATAGGAGAGGAAAGGAAAGAAAATTAGAGAATTATTCCAGGAGGCCCATCATCCCAATAATAGGAGTTTCAAAAAAAGAAAAAGAAGAAAATGTTTCCAAACTAAAGTACAGGAATCTCACATAAAGAGGGCTCAGCAAGTGCTTAGAGTGATGGCTAGGAGAATAGCCATTGCAAGCCCAGCATGGAAGGATGCCAGGTTGGGGATGGGGTGGTGATGCCAGGACAGGGATGGGGAGGTGACTCTAGGATGGAGCTGGAGAGGTGATCCTAAATGCTTTCAGGTGGAGTGCAAGAAGATGCTAAATCAGATATCAGATGCGTCAGACTTCTAGACAACAGAAAGGGAAGCTTGAAGGCAAGAGAACAATGCTGTCAACATTTTAAGGAAAGTGATTTTCAATTTAGAACTTTCAATTTTGTCCTTCAAATCTCAACTTCCTGTTCATATTTCCATTTTTCTATCTGTTGTGCTATATTCTGCATAAGTTACCTTTAAATGGGAACTGCTCATTCTAGTTGCTGAGTTGAGCTAACTTTGTTATAATGAGGTTATATCTATTCTATAGTTAAGATATCCACTGAGATTTTTATTTCACTCACTATACTTTCCATTTCCCAATGTTCTACTCCATTCTTTCTGAATCTGCCTTGTTTTCTTGGTAGCATCTTGTGCTCATTTCCTTGTTTTATATCTGTAATCATTGTAAACATACCTGTTAAAAGCCATCATCTGATAATCCTATTACCTAGGGTTCTTAGGGATCCAATTCCTCTGATTGTTGGGTCTGCTGGTGGATTGTTTCCTTGTGTGATTTATAATTTTGGATTGTGAGTTCATTTTCAGTAGGACTCTATCTGTGAGAATCTTTTGTGCTTGAGCTGAAGCTGTCTTTACTGAGAGATTTTGTGTTTGCAAGACTCTCAGTTGTCTTGCCAGCCTGTGATCATTTTTGTGCTAATTCTGTGGCTCTGTGGGTCCTGGACTATGCAGGGAGTATAAATTCAAATCCAAAACCTGAACAAGACAGACCCATCATTACAAGCTCTTAAGAGGCATTCCCTTCTCCTCTCCTCTCTTTCTCTTCTCTTCTCTTTTTTTTTTTCTCCTGGCATGGACTGAGATAGATATGCTTTCAGGTCATCTTCCTCTGCTGGTGGGTAAATATTTCCTCTCAGGGTGGCCCTTCAAGGATTTTGCTTATAATATCCTGCCTCACTTGGGCCCCTGAGCTTATCTTCTGTCTCTGGAGTGTTCAACTCCAGGTCCCTGGGTGCCAATATTAATGCAATCCCCAAGTCAATCTAAGCCCAGCCGATGTTCACTATTCAGGCTTTATTTCCCTCTTCTTTTGGCCCCTGGAGATTTTGTCTCCTTTCTTCTTGTATGTTTAGCTAGTTATTTAAAAGGAGTCTCACATTTTATCCAACACTTCTAGCTGTACGGTAGGAATGTTTTCATGTTTAGTCCATGCAACTGGCAGCAAAGAATGCCTCCTCCAAGCTAGAACTCAACATCCAGCCAAATGAGCAGGCCTGGGTTGGGTGGAATCACATTGAATCATAATGATGTACAAACAGTGGATTTTGATTTCATTGTAAATGATGACATAACTCTATAGGGTGGCTGTGGGTGTGGCTGGGGCTGTTATGAAAGCCCTAAATCTTCATCTTCCCTAGTTGGGAATAAATACATAAAATCTTAAACAAAAATTCAAACAAACATCAGTGTAAGCATGTGATGGGGAGAATACTGGAAGAAAGTGCTGCAAGACTGGAGTGTGACTGCCTGCGGTGTGAGACCTGGATTTAGGGGATGAGCAGGTGGGAGAGCAGGGCTTCATGCGTTGTGTTTTCTTGCCCGGAGTTTTTCACTTTTTGCACTGTGTGCATTTACTGATTTGGTGAGACACAGACAATAAAAACGGAAGCTTGAAGGCAAGAGAACAATGCTGTCAACATTCTAAGGAAAGTGATTTTCAATCTAGAACTCCTTTTAATTTTGTCCGTCAAATCTCAACTTCCTGTTCATGTATCCATCTTCTATCTCTTTGTGGTATATTCAGCATTAGTTACCTTTAAACGGGAACTGTCCCTTCTAGTTGCTGAGTTGAGTTAATTTGTTATAATGAGGTTATGTCTATTCTGTAGTTAAGATATCCACTGAGATATTAACAGGACAGAGGCGAAAATGCTGCCTAAACTTGTTTTTGCCGGCAGGAGAGTCCAAAAGGGCTCAGAACATGAGTGAGCCAGGGGCTGGGGGAGGTGTGGGGAAGTGGTGGGCGTGCCTTCTCTCCGAGGGATCCTAGAATGACAGGCATCAAGGGCATCTGCTTTTACTTTCTACGAGGGCCGCTTTGGGTTTCAGCATTAGTTCCTACAACAAGCATTTTTTCTATACCCCCTACATGCCAGCTGCTGGACTAGGTGTTGAGAATTTCACAGCTTTCATGGAGGAGAAAAGGTGATGTCCCAGGTGCACAAGTGACCTCCTAGTTGATGTGAAACCAAGGGGATACCATAAAACCCGCTCCATTGATTTAGAGCTGATCCACTGACGTACAATCATCCACACCAGATTTCTCTTTCCATGCACACAAACCCTCAAAGGCTCATGGTGGCTGCTTGGGGAGGTGGCATTACCAGGGAATTTTCCTTCTCTTTCCTTTAGCCCGGAGTGGGAATAATCGATGTTTACCAGGTGCTGAGTAACTGGGTGGGGCTTCTCTAACGAGCCTGTTCCTCTTGCTCGCCTCCATGCACCCAGACTCTGGATTCGCCGCTGAAGGAAGCAGAGGCCCCTTTGCCTCCTGCCTCTGACCCCTCAGATGGCTTCAACCTTGACCCCTCTCTGAAGCCCTAACCAGGTTTCCTCTAGCTGCCCCCATGTGTGGGCAAGCCTGGCTGCCTCCTGTGACCTTAGTGGGTGGTGGGAGGCGATGGGGCCCCGCCTTCAACAGCACTGCCTGCGGCCTGGCCCGGTGGGTGTTGCCTAACCTGCTAAGGCGAGTGGGTCACACCCTCCGTTTCCTTCCACGGGGACCTTCATCCTCGTGGCAGTGGAGGATGTGGTCAGAAGACCTGGTCCAAGGCCTGCCCCTGCCATTCCTGACCCTCTGTGCCCTTGGTCAAGTCATGCCTGGAAACGGAGGGAGGTTGAGGTAGACATTCTACAGATCTAATGTTTTATAAACGATGAAAAACTGTTGATGGTACAAAGAATTGGGACTCCAATGACTACATGTACACCTGTGTATTTGCATAGCAGCACTATCCACAGGACCGAAAGAGGAAATAGCCCCCATGCCCATCCACAGATCAATGGACTCACAAAATGTGGTCTCCCCCTACAATGGGATATTATTCAGCCATAAAAAGGAATGAAGTTCTGATACGGGCTACCATGTGGATACACCCTTCAAACACGGTGCTGAGTGAAAGATGGCAGGTGGAGAGGCCACATATGGTACCACCCATTTTATATCAGAACAAGTGAATCCACAGAGACAGACTGGTGGCTGTAAGGGCTGGGGAGACACTGTTTCATGGGGCCAGGGTTTTACTCGGGTGAGAAGGGGTGTTTTGGAGCTAGAGGGTGAGGCTGGTTGTATGACACTGTGAGTGCACTAAGTGCCAGGGATTGCTCACTTTAGAGTGCTCAGTTTTATGCTATGTGAATTCTCCCTGAATAAATTAAACAGCAATATGGCTGCGAAACAGAGGCAAGTCCTGTACAGCCAGGACATGAGCTAAAGCCAGCAAATGGGTGTGTGTTCACGTGACTCTTCCAGTCCCATTGGTGGGTTGCTACGAGGCCAGGCGTGCTCATGACAGTTTTGTATTTTTTTGGCTTTCTTTTTTTGTTTTGTAATTTGCCCTATTGCTTTTTAGCTGTGCTAACATCCTGAAACTTACCTATGTGGTATGAAGTCAGGCTAAAGCGTTCATTCATTCATTCATTCATTCATGTCTGCAGTCGTTTGATAGACGTGTACTGCACAGGACCACACGCCAAGGGAGTTGGCCACCAACAGGACAGTCAAGGCCCCAGGGAGCCCAGCATTTCCCAGAGGCACCAGCTCAGCACAGCGCTGCTCACTTCCTGTCCTCAGGTTTACAAGGGTCAGGACCACCAAGTCCACTGCCTTCTTCCCTCTACCCGCCTTCTGTGTGATGGCGGCTCACCAAGGGAGCCGCATGAGGAGGTGCCCAGGCTGGAGGGCCCGCCCTCACACACCTGACTGTCCTGCAGGAAGAATCAGCAGGAAGCCCCATCTGCCGAGGAGAAGGAGGGCAAGCTGGGGAGTGCCCAGGGCAGGTGCTGCTCGTCGGAAATGGGGGGGGGTATGTGGGTATGCAGGGAGCAGCCCCAGGGTCACCCTCAAAGTGATTTCTGGACCCCTTTTGGAGCCAGCTGGGCAGTAGCTTAGAGCTTTCTCCCTGGGGCCCCAGTACGGGAAGGAGGTGCTGATGAGAGCGTCTGGCCGGGTCTGGCTGGGAGACAGGCGCCGGGTGGGAACACTTAGCCAAGTCTCCCTGGTCAGAATTCCCTGCGTGGCCCAAACCTCAGCTCCCAGGAAACGTGTTTGTGGGAAGGGGTGGCTCAGGGGGGGCGCCCTGAAGACCACACCTTCCTGGGAGCGCTTCTAAGACGGCAGATCAGAAAGACTCCTAAAGGGGCCGGGGAGGTCCCGGGCACAGAAGCACTCTGTGGGGCGAGGCCCTGTGGGTTTTCCTGGAGGGCACTGTGGAGGCGGCGGTAATGAGCAGCTCCAGCCGCCGGGGTGGAGCAGCAGGGCCGGCTCAGGAAGGAGGGGCCACAGTGGACTCTGTGGGGTCTGCCGGGTGATGTTTTGGCCATAGTCTGACCCCTCCTGAAGGTCCCCTCCACCCTCACTGTGCCTGGGGAGCTGTGAGCCCCCACGGAGCCTGCCCGTGCTCTTCCTGTCTGCGCTGGGCTGAGGGCTGTGCACGCCATCCCAGCTCCTACTGGCCTCCACTACTGGGGGACAGGCAACATCGTTTCCACTCTGCATGGAGTGAACTCAGGGGGACCAAGTGTGCCTGGCTTCCCAGGGGTGCAGGGTGACCTGGAAGTCCCACGTGTGTTCTGGGCCACACTTCGGGAGGGAAGGGGTTAACCAGACAGCCAGGCAGCCTCTGAGGTTGCCAAGCCACCAGGAACCGCTTCTACTTATCTGGGCACATTTTTCCTTCATTTCTCACAGCCAGCGCAGCCTGTTGCGACCTGCCACCGGAAATCATCACTGCGACCTACTTGAACAGGCCTCCCTGGGGTGGTGGCGGCCTCCCCAATGGGCGACCTCCCTGCGGGCCTCCCCTCCCCTTACAGCTCAGGGCCAGGGGTTGTGCTGTCCCACCACCCACTGGGAGGGTTAGGACATGACAGCCAGGGGACAACTGGTCTAGTCTGTGTTTGTTAAAACGGAGGCCACGGTCATCTCTTCCTAGGACATGGACTAGCTCAGGCCCCAGGAAAGGCCGAGAGTCCAGCCTTGTATGCATCCCCGCCAGGGGAGACAGCAGCAGTGGGAGCCAGGCCTGAATAGCCCGTGGGTACCAAGTGAGGGGCCTGGGGCTCCACTTCTCCCAGTGCAGGGACAGCAGGCTGGTGGCCAGAGGTGCAAGCCTCAGTGTCAATGAGATCTGGGCCTGAGTCCCGGTCTGCCCCTCGGGGATCAGGGGTGAGTCATGCCTCCGCAGTGCTCAGCACACAGGACTCTCCGTCAATCCACGCCAGCGCCCATTTCCCCAGACCTGCCGGTCCTCTCCTGCCTCTCCTGGAGGTGCCAGGCCCCCGCCTGCCCTGCCCCCTTGCTGGGAACCCTGGAATCTCCCATGGCTCCTCCCCTGGCCCACTTAGCCCAGCCTCGCCACCTTCTAACCTCTTCTACTCCTGCACTTTGTCCTTGCTGCCGGCCTCATCCTGCCATCGGCCTCTGCTCCAGAGCATTTCTTGGGACCCACAACACCGTCCTGAAGTGTCACATCCTCCAGCTGACCTTCAGGTTCCACGACGCCCCGGCAGGGGAGGGTGCACCCTGGCTGCCATGGTCCACCTCTGCTCTTACAAGTCCCTCTTACCCTTCACCAGCCCTGCAGGCCACCTGCTCTCTCCTCCAATAATTGTCCCCAGCCCTGCCATCCAGGCGGAAGCAGTCCCCATTTCTTCAGGTCTGGCAGCATTTTGCCGGGACTTCTCTATGGCACGAATTTCATTCTGCTTTGTGTTGTGGTGTCGAGGAAGGAGAAAGAAGAAGAAGGGGGGGGGAGGAGGAGAGGGAGGAAGAAGAAGAAGGGGAAGAAGAAAGAGGAGGAGGAGGAGGAAGAGGAGGAGGAAGGAGGAGCAGGAAGGAGGAAGAAGAAGAACAAGAGGAGGAGGAGGAGAAAGAAGGAGAGAGGGAGGAGGAAGGAAGGGAAGGGATGAGGAAAGCCAGAGGGAGGACACGTAGAGAACCCGGACTCCCTGCGGGCCCCGCGCCCCCGCGCCGAGCATTTCACAGACCTGACTTTGTTTGGTCCCTACAGCCTCCGCAGCGGCCTGCCTGGCTCTGAGAACAGGGCTCTAAGGCACTCGCCCGTCAGCTCCTGGGAAAGGGAGTCTGTTAGGGTTGCCTCTGCTGAGGGGAGGGCCTCGACCAGGCTGGAGGCAGAGCTTTCCCTGCGGAGGCCAGGCTGGCCTTGCTGCTCCGCACCGCTTCGTGCCGGGGAGGCAGGAGAGGCCCTGGACGTGGCCAGTTTTATGTGGGTTCTTAGGGAACTGACAAAGGCAACTTTAAGCTTTGGGTCCCTTCTAAAGGACACCAGCGTGCCTCATGAGCAAGGCGCTTGGTTAGAAAACAGACCCAGACTGGCTGTGAATCAATTCCGGGGTGCTGGACGCGCGCAGAAGGGAAGTGCTCCAAAGAGACCGACCCGCTGCTCTGGGCACAGCCCCGCACGCCTCCCGACCACAGGCTCCGGCCGCCCTGAGGAGTCGGACTGGGTCAGACCAGCGCAGGCTGACCTCACCCCCCACCCCAGAGCTTGTAGCCTCTCGTCCCTCTTGGGGCTTCCACTCTGTCCCCTGCAGAGTGGGCAGTGGGCACCGTTGCCGGGAGGGACCTCAAGGAGTCGGCTGTGATTCCCCCGCTGCAGGGGTGCTGAGGCTGAGCTGAGGGGGGTGGGGCTGACGCCGGAGGCAAGATGGGGCTCCCAGCAGAGTTAGAAGGGACAGGAATAGTGCTCAGGCTTGGGGCTCTCTGGTGGGGGCACCTGCCCGCCATCACGCTCAGAGGGCGTCTGGCCGCTGCTTTGCCTCGTGCACCGTGTGTAGCTGCGAGCGGCAGGGGAAGACACGGCCAACCTTGTGGCAGAGGGCGGCAGCAACTCCCAAGTTTCATCAGGCGGGGAAAGCTGCCTGCCAGATTCACCAAATAAAAGTACAGGACGAAAATGACTCCAGGACACTCAGTTACCTGTGAATTTCACATAATCAACAAATCATTGTTAGTGTGTGTCCTACTTATGGCATGAGACGTACTTATACTAAAAAGTAGTTCATTAGATATTTAATTCAATGTTTAACTGTTCAATTTTACTAACATTTTATTTAAATTTTCACTACATATATTCATTATATTTTAGCATAGGTATATTTCAAATATTGCATGGGACATACTGATATATATATATTTTATATATATATATTTATATATATTATATATATATATATTTTTTTTTTTTTCTAGAGACAGGGTCTCACTATGTTGCCCAAGATGGTCTCAAACTCCTGGACTCAAGTGATCCTCCCACCTTGGCCTCCCAAAGTGCTGGGATTATAGACATGAGCCATCACGCTCAGCCTTTAAATTTTTTTTAAATATAATTAGCTGAAATTCACATTTAGCTGGGGGCCTTGTATTTTATCTGGCATCTCTACTTATATCGCATTTCCCTAGTAATGCTTGGTTATTAGAAAATAATAAAATTTATTTTTAAATTCTCTGGAATTTGGATTTTCCCTCAATAAGTATATTCCCCAGGTTGAACTGTACCCCACTAGCAGAGAGTTTCCTTCCCTGCCTGACAGAGACAGCGTGCTCTGTCACCTGCAAAGCTGCACACAGCGGGAGGGAACGAGGAGGGATGCTCCTCACAGTGGCAAGTCTCCTGTTGCGTGTTGGTGCACCACTGGCCAGGGACTTAGGGGAGTGCTATGAGGGTCACAGAATCCCAGGAGACCCAGACCTGCATGCAGGGGCTGCAGGCTCCACTGTGAGTGCTGGGCCAGGAGCGAGGGGCCAGGGACAAGGGCACGGAGTTGGGTCAGGGACAAGGGCACGGATTTGGACCTGGTCAAAACCACTCCACAGTGGCCAGGCTCGGGAACCTGGCAGTGCCAAGCCTCTCCCAGCCTCAGTCTTTTCCACAGGATGGAGCGAGGACAGTGCTGGCTGCAGAAGAGTGCTGGGAGGATTGGGCGAGTTTTCGGGTAGACAGTGTGGCACACATCTGGCTGGCAGGACCAGCTCAAGTCCTGTTAGCCATTGGTCAAAGATGTCTGTTTACTGCCCTGAGAGAACTCAGCATTTTCCTATTAATGTGATTAGTCAGCCAGGACTGTCCCACAAGGCAAGAGAAGGATGGGGATCCTCATGAAGGTGGAGGAAACACTGGGGGAGAAGGTACCTAACAGGGCAGGCATCAGCCGTCTCTTTCCCCTAAGGCTCCTGATAGGGTCTGGCTGTGTTCCCACCCAAATCTCATATTGAATTGTAGCTCCCATAATTCCCATGTGTTGTGGGAGGGACCTGGTGGGAGATAATTGAATCACGGGGGCGGTTTCCCCCATACTGTTCTCGTGGTAGTGAATAAGTCTCACGAGATCTGATGGTTTGATAAGGGGAAACCCCTTTCGCTTGGCTCTCATTCTCTCTCTTGCTGCCACCATGTAAGAAGTGCCTTTCGCGTTCTGCCACGATTGTGAGGCCTTCCCAGCCATGGAGAACTGTGAGTCCATTAAACTTCTTTTTCTTTTCTTTTTCTTTCTTTTTTTTTTTTTTTTTGAGATGGACTCTTGATCTGTTGCCAAGGCTAGAGTGCAGTGGCACAATCTCAACTCACTGCAACCTCCACCTCCTGGGCTCAAGCGATTTTCCTGCCTCAACCTCCAGAGTAGCTGGGATTACAGGCATCCACCACCATGCTTAGCTAATTTTTTATTATTATTATTTTTAGTAGAGACAGGGTTTCCCTATGTTGGCCAGGCTAGTCTCAAACTCCTGACCTCACACGATCTTCCCGCCTTGACCTCCGAAAGTTTTACAGGCATGAGCCGCTGCGTCCAGCCAAACCTCATTTTCTTTATAAATGACCCAGTCTTGGGTACGTCTTTATCAGCAGTGTGAAAACGGACGAATACAGACCCCAACCTGCCTGCAGCACTGAGAAGTCCACACAGGGCAGCGAGTATGCTTGGGGTGTGGAGCCGCGAGCCTTCTCACGCTCATCCTACCGAGCCTCTTGAGCAAGGCTTTCAGCTGAGCCTGGTCCTCAGACTTCGAACCTGCCTCTTCACCCTCTCCTACGAAGCAAGGCCCAGATGTGGGAATTCTCACCCCTGCACTCCGATGAGGAGGCTGAGGGTCGGGGAGGCCGCGCACCTTCCTCAGAGCAGAGGCTTCAAGGCGGAGGCCAGGTTCCTACCTGGGCGGTCAGACCCAGAGCCCAGGCTCAGAGCCTCCATGCCTGCAGTTAAGCTGAGGGCAGATCCTATCTTATGGACTTTGGGGTCTTAATGTGAATTCACCCTATTAGAGCAGCTGGGGTGGGGTGGGGTTGTTTTTCTCTTTCCTAAAATCTCAGCGAGCTGCTGATTGTGTGCCTGCTACTTCAGTGCCTCTTCTTTTCCCCCCAACTCCCCACACTGTGCCATTCCAGAGCCGCGCGTCCATCCATCCTTCCTCCAGGCCAGGCCTGCCCCTTGGATGCCGGAAGTGGGAGTGTGTGTGTGCGGGGGGAAGTGGGGGGGTGTCAAAGCAACAGGCAGCATGTGTAGGACACACCATCTGTCCTTCAACCCACGCCACGGGCTCTGCTCTCCGTGTCCCTTTGGGAGTCCCTGGTGTCCCCCTGAGTCTGGGGCAGCCTTCCTTCTCTTCACGCCCTCCCCATATCCAGCCAAGCACTGGGTTCTGCTCCAAGTCTCCCTTGAATCTGAGCCCTGACCCCTGCTTTCATTCTCCCTGGGGAGGGCTCTAAGAGGCTCGAGGTCTCCAGGCCTCCCTCCGTCCGGCCTCTCTCAGCTCCTCTACCTGCAGCAACCCTGTCTCCAGCCCTATCTCTCATCCCCCTCCTTGACCCCCATCCCAGCCCCCACGTCTTCCATGGCCCGACTTGCACACTGAACCCCTCCTCCTGGGGCATCCTGCCTGGCCTGAAGCCCTGCCCTCCTCTGCCTGGCTGCTGCCTTTCTCCAGGAAGCCTCCTGGCCTCACCGTCCAGGTGTGATGTCCTTGCCTTAAACCCCATAGGAGAAGGCACTTTACCTTGAGGTTGTACTTCCCTGTGTATCTGCATAGGCAACCAGGGAGGGTGTGTCCCCGGACACCTCTTCCCTAGCGCCCAAGAGATTTCCAACAGAGGGCACCTCTCAACAAGAGAAAGGTCTTTTTCTTCACAGCAGGTTCCGGGCAGATCGATGTAACAAATGGTGGTAGAGAATTGGGAATGTTGAGGAGGAAAAGGAGGAGGGAAGAAGGGTGAGGGACAAGGGCCAGCACTGGGGCAGGGTGAGGGCCAGTAGCTCTGGCAAGGGACTTCAATAAGACAGGACAGGGGCTGGGTGTGGTGGCTCGTGCCTGTAATCCCAGCACTTTGGTAGGCTGAGGCGGGTGGATCCTGAGGTCATGAGTTTGAGACCAGCCTGGCCAACATGGTGAAACCCCATCTCTACTAAAAATACAAAAATTAGCTGGGCATGGTGGTGCCCGCCTGTAGTCCCAGCTACTAGGGAGGCTGAGACAGGAGAATTGCTTGAAACCAGGAGGCGGAAGTTGCAGTGAGCTGAGATTGCACCATTGCACTCCAGCTTGGGCAACAGAGCGAGACTCTGTCTCAAAAAAAAAAAAAGAGGTTTAATTGACTCCCAGTTCCACATAGCTGGGGAGGCCTTAGGAAACTTACAATCATGGAGGAAGGTGAAGGGAAAGCAAAAGGCGGCAGGAGAGAGAGGAGTGTGTGAAGGAGAAACTGTCAAACATTTATACAACCCTCAGATCTTGTGAGAACTCACTATCTCAAGAATAGCATGGGGGAACCGCCCCCACGATCCAGTCACCTCTCACCAGGTCCCTCCCTCCACACATGGATATTATGGGGATTACAATTTGAGATGAGATTTGGGTGAGGACACAGGCCCAAACTGTGTCATGGACTCTCTGCAGAGCCTCTCAACAAGAATGCAGCTGGGCCGACATCCAAATTCTACCCTCAAAGAACCCTGAGTGGAGAATCCAGCCCTGCTGGGCTGCAGAACTGTGAGCCAATCAATGGGCGTTGCAGGCGGCAATATTTGGGGTAACTTGTTATGCAGCAACAGAAAGTGAGTACAGGTGTCTGTGATTTGGGATCTTTCTGAAGCAACCTGAGCAGTTGCTGAAAACTGGGACATAAGCCTCGTCACTGCCAGCGCTTCTAAACCTCATTTGCTTCACAATAAACAGCAATAGCTACTTAGGAAGCAACTTTTTGGTACCAGGTACTAGACCTACATTATGAGTAAGAGGAAAAGTTCACCTCGACACTCCGGGGGTTTAGTGTTATTTTTCTGGCTTTCCTCACCAGGAAGCTCAGAAAGTCATTATTGACTCAGATCACCCACCAGCTAAGTGCTGGAACAAACACGGAAAGCCAGGCCTCCTGCCTCCAGGGTTTCAGCCGTTACCCCAACACCCTGTTGCCTCCAAGTTTACCTGACTGTGTTCAAAATCATTGCAGCTTTCTCGGCCAACAAGCTCATTAAAAGATGCTCACCGTTGTTAGTTGTTAGGGAAATGCAAATCAAAACCACAATGAGATGCCATCTCACACCCACTGTGCTGTCTATAATCAAAAAGTCAGACAATAGCAAGAGCTGGAGAAGATGTGGAGAAATTGGAGCCCTTGGATGCTATCCATGAAAATGTAAAATGATTGCAGTGCCTGTCTCCCAACTAAGTTAAGCATAGAATTGCCACATGACCCAGCCATTCCATTCCTGGGTTTATACCCAAGAGAAATGAAAGCATATGTCCACACAAAGACTTGCATGTGAATGTTCATAGCATTCCTATTTCTAATAGCCAAAAGGTGGAAATAACCTAAGTGTCCACCAACTGAGGGAGGGATACATAAATGTGGCCCATCCATACAGTGGAGTATTACTCAGCCAGGAACAAAGCACTGACACACACTACAATGTAGATGAACCTTGAAAACACTGTGCTCAGTGACAGAAGCCAGACACAAAGATCACCGATGATATGATTCCGTGTATAGAAAATGACCCAGATAGGCAGATCCATAGAGACTGAAAGAAGACTGATGGTTGCCAGAGGCTGGTGGGACATGGAGGAACTGTGGGGTGCTAGCTGAAGTATATGGGCTTTCTTTTGAGGTGATAAAAGTGTAGTAAAATTGACCATGTTGATAGTTGCACTACTGAATATTGTAAAAGCCATTGAATTGGACACTTTACGTGGTTACTATGGTGGATGAATTATATCTCAATAAAGCTGTTACCAAAAAATAAAAAAAATCATTGCTGCTGAAACGTAGCCCCCACACTGTCCTGTTCCCTGCTGTTTGGCTGTGGATGTAGCAGCTCCCTCGACAGATGCCATCCGTCAAAGTAGGGAGGCTTTGAGGAGCCCCCTCACCCCCATCCTGCAGAAAGACTCCCTCCAGGACCCCCTCTGAGTGTCCCTGGGAGCCTGTGCTCCTCCTCTGCTTCCAGGTCTGCAAGTGGGCAGCCTGCAACCTCCAGGATCTGATGTTCTTGACCTTGTCCTCACAGGGAGGGTCGCCCTGAGGACTTACGGGCCTGGATGAAATGGGTTTTTTTTTGTTTGTATGTTTTGTTTGTTTTTTTGAGACAGAGTTTGGCTCTGTTGCCCAGGCTGGAGTGCAGTGGTGTGATCTCGGCTCGCTGCAACCTCTGCCTCCCAGGTTCAAGCAATTCTCTTGCCTCAGCCTCCTGAGTAGCTGGGATTACAGGCACATGCCACTGTGCCTGGCTAATTTATTTTTATTTTTATTTTTATTTTTAATAGAGATGGGGTTTCACCATGTTGGCCAGGCTGGTCTCAAACTCCTGACTTCAAGTGATCCGCCCACCTCGGCCTCCCAAAGTGCTGGGATTACAGGCGTGAGCCACCACACTTGCCTTCTGGATGGAATGTTAACTGCTATTTTCTGAGGGTTAATCTCATGCAGGGCAAAGGACATTATCTCTGTGAACTGTGGTTATGGCCACACACAGGAGATATTCTGTGCACATTTTGCAGGCAGAGACTTTGGAGACCCTGCGGCAAAGAGGCTGAATGACACCCAAGGGGGCAGAGCCAGGGTAGAGACCCTGGGCTCTGACGCTGAGGTTCTTGCCGCTCTGTCCCATGGCTTCCTGATGGATTGGAAGTGACCACCAGAAGCTGGAGAGGGGCACAGAAGAGACATGCCTTCAGAGCCTCCAGGAGGAACCCACCCTGCCCACACCTTGATTCCTGACTTGTGGGTTTGTGATAGTTTGTTACGGCATCCACAGGGCACGAATCCTTCTGCAGAGTTAAAGGAAAGATGCTCCTGCACACTGTAAATGCTGATTAAAGCTATGTTTGCTTGTAGCTCTTCTAGAGTTACAAAAGCAAAGCAAACAGCCAGCCTCAGATAGTGCTTTGGAACAGGCCAGGTGAGGGGTGCCAGCAGGTGCCTCATGGTCCAAGTTTGGGGGAGCCACTGTGGCTGAGCGCTGGCCTGCGTGTGGTGGCAGTGCTGTGAGGCTGGGGCCAGCTGGCTCCCTTCTCAGGCCTTGTTCTCTTCTGCAAAATGAGGGGTTGGTCTTGATCATAATTACTCAAATTTAGTGTAGTAGATTGAGTAGTGGTCCCTCAAAAGATGTGTCCAAGCCCTACCCTCTGGTACCTGTGAAGGTGACCTATGTGGAAATAGGGTCTTTGCAGAGATAATTAAGAATCCCAGCCAGGCGTGATGGCTCTTACCTGTAATCCTAGTGCTTTAGGAGGCTGAGGCGGGCAGATCACTTGAGGTCAGGAGTTCAAGACCAGACTGGCTAAGATGGAGAAACCTTGTCTCTACTAAAAATACAAAAATTAGCGGGACGTTGTGGTGGACACCTGTAATCCCAGCTTCTCGGGAGGCTGAGGCAGGAGAATCTCTTGAACCCGGGAGGCGGAGGTTGCAGTGAGCTGAGATTGTGTTACTATACTCCAGCCTGGGTGACAGAGCCAGACTCCTTCTCAAAAAAAAGAAAAAAAAAGAAGAAGAATCTCGAGATGAGCTCATCTTGGATTCAGAGTGAGCCCTAAACCCAATGAATGGTGTCCTCATGAGATTAGCCAGACAGAAGGCAGGAGGGACAGACACAGGGGAGGAGAGCGCTGGGAGGATGGAAGTGGAGACTACAGAGAGGCTTCCATAGTCACGGGAGGCCAAGCATTGGCACGACCGTCAGAAGCTGGAGGCGGGCACAGAACAGACGTGTCCCCAGAGCCTCCAGGAGGAACCCACCCTGCCCACACCTTCCTTCCTGACTTGTGGGTTTGTGATACTTTGTTATGGCATCCACAGGGCACAAATCCTCCTGCAGAATTAAAGGAAAGATGCTCCTGCACGCTGTAAATGCTGATTAAAGCTACGTTTGCTTATAGCTCTTACAGAGTTATGAAGGCAAAGCAAATTTGTAAAGTTACAGCTCCAACACTGTAAAACCATTCAAACTAAAAACATGCTGTATGGGGACAGGTTCCACTGGGCTGCCTTGGCAGCCTGGGCTGAGGGGCCCAATGCTGGTGACTCACCTGCCCTCCCTCCCCTTTTCTCTCTGCCAAGCAGGAGCCACCTTTCTTCATGGCGGCCCTGCAGGCCCCAGGCTTGGTGTTGCGGGAAGAGCCTTTCATGAACAGGTCCATGTCGCTCTTTTCTCTCCAGCCCATGACAGAAGTGGAACACGGCCTGCACGGGTGGCACCAAGGCGGCATCATCAGGCTCTTCCCAATGTGAAGGAAGCTTTGACTCCATGGTGAACCCTTTATTGGGGGCTGACTCCAGGCCCGGCTATGGTTGTATTTTACAGAACTTGCTGGAGACACCTGTCTTGCTGGGCTGATGGATTCAGAACCAATGATGGGAACGGGGTCAGGTCCTCCGTCCAGTGAGTGAGGAGGGATTCCAGATGAGCCTCTGGACCCTCTTCCTATGCGCAGATGGCTTGTATCCTGAAGATGGAAACAGCCTGCTTCTTCACCGTCGAGACCCTGATGGAGGAAGGTGCTCCCCAGTGAGGCCGAGGGCCCCCTTTTCAGACATACAGTGGCACCTTGTTCCTCTGGGCTGGGTCTTTGCGGTAGGCCAGTGTTGTTGTCGTGGGCACCTAAGTTGTGGGCACTGGAGGGATGGAGGCCTTTAGGCTGCACCAAGTTACCTGCCTCGGCTTCTGGTTCCTCAACTATAAAACCAGATGGTCAGAGTAGGGAGCCTCGAGGGTCCCGTCCAGGTCTACAGGTGGATAACCTGTGCGCAGAGGCCACACTGTGAGAGAAGACCTGGTGGAGGATGTTTCCCGTGTCACAGCTGCAAGTAGGAAGAGTGTGAATCCCTGTGAATCGGCAGAGAAGAGCAAGGGGAGGGTTCAGGTGTAGGTGGGGGCGGGAGGGAGGATTAGGGGGAGGTGGTGTCAGTTTCCCAAGGCTGCTGTAATGAATATCCACAGACTTGGAGGCTTAAACAACACACACTGTCTTATGGTTCTCAAAATCAGAATGCTGAAATGGGTCTTGCGGGGTAAAATCTGTGAACAGTCATTTCTTCCCTCTCCAGGCCCTGATGGGGGAAGGGGCTCCTGGGCCAGTGTCAGCAGGGCCGGGTTCTTCTGGAGGCTCAGGGGAGAAGCTGCCTTCCTGTCTTTTCAGCTTCCAGAGGCCGCCTGCACGCCTCAGGGTCCCCGCAGCAGACCACATCACTCCAACCTTCGCTTCATCCTTGCATCTCCTCCTCCGCCTCCCTTCCTCCCTCTCATAAGGACCCTAGGATGACACTGGACCCCCCGACTGACCCAGGAGAATCTCCGCAACATGTGGGGAGGTGGAGTGATTGTGCAAAGCAGAGTGAGGTGGTGTTGCTGGAAGACTCGAATCACATCTGCAGGATCTCTGCGGAAGCTCTGGGGATAAGATTTGGCATCTTTGCAGTGGCCGTTATTCTGCCCACCGCAGGGGCCCCCATCTGATGATAGAGAAAAGGCACATAGAAGATGCTCGGAAACACGTGTTGAGTGAAAGAGTGAGTGGCTGTGTGGAGCCGAGACTAGGTTGGTCTGTGCAGGAGGTGTAACAAGAGCTGCATCTTGTATTTCTGCCTGCCTTCCTGCCTCTGCCATTGACTGGAGGTCAGCAGGTCTGACAGTTCCAGAAATAGAACTTCTGCTCTGATCTGATCCACACGAAGGTGAAGGTCAGGTGCAGGATCCTCCGCCCCCACCTTGTGGTTTCTGGGGGTGCTGAGCCAGGGCCCCACCTCTGCCCTGGGGGACACCCCCTGCCAAGTTTGCTTGGAGGCTCCTTTGAGCTCAGGCACGCCCAAGAGCCAGAAGGAGAGGACTTGTAAAGACAGGGACTGTAACCCCAGGCAGGCCTGTGTCCTGGCCCTTAGGGAAGGAATAATGAGTAGACTATTGTGTAAGAAAGATGAGAATCAGGCAGATAAAGGGCCCAGTGAAGCTGCCTGCCCCACTCCCTACCCCCAGGACTGAACCTTGGACCCCACCTAACATTCCAGCTCCACTGCGGTGCCCTGGTCTCCATGACAACCGGGAATCATTTTACAAATAGAAGATTGTGGATCCCTGGGAACGCAGAGGTGAGGAAGTCTCAGGAGTAAAGGTTTCATTTACGGCACCTTGGTGCGAAGGTGTCAGGCCAGGCCTTGGAGCCAAATTCTATGCAGAATGACCAAGTGCCGAGAGCAGAAAACACGGGCTATGTTCCTGACCCTTTGCCTGTTAGCCGTGTGGCTCTGGTTCTGGAGTGAAGGGAGCAGCAGGATGCTCTGGGCCTTAAGTGACAGAATTCCTAACTCTCTGAGACCAGAGCAAGGCTTTGGAAAGGCTGGAGGGAAGCCATTAAGTCGGTGAGGTTTTCCTGGCTTGCCCCATGGAGGCAAGATGGCTGCAGGGACTCCAGGCATCACGTCCATTGAGGACAACATCCAATGCACAAAGGAGGGCAGGTGGCAAAGGGGCTTCTCCTCTCACAGCTCTTTATCACAAACTGCTGCCTCCTCCAGCATCCCTCAAAGACCGCTTTGTTTCCCATCAGCAGGAATGCGTGGCAGGAAGGAATCTCCCAGGGATTCACAGTTCACCCCTAAATCAATCCGTGGGGCCCGAGGGGCAAAGTATCTGAGTGACCCAGCCCTCAGTCTTGTGTCCGTTCCTGAGAAGGAGCTCAGCCTTGCCCCTCAGGAGCTGCATGTACCAAATGTGAGTGTGTGTGTGCCTGAGTGTGCCTCTTCACCTCAGTGAGTGTGTCCATGTGTGAAAGCAGATGTTTGTATGTGCACAGGTGTGTGCTGTGTGCATACAAAGCGGGGGCAGGGCATGTGGGGATGTTGTACCTGAGCGAGTTAGAAAAACGCCACACTTTGAGATGAATTAGGAGTCCTCTATTAGCTGGCAACCAAGAGACAGCTAACGCTCAAAATTCTCTTGGCCCCGAGGAAGGGGCTTGATTAACTTTTACATCTTGGTTTAGGAAGGGGAGGGGGGTCTAGTTAGAACAATTTTACAGAAGTTAAGTAGTCAAAAAGTTAAAAGGACAAATGGTTACAGGAAAGTAAACAGTTCCAGGTGCAGGGGCTTTAAGACTATTACAAGGTGATAGACGCGGGGCTTCGGGCGTTATCATTCGGACAAATTCCTGGGAACTGCGGATCTAGCTCGCCACAGTATCTTATCAGTTAACTGCATTCTTGGATGTGCTGGGAGTCAGCTTGCACAAGTTAAGTCCTTGAGGAAGGGGCTGCCGGTGAAAGAGCCAAGATGGAGTTTGTGTGACTCTCTCAGCTAAGGGAGAAGCAAGGCTAGGTGAATAAAGGAAAAACAAGGTTGGGCATTACACGGAGGTGGAGTGATTGTGTAAAGCAGAGTGAGGTGGTGTTGCTGGAAGACATGGATGGAGGCATGACACAGACTGTCCACTGCAAAAACCATGGACGGAGGAGGCGTCACACAGACTGTCCACTGCAAAGACCACAGATGGAGGCGTGACACAGACTGTCCACTGCAGAGACCATGGACGGAGGCAGCCTCCGAGCCAGCCCAGCAGCCATGGACGGAGGAGCCTTGGAGCCAGCCCAGCAGCTCTCCTGTGAGTGGGGCCGGCACTGTCCCCAGCATTTGTGCCACCGGTGCTGTAGAAGGGCGGGGAGACAGCACATGGGGACTTGCCATTCCCGTTCTGTTCCGCAGCACTGGAGGGGTGGACGGGACAGGACCGGCTGCTCATTCCACGCTGGAGGGAGGCCAGGAGTCTCAGCTGGATGCAGTCACCTGACCTGGAGAGTTCAAAGTGCCTAACACAGGTGCTCACCCCTCTTCCCCCTCACCCCTGTCTGGACCTGGGACATGGAGCCTTCCTCTAAGTCTGGTCTCCCCGCTCCTCCAGGAAGGTCCTGGAGGGGATGGCCTGGGATGGGCTAGGACCCGGTTCCCACCTCAGGAGGCCTCTGGCCATGGAAGTGCTAAGGTGCCTAGTATCCGTCTGTCCGGGTGACTCTGGCTTGGGGGTTGGGTGGCCTTGCCTGCGTCCAGCGACATGGGGAGGTGTGTGTGGAAAACCAGATGCCACCTCACTCACATGGCGCGGGGCGGTGGCTGGGGGTTGGAGGTGATGGCTACTGGTTCCTCCCCCACTGGGGACCATTTCCAGGGATGCTGCTACCCACAAGCCTGGATCCTGGCGTGCTCCGCGGCTCTCCTTCAAGCCCTGGCCTCATCAGACCTCCAAGGCTCCCTAGACAGGGTTAATTATTCACGTGGCCTGGGACCCAGGTACAAAGTCTTCTCCTTCCCACATCTGCAGAAGCTGCTCTTGTGGATGGGGCTCCAAGGAGGAGAGGGCAATTGTTTTATTTTAATCATTAAAACATTTTCTGGGATATACGTGTTGGTTGAAAACAATTAGAAGGTATAGAAAAGTATAAACAAAAAATTAAAGACAAGCCAGGTGCTGTGGCTCACGCCTATAATCCTAGCACTTTGGGTGCCCAAAGCAGGCAGATCTCCTGAGGTCAGGAGTTCAAGACCAGCCTGGCCAACATGGCAAAACACCATCTCTACCAAAAACACAAAAATTAGCTGGGCATGATGGCGAATGTCTGTAATCCCAGTTGCTTGGGAGGCTGAGGCAGGGGAATCGCTTGAACCCGGGTGGCAGAGGTTGCAGTGAGCTAAGATCATGCCACTGCATTCCAGCCTGGGCAACAGAGTGAGACTCAGTCTAAAAAAAAAAAAAAAAATTAAAGACAAAAAATTGAAAACCACCTGTAAGCCCATCATTCAGAGACAGGCACTACTAACAACTCATGGTGTTTCCTTCCAGGGTTCGTTTGTTTGTTTTTCCCGACACAGTAGGGTCCACGAGGAAGTCAGGATCCACCGGCAATATTTGCAGTGTTATGTTGAATGTGGCAACTGGCTGCGTGAGGATAGAGAAGTAAACAGCATGTCCGGTGGCAGTCGGTTACCACACAGAATTTAGGAGGCCCAGTGAAATGCAAATGCTAGGTAAGTGACACGTAAGTTTTTGATATAAGCATATCCCAGGCAACATTTATTTATTGGAAATTGAAACTCACATTTAACCGGCCATATTATTTTTTTTAAATTTTTTTGTTCTCTAAATCTATCTTTTGTTTGCCGAATTTCTAGCAACCTTAGATGGAGAGGTGGCTCTGAGATTAGCATCCCCACAGGCCCACCTCTGGCTGGAGAGACAAAGGGAGGTGGGGTGCTGCCGGGGAGGGAGAGCCAAGGTCTACTTCCACGCCGCT
Source organism: Homo sapiens (assembly GCF_000001405.40). Classification (NCBI taxonomy): domain Eukaryota; kingdom Metazoa; phylum Chordata; class Mammalia; order Primates; family Hominidae; genus Homo; species Homo sapiens. The sequence goes on along the minus strand of NC_000021.9, from coordinate 41,712,549 downwards.
CCCAGACCTGGGGCCAGAGGCCCGCTTGCTGGGGGCTGGGGCTCAGAGGGGAGCGAGCGGCTGCTGTCAGGCTGTCTGAAAATGCTGTGCGGATTCCCCGATTTTCTCTCGCCTGGCAGGTCACCTGGCCCACACTCTCCTCCCCTGATCCCCTGAGTGCTCCCCTCCCCCTGCAGGTCCCCCTCCCCTCTGGGTGAGCCTGGATGCCAGCACCCTGTTCCGCCCGCCCAGCATGCAGAACAAAAGCACAACGCACAGAAACACAGCCGGTGCGCGCAGGGCGGCAGGCTGGCTTCTCCCTCCCTCCTGCCGAGGTCTCCGGCCCCTTCCCCCTTCCCTCCTTCCCTCCCCTCTCCTCTTCTATTAGAAAATGGGAGTGTTAGGGTTGAATTGTGTCCCCCCAAAACAGGTATGTTGGGGTCCTGATTCCCAGTCCCCTAGAATGTGACCGTGCTTGGAGATAAGACCTTTACAGAGTAACTGATTAAAATGAGGTCATTAGCAGGGACCCTAGTGCAGCATGACTGGTGTCCTTTCAAAAAGGAGAAATTTGGATACAGACATAGACACACACTGAGGGAAGGTGAAGTAAAGGGGCAAGGAGAAGACGGCCTGCAACGGGAGTGACGCCCTTACAAGCCGAGGGACGCCTGGCAGTGCCAGCTGACACCAGGAGCAGGGAGAGGCCAGGAAGCCTGGCAGTGCCAGCTGACACCAGGAGCAGGGAGAGGCCTGGAACGGTTCTCCCTGGAGACATCCGGGACACACCTTGATTTCAGGATTCCATGATAGCTTCCAGAACTGCCAAAGAACGCATTTCTGTGTTTTCAGCCACCCAGTCTGTGGTATCTTGTGACTGCCGCCCTAGGAAAGTAAAACAAGGAGTTAATTCATGAAGGGTGGGGGAAATACGTACCCTTTGAAATACCACCTAGAGGAAGGGGTAATAGTACACCCGATCATGTGCTCCAGTTTATGAAATAGTTGCACGTCACTCGGAATTTTGAAAAACAATATATTTTCAGGACTCAAAAGATTTGCTTGCTATGGACTTGTCTTGCAAAATAAAGAATCTCTTTGTAGACCACATTCATAGATGTATTTCATGTATGTTGACATTGATTTGGCTTGCTCAGAAATAGGAAACGTGAGAACTTGAATATCATGGCGTTTACAAAGCCAGTGAGGTCAGTTCCTCTCCTGGGCCTCAGGTGCAACCATTGGCCGCCTGGCCTACCTCTGGAAAGCGTTTGGAGAGGGCGTGAGTTCTTGCACCCACCCTCTGGTTTTGCAAGCTCCCTCTGCCATGGCTGGTGGAAGGCTGTGTTGGGGAGGTGGTGGAGTCACAGTGGCCTCCACTGTCAACGGTGCAGATGCCTGCTGTGGAAGGTATGATGTGCTGGATTCTGAATGCAGGTTGGGGCTATTTTTAGCATCTGGACCGGGCAGCAGGAGGCTGGGGGTGAGGCAGAGGGAGGGACAAGGCCAGCATGATTTGCTGCTAGTGGAGCTGGAGGAGAAGGCACCCACACGCTGGCTGGCCGCCCTCCTTTCCTGCTGGAGTTCCTGGTGAGTGCTTCCCCGGGGGCTGAGTTGTAGCTGTCTCCCTAAACACCTGGAAGGGTGTGGAAATGGGAAGTGACTCGAGGGTTTGGGCCCTGCGCTGCTCGGACTCGAAGGACAGATGGCCCAGACCTTGGGAAGGATGGTTCTGCCCCATCTGGTACTGGACTCCTGACTCCTGGGAGGCCTGTTGGTCGGTGGTGAGCGGCTTTGCCACATGTCATGACACATGGACATGACGCCACACTGCCTCAAGGGGCACTTGTGAAGGCCAAACTAGAAATGGATGAGCAGTGCTTAGCCCATGAGGAAGTGACACACCAGTGACAGCCTTGATGGCGGGGCCACGGGCTGAGAGGGTCTGGTCCCTTGGCTGCCACCAGCCTCCCAGGGCGTGTCTGCCACCAGCCTCCCAGGGCTGGGCAGCAACCATCCACAGGACTGGGGCTCAGCCTCTCTCCCTTTGTGGGAGCCACTGTTTTCTAAGGGTGTGGACATACATGTGGTCTGCTCCCTCCCTCCATGTTTCCTGGGCTGGAGAAGACCTGAGTCAGCACGTGAACGAGGAGAGGAGGCGGCTCTCCGCAAAGAAACCTAAACACAAGGTCTGATTCCCACTTCCCAGAGCCTCCTTCAGGGAGGCCATTGGCCCAAACCACTTTACAGTCACAGACTATTTGTGCGGAGGGAGACATTCCAGATCATCTTGCTTGATGCTTGCCAGTACATCAAGATGGTTCCTTTTTGTTGTCACTTGGAAAAAAGCTTGAAGGATAATACTCTTGGTTAAATGAACTGCAGGACTTTTCAGGGCCTTGACTAAACCCACATGATCAGGGTGTCAATAAATAGCGGTGTGGTATTCAGTATTCCACAAGTTTGTTGATTGAAACCTTTTACAATTTTATTTTCCCTTTATTTTTTAGAGATGGGGTCTTGCTCTGTCATCCAGGCTGGAGTGTAGTTGCATGATCATGGCTCACTGTGGCCTGAAAACCCTGGGCTCATGTGATCCTCTTGCCTTAGCCTCTCCAGTAGCTGGGTCTACAGGTGCATACCACCACGCCCGGCTAATAGTTTAAAAACATTTTCTGGATATGGGGTCTCCCCATGTTGTGCAGGCTGGTCTTGTGAGCCACTGCATCCAGCCTGAAACCTTTTAAAAGTCAGGCTTATTGAGATATAGGCTGGCGAGGTGGCTCATGCCTGTAATTCCAGCAATTTAGGAGGCTGAGGTGAGAGGATCATTTGAGGCCAGGAGTTTGAGACCAGTCTGGACAACATAGCAAGACCTCATCTCTACAAAAAAATTAAAACTAGCTGGGCATAGTGGCACACGCCTGTAGGTCCTAGCTACCAGGAAGTCTGGGGTGGGAGGATTGCTTGAGCTGGGTGACAAGCAATAGAATGAGACCCTATTAAAAAAAAAAGATAGAGTTATATAATCAACATACGGTAAAACTCATTGTTTTAGTGTACAGTTCTACGAGTTTTGACAAAGTTCTATGAGTTTGACGAAGTGGTCACAGTTGTGTAACCACCACCATAGCCAAACATAGACCACATCTATATCACCCCCAAACCACCCCCACACTCCTTGGCAGCCAGTTCCCAGCTCCCACTCTCAGCCCCTGCAACCACCAATTTGTTCCCTGTCTCTACAGTTTTGCCTTTTCCAGAATGTCCTCTCCATGGGATCTCAGCGTGTGGCTTTTGGTGTCTGGCATCTTTCACTCAGCGTAACACGTCTGAGATTCATCCATGTCGCTGTAAGTGTCAGTAGATGGTTCCTTTTTGTTGCTGAACAATAATATCTGCTGTTAGGGTTCCCCACAGTTTGCTTATCCACGTCCCAGCTGATGGATATTTGGGTTGTCTCCAGTTTGGAACGATTATGAATGAGCAGCCAGAAACATTTGTCTCCAGGTTTTTCTGTGATCTCTAGGCTTTGTTTGTTTGTGTTTGTTTTTGTTTTGTTTATGTTTTTGAGACAGAGTCTTGCTCTGTTGCCCAGGCTGGGGTGCTATGGCATGATCTTGGCTCACTGCAACCTCCGCCTCCTAGGTTCAAGCAATTTTCCTCTCTCAGCCTCCCGAGTAGCTGTGACTACAGGTGTACACCACCACACCCGGCTAATTTTTGTATTTTTAGTAGAGTCGGGGTTTTGCCACATTGGCCAGGCTGGTCTTGAACTCCTGACCTCAAGAGATCCGCCCACCTCAGCTTCCCAAAGTGCTGGGATTACAGGCGTGAGCCACTGTGCCTGCCCTGATCACTAGTTTTTACTTTTTGGGTAAATATCCAGGATTAGGATTGCTGGGTCATTCATTAAGTATCTGTTTAACTTTATAAGAAACTGCCCACCTATTTTCCAAAGTGGCTATTGCATCTTGCATTCTCGTTGGTGACTTGTGTGAGCTTCACTGGCTCCACGTTCTCACCAGCTTGGATTGCTTGAGCCAAGGAGTTCAAGACCAGCCTGGGCAACATAGTGAAACCTGTCTCTATAAAAAAATAAACAAATTTAGCCAGGTTTGGTGGTGCGTGTCTGCAGTCCCAGCTACTCAGGAGGCTGAGATGGGAGGATTGCTTGAGCCTGGGAGGTCGAGGCTGCAGTGAGCCAGGATTGCACCATTGCACTCCAGCCAGCCTGGGTGACAGAGTGAGACCCTGCCTCTGTCACAAAACAAAACAAAACAAAAAACCCCAACAAACAAACAAACAAACCACCCCCCAAAAAAAATCTGCTAGAGATCCTGGGAAATACTGTTGCTGACATTGCAGCCACCCTGGTTCCTCATCATTTCTTTCCTTCCATCTCCTTGGATTGTGAACAAGAGACTGGAGGTGGAGTGGGTGTCCTGTGACCAGGAAGCCTCCATGAGGAAGAAAGTGACACAGGATGGCAGAGCAGCAAGATAGAAGGAGCTTGGGGTCCTGGTGACATCCTGGGGAGGCTGTACAAGCCAGGACTGCTTGCTTGGGTAAGAAAATTAAAGTGCTGTTTGGTTGAGCCCTGGAATGGGGTTCTGGTTCATGCAGCCAAAGGTGATCCCTGGTGATGTGCTGGCACAGCAGAACAGTGAAAGCTGAAGCAGCACTGACTGCCAAAATGATCTCCAACTACACAAGCCTCGGGCACAGCAGCTCCAGAATGGCCGAGGAATCTGAGGCACCAGGGGTCTCTGAAGGTGGGGATGAGGGGCTGGCTTCATACTGTAGTAGTGGCTGAATGTATTGTCAGAGACACTTAGTCCCTGAGACTTCCTCGTTATCCACCTGGCTAGATGACTCATCCACCTCACTGAAGAGAACTCAGGAAGTGCACACTATAGAGAAATTGAGCCAGACCAGCTCTGGAGTTGGCACTCAGAGCGAGCAGAAAGAGGAGAAAGATGCCAAAAGACAAAACAAAACAATACCGACCTGCAGGACATGAATTTCCTTACTGAAAAGGCAAGCCACATTTTCAAATAATAAATGAAAAATCAAATGTAAGGGTAGAACAAAGATGTTTGAAGGTATGCAAGATGAAATCATTGAACCTCACATGCATTCTTTCTCAGCAAGTTCCTGTGGTATGGGTGTCACTTGCACAAGGAAGTAAACCCCAAAAGAGAAAGATGTGAGGCACAGGACACATTAGATTTAGCACCAGAAAAATACGAAGGAATTCTCACTGAAGTTGAAGGGAACTTTCAAGGGGGAGCTGTGCCACAAGCCAAGAGGTCAGCCAGCCCAGATACAAATAGGACAGAGAGCTCTGGAGGGGATGTCTCCAAGGGGAAGGACAAACAACAACAAAGCAACAACAAAAGAATGATTACTTAGTATGTTTGACTTTGTTGAGAGGACTTTTATAGGTCTATCAGAAAATTGGGGGGGGGATAATTGGTAAGTAGTAGACAAAAAAATTAAGTTTATGAAAAAATGAGGCAATTGTTAACCCCAGGAAAATCAAAAAGTTGTACTAAAAAGAAAAGACCATCCTAGTTCCCTAAGTGGTTTAGTTGTGACAACATTTATGGTGGTCATAGTAATATCAGAACTAAATATTGACTTGGCCAAAGGTTGCGAATTGTGTAACTGTGTAAGTTGTGAAGATGCTGGGTAGGTGGAATAGGTGGGAGTGTGTGGGAGGTGGTGGTGTAAGTGAGATAAAACCGAAAGGAATAGTACTGTAATCATGTTGGAAGTGTGAAGGTCAAGGTCAAGAGAAACAGCTGAGAGACTTGAAGGCCGATGACTCACAGGGGAGGGAGCTGGAGGTGGGAAGAGGTGCAGTGATAACAACTGTTTATTATCACAAGCCTTGCAGCACTACTTGACTATTAAAACAATGTTATAACAATCAAATTTTAAAAGGAAGAAATAATAACTTGGTGAAAGGGACGTTCTCTCTTCTCCAGAGAAAAGCAGCACAGTGTACCTGGGCATTTCTGTGTTGGTCTTAGAAACCCAAGCCCATTCGCCTGCCTGGGGGCCTCCAGCTGGCTGGAGTCTGAGCACTGGCCTCTGTGGCTGAAGCAGGGTCATCTCTCGCCCTTTGTCCATTCATGGACTGGCACAGGTGGATTTATGGCTATGTTGTCAGCCACCTATGAACAAGCGAGGGGTGCCAACAGGCCATGCTCTGGCAAACAGCCAATGTGGAAGACAGAGACTGTCCCTTGCACACTCTCCTGCTCCTCTCTGTCTTTTTCAGTCTTCTTGTTTTCCTTCCTAGTGGAATCCAAATGCTGGTGTTGAGACGGTAGGCAGGCCTGGGGGCTCCCCCGTACTATGCAGGTTCCTGCTCGGCGTTTCCCGTCCTGTTCACTTACTCCCACCTGCCTCCTTTGGGCTTTGGAGCGGGGACCTCCTGCAGCCAGGCCCCTAGAGGAATTCCTCAGATCCCTGCTGTCCCAGGGAAGAGTGCGGAAAGGAAGGGGTGGGCTGCATCCCTGTGCTCAGAACAGACACAACCACAGGGTTGTGGCTGATTTTGTGCCCAACTCTGAGAAATTGGAGCCAAGCAGGTCACCCTCTGCATGAGTGTCCCATGGCTGGTGCCACAAATTTTACAAACTGGGTGAATTCAACAACAGATTTTTTTTTCTCATGGTTCTGGAGACCAGACATCTGAAATCAAGGTGTGTGTGGGGCTGTGTTCCGTCTGAAGGCTCTGGGGAAGGACAGTTCCTTGCGTCTCTCCCATGTCTGTCAGTGGCCCGTGGTCCTGGGCTTCCGTGGCTGGTGGCTGCATCACTACATCCCCACGTTGGCCTTGGCCCGCCCGCTTCTGTGTGCCTCCTCACTTCATCCTCCCTCTACTCAGGTCTGTGTCCAAACTTCCCTCCTACAGGGACACCAGTGTTATGGGACTTAGGGCCCACCCTAACCCATCATGACCGCATCTTAACTTGATTCGTTTCTAAGACCCTCTTTCCATATAAGGTCTCATTCACAGGCACCGGGTTTAGGACTGGGACATATCATTTGTGGATACAATTCACATACAGCATTTTCGTCACTGACCTCCTCCTCCACCCTCATGGCTGCTCAGAACTTTCCACCCTTAAAAACTCCTCTCATCAACATGCTTCGCTAGCACAGTCCCACTTTGTCCTCTTCCCTTGTCACCAAACTTGTTGAAGGTCCTTTATACCTCAGCTTCCCCTGATACATTCCTCTGCCATCACCATCTGCCTGACCTGTGCCTTCTGGAAGGTGCCTGGCGGGAGGGGGTTTTCCTTGTGTCTGGTCCTTTGCATGCTCTGTGGCTTTTGAGGTGGGTGTTGAAGGCTATACAAGCCCACCCTCCCCCCACCACCCTCGGCTTGGCTTTGACCTGTGTGTACCCGGCATGCTGCACATGCTGTGTGTTTGTGTGTTTGTGTTTGTGTTTGTGTGTGTGTGAGGGGGACAGCCTTCTTGGGATTGCATTGTCCTGAGGGCACCCCTGAGTCCTCTGCACCGCTCAGCCCAACAGCAGAGACGGACAGACCCCAGAGAACCCGACTGGAATGGCTGGAGACTCTCCATTGGATTTTTGCCTCCAGGGTGAGCTTAGGACCCACATGGCCGGGCTTTGGGCTCATTGCTGGAGAGCTGCACCTGCTGCGGAACTCAGAGCGTAGCCTCTGGCTGGATCACTTCATTCCCTTGGCTCTGCCAGCACTTGTCAATCTCCAAAATCCAATCCACCCTTGAAAAGCAGAGGTTAATCAATGTGCTAGGGACAGAGAGGGGGCCACGGAGTGGACATCTCAATTTACTGAGTGACACCAGGCCAGTGACTTGACCTTTCGGAACAGCTTCCTGACCTGGAAGGTGGGGGTGAAAGTGCTTTCTTCATGGGTGGCTGTGAGAATTAATGAATTATTACAAGCAAAATACTTAGGCACAGTGGATGGCGCATAATAAGACCTCAATAAATAGTAGTGATCACTATGAATATAATGTAGTTTTCCAATAAGTGGGTGGCCCCCTGAACTCTGTGGTGTCTGTTTGAGGTCAGGTGTGTGAGTCGCCTGGCACACCTGCACTCTCTTTGTTTGCCCAGGTAATTGCTCACCTCCTGCAGGGGCTATTCTGGGGCCAAGCGACTCCTCCCTGGGCCTGGACAGGCAGTCCTGGGCCTGTGACAACACTGGGATCATAAAGACAAACAGGTTGGCCCTGTCAGCTGAATTCACCTGGGTCTTTGGGAAAGTCCCCACCGCAGCCATGTCCTGCGAGAAGCTGGGAGTTTTGCAGGTTGCAGGCCCTGCCTGCCACAACTTCCCAACACGTGGGGCTTCCTCGAGGCCAAGGCACTGAAGGGGCCACGGGCAGAGTGGCCCAGCTTAGGACTACAGCTGCAGAGCCAGGCTGGGCGGGGGCATGGTGGGGTGGGGGGAGTTGGGCAGGCGGGTCTCTCGCTGGCAGGGTGTTTCCCCTCCCCACCTCTCACGCCTGGGTGTGGAGGAGTCAGCCTGGTGTGTGATGCGAGGGGTCTGTCATCTGGGGCGGGAGTGAGCCTCCGTCTCCCGGACCTTGGCTCCCCCCACTCCCTCCCTCGTAGGCCTGGCTGCTGCCTGGCCCTTGTCACCCTGGACAAGTTGATGACACACGGATGGACATTCGCTCAGGTGTTCAGGGGTTGGGGAATTATTCCTCCCATAAATGTTGCTTTTAAAAAACTATTGTGATAAAATATCTAACATGAGATTTACCATCTTAACCATTATTAAGTGTACAGTTCATCGGTATTAAGGACATTTGCATTGTTTTGCAACCATCACCATCATCCACCTCCAGAACCTTTTCATTTTCCTAAACTGAAACTGTCACTCCACGAAGCACTCACTCCCCATTCCCCCTCCCCAAGCCCTGGCACCCACCCTTCTACTTCCTGTCTCTATGGATTTGACTACTCCGGGGACTTTATATAACTGGAATCAGACATTATTGTTCTTTTCTGTCTGGCTTTTTCACTCAGCATAATGTCCTCAGGGTTCATCCATGTCGGAGCATGGGTCAAGATTTTCTTCCTTAAGGCTGACGAATATTCTGTTGTATGGACAGACCATATTTTGTGTATCTGCTTATTTGTCAGTGGACACCTGGCTGCTTCCACCTTTGGACTGCTGTGAATAGTGCTGCTATGAAATGGATGTGTGATTGTCTCTTTGAATCTCTGCTTTCAATTCTTTTGAGTATAAACCCAGAAGTGGAGTTGCTACATCATACGGTAATTCTGTGTTTAATTCTTTGAGGAATTGTGGATGCTGCATTTTTCTTTTCTGAGACAGCATCTCACTCTGTTGCCCAGTCTGGAGTGCCATGGCACAATCAATCTTGGCTCACTGCAGCCTCAACCTCCTGGGCTCAAGTAATCCTCACACCTCAGCCTCCTGAGTAGCTGAGACTACAGACAAGCCACCATACCCAGCTAATTGTTTAATTTTTTGTAGAGATTTGTTGAGGTCTCGCTGTGTTGTGTGGGCTGGTCGGAAACTCCTGGGCTCAAGCCGTCCTCCTGCCTTGGCCTCCTAAAGTGTTGGGATTACAGGCATGAACCACTGTGTCTGGCCATGAATGCTGCATTTAAAGCAGGGATTTAAGAATGTGTCAAAAGTGGGAATGAAGACATGTTGCACAGAATGAAAAGGGTGCCCGGATCATGTCTGTCTGGCTCTCCATGACCACAGACAAGTGATTTCACCTTTCTGAGCTTCTGTTTCCTCATCTGTAAAATAGAAGTGCCTTCTTCCTTGTGCTGTGCGGGGTTTTGAGAAGAGGTAACTTAGTTTGGAAAGTGCTGAGCCTGGTGGTTCAGAGCCGGGGTTGGAAACCATGCCACCGCTCTTGTTTTTGCACTGCTGGAGAGCCAGGAATGGTTTTCTCACATTTCAAGTGTTGTAAAAAATGAAAGAATAGGTGACAGAGACCACATGTGACCTGCAAAGCCACTTTTTCCTCCCAGGCCCTTTGTAGGGAAAAGTTTGTGTTTTAGTTTAGAGATGGGCTTTGAAATCAGACGCTTGTGTTCCTGGGTGCCCTCTGCCTCATATAAGCCTCCTGACCTTGACCAAGTACTCTGTGATATAGTTTGGCTGTGTTCCCACTCAAATCTCATCTCAAATTGTAATTCCCATAATCCCCATGTGTCATGGGAGGGACCCAGCGGGAGGTAATTTGACCATGAGGGCAGTTATCAGGGATAGTGAGTGCTCATGGGATCTGACGGTTTTGTAAGGGAATTTTCCCCCTTCTGCTCGGCACCTCTCCTTGGTGTTGCCGTGTGAAGAATGCATTTATTTCCCCTTTCACCATGATTGTAAGTTCCCTGAGGCCTCCTTACCCATTCTGAACTGTGAGTCAATTAAACCTCTTTCCTTTATAAATTACTCAGTCTTGGGTACGTTGTTATTAGCAGCATGAGAACGGACTAATACAGTAAATTGTATTGCTCTGTGCCTCCGTTTCGTCATCTGCAAAATGGGCATAAGAATCCCACGGGGTTCGTCATCGAACTTGCATCAAGTCACTGCTTAGCAAGGCAACCCCAACTACCTCATTTCAGTTGTGACACACTCAGCTCCTTCCAGCACATTCTACAATGCGTGTCTTGTGTTTGCTGAGTCATGCAGTTAGGACATGAGGCTCTCAGTGACAGGGGTCTTCACAGGCTTTGTGTGCTGATGTGTCTCTGGGGCGTACGACAGCACTCTGCAGAGAGCAGGCACTCAGTATTTGCAGAGTGAATGCAGACCCCACAGGGTTATATGAGAACAAGATGGGTTAATACTTGGGAGACATTGAGAGCAGTGCCCAAGACCCCCAGGCACGCTGGGGGAAGCCTTACTCCAGGGAAGGTTCCTGGGGTGTCTGCTCTGGGTTCTGCTTCAGCCAACACAACTTGGCAGATCCAATGCTAGGTGGCACAGTGGAGAAGGCCAGTAGACCTCCTGGGGCACGCAGAGAGGCATGGTGTCAAAAGGGGTGCTGCTGGCCAGATGACCCAAGGCCAACAGTCAGCTCTCCTGGGACCTGCCCAACGGGTCCCCGACACCTTTTTGAGCATCACCCAGGAGGCTGCCAAAGACCAAAGCATTAGTCCTGTTACCACCATGGGTCACAGAATCTGAAGCTGCCCTTTGCAGAAGCCCAGCTCTGCCAAATTTGCAACAGTTGACAAATGCCTCTGCTCTACTCACTCATTTCAGTGGAGGTAATAACCTCTTAATGATGACCCTACAGGGAAGAAATCATCCCCATTTTATAGATGGAGGTACGGAGGCTCTCAGAGGCAAAATGACTCACCCAAGCTCTCACTGTTACTAAATATCCATTACTTGGACTTGATCCCAGGGTGGTAACCACTGGATCTGCTGTTCAGAGAATGAGTGAATGGAAGGTGCATGTAAGAAGGAGGCGTCGGAATCACCGGTGTTCTGGGGAAGGGGTAGGGAAGACACTGCATCTCCTGGAAGGACCAAGGATGGGGTGGGAGGTCCTTCTTGGGGCAAGACCTGTGGCTGGGAGGAGAGGATGAGGGGAGTGGAGGTTGACTTAATGTTGCAAAGAGACACAGACTCTGAGTGATGACTAATTTTAGGTGTCAATTTGACTAGACCATGGGGTACCCATATTAGGCATAATTTCTGGGGGTGTCTGTGTGGATGTTTCCAGAAGAGATTAGCATTTGAAGTGGTAGACCCAGTAAAGCAGATGGCCCTCCCCAGTGTAGGTGGGCATCATCCAATCGCCTGAGGGCTTGGATAGAACGAAAGGTGGAGGAAGGGGAAATTGACCCTGTATTAGTCTGTTTTCACGCTGCTGATAAAGACATACCCGAGACTGCAAAGAAAAAGAGGTTGGATTGGACTTAAAGTTCCACATGGCTGGGGAGGCCTCAGAATCATGGCAGGAGGTAAAAGACACTTCTTCCATGGCGGCAGCAAGAGAAAAACAAGGAAGAAGCAAAAGTGGAAACCCCTGATAACCCATCAGATTTTGTGAGACTTATTTAGTATCACGAGAATAGCATGGGAAAGACTGGCCCCCATGACTCAATTACCTCCCCCTGGGTCCCTCCCAAAACAAGTGGGAATCCTGGGAGATAACATTCAAGTTGAGATTAGGGTGGGGACACAGCCAAACCATATTAGTCCTCTCATGCCTCCTGTCTGCTGAGCTGGGACATCTCCTCTCACCTTCTCTGACCCTGGGACTGAGAGTTCCACCATCGCTCTCCTGGTTTTCAGGCCTTTGGATTCAGACTCAATCTCAGCACCATCACCAGCACCCTTGGTCCTCCAGCTTGCAGATGGCAGAGCGTGGGGCTTCTCAGCCTCCATAGCCATGGGAGCCAGGTCTTCCCAATAACTTTCCCTCCCTCCTTTCTTCCCTCTCTCTCTAACTCCTACTGATTCTGTTTGAGAAATCTAAATACCCTTCGCTTTGATGACCTATGGCTGCACACTTGGAGGAAACGTCTTCTGACTGGCTGGAGGCTCCTGCACTTGCCCCTAAAGACTGTGATGGGGGACAGAGTGCTTCGGGCATCAAACCCAAAAGGCTCTCATTGACTCTTCGTGGCCTGTCATCGTGGCCTCTGGGAGTTGACTTAACCTCACCAGTGTGCTGACCTGACTCTTCATGCAGCCCAGGTCATTGTTTGTGGTTCTCTCCAAGGCAGGCCATGCTCCCAGCACAAAGCCATGTTGGGTAATTCATCCATTCACCAGTGAGGGCAGGGGCGGAGATGGCTGGAAGGAGGTGGGTGGAGAAGCAGGTAAATGAGGTGGTTTTGTTGACAGATAAGTAGACCTGTGTCATGGAGCAAGTGTTCCACGATAGGAAATGCAAGACCAGCAATGTCCAGGAAGTTCCAGGACAGCCAGTGACCTGCCACGGCAGGCAGCAGCCCCTGGGCCTGGGTCAGAAAGGCACAGCTAGCTGGTTGGAGGAGTCCCCCTCGCCCCTTCCATCAGAGGCTGGAAAAGGAATATGAGATTGTCTGCAGAGACAAATGGAAAGCCCTTCAGACAGCGGCCTGGGACCGCGCGCGCCTTCTCCAGCCGGTTCAGCAAGAGGAATGGTCACTGGAACGGGAGGAGCTGGCAGAAGAGGAAGGAGCACTGACTAAGACTGACTTGAGTGCCCAGAGCATGGCTGCACCCTTGGAGCATTTGCACACTCAGAGCACAGGAGCCAATCATCATCCCAGACTCTTCCCTCAGCCATCTGAGGGGAAAATGGCAGGTAAAATGGGAATCATGATATTTTCTTAAAATGAGGAATTATAAACACACGTGAATCTGTGACCAGTGAGAGTTTTGGAGGAGAGAGGGGGGCTAGGGCTCCTCCCCCAGACCACACCGCCACGCCCACAAATGCGTTTCCAATTACACCATCTATGGAGGATACGGCAAGCCCTTGCAAACTGGTTACCTGGAAAGAAAGGAGAGAAATTGTGTGATGTGGTGAGGTGGGGACCTGTGTCCCCACCAAATCTCATGTTCAGTTGTTATCCCCAGTGCTGGGGGTGGGGCCCGGTTGGAGGTGGTTGGATCACTGGGGTGGATCCTTCATGAATGGCTTAGCACCATCACCTGGTGCTGTCTTGTGATAGAGTTCTCATGAGATCTGGTTGATTAAAAGTGTGTGGCGCCTCCCCCACCTCTCTCTCATGGTCTGGCCATGTGAGACGCGCCTGCTTCCCCTTTGTCTTCACCATGATTGTAAGTTTCTTGAGGCCTCCCCAGAAGCAGATGTCCCCATGCTTCCTGTACAGCCTGCTGAACCGTGAGCCAATTAAATCTCTTTTCTTTATAAATGACCCAGTTTCAGGTATTTCTTTATAGCTATGTGAGAACAGACTAATACACTTTTTTTTTTATGCTAGTATATTTTGAGAGTTTGCTATGGGTCTGGCACTGACTCAATCCTGTGGGTACCTTATTTCCATGAATCTCTATTAATTTTTGAAAACTGAGCTGGATGCTTCAATGGCTTCAGCTTAGAGAAGAGGAAGCAGAGGACAGAGAAGAAACTTGTTGTGATCATATAGGCAATAGAGGTAAAGCCAGGAGCTCAAATCCACCCAGAGGTCACAGATGAGGCGTATCAGGAAGGTCTGCGCTCAGCCCAGCAGCTGTTGCAGCCCTCGCAGAGATGCTGCCTCGGTCTCAGAACAGCAGGCCCGTCGTCTGATCGGAGGGTCCAGAGTGAGGACTGACCGTGGCTTCTTACACCCCGAATGACTGGCCTAGTCATGGCTGGTTCTGCAAGAGCTGGTCGACTAGAGGATCACTGGGCCCCCTAACACCACCTGAAGCCTCTGTAGCTCAGAGAGTGTGAGCTAATGGAGAAGTGACTAGATGGCTCAGGTGTGACTCAGGCAGGCCACTTGGACCACTGCGTGGACCTTCCCTCCCCAGGAACCTCAGGCCAGAGCCAGGCTTCTTGGAAGGGAGTGGCTGGGGGAAGAAGAGGAAAAGAAACAGGTGGGTGGGATTTCAGTGGGCGGGAACGAAGAGCCCACCCGGCCACATCAGTGCCCACCGCATCTGAGCTGTTTGGGACAGATGAGGACCGGCCTGCTGTTGGGAGTGCATCATAATCCCAATAGACACAATCCCGAGTGTCGAAATCCTGAAAAATCAGAATCCTAAAACCCTGATTCTGTAAAAAATAATTTTAAAATGTTAGAAAATATTTACATTTTTAAAAGGGAATTTATTTGAGAAACATAAAAACAAAACATAAACGTATGTTTTAAAATTAAACATAAAACATAAAAATTAAACATAAAAAGCACAATGGAACACTTCATAGGCCACTTTAATAAAACAGGCAGTAAGAACACACATGTTTTTGTAAGCATAGACAGGTGTGCTAATGAGAGTCACACAGGTATATCAACTATGAGCAGATGAACCGTATTCATAAGGAAATGGGTCAGAAAGGGAGATGTGGTAATGCAGATCGCTATGGTTGGTGATTGTGTGCACCTGGCGTATAACTGCGGTCACCTGAAGTGCCGTGACGGACAACCTAAGTCTACTGACAAGATCGCGCAGCAACCTCGATGGGTCCCCGCCACATACATATGCAGTCACCCAAAGAGCTGAGAGAGATCTGGAGAAATGTTGTCTTTCACAAATGCAGATGTACAAAAAAGATATCTTTTCATTTATTGAGGAAGTTTCAACGCTTTTACACTCACACACAGCTTGCAAAGCAGCATTGTGATAGTTCACTTTTATGAAGTCAGATCTGCAAAAAATGCATAAAGAATTAGAACTCTAAAAATCTCTACAAGCCTGGATGACATGGCGAAACCCTGTCTCTACAAAAAATACAAAAATTAGCCGGGCGTGGTGATGTGTGCCTGTAGTCTCGGCTCCTTGGGAGGCTCCATTGAGCCCGGGCAGTGGAGGCTACAGTGAGCAGTGGCCATGCCACTGCCCTCCAGCCTGAATGACAGAGAGAGACCCTGTCTCAAAAATAAATAAATAAATAAAAATAAAAAGTCCCTATACAATTTATACCTCCAGTATTGGAAATGATGCAAAGATGAAATACACAGCATGCAGAACTGTGAATGAAAATGCTGACAATTTAAAATAGTGAAAAAAAAACTTTAAAAAGAAAAGGAACACAAACAAAAAACTTGTCCTGTAATTGCCACTTTTGGGATGTTAGATGTTGGCGGTTTTAGCGATTTTGATCTTTTGGGATTTCGGTATTTGGGATTGTGGTCCAAACTTGCTGCTTTTCTACCCTGTGCAGTCCGGGGATGCTGGGAACAGTGAGGGAGAGGAAGGCGATGGTTTTACGGAAAGTGCAAGTCTTCTTTGAGGGACTTAACAGCTGCATGCTGAGATGGGGCTCTAGAGCTCTCCCTTGTCCTCGTGGTCCGCAATGGGTGGTTGACTGCCAAATCCCAGACTCATATCTTCAATACGTGACCAGTATGCCATCTCCTCTCCTTTCCCTGCCGTGGTCTAGGCCAGTCCCTCTACCTCATCTGGACTGGTGCGTTGACTTATCTGCTTAACTCTGATGGCCCCTTCCTGGTTCCATCCCATCCCTGGTTCAGCCGCTTCTAGCTCTGACCTTGGGCAAGTTACTTAAACCCCAGCGTAAGCCTTTGTTTCCTATGGGGTGATTATGAGGGTTGAGTGAGTGAATATCTGCAAAGGACTCAGAACACAGCCTGTACACAGTAAGTACTAAATAAATGTTGGTTGTTTTTTATGATTGCTGTTTTTTTTCCTACCACACTGGAGCCAGCAAGCTATTTAAAAACACATCTGATTATGTCACATTTCTGCTTTTGAGTCCGTAAAAGGGAATTATTTTCTGAATGACACTGGAAAAGAATCAGGTTAGATTTTCCCTAATTTATACCAAGGTAGTTTGCCTGTGAATTTAAGATAAATGTAAAACAATATATATTAGAGGACAATATTTAATGGATCTCAGTTCTGGGAAGAAATTGTCGGCATAAAATTAATGGAAGGAACCATCAATGAAGGTATGAATACATAAAATAAAAATCTCCTGGAGTAAAAATGATGCAAAGAGAAAAAATTTGAAAAAATATTAGCATAAATATGGCAAGCAAAGGGTTGAACTCCTAAATATATAGAAGAGCTCCTTTAAATTAATAAGAAAAACACTCCACTAGCAAATTGGTCAGAAAGCATGCACAGAAATTGCACAAAACAAAGGAAGCTCTCAGAACTCTGAGAACAATGAAGCTAATGTTGATTGCACACTCAGGTCACAGACACCAGCGGAGAGACCTGTGTGCATGACCTCATTTCATCTTCACGAGGGCTCCCCAGGTCACTAGGTCCTCATCAGCAGAGCCAGGGTCTGAACATCTCTTGGACTCTGAAGCCTGCACCCTTGACCACTACACTGTATAAATACACTTTTTAAAGTAAGCTCATTTTTCAAAGCTCAAAATAACTGACAGTCAAAGAAATGCAAATTAAAACAATGAAACAGTGGCATCTTCAGCTGTCAAAGTAACAAACACTTGAAATAATGACTTCCTGCAGGCAGGCCTACACTGTGGTGCTGGAGCACAGATTGTTCAACCTGTTTGGAAAGCAATTTTGAATTATGTATGAAGAGCCTTAAAAGTGTTCTTACTCTTTGCCCTGGAGATTCCATTTCTAGAAATCTATTCTAAGGAAACAGAGATATGATCAAAGATTGTGAAGGAGAAGGCTAATTAAGGCATTATTTATAATAGCAAATGTCAGAAAGAGCCTAAATGATCCCATACCAAGGGTTGATGAAATAAACTATGGTGCACTGATAGGGGAGATCATGCATCTATTAAATAGCACATTTTGAAGAACACTGAAAGTGGGGGAAAATCATAGAGGCAGGCAGGCCACGTGACACAGGAAAGCAGACCTTTAAACTAGATTTTGAGGGAAAAGGAATTTTCCAGGCAAAGGTGATGGTAAGAACGCTGCAGACAGAATTCAAGGTGAGCAAGAACTGGAGGTTTGCAAAGCTCTGGTGTTCTGGGGTGGGCTGGGGGAGTCTTGGGGGAGGGCAGCCTCTGAGCAGCAAGGATGGAGAGTTGATTAGGTAAGGTGTCAAATGGGCCCAAGAACCAATCGACTTTTAGACAATATAGAAATATTGAAGTTTTAAAGAATCCCCACTCCCATTATAAAAATAATACATTCGGAAAACAGACAATTTGGAAAACATCAAACATGATAAATGGGAAGACACAGATCTCTGCCATCTCACCACCTTGGTGAACATGCTTGTCACCATGCACTGACAACATTCTGTTCCGGGATATAGGTGAATGGCCAGGTATTTCATGAAAGTAGTCACTGTAGATTTTAATATATTATAACAACAATAACTCTTTATGAGTCTATCTCCCCTAAACTAGAGTAGGGACACCTCAAAACTAGAGTAGGGACTGTGGCATATCGGACTTCATACTCCAAGCATCCAGCATGATTCGGGGCTAAATTATTATTGCATGGATGAGTGGATGGATGGATGGATGGATGGATGCATGGATGAATGGATGGCTAGGTGGACGGACAAATGGATGGATGAGTGGATGGATGGATGGATGGATGGATGCATGGATGAATGGATGGCTAGGTGGACGGACAAATGGATGGATGGATGGATGGATGGATGGATGGATGGATGAATGGATGAATGGATGGATAGGTGGATGGACAAATGGATGTATGAGTGGATGGATAAATGGATGGGTAGGTGGATGGATGGATGAGTGGATGCATAAATGGATGGATGGGTGGATGGATGGATGGATGGATGAATGGATGGATGGATGCGTGGATGGATGGATGGATAGGTGGATGGATGGATGGATAGGTGGATGGATGGACGGATAAGTGGATGGATGGATGGATGGATGAATGGATGGATGGATGTGTGGATGGATGGATGGATAGGTGGATGGATGGATGGATGGATAGGTGGATGGATGGATGGATAGTTGGATGAGTGAATGGATGGATGGATGGGTGGATGGATGGATGGATAGGTGGATGGATGGATGGATATTTGGATGAATGAATGGATGGATGGATGGGTGGATGGATGGATGGATAGGTGGATGGATGGATGGGTGGATGGATGGATGGGTGGATGGATGGGTGGATGGATAAATGGATGAATGGATGAGTGGGTGAGCAGGATTTTCTTCTGTTACATCATCTTTACACAATCTGGTGACCCTCCCTGTATGAGTGAGGTGACTTGGTAGAAAGGATCTTGGAGCAGGACTGCTCTGTGACCCACCGATGGGCATCTTGGGTAAGGTGTTTCACCTCTTCAAGCCTCAGTTTCCTCACCCTTAAAATGGTGAGAGACTGAGTATACAAACAGATGTGGGGACCCACTCCACAGATGTCATCCAGAGATGACATAAAGATTGCTTTAAGCTGAAGACATTTGAGATTTAATAGATGCAGAAAAAAGCCTCCTCAGACCTTCCTTTATCTGATTAAAAACAGCAACTTCTGGGCAAGGAGGCAACCATAATTCTCCTCTCTGGGGGAGTTTTATGGCCCTGAAGAAGATGGAAAGACCACTCATACCTGTTTAGACGAACATTATCACAAACTTTATCGCCCTTCTCTTCTCCTAAAATCCCATTTGTTTTTCCTAAAGAAAATGATTTGTTTTTCTCATAAAAGCCACTTCTCCCCCATTTCCTTTTCCCTACTAAGTAGGTGTACAAGTCTTTAGCTATTTATCAGCCAGCAACTTCTTCTTTTTTTTTTTTTTTTTTGAGACAGAGTCTTGCTCTGTCACCCAGGCTGGAGTGCAATGGCGCAATCTCTGCTCACTGCAGCTTCCGCCTCCTGGGTTCAAGCGATTCTCCTGCCTCAGCCTCCTGAGTAGCTGGGATTACAGATGCACACTGCCACGACTGGCTAAGTTTTATATTTTTAGTGGAGACTGGGTTTCGCCATGTTGGCTAGGCTGGCCTCGAACTCCTGACCTCAGGTGATTCTTCTGCCTTGGCCTCTCAAAGTGCTGGGATTACAGGTGTGAGCCACCGCACCCGGCCCCGGCTACTTCTTTTGTTGGCTCCCGTAGGCACATAAAATAAACCCGTTTCTCCTGTTTATCCGTCTTTTGTCCATGTAATTTGCAGCCCTCAGTTACTGAACCTAAGACGGTAAAGTAGTTGTTTCCTTCCCTACAAAGACAATGGAGAGACTCACAGTCTTTGCAGCAATCAGGCCAGAATGGTCAGGAGTTGGTTGATGACTGCCAGCTTTTCTAATTTTTGTTCCTACTTCTAATTTAGAGCCAACCAGAGAAAGTCAAATATGCGCCCCTAGCCAATCCCCTAGGATGTCCACTTCCACGAGCCTTCCCAGCTCCCTTTTGAAGACGGCCTCATCGGGGCACCCCTGGAGCCTGTCGTCCACCACCAAGCTCCCCACTGCCTGCCCTGAGTCTCTGCCAAACGCAGCTGGTGGAAGCGGCCCCCTCGCTAGAGCCTGCTCAGAATACACAGCCTGCGCTTGGTCTCAGGTGGGTGGTCTTCATTTGTTTCCACAGTGGGGCCGACAGTTGTTTCATACATGTCAGGTGCTTGACAGGAACTGCTGTCCTGCTTCGGAGCAAGGGGACTTAGCGAGAGGCCCCTCCACCCTGTGCCAGAGTCTCACATGCCTGCCAAACTGGAGAAGGTTTGGCTTTGGCAGACGTAAATATCGTAGGTGGTTTTCCATCTGCAGCTGCTCAGCAGAGAAACAATTTGGAGAAGGAACAAGAAAATGCTGCATTTAGGAGTTGAAAGAAGCAGCAACTTGGCAACAAGGTACAGAGCAGCTTTCTTAAGCGTGGTGCTGGATTCGGAGCTGGGTTTATATCCCAGTGGTACCTGTCTCTGACTTTTGCTAGGTACTTACTTCCCTGTCCCTAAAGTGGGCCTGGCATTAGTGCCTACGTCATAGGACCCATGTGGAACTCAGAGGAGAACGCAGGCCGACTTGGTGAGGAGGTCTAAGTAAACACAAGCGTCATTTTTCACCATTCCTGCATCCTAGGGACAGTCCCTCATCCATCCTCTTCTTCAGGTAAGGTCATGGCTGCAGGCAAGGGCTGAGCCTGGGAAAGGCATTTCCAAAGCCGCCTCCAAAAGCAAAGTGGGTGCTGATGAGTGAGAATCAATAGCACTCATCCTCCCACTCCTGCAGGAAGGAAGGAAGCTGCCACCTCTCGCCTGGGGGCAGAGATAAGGGAGGACTTGGAAGAGAGTCCTCAGAAAGCTAGAGACACTGGAATGGAGGCTGGGCTCTGCCTGGGGGAGCTGGAAGGACCTGGGGTTGGAGGTCCCTGTGGATGAGAGGAACTCCTGCTGATTTCGCAGCCTGGAAGGCTGAAGTCTAGATACGCTTGTGCTTGTGGCTTTGAGGGTGCAGAACTCTGTATCTCACTCTCTGTGCAAGGAGGGGATGATCGCTGCTCTGCCTCCTTCTAAAGAGCTGGTGATTGTGGAGTGATGGAAAACCTGGTGTGAATGTTTCTGTTGAAGAGCTGGCAGGGTCCTTTGCTTTCCAGGATGTGGGCAAGGCCATCTGGAGAGTGAAGGCGGTGGAAGACTCCCTGATGCCAGGTTCTGAGGGCTTGCATAGGCTCTGCCTCCTTCTCCTTTCCCTTGATTGGAGCAAAACTCTTTTTGGAGATGCATCTGTTTAGCCCCAGCCAGGCACCCTCCACCTATTATCTGAATTTTAGTCATGCCAGGAAGCCACCAAGGCAAGTCCTGCTAGCACCACATCCCAGGTGAGGGGTGCAGGTGCCCTGTTCAGCAAGGAGGCTTCAAACCTGGATTGAGGGGATCCCAGGGCTTCCCTGTCAACCCACCCTTGCACACGGATCAAACTTTATCTCAACGAGGCCCCTGTGAAAACTCAGATGTTCAGAATATGACCACAGTATTCATTTCCTGGGGCTGCTGTAGAAAATTACCACCAACTCAATAGCTTCGAACAAAACAAACTGAAATGATGTTGGGAAAACTGGATATCTACATGTGGAAGAATGAAATTGGACCCTTATCTCATACATATACAAAAATCAACTCAAAACGAATGAAAGACTTATATGTAGGACCTGAAACTTTCAAACTGCTAGAAGAAAACATAGGGGGCAAAGCTCTATGACATTGGTCTAAGCAATGATGATTTTGGATATGACACCAAAAGCACAGGCAACAAAAGTAAAATCATAGACACATGGGATCACATCAAACCCAAAAGCTTCTGCACAGCAAAGGAAACAGGCAACAGAGTGGAGGGACACCCTATGGAATGGGAGGAGATATTTGCAAGCCACACACTTGATAAGGGGTTAATTGCCAAAATATATAAGGAATTCAAACAACTCAATATCAAGAAAACAACCCAATTAAGAAATAAGTAATGGACCTGAATAGATATTTCTCAAAAGAAGACATCCAAAAGGCCAATGAGTATATGAAAAAATGCTTAATATCCCCAACCATCTAGGAAATGTAAGTCAAAACCACAATGAGATATCACTTCACACCTAATTATCAAAAAGATGAAAGAAAACAAGTGCCGGTGAGGATGTGGACTATCCTCTATGCACACTATTGGTGGGAATGTGGATCAGTGCAGCCATGACTGTTGGTGGGAACGTGGATCAGTGCAGCCATGACTGTTGGTGGGAACGTGGATCAGTGCAGCCATGACTGTTGGTGGGAACGTGGATCAGTGCAGCCATGACTGTTGGTGGGAACGTGGATCAGTGCAGCCATGACTGTTGGTGGGAACGTGGATCAGTGCAGCCATGACTGTTGGTGGGAACGTGGATCAGTGCAGCCATGACTGTTGGTGGGAACGTGGATCAGTGCAGCCATGACTGTTGGTGGGAACGTGGATCAGTGCAGCCATGACTGTTGGTGGGAACGTGGATCAGTGCAGCCATGACTGTTGGTGGGAACGTGGATCAGTGCAGGCATGACTGTTGGTGGGAACGTGGATCAGTACAGCCATGACGGAAAGCAATATGAAGTCTCCTCAACAATTAGAGTAGAGCTACCATATGATTGCTCGCAATTTCACTTCCGGATATACACCCAAGGAAGTCAGTATGTTGAAGGGATGTCTGCTCTCTCATATCCATTGCAGCATTACTCACAATAGCCAAGAGATGGAATTGACCTAAGTGCTCATCGGTGAATGAATGGATAAGAAAATGTGACATACTTACAGAATGGAATATTAGTCTGCCTTAAAAAAGAAGGAAATCCTGCCATTTGCAACAACATGAATGAACCTAGAGGGCATTATGTTAAGTGAAATAAGCCAGGCATAGAAAGACAAATGATACAATCTCACTCATCTGTGGAATCTACAAAAGCAAATGCAGAGGGAGGACGAGAGACCCGGTGACCAGGGCCCGTGGGGGATGACCCGGTGACCAGGGCCCGTGGGGGATTACCCGGTGACGAGGGCCCGTGGGGGATGACCCGGTGACCAGGGCCCGTGGGGGATGACCCGGTGACGAGGGCCCATGCAGGGCGACCCAGTGATGAGG
Source organism: Homo sapiens (assembly GCF_000001405.40). NCBI lineage: Eukaryota > Metazoa > Chordata > Mammalia > Primates > Hominidae > Homo > Homo sapiens. Next base: position 41,689,404 of record NC_000021.9, on the reverse strand, counting down.
GCCCGTGGGGGGCGACCCGGTGACCAGGGCCCATGCGGGGTGACCCGGTGACCAGGGCCCGTGCGGGGTGACCCGGTGACGAGGGCCCGTGCAGGGTGACCCGGTGACCAGGGCCCATGCGGGGTGACCCGGTGACGAGGGCCCGTGGGGGATGACCCGGTGACGAGGGCCCGTGCAGGGTGACCCGGTGACGAGGGCCCGTGCAGGATGACCCGGTGATTAGAGCTTGTGAGGGAAGACCTGATGATTAGAGCTTGTGCAGGATGACCCGGTGATCAGGGCCCGTGTGGGCTGACCTGGTGATGAGGGCCTGTGTGGGATAGCCTGCCCTTGGAATGATCCGATCACTCTCCTGCATTTGAAATATCTAGGTGTTGCAACAGAAGCCACCCTGACAGTTAGGAGGCTGCCCTGTTATTATAATGCCAGAGAGAGTTCATTCTAAACAGTAAAAAGGAAAGAAAGAGAGAGAGAAGAGAAATTTAGAGTTCAGACCAAAGCTACCTGAAGCAGCACTCCTTGTGAATCAATGTTATACCTGTTCATCAGGAGGATGTCAAATTTAGGCATGGTAATATTTAGCAGTGACGACAGTGTGGCGGGGGGGAGTTGCACCCTAATTTAATTTAATGGAAGGGTATTTGAGTTTCAAGTTTTTTTTTTTTTTTTTTTGAGCCGGAGTCTTGCTCTGTCGCCCAGGCTGGAATGCAGTGGCGCAATCTCGGCTCACTGCAAGCTCTGTCTCCCGGGTTCACCCCATTCTCCCGCCTCAGCCTCCCAAGTAGCTGGGACTACGGAAGCCCACCACCACGCCCGGCTAATTTTTTGTATTTTTAGTAGAGATGCGGTTTCACCGTGTTAGCCAGGATGGTCTCAATCTCCTGACCTCGTGATCCACCTGCCTCAGCCTTATTTGAGTTATTTTTAAGGCTCTACCTCCTGATGTTGAGTCATGTGGGTCATGCCACGTGCCAGAACCATCTTCGGCTTTGCAGCAGAACTCCACTGTGTTCACCATCTTCCCTTCTCCCAGGCTCTTCTGGGACTGGTGTGGCCATACACTTCAGATCCTTCACCAGAACCTTTGAAAAGGGAGAGTGAGTGAGGCAGAGCCCGGGAAAGGCAGGACAATCCAGGGAGGGCCTGGCGGCCACCCGGGTACCACACTCTCTTTGTCCACCTGGAGTTCCCGATGGGCTGGACAACATTACAAGTCAGCTTTTCTTGGCTTGCCAACCCTCGCTTTAAATTTTGTCATCTTACAACATTTATGAACCAGGAGACTTCACCTAAACCTTGACGTCCTGCGGCATTGGACGTTCTTGCCCAGGAGTCTCCTTCCGCTGGAGTCGAACTCACTGTGCCCTCTGTGGGCTCCATCTCTCACAGCCCCAGGACCCCTCACTCATGGACCCCATGTCCTGGGCCCTGACTGCACTGGCATTTGTAAGACCAGATAAAAACCTCTTGTCCTCAATTCTGAAGTCTAAAATACACAGAAAAGCCTGTTCTGTAATTCATTTGATGGCAAAATCTGATCTGATATGTGACTCATGCAGTAGCAGTTTCTGACCTGAACTGACTATAAAAATGCATTTAATGATCCTGCTCAGGGTGTGGAGACTGTGCTGTGTCACAGAAATATGAAGAGTGTTGCCCTTAAATATTAATAGATCCCACCATCGGGTTTGGGGATTGTTCGGTACATGCACCATTTTACTTTCCTGAAATTCAAAAATTTTGAACTTCTCTGACCCTAAGTGCTGAGAGGGCTTGTGCAGTGCTGTGGGTGGGGCTCACAGTGAGTCAAACCAACCAAGGTGCCCTGGTCACCTGATCGTCACACACCAGCCCCATTGATTCTCACGGCAGCCCCTGGTGAGGAGCTTCTGTGGTCCCCATTTTGCAGATGAGGAAACTGACATATAAAGCGCTAGGAAAGTTGCCCAAGGACATGAGGCACAGGCAGGATTTGAACCCAGGTGTTCCGGTTCCAGGGGCCAGGTTTTTAAGCAATGTGGCATGATGGCTTTTGACGCCTGATCTCAAACAGAAAAGATACCTCCTGAATTCATGCTAAGGATGCAGCTCCCTAACTCCACGTATTGAATAAGGTTTCCCCGGAGCTTCTTTCAGGATAGGAAAGGCGCTGGGCTTTCGTGGTCCAGCCATCTGATTCCCGAAGAAGCAACAAGGCCCTGGCTAAATCACAGTGAGATGAATCCCTGGGGACTTGAGACTCGCGTAAACATCAGAAGAGGGTCCCCCCACTTTGGCAGAGGAGAACACCCTGAGAGAGGCAGAATGGAATAAGAGAAGCTTGAGGACATTGGATTCAGCCAGAGTTGGGTAGGAAGCCCATATGAATAGCTCAAGCCTTGTGACAATTGTCAATTCATTGTCCACTTGTAAAATGTGTAATGTCCTTCATAGGTGTCTTAGTCCACTTACGCTGCTAGAACAAAATCCCATAGGCTGGAAGGGCTTATAAACAACAGACATTTGTTTCTCACATTTCTGGAGGCTGAAAGTCCAAGGTCAAGGCACCAGCAGATTCGGCGTCTGGTGAGGGCTTTCTGGTTCAAAGAGCGCACTTTCTCGCTGTGTCCTCACTCGGGGGGAGGGGAGAAATCTGATCTTTTCATCTCATTATAGGGGCGCTTGTCCCATTCATGAGGGCTCCACCCTCAAGAGCCGACCACCTCCCAAAGGCCCTGCCTCCTAATATCAGCAGATCGGAGGTTAGGCTTCAATATATCGCTTTGAGGGGGGCACAACCATTTCAACCCTAGCAAGAGGTTTTAAGTTCCTTGAAACTTAGAGTGCTGTTTTCCTTCCTTCCTCCCTTTTTCCATTCACCATTTATCAGACAGTGTGTTAGACACTAGGCAATTAGAGCAAAAAGCCCTGCTCCCTGCCCTTGAGGAGTTCCCAGCCCCTCCTGCACTACCCGAGGGCTTGCCTGTAGCAAGCATTCAGTAAGCTACAAAATGCAAAGTATAACAAACGGATCTACCCCTTTGGAGTAGAAAAAACCCAATGTTATCCCAAGAATGGCCACGTGGCTTGGTCCTTGAGATGACATGATGTGCAAACACCAGGACCCAGGGATTCGTGATCCATTTGGCTATTGATAGCAGCAAAGACATTTTTCCTTCCCTTTTGGGAAACAGTCATGGTTGCTGTTCAAGCTAAGAGTGAGGGCCTTGAAAGCAGCTCTGCACTGGGAAAGCAGTTTCAAGTCCATACCCCACTGCCCACCTGCCCCACACTGCTGATTCCAGACCAGGGAGCGGAGCCAGGCAGTTACCCCAGGCCCCGTGCTCTGCACCCTGAGGGTGACTTTCTGAGGGTGTCAGCTGGTGACCATGACCATAGGCATGGACACCTCACTGTGGAGGTCACCTGTCTTGAGCAGGGAGAGGCTCGTACCCTGTTGACAGGAGGATAGTGGGGTAGGAGGCCAGGGGCACCAGTTCAGGCCCCCCACCTCTGAGTCCCTGAATCTTCCTGGCCTGTGAGCTGCCCTTGAGTTTCCCTTTGTCTCCATCGCTGCCTCCCCTCCCTCTCCCAGCAGCAGCACCGCCAGGACTGTTCCACCGAAGCCAGGTGTGGGTGGGGGTGTTCCCAGATGCAGGAGACAGGAAGACCCAGGAGCAGCCTGTGGTTGGCAAGGTGGGGTCCAGGAGTGGTGTCAGGGGATGTCCTGGCTGCTCAGCACAGCAGGAGGCAGGCCCAGCTAGGAGGCAGGAGGAGGCTGGGGAGGGGTCCCTGCAAGGGTGGCAGGGAGTTGTCATTTGGGAGGTGGGCTAGATATGGGGGAACACCACGGGCCTGGGGCTCAGGAGCAGCTTCCAATTCCTAGAGAGGTCTGGAGTGTGCAACGAGTATTGGAGAAACAGAAGTTCCAGGTCTGGAAAAACAGGGGTTCCCAGCAGGGTGACAGGCGCTGGGGACAAGGTGGGGTCAGATGCTGGATCGTGTACAAGACAAGGGCTCCCTAAGAAGAAAGCAGGTCAGAACTGAAGGCAGAGCTGGGTGTGGGCCCCCTTAACCAGCTCCTCCAGCCAGACTCAGGCTCAAGTCCCTGTGGTTGGCTGAATAATGGCCTCCAAAGAGAGCCTCATCCTAACCCCAGGACCGGTGAATGTGACCTTACCTGGTGAAAAGGACTTTGCAGATGTAAGGAAGGATGTTGCAAGGGGGAGAAGGGGGAGATGACCGTCTATGATCTGGCGGTCCCTAAATGCCATCACAAGGGTCCTTACAAGAGGGAGATGGAGGGAGGTTTGAATACAAACGAGGAGGAGGCCGTGCGACCACGAGGCAGAGATGGGAGCGATGCAGCCACAGGCCCAGGGACCCCCGCAGCTGCCGCAAGCTGGGAGAGGCAGGTAGGATCCTCCCAGAGCCTCCGAGGGTGCTGCCTACAACTCGGTTTTCACGTTTCACACCTAAGACTCATTTCAGAATTCTGGGCTCTAGGACTATAAGATAATACATTTCTGTGGTTTTAAGCCACTAAATCCATAGCCATGGATTCAGCAGCTGCAGCCGCTCCTGCAGTCCCAGGGGCAGGAAGTCAGGTCCGTTCTCCCTGCCCCGGGGCCATCTCGGGAACAGAAGATATTTGGGAAAACATTTTGTGGAGGTGGGGCTGGGAGAGGCTCTGTTTTCATTTTGTACCTTCCTGTACTGTTTGGATTTTCTTCCAGTACAGGTCTTTGTTTTTCGCAATGTCTCCAGGAGTTATCCACGGGGAGAGATTTTGTGTTTCCTTGTTTGTACTCGTCTGTGTTAAAAGAAAACTCTCACACCCACTGCCTGGTCGAGGTCGTGTTTGCTGGGTCCTCTGGTTACTCACAGTGGAGGAATTTCGTATCTCCAGCTCCCGCCCCACCCACCTCTCCTGGCTCCTCTCCCTCCTCCCGTTTCTCTCCCTCCTCCCTCCCCTCATATCAACCCCCTCTCCTGCAGAACAAAAAATAACCTAGTCTCTCCCTGCCCGTAGCACCCCAGCCCGTCTTGTTACGGACACCCCTGTCCTCAGGGGGCCTTTTCAAGGTACATTTTCCTACTGGAAGGTGGTGCCTTTTCCACGCAGCACATCCTGCCTCCCTCGGATGATGTATTTCCCCTTGTTACAAACTAATGATAGCTACCATTCATTGCACACTTGTTTAACACCTTTTATAAAGTCAGGGCTTGACCAACATGGTTTCCATCTGCGCAGCCATTTCAACAACCGGCTGCTGTCACCCCAGCTCCAAAACAGCAGCGAGGTGATGAAATAGCTTTGTCAAGGTGAGAAAACTACAGCTGTGGGAAATTTGGAGACTGGCCCAAGTCAATATGGCCAGTGATGACTGACTAGTGTCACTGGCCTGTCTGACTTCAAGGTCGGCAGGCCCAAGTGGGCGCTGCTTTTGCAGACATCTGCAGCTGGCCGCTACCGGAGGCTGTGGGCCCCTTCTTCAGCCTCGGGGAGGAAGCTTCTTCCCCATGGGAGCAGCACCTGTGCTGGGGCGGCCCTCATGCTGATTCTCACAAGGCCGAAGTGTGCACAGGAGTCCTATGTGGGCTCATGTCTTAGAAATCGGATGCTGGGAATGACGTCTCCTATGCAGCCTCCAGCTCTACTCTGCGGCAGGTGAAGATCATTTTTCTGAACTGCCCTCAGAGCTACAGCTAGAGAGTCATTGATTTCTTCTATCATTATTTTCTTTATTTTCAGTGGGTTTCTGAGTAGAGGTGCTCACACATGCACTTGTGTTTATGAACACACACACACGTAAAGACCAGTAGGTTACCTTTAATCTTATTTTTTTCAGCTTAACATAGCCTTTATTGTGTGAAAACCTGAAGCAAAAATGATGTAAGAAACCAAACAAATCTGTGTCTTTATTGTTTGGGTCTGTGACGTGTGTGCGTGTGTGTGTGCACGTGTGTACCTATGTGTGTGTCTGTGTATGCATGAATGAGTGTGTGTGTGGTTGTGTGTATGTTAGATACATGCCTTTTGACTGATCTCAGCTCCCAAATCCATTTCTGGAGCCTTAAGAAAATGGATGAAATTAACACGGTCAGCACCCTGTGGGGGCCACAGGGCATTGTCTGATACCTCGGTGAGCAGGTGGGTGAGGACAGCCTCTGTCTAAACTGCTTGTCTGCAGTGGGTGGACCTGGTTTTTTATTTAAAACACTCGCAAGTGTTGGATGCCTTCTGAAGATAGCACAGGGGACGAGATGGTGACAGTGAGGGGACTCCCCACCCCACCCCTGGCCACCGAGAAGAAAAGTGGAGAATACCATTGCTTTCAGAAAGTCAAGCTACAAAACCTACACATGTCTGGGCAGAGGTCAGGCCCTGTACATGGGCTGGCTGGCTCTGCCTCTGGGGAAGCCTGGATGTGCCAGGCCTGGGCGTGTGTGCTGGGGGGGAATCCTGTTCAGGGAAGAGCGGTCCAGCTGAGGAGAGCAGGTCTGGAGGCCTCCAGTGAGACGGTGGGAGGCGGAACATCTCAGAGCAGAAGCAGAAAGTGATGGCGCGGGAACGGTGAGCCTTGACAGCTGCCGCCTCTCCATCCCAGCGCCCCTGCCTCTCCGCCCCGGCGCCCCTGCCTCTCCGTCCCAGTGCGGCCTCCCTGCTTCCTTCTGATAATCCGCCTGTCTGCAGGCCAAGATGCTGTGCGGGTCACTCTCTGGGCTGCCTGACATTCATTCTTCTCACCCAGGAGAAGCAGATTTTCTGGTTTGTGCCTCAGCCTCATGGGTGTGCCCGTGCCAGGCAGGGTGAGAGACCTACAAAACCTCTCAGCCTTCTGAGTCAGAGGTTGTACCCATTTTGCAGATAAGGAATCAGAGGCACCACGAGGTGAAAGGACTTGCCTCAGCTGCTCGGCGAGGCTGGAGCTTGGGCCAAGGTAGTTGGGGCCCAGAGCCCGTGCCCTGGAGCGCTGCGTCGGTGAGGTGCTCAAATTGCATGAGGCTGGAGTTTCTGGGCCTGCCAGAGCGGGGAATAGAAGGCTCACCGTGGAGGCACTGACCCTGCTCCGAGGGGCTCGGAGTCTGGTGAGGGCCAGACACAAAGCAGGTCATTTCTACATTGTGATCGGGGTACTGAGAAAACTGAGGTGGCCGGAGATTGTGTCTACTTCTGTAGACAGCCACGGACACAGCACATGGCGGGAGACCAGAGAGAAGCCACTGACCGGCAGAGGCTGTCCCAGAGGCTGGCGCTGGGGGCCCTGCAGGGGTCCAGGTGCCCCAGAGTCTGGTGCTGGGGGCTCCCCAGGGGTCCAGGTGCAGAAGGGCTTTCCCGGATGAGGGAACAGCAGGTGTCAAGGCTGGCAGCAGTGACTGTGCTGATGATGTCTGGGGGCCCCAGCTGTGGGAGGTGGCGGGAACAGGGGTGTGGGATGAGGTGAGGGACCCCGACTAATTCACGAGCAGCCCTCGAGGTGTCTTGTGGGCACTGAACCATGTGAAGGTGGCTCTGGGGTCTGATTCATGTTCTGAGAGTTCTTCAGCTGCCCTGGTGGGGGTTGTGTGAGAGAGAGCCAGCGAAGGAGGTACAGGAAAGTTCTTGTCCCCCGCCTCGTGTTAGTGCAAACGGAGGTAAACTGAGGAGCACGGGAAAGGCTGTGCTTCTGCAGGGGAGTCACGAGTGAGCAGAGTGCGTGCAGGCGGCTCACCCAGGCCTGCCATGGGTCCTTAGCCCTGCCTCCCAGGAACCCCGGAGGGCCACCCTGCTCAGGCTGTTCCTGGCATAAGCGCGTGACAGCGGGGAAGGTACAGATGTGGGATTCTGGACCCTTCTGCCAACAGAAGAACCGGGCGCCGTGGAGCCTCCTCCCAGCTGCCCTGGGCACGCTGGAAATACCTCCGCAGGCTGTTTTCTTTCCCTTCCTGTCAGTGCCCAACGCGTGTTGTTCTGTGCCCAGAGGAACTGGCTCTTCGGGTTCTGTGAGTCCAGGGGATTGGAGCCATTGGAGCCCCGGGGCCTGGGAGTCTAAATTTGACCTTGCGATTTGCTTATTTTGGGGGGTCAGGGCCGGTTGCCCACAGCGGGGTCTTAGCATGGAGCCAGGGTTCCACGTCCCCCTCGTTCCAGCTCAGGGCGAGGAGGCGGAAGGGAAAGGAGGGAAACAGAGCGGTGAGGAGTTTCACTTTTGTTCTCTCTTTTCTGTGTGCTTCCTTATGTTTTAAATAACATTTATGCGTCATTTACCAGGCGGCGTGTGCATTATAATTCCCTCAATTTTACTGATGAGGAAATCGAGGCAGGAGGAAGTTGAGTACTACAGAGCTGTCCTGTGGAGCCGGGCCGTCTGGCACTGGAGACAGGCTTCTATCCACTCTGCCTGCGGTTCGCAAAGTGGGGTCCCCAGCCAGCGGCACCAGCATCACCTGGAACTTGTGACAAATGCACATTCCAGGGCCCTTCTCCAGACCCACGGAATCTAGGGCAAGGCTCAGCCATCTGTGCCTTAGGGAGCTCTCCTGGAGATTCTCACACTGGTCCAGGGGGTTCTTCAGTTAACTGACACCTTTGTTGAGCACCTACTTACCACATAAGCCATTGACGAGATTGTGCTGGAAACATGCAACTATGCTAAAAACAAAGACTGTCACCTGCCCTTTCAGAGCTACGCAGAGCAGCCTGAGACTCACAGCGAAACAGCTTTTGTCTCTGGGCAGTTGCAGAGCAGGTTTGTTTGTTTGTTTGTTTTGTTTTAGGCTTTTTGCCAAATACCAGAGGCCAGAACTATGGAGAGGCTGCTGAATCCAGGGCCAGGAGGGCTCCAAGGAGTTTGCAAACCTAGATCTCCGGGAGGCCCTGGTTAAAGGAGGCTAAATCCGTTGGGACAGACATGGGTGTTTCAGGTTGGGATCTCATGGCTGAGTGTGCAAGCTGCCAACACTTCCGTGTATGCTTTATTCCCGTGGTTTTTGTTTGTTTTGTTTTTTTTTTTCCAGATTTAAAGACTAATAGGAGATGAGCAATGGCAGCTTTGGGGACCTTTTGTCTTTGCTTTGGCATTTTGGCCATTGGCTGATTTTAAAAACAAAATAGAACTATCTGGTGGCCCCAAGCCCCAATGCATAAGCTCAAGGTGGAGTCCCCAGGGCTGTTTTTCCCGATGGAGAGTTTGGTGCCCATTCTGTGATCACAGGGGAAGCTGCTGGGCCGTTTTCACCTCCTCCTCCCACATACACAGGCATGCTTGCGGTAGACTCACAAGAAGTTACAGAACATCAGCTGCCCGCAAAAAGCATCTTTTGTGAAAGACAGGGAGCAAGGATATATTAAAAACAAGCAAGCAGCTGAGGTGGGTGGATCATGAGGTCAGGAGATCGAGACCATCCTGGCTAACACAGTGAAACCCCATCTCTACTAAAAATACAAAAAATTAGCTGGGCATAGTTGCACGTACCTGTAGTCCCAGCTACTTGGGAGGCTGAGGCAGGAGAATCGCTTGAACCCAGGAGGCAGAGGTTGCAGTAAGCCAAGATCACACCACTGCACTCCAGCCTGGGTGACAGAGTGAGACTCCATCTCAAAAAAACAAAAAAACAAGCAGGTGCAGGTGCTCATGCCTGTAGTCCCAGCTACTTGGGAGGCTGAGGTGGAGGGATCGCTTGAATCCAGGAGTTAGACCAGCCTGGGCAACATAGCAAGACCCTGTCTTAAAAAAAAAAAAAACCCGAAATTGAAAAACACAAAACAAGCAAATAGACCTGAAACACTCCAGCTACCCCTTCTGTAAGGAAAGCCAACAAGAGTTAGTCCCAACCTCATCCCACTCCCCAGACCCCTTCCCAAACCCCTTCCCAGACCCCACTGCCCACTTTCCGTGGGGGGGAAAGGGGAATCATTAGGGCATTCCTTACATCCCGGCTGTCTGGCAAACTTAAATGGGTTACACCTGGAGCCACTGGCCCCACTTAGTAACCCGAGGATACTCGTGGATGCAGGCTGCTTTCCTGACCCCGAATTCGGTGCCCACGAAACAGCCTCTCAATCTGAGGACAGGATTTTCACATTGTCCCTGTGCATCTGAGAAGAGCCCGCTTCCCCTTCAGGAGACGGAGTGTATGGACGGCCTCTGGCCTTAGACAGTTCTGCAGGCCAAGCCCTCTGGCCTCTGCCACTCATTAGCTGGGCCCGTTACATAACTTCCCTGGGCTCTGCCATCGGCCTTCCCACCAGCAGAAGCTGCAAGGCTCGGAAGGGCATGACGTCACTTGCAGGGCATTCTATTGGCCATCGTGAGTCACAGGCCCGCCCAGATTCCAGGGTGTGGAAGAGACTCCGCCTCTCCGTGAGAGTTGCTGTTAAGTCACATTGCAAGGGGGTGTGAACTCAGGGAGTGGAACAATTGTGGCCATTTTTTTGTTGTTGTTGCAAACAATCTACCACACAGGGACGGCTGCATTTAATCCTCACAGCAACCCCACTGGCCAGATAGAGAAACTGAAGCACAAAGAGGTGAAGATCCTCGGCCCCATCAGGAATTGCCAGGGCATAAACCCTGGTCTGCCTGCCTCCAGAGTCTGGGCTCTCGTTCCTACCCTCAGGGGCTGGCCTGTGTGCTGGGACCCCGAGGCACATGGCCCAGTTCTTGCCCCATTGCCCATCAGTGCTCAGCTCCCAGTTACCGCAGTCACCCTAAGGCACCTGGAAAACGGAGGGAAGCAGGAACAGGTTTGCTTCTGGTGCCTCCGCCTGCCCTGGAGAAGTCCAGTCCTTCCTCTTCCCTGCAGAGGAAGCTTACAGTTTTATCTGAGTCCTTTTCGCTGTGTGCTAAGCTTCAGGGTTACAGACAGGCTGCTCCCTTTGGTGGCCTTTGTTGGAATGCCATCAGTGTGTACCTTAGGTTCATAAATAATTCAGACTGGCAGCTACCCAGGAAGGAAGCAAACGCCCAGAGCTCACAGCCGAGACAGGTTACAACAAGAATGCGGTGAGCAATGCTGCCGATGGAGAAGCAGGGAGGCAGGAATTCAGGGAACACTTGCCAGCTCCCAGATTTCCAGGTGGGCTCGGGACCACGCTTGTCTTGCAGAAGCTGCGTGCCTGGCCCCCAGCATGCTCAGGGTGGACATGGGTGGCTAACCCAGCACCCTCCCCAACCTTCTTCTCCCCTGCCTGCTTCCATCCAGAGGATGGAGAGCTAAACACTCACCATCCCACAGTCCCCTGCAGACAGAGGTGACTCAGAGATGGCCTTGACAAAAGATCCAAGAACTGCTGACATCCTGGCTCTGACAACGTGAACCTCAGAAGCCCCCAGCAGAGACATGGCTCTAGTCTTCTTGTGATGGGAGAAGGACAGTCCCTACGTGTTTAAGTCACGGTGGATGAGTTTATTCTGTGACTTGCAGTCCAGTGCCTCCTGATAGTGACAGAAATCGCCAAAGTTCTGACTTGCTTTTTCCGGCCTGCTTTTATTCTGCTCACTCTAACAGAGCCAAGCATTTGGCCAGTGTTCCAGTCTCTCCTGTGGCCCTGAACACCACCTCAACGGTTTCCTGTTTACTTTACCTCTTAGGCTGCTAGAATTAACCACTTGCCATTATGCCCCTGCGTCTCCCTACGGCCCCTCCCTCATGGTCTTGCCACCACACCGAGCTAATTTCTTTTGTATTTTTTGTAGAGATGGGGTTTCGCCCTTTTGCCCAGGCTGGTATTCTTGGGCTCAAGCCATCCTCCTGCCTCGGCCTCCCAAAGTGTTGGGATTCTAGACGTGAGCCATGGTACCCGGCCAGCAAAGATTTCTTAGAGACAACATCAAAAGTATTCGATGTTTAAAAACAAAAACTAAAACCATAAATTGGACTTTGTCAAAGTGAAGAGGTTCTTCTGCTTTTGAAAGACATTGATAAATGAATGAAAAGACAAACCACAGGAGAAAATACTTGCAAATCACCCATCTGATAAATGACTTGTAGCCATATAGATAAAGATTGCTTGAAACTCAACAGTAAGAAAACAAAGAACCTAATTTTTTAAAAAAAGAAGAGAATAGGCCAGGCACAGTGGCTCACACCTGTAATCCCAGCACTTTGAGGGGCTGAGGTGGGTGGATCACCTGAGGTCAGGAGTTTGAGACCAGCATGACTAACATGATGAACCCCTATCTCTACTAAAAATACAAAAATTAGCCGGGCATGGTGGCAGGTGCCTGTAATCCCAGCTACTCAGGAGACTGAGGCAGGAGAATCACTTGAACCCAGGAGGCAGAGGTTGCAGTGAGACAAGATCGCGCCATTGCACTCCAGCCTGGGTGACAGAGTGAGACTCCGTCTCAAAAAATAAAAATAAAAAAAAGAGAAAAGAATAGATACTTCACCCACCATATAGAAATGGTAAATAGCACATGAAAAGAGATTCAGCAGCATCAGTCATTAAGGAAACACAAATTAAGACTACAGTGGCTATTACTACAAGCAGCTTAGAATAACTGCAAGAAGAGCTCCCACACCAAGTGTTGGCGAGGATGTGTAGAGACCAGAACTCTCACACCCTGTGGTTAGGAATGTAAAATGGTACAACCGCTTTAGAAAACAGTCCCAGCTACTCGGGAGGCTGAGGCAGGAGAATGGCGTGAACCCGGGAGGCGGAGCCTGCAGTGAGCCGAGATGGCGCCACTGCACTCCAGCCCAGGCGAGAGTGCCAGACTCTGTCTCAAAAAAAAAAGAAAAAAAAGAAAGAAAAAAGAAAACTGACGGTTTCTTGACAATTAAACACACAGCTACCACATGACCCCATTGTTCTGCTCCGAGGTATTTATCCAAGAGAAAAGTCTGTGCCCAAGTGAAGACTTTTGCATAAATAAGCAAAAGTCATAGCAGCTTTATTTGTAATAGCTACAAATAGAAAAAACCCAAATGTCCATCAATGGGTGAGATGGATAAAGGAACTGCAGTATAACCACACAATGGAAGGAGGCATATGCTGACTATCTTGTTGTTGATGCTGAACATCTTGAGCACATGTTCAAGACTTGCACATGTGTCAACACATGTGAGTTGCACACTTTAAACATGTATAGTTTATTATATGGCAATTATACCTCAATTACGTTGTTTAAAAGATGCTTTCGATGCTTTCGAGATTATTAGTAATTGGGGTCAGGGCTCAGGGGAGGGTCAAAAGAAAACTTTTTAGAGTGATGAAAATGTTCTATTTCTTGATTGTGGTGATGGTTACACTACAGCTACCAATTGCTAAATTAAAATAGGTGGATTTTGTTGGATATAAATTATAACTCAATGAAGCTGAAGAAAAATAAATTTCCACTGAAATATCTTGGTATATAAGGACAAGGGGAAAATACTCTAGGGGTGTGTAATTTTTGTTTCTAGTAAAGTGAAAATTGTAATTGGAGAGAAAAAATTAAATGCTCTTTCAAAAAGTAAAAAATAACATATGTTTACATTAAAGCAAAAAACAAATGCCTTCTTTGTTGTATTGATTATCTGGATATTAAAAAGCAATTACAAGCATAATTATTATTATTTTTTTTTTTTGAGACATAGTCCAGCTCTGTCGCCCAGGCTAGAGTGCAGGGGCGTGATCTCAGCTCCCTGCAGCCTTGACTTCTCAGGCTCAAGCAATTCTGTCATCTCAGCCTCCCGAGTAGCTGGGACCACAGGCATGCACCACTATGCCCAGCTAATTTTTTCATTTTTATTTTTATAGAGATAGTGTCTCCCTATGTGGCCCAGGCTGGTCTCAAACTCCTGGGTTCAAGAGATCTCCCACCTTGGCCTCCTAAAGTCCTGGAATTACAGGCGTGAGCCATCGTGCCCGGCCTGAATAATTTTTCTTGATACCTATTCACATTCTTCAATCAGTTTTTAAGCCTTATTTGTTTCTATTGCCATTAGTGGCATTTTTCAGAAGAATGTGCTATTTTCAGAATTGCCTTATTTTAATCTTTCATAAAATTGCCTGGAATCCTCTCCAAGAAGACATTTTTGTGGCTAATGAATTTGAGTTTGCCGACCAGCTAAGTGGAATCTTCTCTGTAGACCCTGAGGTTGTCAGATGAATGAGCAGCTGTAGAGGTAAGATCTGAGCTGACTCTGCTCAGGGGAAGACAGTCTCAGTATTTTCTAATGAAAAGGTCAATATTTCACCCAGATATTGTCACAGGTCCTGTGTTCTGAGTTCAATCCAAAGTCTTTCATAAATGTCTTTATAGGGCAAAATGAGTCAAATAGGCTTTTTTCATGTATAATTCCTTTGAATGTTTTATCAAATTTATGTGCTAAAAATCACAGGCCTTTTCAATTTCATTCCATTCTCATATATAATAAACATACATACTATTAAAATATGAGCTCTAGCAAAAATCTGTTTCATAAATTGAGATGCTCCAAGAAGCAATTTTAGAATTCCAAAGTTATTCTCATACACTATTTGGGTAGACATTATGCGTTTTATTCAGTTTCTCTCTTTCTTTTGTGGTAAGAAATTTAAATAGTCTTTCTGTTTGCAAACTTGCTTTTAATAATTGCTAATAATTAAAACAATAATAATTGTTTTTAATAAAAGCTTTACATTTATTTAATGATTTGAATAAAAATTAAGTCATTATTCAAATTAACTGAATGAGCTTTTCTGTTGGAAGCATCTGATAATACACATATTACATCCATATCACTTAACTGTCTTGTGAAATTGGGCTCATGGAGGTAACACAATAACAGCTATCACGTCATCGAGTAAATTCATAAGAAAACTCAAAGTTGACAAAGAAGGAAATTAATGAGCACTGACATTTGATCTACAAGAAAAGTCCCCGAGTGACACGGCTGCAGGCGTCAGTCACTGTCTTTGGCTGCCTGAAAAGAGTTACCAGCTTTTGAGGTTGATGCTGCTGTTTCTTCTGCTTTTCATGTGCTTGGTGATGTCACTGCATTTACCGCAAATGGTAAATGTTCACAAACATTTTGTGTAAGTAGACATCATAATCAACTTTCTGGAGGAACAGAAATCCAATAAGTTAACTTCTTATTTCACATGCACTTTCATTTTATTTTTTAGCTCACCGTGGCCCAAAGGTCTTATTACGAATATAAAAATGCATTGCTAAATGCTGAGAGAATTAGAGCCACACCATGAAATACAGAAGGACCCCGTTGCGGCAGCGTGGTCAGGCACCTCTCTACACGCACTCTGTTGGCACAGCTCAGTCTCCACATTCTGAACAAATCTCCCAGCGCCCAACTTGTCATTTCCAGCTGCTTCCCACTGACCTTGCCAACTAGTGCCCTCATAGCTTTCTACATCTTTCTGGCCTGGACTCAGGCCACAGCACAGCCGCTGGTTCACCCACTGGGCAGAAGAAGTGGCAGCGTCAAATGCTCCTCCCGCCAAACCCACCAAGACTAAAGGGGCTCCCCTGCTCCCAGCCACTGTGTCTGGGTGCCTTTGGTTTTTCCAGGGAGCTCCTCGTGTTGTCCTTGGAAGAGAAGCTTTAGTGATAGGAAAAGGAGGAACGGCTGATTGCTGGCCTTCTTTCAGAGGTAGCCAGTGTTCCAGTGGGGACTTGTGCCTCCTGTTCACTTTATCAGGCGAGACCATGGCAGAGGCAGACCTGCAGTGCAGGTGCCAGGGCAGCAGGGAGAGCTGCCCTTCTCACCAACTGTCACCCAACGATGCCACCTGCTGAGGCTCATTGCATCTCAATTATTTTGCAAAATGGGGTTTTCTAATTCTGTAATTTCTTCCATATTGATCAGCTTGAATTCCCTGTAGGAAGAACTGACCTACAGCAACTTGGGCTATGTTTTAACCCTGCAAGAGACTGTCTATGGAAGAACAGAAGACGGTTTCATGACTTCCTTCCATTGCTGATTTTTAGCATGAGAAGTGGTGTCCTCATCATGTCTGTGGTGCCCAGTGAGCTGGGCATTTGGCAGGTGTAGGCTCTGGACTCGAGGACTCCTGTGTCCAGTATCTCTGTCAGCCACACCCATTTTGTTTGAGGCTGTTTTGTCCCGTCTATGGCCATGAACCGCCGGCCCTGCTGTCCTCCCGCTCTTGCTTCTGTCCCCACAGGCTGGCCGGGCGCATCTCCCCGTCTCGCTGTGGACCTGCAGTGGGCCTGCCCCAGGGGCTCTGCCCCTCAGCACGGGGGTGGCATCACCAGCCGCAGTCAGGCCTGACCATCACTTCGGTGCCTGGGAGACTGAGGCACAGCTGATGTGAACTGTCTTCCCTGGGGTCACACGCTCAGCCTCTTGATCCCGTCTGTTCGCTGCCCGGTGCCCCACCGCTCCTGCTCTCCATGGCTTCCGCATGGGCTGGCTTCCTGTGGTGGCCCCGGCCCTGGGGAGGACAGCAGGGGGTGGGGGGCGGTGGGGGTAACGGGTGGGGTGCCTGCAGGCCGCTGGGAAGACACACACAAATTAGCCGCATCCCCTTCCTAGAAAGGAAAAGAAAATACAGCCCCACACTGTGGACGCCCACTTCTGTTTGTACAAGTGAGTGTGTGTGTCTAAGTGTCATCTTATGTCTGTGTGTGGTGTGTGTGTGGTCTGTGTGTGTGTGTGGTCTGTATGTGTGTGGTGTCTATGTGGTGTGTGTGTGTAGTTTGCATATGGTGTGTGTAGTATATGTGTGTATGATGTGTGTGTGGTTTGTGTGTGTGTGTGCTGTGTGTGGTATATGTGTGCATGGTGTGTGTGTGTGTGGCATATGTATGCATGGTGTATATGTGGTGTTTGTGGTGTGTGTGTGGTTTGTGTGTGTGAGGGAGTGCTGTGTGTGGTGTATGTGTGAGAGAGACAGAGAGAGAAGTAGGGGGTGGTTGGAGTCAGCTCCGTCCTGCCTCAGTTTCTCCATTTCCCCTTGGGTCAGGAGGGCCTCATTGGCTTTGGGGTGAATCCGCAGGCCCCCGGGAGCTGGTTCTGTAAGGTTTCTGGCGCACAGGGCTCCGCACCCCCATTCCCTCCTGTAACGCTTGCACTAGCACCCAGTTGCTCGGGTCATCTGGACCAGGTCTGTCTGCTGGAAGACGGTCTCTGTCCACCTTGGTGAGGCCCGTGACCCGGAGCTCTGCCGCCCAGCAGGGCTGTGGGGCCCAGGCCAGCCGTGTCCTCTCCCGCGCGGCCTCTGGCAGTGGCCTGCTCAGGTGATCCGGGCCAGGCCACAGGTGGCTAAGGTGTCCCTCTTGCTGGAGAGGGTTTTCTCCAAGGGCTCATGGACACTTTTCTCACCATCATCTTTGTCTTCATTGAGCCGGATTCAGGCTGTGCACTCACTCACTCTCATACCTGCTCTTGAGGGCAGCCTCTCAGAAGGACCCACAGGCCAGGTCCTGGATCAGAGAGAAAAGATAAGAACCGTGATGCTGCCGGCATGACCTCACTCCTGGGTTAGTGAGCCGGCCCCCAGCAGCTCCCTGGGCGGGACTCAGGAAATGGGGTTCCCTTTCCTGCCCCAGCAGTGGTTTCTCGGGTGCTCTGTGGCTTCCACTACCGTCCTCCTTGTGCCAAACTGTCCCTGCCCTTTGGAAGCCTCTGTAAGTGTTTCAGCCATGCCATGGACCAGTGCACGGGACAGGACGCACTGCCCGGAAATCTGAGCTCCATTCTCTAGCTGTAATCCTTTCATGCCCCAGGGAAGTCTTTTAACCTGGCTGTGACTCAGTTTCCTCAATGCTAATAGCCAACTAACCCTTCCCTGCCTCCTCTCCAAACCCCCACAGGATCTGGCATGAGAACTGAGAGTTCTCTATAAATGCAAGCCTTCATTACTCCAGAACGCTCACCTCCACAGCAGGCACCTGACTGTAAGACCCTCAGATGTTGAGGGCCCTCCCAGCAGAAGGAAGGGGTCTGTGCCCGAGACACGGCTGGCACCACCTGCAGGTGCAGGCTCCCTCCTACCTGAGCTGGAGTTCTGTCTCAGCCTTGCTGCTGCTTCTCTGGGAACACAAAAATCTCTCTGCTCACAGTTCCAGGCCTGGGTGCCCCAGGCAGTTTTGCCTGCTGTCTCATTACCTACCCTGGCTTGGGGAGGATTGATTTGATAACTTTCCACCCCCAAAGGAAAGACGGTCTTGAGAAGGAGACAGACAGAATGCCCATCCTCTGTCAGGACAGAGCTTTACTCCAAGCCTCCATCTTCAGAGTCTCTGGGTAGCTGCCACTGACTTAGGGCACAGCTGTGGGTACCCCACCTCCTAAGACAGTATGTAATAAGTGCTGGTTTCTTTTCACCAAAACAAAATTACTTAAAAGAAACTGGACCTTCTGGGAACTGCCTGCTCTCATTTGAAGGTCAATTTCAATCTTTGGCTTCATTTAAAAAAAAAGAAAGAAAGAAGAAAGAAAAAAAAGAAAGAAGAAGAGAAAGAAAGAAAGAAAGAAGAAAGAAAGAAAGAAAGAAAGAAAGAAAGAAAGAAAGAAAGAAAGAAAGAAAGAAAGAAAAGGAAAGGAAAGAAAGGCAAATAAAGAAAAAAAACACCCAAATCTGACTTCCACCTCCCAAGGCAGAATGTAGCCCAGCCTGGGGGTTTTCTGGACCCACTGCAGGGCAGCTGCCATTTCTCCCTCCCTCCCTTCCTCTGTCCACACCTTTCTCCAAGATCCTGATCGGGGGGAATCCTGCACCCCTTCTGGTCTGAGGAGCAAACTGGCCCACCCCATATCCCTATGCACCCCATGCCTCTGCCTGGGAGACTCTGGGGCTCTTTCTCAGGCTCACGGGACACATGCTCACTCAGAAGGGTGGCCGGCTCACGCTGGCCATGTTGTGATCCTACCAGGGCATGGTGGGTGGACGGCAGAGATGGAGGACCGGCCGCCTCCCTCGCCTCCTTCCCTGTCCCCCTCCACCTCCTGTTGCTGCAGTAACCTGGCAGATGACCTGCTGGACTCACCTCTTCTTGGTGCTGGGAAGCCACCTGCCCACCTGCGTGCTGACCCTCGGTCAACAGAACCAGCCGGGCACGCCCCGCACGCAGGCCCTGGCTGGGAGATTCTGAGAACTGTAGGACGCGACCCAGTGCTCCCGGAGTCGCAGGCCAATCCGGGAGAGCTTGCTGTGGAGGCCGCAGGTCCTTCACCGCTGTGGTCCAGCACCTGGAGTGTGTGCTAACAGATAGCCCGGGATGAATGGAGGCCTCAAGGGCGGGTGTGCTGCCTGATTCCTCCCTAGACACCCAGCACCCAGCCCCACCGTTTTCATGCCCAGCAGGTCTAAACGGACGTTGCTGAGGCTGCAGGGGCGCCTCTCCCCATGGAGGAAGCGGACTTCCTGCTCTCCTTGAAGGATGTGTAGGGCTCTGCTGGGGATTGCTGTGGGCTGAATCAATCCCCAAGTCCATGTGTGGGAGCTCCAACCCCCAGGGCCTTGGAATGGGGCTGTATTTGGAGATGGGGTCTTTACAGAGGTGACTAAGGTAAAACCAGGTCATGAGGGTGGCCCTGATACAATCAGACTGGTGTCCTTATAAAAAGAGGAGGTGAGAACACAGACGTATGTTCTTATAAAAAGAGGAGGTGAGAACACAGAGGGAGAAGATGCCATTGATAAGCCAGGGAGGGAGGCCTCAGGAACCAGCCCTGCAGCCCCTGGGATCGACCTCCAGCCTGCAGAGTTGTGAGCAAATACATTTCTATAGTTTAAGCCCCTAGTGTGTGGATGATCATTGAGGGATGAGCTGCGTTCTGGTGGGGGACCCTGGCCACCCTGCAGGTCACGATGGGAAGGGCAGGGTGAGGGGAGAGATGCTCTGGTGGTGGGTGGGGTGTGTCTAGGAGACCTGATTTTCTTTCGTGGGAGCTTTGTTCTCCTTTGACCTGACAAACACCTGGGAGTAGCTGATGAATGCTGGTGCTGGGCCTGCTGCGGTCACCAGGGTCCCGGAGGTCCCCGAGCCGGCTGCTCGAGTGTAATTTTCTGGCTCTCAGGTCAGGGGAGCAACTCTTCCATAGAAGACAAGCCAGAGGCCCCATGGGGGGCTGTGTCATCCTGAAGGGGCTTCCTCCTGCCGCCTGCCCTCTAGATGTGTGGCTGAGATGCAGCAGGATGTTCCATGGGAGGGGGTGCTGAGCTTGGACCCCAGAATCTCACCACGTTGGGGATCTGGACTCTCACCTGCTCTGAGCTCCAAGCATCTCAGGCCCCGCGTGGAAGCACCGCAGGCCTCCTCCTCCCTCTGCTCATGGCTCCCAGACTGAGCCAGCCCATCTTAGCATTCTGCTGCTCCAACGCCAGGGATGTTCTAGATGGGGCTGAATGAAACATTCCTCAGAAAATCCCCAAAGTCAGAGCCAGCACTGACCGAACTCTCAGGGCTGGAAAACTCAGTGGCCATGGATTGGTTGGGCCGGGGGTGAGGCCTGGGGAGTGCTCGCCAGGACCCCGGCTCCTACAGGGCCCCGGAAGTCCCAAGTGCTGGGCTCCGGTCCCAGGGCAGCCGGCCCTCCTTGGCTGGCTCAGCAGACCCACAGGGGCGCTAAGCAGCATTAAGTCATTAATCCCCACACCTTCCTTGTGAGGTAAGCGTTATTATCCCCAGTTTTCCGGCAAGATGAGACAGGTAGGTCGCTCTAATGCTTAGACCGCGGGGCCGCCCAGCTCAGGCAAGCCAGTGGGGGTGGGGGCTGGGGTGGAGGATCCTGCCGCCTGCAGTCTGGGGATCACAGAAGGGGTAAAAGGTTGGGGGAGGTCAGGGGGTAGGGAATATTTGCATGGGGGCTCAGATCCCCCACCTCTGCAAGTCTCCCCTCCCTTCCTCCAACACCCTGAAGACCCCACATTCTACCTGTGTGTGGGTGTAGGGCAAGGGGTGCTATGTTGGGGGCATGCAGTGCTGTAGGCATGGGCAGTGTTGGGTGGCTGTGAGGATTCTGTGAAACAGGACAGAGGCTCCAGGGGTGGGGGCACAGGTCTTAGAGCCAGGCTGGGTGGGGCCGCCCAGCTGGCCGCAGGGTGAGGGGCAGATGCTAGCCCCACCTCGCCTGGGGCATTTTCCTTTGAAAAGGAGTCCAGATGACGAGTGCCAGAGCCCAGAAGTCTTGAGGACACCCTGGCACCCACTACAGAATGTGGTTTTCTGAAACCAAATGACAGCGCCCCCAAGATGGAGTGGCTCTGGGCATCCTTAGCGCCTTGGGGGGTGGTGTTGGCGGGAGGTGCCTTGGCTTGGAATGTTCATTTCTTCTGGAAGCACCTGCTGGCTGCTCCACGTCTGGCTGTCCTGGGAAGTTTCGCCCAGGGGTCTGCCCCCAGGGTCTCTCTCGGGTAAGTATGGCGCTGTGAGCCAGGGCCAGTCTCCATCCTACTTCTGATGCCCACTGATCATTTGGTCACCTGGGTCCTGGGTTCCTCACTGGGACAGTCCGGGGAGAACTAACTGGTCTCAGGAGCCTCCTCACTTCCATGCCAATGCTGTGGGTCCCACCCTCGTGGCTCCCCCTGTACCCCGATACTCAGGCATCAGCTTCTGGCTGATCTCAGGGCTTCTCATGCCCCTGACCTTCTCAAAGTTTTCTACAGAGCATCTTCCCTTGAGAAAAAAATCAGGAGAAAAAAATTGCATCTCATTTTTACCAACCTTTAAGTGAAGTTTAGAATTTCCTTCTATTTTGAAAGTAAACCACTTGCAATGGCGTTCCTGGCTAGCAAGTGACTTTGTTCCCAGCTGAAGTCACAGAAAGGTTCATATTGCATCTCAGGTGTTGCTGCTGTCTAGAAGTGATGTTTTCACTCATCATGGTGGTAAAAGTGTGATGGTCACTAGATCCCATGCCCAGTCTTGCAATGAAATGTGCTCATAGAGAGCTCAGATACTATCATATCTAACTTTGTTTTTTGAAGTCTGGCAAATGTGTTTTAACATCATTAGTTTCCTCTGGAATCCTACATGCTATTTTGAAACACTCTGAGCAGCATCTGTGGTACAAAAGGTTCAGGAAGTCCTACTTTATAACAACACATCTCCTCCCGAACCCCAGGCTGCTTCTGGTGGGGGCTGCCCCCTCCCCTCCAGCTGGCTCTCCTGTACCCCCAGGGCTAAAACTCATGCCTTTGCCCAGGCCCAGCTCTGGTCACACATGTTCACGGAGTGCCCCTCTTTACAGAAAAGCATCCAAATGCCCTGGAAACCAAGGCTCTCCGTGAGCTGGCCCCACCCCAAATCCACCCCCAGTCCCATCTGATGAATCTGGTGTCTGTCCCCAAGCAAAGCATGTTGAATGAATGAATGCTTGTCAATCAGTCATCAAAACCAGGATGGGGTCAGCTGTGCCTGGGGAGGTCTCGAAGGCCTGGGTCCCGCCATTAACCCATGTGCTTCCCCTTTCTGCCTCTTCCCTCTTCTAGAATGAGAGGCTGTGCCCGTTTCCTTGACTCATAGGTAGTGCAGAGGTGAGGTCATCCTTGGAGCTCCCCAGGAGAGGCTGGAGAAGGGGCTGTTATGACCTTATCAGATGCTTTCCCTTGGGGGAAGCAGCCCAGGCAGGAGCCCCACCTCCCTGCGGCCCACAGGGGATGGTGGAGGGTGCAGCTAAGAGAGCACTTCCCCTTCAGATACAGCCCCGGAAGGGAAGGGTGCTTCTCCCAGAGAGGCCCCTCCGGGTCCTTTGGGGAAGTCTTCCTGTTGCCAGTCTATTCTCTTTTCTCCATTGCTGCTTCCCCACATCAGGTTGGCTTGGGAGCAAGGTGGTCCATGGGTGCCCCAACTGGAGGCCATGGAGCGCGAGGAGGAAAGCAAAGCCTTCGGGTGTGTAGATCTCCAGCCCTCAGCTGCAGTGCAGCCTGGCCCTGGGCCTCACTGAGTGCCAGTTTCCCTGAGGGTAAGATGGAGTCTCGATGCCTTTCTGGTGGGGTCGGGACTGCCATGTGCATGAGGAGTGCCATGTGTGTGTGAGGAGGAGAGGAGTGTCACATGCATGGGGAGTGCCATGTGTGTGAGGAGGAGTGCCGTGTGTGTGAGGAGTGCCGTGTGTGAGGGGTGCCATGTGTGAGGAGTGTCACGTGTGTGAGGCCAGCCCTCGTGCCAGCCTCAGGCGGTGCTCAGTCTCCAGGCAGCTTTGTGCCCTGGATGGAAGGGCAGTGATGACCTGACGCCACCCAAGGTCTCCTGGGCAGCCCTCCCCAGTGGACACTGAGGATCCCAGTGCCACCCTTCTCCCATCTTCTGCAGAGGTTGAGCTACTCCAGCTGGAGCTGTGAACACCAGCCAGCAAACCCCAGGCCAACCACTGGGACCACTGGGCCTCACAATCAGCCCTCCTGCCCGGGAAGTAAGCCAGGCTAGTGACTGCTCCACAAGATGCCAGTGCTGTTTGTAAACACACGACCCGGCTCACGAGACCTCTTCCTTGACTGTCAGAGGGGCTGTGCTG
This sequence comes from Homo sapiens, assembly GCF_000001405.40. Classification (NCBI taxonomy): domain Eukaryota; kingdom Metazoa; phylum Chordata; class Mammalia; order Primates; family Hominidae; genus Homo; species Homo sapiens. The sequence continues at coordinate 41,666,028 of NC_000021.9, read as the reverse complement.
TGAGGACACGGGCTTCTCGACCCCAGAGGGAGCTGGGGTCCACTCATGGGTGGGGCAGGCCTGCTGCCAGGACACCCAGGACCCCATGGTAACCTGTAAACCTCCCCCCGCCACCCACCCACTGTGTGCCAAGTTCCAACAGGGACCTGAAGCAGGTGCTGCTAGGCTGCCCACATACCAGCCTGGAAGGGGCCATGCAACCTGGTGGTTCCCTGTGCTCCGGAACTAAGGCAGAGCAGGGAGGGAGCCTCCCCAGAAGGCTGACAAGGACCCTGGGGGCTGTCACTCAGAAGACAGGGAAAACCTGGGGCAAGGGCTCCCGCCAGCGACATCGGTCAGCCCAGCGACAGCGCTCCATCCAAGCAGCCGCTGCTTATGTGCAAAATCACAAAGGCTGTCTGAGGACCCTGTCCAAGCAGCCACTGCTTAGGTGCAGTCACAGAAGCCATCTGCGGACCGAAAGAGCATCGAGGCCGGCAGCTTTTGCACTGTTTGCCTGCCTTTAGCAGAACAGCTCTGCCTTCTTTAGAGGAAGCTGCGAAGATGCTGATAGACCGAAGGCGGCCCCACATGATCCGCTGGGCTCCCCCAGCCCTGTCTGAGCCTGCAGGGGCTCCTGGAAGCCACAGCATGAAGCCCCCCCTCTGTCCCAGCATGTCTGCTCATGGGGAGATGGGGGCCCGTGGGTGAGGCAAGTTCCCTCTCACATTCCATGCCGGCCCCAGATGAGTCAGTTTAATCCTGTAAGCCTGGGTCCGGGCGCTGCCCCTTTCTGAACATAGCATTGGGTTGAAAGCCAGCCCCACGGTTCATTGACACATTGTTGAGGACTGCTTTCCCACGACAACAGCAGAGGCGCGTGACAGAGCGCAGCATGGCCCACAAAACTGAAAATGTTCAGGATATGCCTCATTCACAGAGCTGTTTGGCTGTCCCCTGCCAAAAACAATCAAACAACGGAGCTCCAGGGTGGATCCAGGAAGGAGAAGGAGCAGATTGGGCTGGGAGGGGCTGACAGCACCCGGTCGGGTTAGACATGGGTCGTCTGAGCCGCAGCTGAACCTGGCGTTGGAAATCTCCCGTCTGAGTGGCTTACTACACAGCTTCAGCACACTGGGCCTCCACGACCGGACCCAGGGGCTTCCTTCTGAGGAGTTATCTTCATATCTTGAAGTTGGTGGAGGGATCGCAAGACCCTTTTGCTGGAAGGGAGTTAAAGAGCCAGAAACCCTTCCGGCCTCTTGTCACCTCCTCTGATTTAGCACCTGCTGTTTCTGTGATATTTTATAGACTTACCTGACCTCCAGAAAATTCAAGGAGTTTGCCAGTGGGGGACTGTCAAGCTGCTGGAGAGGTGGTCGTCACGATTTAAGCCCGTACTCACACGCTTGCTGGATAAACAAGAACCCCCTCCCTCTGCGGGTGACACCCCCAGCGTGTGACAGTTTTTAGAATCAGAACTGCTGAGGGGCACTGTCAGGTTCCCCCGTAAGCAATTATACCCACCTTGGCCCTGCGGATTTCAGAGAAGACATGTTGGTCCCTTTGATTTTAAAAAGTCAATCTCTGCATGAAGACATTGAAACAAACAAGAGGGCTTGGGCATCAGCTACAGACATGCAGTGAGTCACAGCAGCACACTTTCCCGACCTTTGCCCCGCGTCTGACAGAAGGGAAGTGAACCTCTTTTGACACAGCCCTTGTGAAGTCCCCTTAGCTTTGTCGTGTTCTTTCCTGTGAGCAGAGCTCAAGGCACATGGCTTTGCCACTTCTGCAGCGGACCTTAAAGTGGAAGAACGCGCCTTCACATGCTGGCTGGAAATGCGAAGTTCCCGAACACCCAGACAGTGTTCCTGCCAGTGTCCTGGCTGGTTTTACAGTGTGAACACTGGGGCTTCTCCTTAAGTGTCCCGGCTTCAAGTCAGCCCTGCAGGTTTTCCTCCTCTGTGTGCAGCCTCTCCTGGAGGACCCTCTCATGCCTAGCCCCAGGGTGGATGAACACTGGATCCTCCACAGGGCTTACTCCTTCTCCAAGTGACCCTCCTGCCAGGGCAGCCCCTGTGCCCCATCTTGTGGTGACACACACACCTGGCAAACGTGAGTGTTTGGGGGCTCATAGACTACACAGAGCTCATTACAATTGCATCTTTTTGTTGTTGTTGTTGAGACAGAGTCTCACCCTGTCACCTAGGCTGGAGTGTAGTGGTGCGATCTCGGCTCACTGCAACCTCTGCCTCCCAGGTTCAAGCGATTCTCTTGCCTCATCCTTCTGAGTACCTGGGATTACAGGTGCCTATCACCACCCCGGGCTGATTTTTGTATTTTTAGTAGAGACAGGGTTTCACCATGTTGGCCAGGCTGGTCTCGAACTCCTGACCTCAAGTGATCCTCCCATTTTGGCCTCCCAAAGTGCTGGGATTACAGACGTGAGCCACCACTCCTGGTTGCATCTTTGATCCTCTAAATATCAATGGTTCCGTTACTGGTGCAAAGGAATGCACCTCTAAGGATAAACACTGGCAAGGTGTGTTAGTCTGTTCTCATGCTGCTGATAAAGACACACCTGAGACTGGGTAATTTATAGAGAAAAAGAGGCTTAATGGACTCACAGTTCCATGTGGCTGGGGAGGCCTCACAGTCTTGGCAGAAGGTGAAGGCAGGTCTTACATGGTGACAGCGAAGAGAGAGAAAGAGAGCCAAGTGAAAGGGGCTTCCTCTTATAAAACTATCATATCTCATGAGACCCTACCATAAGAACCGTGTGGGGGAAAACCCCATGACTCAATTATCTCCCACCAGGTCCCTCCCACAACATGTGGGAATTATGGGAGCTACAAGTGAAGATGAGATTTGGGTGGGGCCACAGCCAAACCATATATCACAAGGTGATTTGTTAGCCAAGCTAGATGAACAGGGGCTGAAATACTAGATGACATGATCATTGTCTCTGCTCTTTCCTGAGCATGGGCGGCCCCTCCAAAGATCACTCTCACCCTCCGGATCTCAGATCCAATATCACCTCTTCCGAGAGGCCTTCCTGACTACCGGACCCAAAGATGGGCTGCCATGCCCCGTCCCCAGCAGCTGCACCCGACGTCCTCACCATGTTGACTCTCTTGACGGCACAGAACCTGCCATCATTTTGGGTACTGGTGTGTTGTCCGTCTCCACCTGGAGGATGCCAGCTTCAGGGAAGTAGACATCACAGATGCATGGACCTTCAAGTCTGCAGTGCATAACACAGTGCTGTGCATAGGGAGGAGCCCCATAAATATTTGTGGAATGAGAGAAAGAAAAAAGGAGTGAATGAATGACTACAGGCTATTATCTATGTTAATGCAATTACCAGTAGCATTTTGCTGCATTGGGGTCCATTCATTCTCAGCTTCTAGTTTTTTCTCCTCCTTCTATCCTGCTGCAGATTGCTCCACCCACTGTTGTAGGTGAGCCCCTGTCCCACGGCAGGGCCACTGAACCTGGAAGCTAAATTGAAGCTGCCTCAGTTAGGAAGCAGATCTCAGATGCCATGTGGGACCAGAGACTTTGTAAGTCCCCAGGGGAGGTTAGGGACCATGCAAGGCTGACCCCATTGCTACAAACACCGAACGCCAGCTGCATCACGCAGCAGAGTGTCCCAGCCACAACTGCAGGGGGCCACTGGACCACCATGAGCCTGGGAGCCCTGGCTCTTGACAGAGGTCCTGGGGTGATGCCCGGGACCCTCCACAAGGGCGGGAAGCCAAGAGAGTCCTCTGGGGACAGAGGCTTTTGTAGGAGCCCAGAAACTTTGCATCCTAAGGGACGATGGCATTCCTCCTTGCGGGGATGGTGCAAAAGCTCAGGCTTGTTGGCTTATTTGAGCTGCCATCTCCTCCCTTGTTTTATGGGTTAGACTGATGTGGCTGGAATGGAGTATGGTATTGAGATCAGGAGGATCTGATGGGATCCTCATCATATGATCCATCCTCATGATGTGAATGGAATGGAGTATGGTACTGAGATGGGATCAGGAGGCCCCAGCCCACTTCTCCAAGAAACTAAAAAAAACTGTGGATGCCTAGGTGGGCGGATCGCTTGAGGTCAGGAGTTTGAGGCCAACCTGGCCAACACGGTGAAACCCCGTCTCTACTAAAAATACAAAAATTAGCCGGGTGTGGTGGCGTGCGTCTGTAGTCCTAGCTACTAGAGAGGTTGAGGCAGGAGAATCACTTGAATCCAGGAGGCAGAGGTTGCAGTGAGCCAAGATCGCGCCCCTGCACTCCAGCCTGGGCAACAGAGCGAGACTCTATCACACACACACACACACACACACACACACACACACACACACACACAATTTTGGTAAATATACATAAATAAAATGTACTATGTTAACCAATCATAGATGCACAATTCCGTAGTGCTAAGTATATTCACACTGGTGTGCAAACAACCTCCAGAACTTTTTCATCTTGCAAAACTGCAACTTTGTGTCCATGTAAAGCAACCCCCCTTTCCTCCGTCCCCCGAGTCCCTGGCAAGCACCCCCAAGGGATGTTTTAGTGACTTCAGTGTCTCCACGTGATAAGGATGTTGAGAATTTGAGGTGAGCACCAACATGTCAGGTGCTACACAGTGGCCCATGAGAGATTTATATATAAATTATTTCCTGGCAGCCGAGCCCCATGGCTCATGCCTGTAATCCCAACAGTTTGGGAGGCCGAGTCAGGTGGATCACTTGAGCCCAGGAGTCTGAGACCAGCCTGGGCAACATGGTGAGACCCCTGTCTCTACCCACTAATAATACTAATTATCTTCATCTCCTGGATCTCCAGTGCAACAGAGAAGGATGCAGGTTTAGAGAAGGGCCTGTGGAGGCTCAGTTCCCAGCAGTGTGACATTGGGCACCTTGGGGCTCACACCTGACAGTGACGTTGGGGATCCCTGCCTGGCTGCACCGTGCTGTTCCCTCTGCCCTTCCCAGCACCGTGGGTGAAGCTGACTCCTTCTCCCCGCTGGCCTCAGCCCTCTCCCACCTCCTAAAGAGGCAGCCCCAAAGGGACGGCCGTGCCCACCCAGCCCGTGCCACTCTTGCATCCCTTTCTGCTGTTTTCCTTCAGAGCACCTGGCTCTAGAGCCACAGGTCCTCACAGTGGGTGTCTCCCAAGGCTACCATTTCTCAGCACATCCTGGAGAGGGTGAGAGAGAGCACTGAGTGGACCATCCAAGAGCACGGCCGCATCCCAAAAGTCCTGCTTCGGAATGGACTGACTTGTGTGAGGCATCTGCAGCTGCCCTACAGAGGTTGTGGGGGACAGGCTTTCAGCTGCAAAATGTTCCCGTAGCTGCTTCTTCCTTCACGCTTGACCTTCTGAAATCAACTATGCGTTACTTCTGAAATTTAAAAAATTCCAGAAAAAAAAAGAGAAGAAAATCCAGACAGTCTAAAGAAAGTGTCTCAAGCAATTCTGCCGATGAACTGGGTTTGGAAATGCTAACTTCTACCCTGGAATGTTGGCATGGCCAAGGTGATGCCAACTGGCTCCGGGTAGCGGGATGGAGTGAGAGTGTTTGGCAAAGGTTGCAGACTGGTGACCTGTGAGTCAGCCGGATCTGACCAGTCCAGTGCCCTGGGCCAAGCCTTCCCAGTGTAGGGGAGTTGCTCACACTGCAGTTCACAGAGTCCCCGGGGGCTGGCGCACTCTGTACTTCCTGCCTGGCCCTGTAGGCGTTCAGCTTTGCAATAGCTGGTGGGGAGTGGGGGCAGAGGGGGGCAGCTCCTCCAACTGCCGTAAAGCTGAACCTCAGCCCTGTCCCAGGAATCAGGGCTGCCCACATGAGGGCAGGTGCGTGCCGAGGTGGCCCCACCCGGATCCCTGTACCTGGAGCAGTGTTCTGGGCCTAATGGCAGCCTCCAGAAGTGACCACTTACTCCCAGCCTACAACCAGGGCCTCACTGCCTGATGTGGGGTACAGCCACAGCCCCTTTCCTCAGCGAGGGGCAACGCAGTGGTGTGACCACACGCAGAGGCTGTCTCGGCTCTTTCCTTCCCCACAGCCCCCGGCTTGCTCAAGGCCCCCTCCCATTGCCACTCATCTTTTCAATAGACTGGCCATGAGAATCCGTCTCTCAGGCTGTGGGTCTAGGGAAGGGGTCCCAGGAAGCAGACTCTGCAGATGAGACCCTGTCCAGGTGGGATCCCTGCCAGTTGGGTGGCCCTGAGGGTCCCAGCACCTGGGATGAGAAGATTCTCAGCCCCAGTGTCCAGGGAGCTTCCCCTCAGCTGGGTGAGTGGGTAGGTGGCAGTGGAGGGAGGCACAGTGGCTGGAAGGTCATGGGAATAGTGGTTGTAAAGGCTAGAAGTGGGCAGCTACACCTTCAAAGAGGAAAACAGGCTGTCTTGGGGCTGAAGTCAAGGGTCTGAGACACGGGGAGGGGACCCCAAGCCTTGGGGGGGAAATACTTGGGCAGGTGCATCTGAAGTCTTTAAACGCCAGATTCCACCTAATTCTCTGGGCTTGCAAAAGTGGTCCCCTGCCCCTTGTTCAAAGATAGATTCCCCCGTTCACCCTCACCCTCTCTTCTGCTTAAAGGTAGAAAGGGGTCTGGTATAGCGGTGTCTTGTGGGACAAATCTTGGCTTCCTCAGCACCTGCCTCCCTCTCCTTCCTGGCCTGACCTCTGGGTGTCTGGTCAAATCGCAGCACTGCCTGGCTGACACCTGGAGCAGGACCCAGAAGACCATCCCTGAAGGGGAGTCTCCAGGGCTTTGGATCCAGGGAAACAGGGTGGGGAACCCCTGGGAACCCCAGAGTCGGTATGAAGATTCTTTTAAGCTGAAGTCATGTAAGAAAGATTTAATAGATGCAGAAAGAAACCTTCTTAGAACTTCTCTCATCTCACTAAAAGAAACTTCTAAGAGGTGAGAAGTGCCCTAATTCCCTCTTTGAGGTGGCTTCTCCTCCCAGGAGAGAGATCCAGAATAAACCTGCTATGAATTCCTTCTCCAGGGGAGTTTTGTGACCATGATGAACACTCACATCTGCATAAACAAACTCTATCCTTCACTTTCTCATCTCCCATTTGTCCTGCTAAAAGCCCATGTGTCTTTCCTAAAGCAACTTTGTTCTTCCTTAGAAACCTGTCTCCTTCTCCCTTTCCCCTATAATTTAGGCACATGCTATGGTCTGAATGTTTGTGTCTCTCCAAAATCCCTGTGTTGAAATCTAATCTCTAACCTTGTGGATTAAGAGGTGGGGATTTGGGGGAGATTAAATCCGGAGGGCCCCACCCTCATCCCTGGGATTGGTGCCCTTAAAAAAGAGGTGGAAGAGGCTGCCTTATCCCTTCCATTGCGTGAAGATGCAGGCAGAAAGTGCCATCTTGAAAGCAGAGAGCGTGCCCTCACCACACACGGAATCTGCTGGCACTAGGGAGGTAGGAGGTGAGGCTTGACTCTGGAGGTGGGGCTTGGACATCAGATCAAATTGAGGACTAGCTAAAACAGGGCTGGGGTGGAAGCAGCTTTCCATCAGACAGCCCACCAGTGTGCAATGTCAGTTGACCATCGCCATGGCAACGCCTGGGAGTTACTGCCCCTTTCCATGGCAATGACCCAAAGACCCAAAATTCCCTAGGAATGTCTGCATAACCCACCCTTAATCTGCATGCAATGAAAAGTAGGTATCAATATGACTACAGAACTGCCCTGAGCTGCTACTCACTGCCTGTGGGTTAGCTCCACTCTGCAGGAGCAGTCCTGGAGCTGTAACTCCACTGCTTCAATGAAACTTTCCTTCTACCTCTGCCTTGCCCTTAAATTCTTTCCTGGGCAAAACCAAGTGTCTTCACAGGCTAAGCTCCACTTTGGGCTTGTCTGCCCTACATCACCTTGATCTTGGATTCTTCAACCTCCAGAACTGTGAGAAATAAATTTCTGTTGCTTGGTATTTTGTTCACACTGCAGGCACGGGCCCTTTGAGTTCCTCACCACTGAGCACTCTGCATGTGTGTGTGCTGGACATGTAAATCAACTCTGCCTTTTCTTTCCTTTTTTTTTTTTTTTTTTTTTTTGAGACTGATTCTTGCTCTGTCGCCAGGCTGGAGTGCAGTGGCATGATCTCAGCTCACTGCAACCTCCACCTCCCAGGTTCAAGCGACTCCCCAGCCTCAGCCTCCAGAGTAGCTGGGAAAACAGGCGCACGCCACCACAGCCAGCTAATTTTTTGTATTTTAATAGAGACAGGGTTTCACCATGTTGGCCAGGATGGTCTCGATTTCCTGACCTCGTGATCTGCCCACCTCAGCCTCCCAAAGTCCTGGGATTACAGGTGTGAGCCACCAAGCACCCACTACCGGTGCCCCCCCACCCCACATACTCTCTCTTTTCTCTTGCTAATCTGTCTTTTGTCAGTTTAATTCACAGGCCCTCATTTGCTAAACCTATAAGGGTAGAAGGAAAGGTTTCTCTTCCCCAACAACAGAAAAGAAAGCTGGATAAGAAATTTACTGCCATGAAGGCTGTCACTGTAGCACAGGATTTGACACCTTAGAAGGACCCTGGGAAAGTTCAATGCACCATTAGGATGGCCCTAAAAAGCTTGGAAAAGCCAACAGTCCACATTAAGTGAAGAATAGTTGCACCCTGCATGGTAGACAGTGGCTCAGGGAAGGGGCTGTGCTAGAATGCGTCTACTGGGGAATGTTGGAAAACCTGTCAGCTGGGTTCCTTAGAAGGGCCCAGGGGACACTCCATGGGGTGGGCGGACACCAACACTACCAAGAATCGGAGTGGAGGCTGTTCTCTCTAGAATGTGGATGATGATAGGAGATGCTGTTACAGAACTAACTCCCTGGCAGCAGTGGGGGTGATGGGCTGCTGGACTGGCAGAGACTATTCAACCCTTAACCATCAGAAGCAAGGTCAGTGTGATCCCTGTACTGCACAGCAAGGTCAGAAAGGCAGCCAGAGACTCCTGGCCTGCAGGAATCTGGAGAGCTGCATGGCAGAACGTAGTGCTCCCAGAAGAGAGATGGTCAGGTGTGATGGGGGGTTTACATGCCAGCTCGGCCAGGCTGGAGTCCCCGGTTATTCACTCAAACTGTTGTCTCGTTGCTGCTGTGAAGGTGTTTTGTGAACGTGACGAAAGTCCATCGTTGGTTTACCTTAAGTAAGGGAGATTGTCCTGGGGAATCTGTGTGGGCCTCATTTGATCTGTTCAGAGGCTTGAAGAATAGAGATGAGACTTTCCTAAAGAAAAAGCTCCCTTGGGGATGCCAGCTTTGGTCTGTGCCCCAGAGTTCCAGCCTGTGCCTCCTGACTTGCCTAGGCGGCCTCCACCATCGCACACGCTGATTCCTTGCAATAAATCTCTCGACATGTATTTCCTACGGATTCTGTTTCAATGGTGGAACAATGACTGATACAACAGTTAATACTAAGAATACTATTTAGGCCAGGTGCAGTGGCTCACACCTGTAACCCCAGCATTTTGGGAGATGGAAGGATCACTTGAGCCCAGGAGTTCAAGACCAGTCTGGGTAACATAGCAAGACCTTGTCTCTATTTATAAAATAAGATAACATTTTTAAAAAGAGTATTATTTAATATTTAAAATCAAAAGGTTTTAAGAATGAGTGGCCATCATTCTTAATATCTTTTGACTGGTAGAAAGTCACAGTCCTTTGCCAGTTTCCAGACCTGAGCAGGAACCCATGGAATGGAGAAGCCAAGTCCCCACAATGAGATGCCGTAATCTCACCATGAGAAAAGCTGCAGCGATTCCCCAGGCCTTTCCTGGAGGGCCCTGGAGCCATTTTTCAGGTAGTCCACTGGAAAAGGAGCATGTCCAGATCTTTTGGGGGCTGTTGGATTTAGAGTCTGAATTAATTCTGACATCTAGAGATTCAAAGCGCCTTCACGGCTCCTTGCTAGGGTGAGGGTGTATGAGGTGAAGTAATACATGAAGTTTCCAGTTCTCGGCTCATCTCACACAGCAGGTACATTGGGTCCTCTGACCCACCCAGTGGTTGTAACTCAGGTTCTGGAAGGTAAAGTGTTTTTTTTTTTTTTTTAATCCGTGTGTGTGTGTGTGTGTGTGTGTGTGTGTGGCATATACTAAAAATGGAATTTTATTCAGCCTTAAAAAGGAAGTTCTGACATTTGTTACAATATGAATGAACCTTGAGAACATTATGCTATGTGAAATAAGGCAGTAACAGAAAAACAAATAATGCACGATTTCACTTACCTGAGGTACCTAGGGTATCAAATTCATAGAGGCAGGAAGTAGAATGGTGATGATCAGGGGCAGAGGGGAGGAGGAAATGGGGAGCAATTATTTAATGATATACGATTTCAGCTTTAAAAGATAAAGAGGAATTCTGGAGGTAGATGGGGTGACTGTTACATGACATTATGAATGTATTTAGTATTGCTAAACACTACATTTAACAATGTTAAGATGGTCAATTTTGTGGTAGTATTGTTACCACAGTAAGAAACTGGGAAGAAATGGTGCAACTGGAGGTGAGAAAAGATGAAGTAAATTGCACGAGGGAAACGCTGATCAACTTACACGGAGGAGAATCAAGCTACTGTGCAAAACTGAGGAAAGAAGAAGTGAGAGTTAAGTATATTATTTATCATTTCAAAATGAGTCAAGGTAATAACCGGAATCATGCCATCATCAAATATTAAGGAGAATATGAGAGAGATTTGGCAGTGTGAATGAGCTACATTTCATTTTTATTTTTTATTTATTTATTTATTTATATTTATTTATTTGAGACTGAGTCTCGCTCTGTCGCCCAGGCTGGAGTGCAGTGACGTGATCATGGCTCACTGCAAGCTCCGCCTCCCAGGTTGACACCATTCTCCTGCCTCTGCCTCCCCAGTAGCTGGGACTACAGGCAACCGCCACCACACCTGGTTAATTTTTTTTGTATTTTTAGTGGAGATGGGGTTTTACCATGTTAGCCAAGATGGTCTCGATCTCCTGACCTCTTGATCCACCTGCCTCGGGTCCCAAAGTGCTGGGATTACAGGCGTGAGCCATTGCGCCCGGCCTACATTTCATTTTTATATGAGACAGTGAATAGCATTGTTTGCAATGTATAAACTTAATTTAACACAGGGATGGTGGTTGTCATCATATTCCCATCTGATATGGTTTGGCTCTGTGTCCCTGCCCAAATCTCATCTTGAATTTTACCCCCTTAATTCCCATATGTGGTGGGAGGGATCTGGTGGGAGATAATCGAATCACGGGGGTGGTTTCTCCTATACTGTTCTCGTGGTAGTGAATAAGTCTCATGAGATCTGATGGTTTGATAAGGGGAAACCCCTTTCCCTTGGCTGTCATTCCCTCTGTTGCCGCCACCATGTAAGAAGTGCCTTTGCTTTCTGCCATGATTGTGAGGCCTCCCAAGCCACGTGGAACCGTAAGTCCATTAAACCTCTTTCTTTTGTAAGTTGCCCAGTTTCGGGTATGTGTTTATCAGCAGCATGGAAACGGACTAATACACCATCCAATTCACCAGCCCAGCCTTTGCCGAAGCTGGGTGGGTCATGTCCGCGACAGTAGACCCTTCCAATCACAGCTGTTGGGCTGGGTGTGGGGTCTATGCCAGAGATCACTCTAGCCTCTGGTATGACATTTGTAACCATCTGGCTTCAATACCCACCAGAGAGAAGGATCAGAGGCAGTTTTTATTTACATGAGATAGACAACAATACACATGCACCATCTCTCCCCAGGACTCCATTAATTCTGCTCTGTTGCAATATAGCTGGTGGTGACCCAGACCACCCGGACAGTCTGCAGAACACCACAGTGGCCCATTATATGAACCCCATGTTGATTAGACCTAAGGAGCAGGAAGGGACAAGTCCTGTATTCTGAATTCCTTGGCAAGACATGTGCATTCCAAAGGGGAGTAGATAAACTCTGTATTGCTTCAGGGGCCAGCTGCATTGGTTAATTTTTTAGAATGGTTTGGGACCTGCCAGAACATTCCTTCCAAAGTAAAGTACAAGCTATTGCACCTTGCACCTCCTACCATTAAGAAGGAAGCACAGTGCTTGGCAGCCTTTTTGGATTTTGAAGGCAGCATGTGCTGCACCTTGGAATACCTCTCTGACCCACCAATCAGGCGAAGTGGAAGGCTGCTAGCTTTGAGCAGAGCTCAAAGAAAGGAAATGTGTGGCAGGTTGAGGCTCTGGCACAAGCAACCCTATTGCCAGGACCATAGGACTTGGCAGGTTCCTCGTCCCTAGAGGTAGTTGAGGAAGAGGAAGATGTCAGGGGGGGCCTCCAGCACGACCAACGAGGGTGTTGCAGGGCCGACGGCTAGAGACCTGGAGCAAGGCCAGCACAGGTGCAGCAGAGAATTGCACTCCATTCACAGGGCCCCTTCCCTGGGCAGCCTGCTGGGCCTTGGTAGAAACAGAGCATCTACCCATAGGACATATTCGCGCAATGGAATATCTGCACAATGGAACATTAGCCATAAGAAGGCAGGAAGCTCTGACACATGCCACAACACACACGAACCTTGAAGATATCATGCTGGATGAAAGAAGCCAGACACAAAAGGCCACATACTGAACGATTCTATCTATGCGCCCAGAATAGGCTAATTCATAGAGACAGAAAGGAGCTTAGTGGTGCCAGGGGCTGGGGGAAGGAATGGTGGGGCTGAGGAGGTGATGCCTAGAGGGTGCAGGGCATCTTTTTGAAGTGATGAACGTGTTCTAAAATTGACTGTGGTATGTACCCAAAGAAATAGAAATCCTTCTGGCCGGGTGCCGTGACTCATGCCTGTAATCCCAGCACTTTGGGAGGCCAAGGCAGGTGGATCACCTGAGGTCAGGAGTTGAAGACCAGCCTGACCAACATGGTGAAATCCCGTCTCTACTAAAAATACAAAAAATTAGCTGGGCTTGATGGCGGACGCCTGTAATCCCAGCTACCCAGGAGGCTGAGGCAGGATAATCACTTGAACCTGGGAGGTGGAGGTTGCAGTGAGCTGAGATCATGCCATTGCACTCCAGCCTGGGCAACATGAGCGAAACTCCATCTCAAAAAAAAAAAAAAGAAAAAAGAAAAGAAAAGAAATATAAATCCTTTAGAAATATAAATCCTTCTATCATAAAGACACATGCACTTGTATGTTCATCCCAGCACTATTCTCAGTAACAAAGGCAGGGAATCAAGCTAGATGCCCATCAACAGTGGACTGCATGAAGAAAATGTGGTCCATATATGCCATGGAATACTGTGCAGCCATAAACAGAACGCGATCATGCCCTTTGCAGCAACATGGATGGAGCTGGAGGCCATGATCCTAAGTGAATTAATGCAGGAACAGAAAACCAAATACCACATGTTCTTACTTAGAAGTGAGAACTAAACCCTGTGCACATATGGACACAAAGAAAGGAACAGTAGGTGCTGGAGTCTACTTGAGGGTGGACGGTGGAAGGAGGGTGAGGATCAAAACGCTACCTACTGCGTCTCATGCTGGTTCCTGGGTGATGAAATAATCTGTACACCAAACTCCCACGATGCACAATTTACTCAGGGAACGAGTCTGCACAGGTACCCCCTGAACCGAAAACAAAAGTTGGAAAGAAAAACTAATAATAATAATAAAGATAAAATTGACTGTGGCAATGATTGTGTAACTTTGTGACTATACTAAACACCATTGGATCGTACGGTTTACCTGGGTGAATTCTATGGCATATGAATTACGGCTCAATAAAATTATTTTTAAAATATTTTGAATTAAAAAATGCAACAAAACTCCCTACAGTAAGGTGCTAGTAGGTGCTAATGCCTCACATCAAATAAACCTTTTGTCCTCGACCTGGTCCCTTGGCACCGCTTAGCTCTGTTGGGAGGCCCTGACTCCCTCGCTGGCTGGGAGACAGGCCTGGTTATCACCCCCAGTGACTCTCTCCGGCCACTAGTTGGATCTTCGTGATGTCTGGTGTGACCCTTGGTTCTCTGACCTCAATGACTGTAGCTTGAGTCAGGCTCCCTCTCCTTTTCTCCTGGCCCAAGATCTAGAAGAACTGGATCCTCACCCTGGCTGTGTGATCTTTGGTAAGTTACTCCACCTCTCCGATCTGTCCTCTCTTGTTTCATCTGCAAATTATGGGCAGTGCCCTAGGTCAAAGATCATCAGGTTTGATTTGAAGCCTTTGCCATTCATAAATTTGTGTTTTGCATTTGGGCTTGTTAGGAAATAAGGAGAAAGTGTTGTAAAAATTCCGTTTCTCTTTGGTTTTGTACTTACTATTTTAGAAATTAATAAGATATATGCCAGTTCCTGTTTCTAAATTTGAACTACTAAGAGTGATTTTTAATGACTGTGTTGAGGAAATAAGCCATTGCCAGGAGCAGCAGCCAGGAGGAAGTTCTCCCTGGCAGAGGAAGGGATGGTGCCCATGGGGAGGGCATGTCCATACTCTTTCCCAGAGCCCCGAGCTGGCAGGGCCTCTCGGACACAGCGATGCTTCGCTGGACCCGTGGGCTGCCCACGCCCTCTCTGCCTCCTTTCCTTGGCTGCAAACCAGACGGAACTCAGGAAGGGAAAAAAAATTAATGTGACATTGCTGTGAAGTATTTGAGGACAAACATGGAACAATCTCTTTTCACCCCTGGTTGCATTTCAGAAATACAGCTGGCCATCCACTGGGAGGGGGGGCGGGGTTCAGAATCCCAGGGAGCAGTTTCCCCCTCATTCTCCTCGGCCTTTTGCAACGCAGTGCATGCAGCAAGTATGTGCAACCCGTCCCTTCCTGCAATTTGGAAGGAAGAACCTGGGGATGAAGAGGGGACACCCTCTCCGTGTCCCAGACCTAATCCTCCACCTGCTTGGCTGTTCCTCTACTATCTCCTTCTGCTGCTCCAAAGTTCTCTCCTGTTGATGAGCCTCAGCCCTGCAGAGCCCCAGACAAAGTCTGCGATGTGCCGGAACCTTGGCTGAAGGAGTGGGCAGGCAGGACAGACTCTGCAGGGCCCAGTGCGAAATGAAAACGCGGAGCTCCTCGTTCAGAAAGTATTAAGGATTTCAAGACGTCCGCAGCAGAGATTTGACGGACGCACAGGCCCTTCTGAGCTCGGGAGCCTGGGGGTGCGTGCCTTGGTGGCTGCTCGTGGGCGGCTGTAGGCCTTGGGAATGGACGAGAATAGAATAGAGGAATAGCGTGTTTGTGTTTTGCCCGCACCATGGTGATGTGTGTTGTTTAACTAAACAACCAAACCAAAGAAAGGTGTTGCCCTACAAACAACCTCTCTCCCAGGCTCCCTGTGTGACCTTCTGGCCCTTGGAGGAGGCACAGATGCGTGGAACAGAGCCAGCAGACACCACCTCTCTGGAAGTGAAGATGGAACCAGGCTGGGTGCAGGATTAAGTCAGTCAATGCAGCTTATATGCAGTCTCGAGCTATTCCTGCTTGGCTTCCATGAGGTAACCAGGTTTTAGAGAGCAGGTGAAGACAGAGGAGAGGAGATAACAGAGGTCCAAAATGTCCCTCAATGTGAAAACCTGGTCCCAAAGAACTTTCACATGCCCTTTGCCACCTGCAAGCTACTTCACTCACCTTGAGCATTTTACCCTTCCAGTAGCCCTGTGAGTGCGGAGGAACAGTCGCGGAGGAACAGTCCCTTAGCTCATTCCATCAACCTCGAGTCCAGTTTTACCCTCCCAGTAGCCCTGTGAGTGGGGAGGAATAGTACCGTAGCTCATTCCATCAACCTGGAAGTCCAGGGCAGGCTGTCTCTTGTTCAGGGTCAGTGGACAGTGAATGGGGGCTGGAACCCAGATTTTCAGACTCCACATCAAATATCTTTTATCCTCTAAGTGCTAGATGGTGCAATTAGTAAGCATCTTCTAAGTTCTATCACCAGGAGGCTTAAAATGCTTATGCCGGCCGAGTGTGGTGGTTCACACTTGTAATCCCAGCACTTTGGGAGGCCAAGGCGGGCGGATCACTTGAAGACAGGAGTTTGAGACCAGCCTGGCCAATACGGTGAAAACCTGTCTCTACTAAAAACACAAAAAAATTAGCTGGGCGTGGTGGCGGGCGCCTGTAATTCCAGCTACTCAGGTGGCTGAGGCAGGAGAGTCGCTCGAACCCAGGAGGTGGAGGTTGCAGTGAGCCGAGATCACATCATTGCAATCCAGCCTGGGCAACAAGAGCGAAACTCCGTCTCAAAAAAAAAAAAAAAAAATGCTTATGCCAAGTGAGCTCGCTCCCCAGCACACCGAAGCAAAGCTCTCCTTCTGCCCCGCCAGAGTCTAACCTAGGCTGACGGACTCGGCCTGGGGCTGCCACCGAGGGAACCATGAGAAATCAGTCAGGCGAAGTTGGACTCAAACTGTTTTTAATATATGTTTTTAATTTTATGATTCATCTTTTAATGCTGAATCTGTTTTTGTTGTTTAAAATTTAGCTTTTAAAAACTGTAAATAAATGTTTATATAGAATTGGGATTATGCTATAATAAAGCCTTTTTTTACATACTATGAACACTTTCCCTCATTAAACATTCTTCCGCAACATTTTGAATGTCTACAAAATGTTCTATTTTATAGGTTTACCCTAATCGATTCAATCAGTGTCCATTTGTTGGTGGTTTTCAACTGTTTACAATGTTTTATTTTATTTTGAAATCATCTTACTTCAACAATTTCTGAATGTGGTCCTTTAATTTGGTACTTTTTTTTTTTTTTTTTTGATGAAGTCTTGCTCTGTTGCCCAGGCTGGAGTGCAGTGGTGTGATCATGGTTCACTGCAGCCTCGGCCTCCTGGGCTCAATGCAATCCTCCCACCCCAGCCTTCCAAGAAGCTGGGACTGCAGACAGGTGCCACCATGCCTGGCTATTTTTTTTTTTTTTTTTGGTAGAGACAGGGTCTCACTTTGTTGCCCAGGCTGGTGTTGAACTTCTAGGCTCAAATAATCCTACTGCCTTGGCCTCCTAAAGTGTAGGGATTACAGGCGTAAGCCACCACGCCTGGCTTAACTTGGGACTTTTGAAAAAACCAAGACATTTTTGGAAAGAAGTCAGGATTTTGGCTGAATTAGATAAAAGATGACATAATAACGGCAAGTCCCATACATGAGTCATTCTGGTGCCCCAATGCAGGTTTCATCTTGTGGAGTTATGTTGAGCTCCCACTCACAGCTAGGAGACACTTTTGGTCCCAGGAGGGACAGGGACGTCTGGGTGCAGCAGCTGCCTCCGGACACGGGACACGGGTCTGCGCTTTGCTTCCCTCTGCCTCCCCCGGGGCCCAGCTGGTCACTGGCCATCTTGAGCCATGAACACTTCTCTGCTCTTCCTGCCACCCTGCTGCTGTGCCTTATCTTCAGCTTCACACATCCACGGAGACATCACCCTCCCTTGGAATGCATTTGCTTTGGGTTTCCAGCCCATTGGTCTTGCAGTCCACACAACTTTAGTGTTGTAAATGTGCAGCCAGACAAAGCTGTCAGAATGTTCGAGGTCCAGAGGGAAGCCACTCTAACTCCACCCGCGCTGTGGCCCTCTCTGGTGGGCTTGTGGCCTCCGTCCTGTGGCCCCAGGCATGGGTACAGCTCCAGCTGGAAGAAGTCAGGAAAGGAAAAGAGGACAGGCGCCTGCTCCTGAAGGAGCTGTGTGGACACTGCCTGTTCCCTGTGCATTCACGTGTGGTGCCACACCTTAGTCTCAGGAGTGGGAGGGCAGGCTCCATCCAGGTGGAACTGGGGCATGAGGAAAATACAGAGGGTCTGGGGTCCTGGTCACCGGTTGCCATTTTGACCCTAAAAAGGGCTCAACACAGCTGCGGGTGTATCAGGGAGAGAGAGACCTGTGTCCAAGTTAAAAGTACCCACTTACTAGCAACTTCAGGAGGGGACGGGAACCCCCATCTGCCTGGGAAGGCAGCATTTTTTTTTCTTAGCTGGCAAGAGTCTTTTAACATGAGGAAGGCTTAGAACTAAACATCAGAATGATGGAGTAAGTCAACCACAAATATCAGTATGGGGAGAATTAAGTCTAGAATAAAAATACTGGGCATGTTTGGTATTTAAAGTGTCTGAAATATTAAGAGAAATTGGCACATTAGAGGAAAAACACATTGAATTAGCCTTGTGATTTGGGTTTAAATCATGTCACTGAGCAATTGTTTTTAGCCTGTGATTTTGGGTGGAAAATATAAGAGCATTTTACTGAGCTTTTGCACAATGTTGGGACAGTCCAGGGCGTGGACATTCACCTGTTCAAACTCTACTTGTTGGATTTAGTGGAGTGACTTTAGTACTGGAGGTGTTATTGCTTCTTGGAACCATTTACAATAATTTTAGAAGACAGTAATGAATTTGCAATGCAGTTTAACGTGTTTAAGGGAACCTCATTTATTAGGTTTGTAAATATGATCGATACCTTTAGGGCGTTTAGTAGTTCAAATCCATTTGTTCAAACATTAATCTTGTTTTTTTGAGACAGGGTCTCACTCTGTTGTCCAGGCTGGAATGTAGTAGCGTGATCACGGCTCACCACTGCCTTGACCTCCTGGGCTCAAGCAATCCTCCCACCTCAGCCTCCCAAATAGCTGGGACCTCAGGATGTACCACCACGCCTGGCTAATTTTGTTTATTTTTTTTCAGAGATGGGGTTTCACTGTGTTGCACAGGCTGTTCTTGAACACCTGGACTCATGTCATCTTCCTGCCTCGGGCTCTTAAAGTGCTGGAATTACAGGCGTGAACCACCACACCTGGCCAAACATTAACTGAATTGAGTCTCCTTGAAAATAATATTAAAATTGTCTGGCTTGACAAATAAAATGAGTTGATTTGTAAGGTAAACTTCAAAACCCAAGGAAAACTAGATATTGAAATATGAAACTTATTACATTCAAGATTGGTTCTATCTATATTTTATGGCATAACTCTATTTATCTCACCATTTGGCAACACATTTTTACACTTGTCATAAACCCTTTGGGCCATGGTGAACTAAAAAATAAAATGAAAGTGCATGCAAAATATAAAATTAAGTTATTGGATTTCTGTTTCTCCGGAAAGTTGATTATGATGTCTACTTACGCAAAATGTTTGTGAACGTTTACCATTTGCGGTAAATGCAGTGACATCACCAAGCACATGAAAAGCAGAAGAAACAGCAGCATTGGCCTCAAAAGCTGGTAACTCTTTTCAGGCAGCCAAAGACAGTGACTGACGCCTGCAGCCATGTCACTCTGGGACTTTTCATGTAGATCAAATGTCAGTGCTCATTAATTTCCTTCTTTGTCAACTTCGAGTTTTCTTATGATTTACTCGATGACGTGATAGCTGTTATGTGTTACCTCCATGAGCAGGATTTCACAGACCGTTAAGTGATGTGGATATAATATGTGTATTATCAGATGCTTCCAACAGAAAAGCCCACTCAGTTAATTGGAATAACTTAATTTTTATTAAATCATTAAATAAAAATAAAGCTTTTGAGGCCAGGTGCAGTGGCTCACGCCTGTAATCCCAGCACTTTGGCAGGCCGAGGTGGGAAGATCACCTGGGGTCAGGAGTTTGAGACCAGCCTGACCAACATGGAGAAACCCCATCTCTACAAAAAATTAGCCTGGCGTGGTGGCGCATGCCTGTAATCTCAGCTACTCAGGAGACTGAGGCAGGAGAACCGCTTGAACCTAGGAGGCAGAGGTTGCAGTGAGCAGGGATTGTGCCATTTTACTCCAGCCTGGGCAACAAGAATGAAACTTCATCAAAAAAAAAAAAAAAAAGTAAAGCTTTTGAACATTCGTTCTGTTGAAGATGTATCATTGGCTCCTTTTAAAAATGCAAGATGTAACTTGCAGTTAACTATTCAATATTGCTGGTGTCATTGTTCTTATGGTGATACTACAAATACAAATGTTGGTGTCGTACAGCATCATGTAGAAATGTGCTATTATCAAATTTAAAAAGTATAGAGCAGGCCAGGTGCGGTGGCTCACGCCTATAATCCCAGCACTTTGGGAGGCCAAGGCGGGCGGATCACCTGAGGTCAGGAGTTTGAGACCAGCCTGGCCAACACGGCAAAACCCCGTCTCTACTAAAAATTCAAAAACAGCCAGGCGTGGTGGCAGACGCCTATAATCCCAGCGACTCGGGAGGCTGAGGCGCAACAATCACTTGAATTCAGGAGGCGGAGCTTGCAGTGAGCTGAGATCACACCACTGCACTCCAGCCTGGGCAACAGAGCGAGACTCAGTCTCAAAAAAAAAAGCATAGAGCAGAAATCAAGTTGGAACTGTTTTTAGTGAACAAATAATTTATGCGTGAGTCTTAAACTTTAATACGCCTCTAATTCAAGAGAAAGTTGCCGATATTAAAACTTACAAATTTTTTACATGTACTAAAATGCAACATTGCCACAACAATGCTAATAGAAGTGGCAAGAAGGCCTTAATCAGGACAATATATACTTTCTTCCTTTTTGCTCCATCATTAGATTTTAGAAGTGCACAGCCCCAGAGAAAGTAGTTTATAAATCCACCTAAATGACTTACAATAGATTTGTGTGTGTTTGTGTGTGCGTAATTGGGTCTTCTAGACTTACCTTGCATTTAGTTCCAAATCAGTGGGAAATCTTTAATCAAACCATTCAACAAATACATAACTAAAAACTTTTGAAACTTTTAGCAAATTATTACAATTATTAAAAACAAGATTGCAAACAGAAAGACTATTTAAATTTGTCACCACAAAAGTAAGAGAGGAACTGAGTAAAATGCATGATGTCTACCCCGTGTAGGAGAGTGACTTTGGAATTCTAAAATTTATTCCTGAAGTGTCTCAATGTGTGGAACAAATTTTGTAGAGCTCTTATTTTAATTGGATATATGTATAGTATGTATCAGAATGGAGTAAAATTGAAAAGGCCTATGACTTTTAACACCTAAATTTGACAAAATATTTAAAAGAATCATGCATGAAAAAAGCCTATTTGACCCAATTTGCCCTATAAAGACACTTAGGAAAGAAAGATCCTTTGGATTGAAGTCAGAACACAGGATCTGTGACAATATCTCGGTGAAATATTGACCTTTCCATTAGAAAAAATTGAAACTGTCTTGTCCTGAGCAGAGTTAGCTCATCCACAGATGCTCATTCATCTGACAACCTCAGGGTCTACGGAGAAGATTCCACTTAGCTGGTCGGCAAATTCAAATTCATTAGCCACAAAAATGTCTTCTTAAAGAAGTTTCTAGGCAATTTTATGAGAGATTAAAATAAGATAGCTCTGAAAATAATGCATTCTTCTGAAAAAATGCCACTAATGGTGATAGAATCAAATAAGGCTAAAAAACTGATTAAAGAATGTGACTAGGTATCAAGAATAATTATTCAGGCTGGGTACAGTGGCACCTGCCTGTAATCGCAGCACTTTAGGAGGCCAAAGTGGGAGAATCACTTGAGCCCAAGAGTTCAAGATCATCTTGGGCAACATGGCAGAATCCCTGTCTCTACAAAAAAATACCAAAATTAGCCGGGCATGCTGGTACGTGCCTGTAGTCCCAGCTACTGGAGAGGCTGAGATAGGAGAATTGTTTGAGCCCAAAAGACAGAGGTTGCAGTGAGCCGAGACCATGCCACTGCACTTCAGCCTGGGGACTCTATCTCAAAAAAAAAAAAAAAAAAAAAAGAATAATTATTCAGCTTGTAATTGTTTTTTAATATTCAGATAATCAATACAAAAAAGAAGATATTAGTTTTTTGCTTCAATGTAAACATGTTATTTTTCCCTTTTGAGAAAGCGTTTCTTGAGGGTTTCTTGAAAATTAAACATACAACTACCGCATGACCTCGTTGTTCTACTCCTAGATATTTGTCCAAGAGAAATGAAAATTTAAATTTAAATTTAATTTTTTTCTCTGCAACTACAATGTCTGCTTTATTAGAAATAAAAATTACATGTTACCACAGTATTCTGCCCTTGTCCTAATATGCAAAGATATTTCAGTGCAAATTTATTTTTCCCCAGCTTTATTGAGTTACAATTTATATCCAATAAAATCCACCCATTGTAATTTAGCAATTGGTAGCTGTAGTGTAACCATCACCACAATCAAGAAATAGAACATTTTTATCACTCTAAAAAGTTTTCTTTTGACCTTCCCCTGAGCCCTGACCCCAATTACTACTAATCTGGAAAGCATTTTTAAGGCTTTAAACAAGGTAATTGAGGTATAATTGCCATATAATAAACTATACATACTCAGAGTGTACAATTTGACATGTGTCGACACATGGGCATGTCCTGAAACCACCCCAACAACAAGACAGAAAGTATATGCCTCCTTCCATGCGCGGATATACCACGATGTGTTTATCCGTCTCGCCTGTTGATGGACATTTGGGTTGTTTCTAGTTTTGGCTATTACAAATAAAGCTGCTATGAACATTTATGCAAAAGTCTTCACTTGGGCACAGGCTTTCACTTCTCTTGAATAAATAGCTCTGAGTAGAACGATGGGGTCATGTGGTATTGTGTATTTAATTGCCAAGAATCTGTCAGTTTTCCAAAGTGCCTATACCATTTTACATTCCTAACCACAGGGTGTGAGAGCTCCAGTCTCTGCGGCGGCCCTCACTGTAGTTATTCTAAGCTATTTGTAGTAATAGCCATTGTAGTATATATGTATATATTTGACAGTGTCTCCCTTCTGTTGCCCAGCTGGAGTACAGTGGCACAGTCACTGCTTACTGCTGCCTTGACCTCCTAGGCTCAAGCGATACTCCCACCTTAGCTTCCTGAGGAGCCACGACCACAGCCTAGCACCACCACACCTGGCTAATTTTTTTTTTTTTTTTTTTTGTAGAAATGGGGTTTCATTCTGTTGCCCAGGCTGGTCTTGAACTCCTGGGCTCAAGTGATCCTCCTGCCTCAGCCTCCTGAGTAGCTAGGACCACAGGCTAGTTATATCATGCCTAGCTAATTTTGTTTATTATTTATTTATTTATTTTTGTAGAAACAGGAGTTCACTGTGCTCCCCAGGCTGGTCTGGAACTTCTGAATTAAAGTGATTCTCCCACCTTAACCTCCCAAAGTGCTGGAATTAGAGGCGTGAGCCACCTCCCCTGGCCAAACATTAATTGAATTAAGTCTTCCTGAAAGTGCTATTAAAAACCCAAGGAAAACTAGACATTAGAAATGTGAAACAATACCTTCGATGTTAATCAAAAGTGAAGGAACTAAGAACGGTCTTTTCTGTTACACAGGCTGCTCTTGAGGACACCAAGAATCTCACACTAACTGTTTTCTGCTTTCCTACCTTAGCCCACAGGAAAGGTCGCCCATCCTAAACACACCCTCTCCACAGCCTCCCAGTCAGCCCTGCCGCCCCCCGACAGTCTCACCTCTCCTCTGATGAAATTGCACAGAGATTGGATAACTGCCCTGTGGTTTTAAGTGGAAAATATGGCTTCCTGGTTGAACTTCAGACTGTTCTATGAGATAATAGACCCTTTTTCTCTGAATCTGGGTAATTCAATCCTGTCTATCCCCACGTGAAAGTCTGTCCAGTTGGAGAAATATTTAGTAGCCCCTGTGCTCTGCAGCTTAGTGAATTCCAGGGGCTGTGAGCTTTTGAGGGGTCTAAGCCCCCAGAGCTCAGAGCAGGCGCCATGCCTGTGACAATTCCTTAACACACTTGTGCCACTCTCAGAGAAATCCACTGTTGAAAGTCCATTTAGTGGTCAAGATGATGAGATGAGTAAAACTTGGAAAATTTTACTGCTGAATGACTAATGCATGTTTTTTACCAAGCTATTTTCCTCGTATCATGTTCAATTTTGACAACTGGGAAACTGTCTGCATTTGTATCAGAAGAAAGGAGAGAGACAAACAGGATTTCTTTCCATGAACATGCGCGCTGCCTTCCTTTCCGTTCTGTGACTCACGGATGTGCCGGCCAGCCTTCTGACGGAGGCCCTGAAATGGGGATATTGTGTTCCTGATGATAGGATCTGAGCACTCCGGGGGCCACGACGTGATTTGGATCAAGGGGGTCATTGTTCTTTGGGGGGTTTCCAGTGAGGCATGGGTTTTCTCACAACCCTGTGACTAAGCTGTGATAAGCTGCTGGCTCCCTGGGGAACCTGATAGGGTCTGGCCGTTTTGAACTTTGTGGATTTCTCTGGCTCTTCCTGGCCCTCTCCCACAGTACCCATAGGATGATTTCTTTCCTTTCTGCCTTTTTTTTCTTTACCTTTGCTGAAAAGACAGATTCAGTGAAAGCCTGTGTCTTGTTCTATTACCCAAAATGTTAGCATCCACCACACTCAGGGCACTCCCCGTGAGAAGCAGCCTCCTAACATGGGCTTGTCCCTGTCCCAGGGAACGTGCAGCCCTAGCTCTAACAATCTGCAGCATGAAGGGGGCTGGAATCTCTCCTCTGTAGTCGGTCTTTAGACACTCTTTGGAAATAATAAATATTGTGCAAAGAAAAGTGGATAAAAATTGCATTTTAGGGAGGGTATTGGAAGTGCCTCCCCCAGCCCAGGCACTTCCCTGCCAGGTCATTCTTTTTGGGCTAGTCATTGCTTTCCCCTTGAGGCAAATCCTCCTTGGATGGGCCTGTCCTGAGAGGGACTGAGGTCATTGGAAAGTGCTGGCTGGACTCAGCATCTGTGGTCCTTGGTGTCAGAGAGACCAGAGTTTGAGTGTGACCCAGCACATTCTGGCCATGCAACCTCTGCCAGGTTTAGATGATCCCACGTGGATTTCTCTTCTATAGTTAGTGACAGCAACAACCAACATGCAGGAGTTAGTTCTCAACTGTTTTGAAACGATGGTCACCTCCTTATCTCAGGTCAGACACTGTCTTGTTAACAAGCTCTCAGGAACCGGTGGTGGCATGTCAGAGACCGCTAGTTATCTCAGGGGCACGGCCTCTTGCTTTGACTATTTTCCATTGATGGGACATTTGACATCTCTGCCAGGGTTCATATTAACTTGAAGAAAATGGACAGTGATGCAACTGACTCTATCTGCTGGCAATACAGTTGAATTTGTCTTGTCGAGATGCTGATAGCTTACTGAACAATAGATCATCACCCAACAGGGACTGTTTTATTGCACCCTAGGGCCCTGTGATCTGGCAACATCCTTCCAGCATGCCTTCTGTCAGAGACTGTAGTCTTTCATTCTTTTTCTACTTTTTGAACCAGCTCTGCCACCATGCTGGCTTCCATACTGAGTTCCATAAACCATTGACAGATGCTCCTGTTACATAAGAGTCATACTTTTAACTTGTAAAAAATTCAACCTCAGCAAGGGCATCATTCTACCCCCACACCTTTTCAATCTCTGCTGCCTCCCTCACGTCTTCTTTTCTCCACCCTCACATCCTAGAAAATCCATCCAGTCGACTAGGAGCAGTAGCTCACACCTGTAATCCTAGCACTTTGGGAGGCTGAGGTGGGTGGATCACCTGAGGTCAGGAGTTTGAGACCAGCCTGGCCAACATGGTAAAACTCCATCTCTACTAAAAATACACAAAATTAGCCAGCTATGGTGGTGGGCACCTGTAATCCCAGCTACTCGAGAGGCTGAGGCAGGAGAATCGCTTGAACCCAGGAGGCAGAGGTTGCAGTGAGCCAAGATCGCACCATTGCACTCCAGCTTGGGGGACAAGAGCAAAACTCCGTCTCAAAAAAAAAAAAAAAAGAAAAGAAAAGAAAAGAAAATCCATCTAGTCCCAAGACTTTAGGTACCTAGATGCTGACTACAAAATAGACCCATCTCTAGGATGGAGAGCGCTCCACCTCCATGGCTGTATGGCTCCCCCAGACCTCTCGACTTGCGTAGCTGTTCGTGTCTTAAGAGCATCCACATTGAACTCATCCCAGCTGAGCTCCTGGCTGCCTCCCGCACCTGCAGCAATCTTTCTCCTTAGCTCTGCAGTGGAAATGCCACTCTTCTGGTTGGTCCAGCTGAGGCCTGAGAGGGACCAGGGGGTGACAAACACCCTGGAACTTCACAGCTGGAAGCAACACTCATTTCACTTGCTCCGTCTCTCCACTGCACTGCTTCTAGCCTGTTAGTGTTCTCGGTTTCCTGAACATTGCAGGCATGATCCTGCCTCAGCACCCTTGGCCCCCCTCACAGTCTATATCAAATGTGTTGGGAATTCCTAGTGGCTCCACTTCAACTGTCCCCACCTAGGCACCTCTCTCTCTCCCCTCCACGCCACCCTGGGCCACGTCTCCATCAGGCTCTCACCTGTGTCCTGGCCACAGCCCCCACCTGGTCTTGAGTGCCCTGCCCCATTCACAGGGATTCTCTGAGCACACCTCTGCTCTAAGCCATTTCTCCAGTGGCTTCCAACTTCATGCAAAGCAAGAGCCAAAGTCCTTTCAACAGTCTACAGAGCCCTATATTCACTGTTCTCAACAGTAGAGAGCCAGAGAGCTGGCAGCGTGAGGAACCCCAGAATCCCTGCCAGCGTGGTTCGGAGGCAGCAGGCCTGGGGTGGGCCTGATAACTGGCATTTCTACCGGGTCTCCAGGCAAGGCTCTGCTGCTGGGCCTTGCCCTCCGTGATCTGTGCTCCCGGCCCCCGGGAACCACACGTGGAGGCGAAAGCAACTCCAGCTTGGATGCCAACCCACCATGCTGACTTTGAATAGACCCCAGTTCCGGAAGGCCTCTATGATTTCTAAGTTATCTGCTGTTTGTTGTGTAAGAGCACCCACTTAAATCTCACCCTTAGGTCAAAACAACCTTGACCATAACTCCTGTCCTTAGGCAAATTCACATAGCATTCTTGCATATGTGAAATTTCCCTACAATTGTCCTACACCTTCCTTCTGGCACTGTGTAAGTCTGAGGAGTAATGGGGATCCACCATCTAGTCTTGCTGCTGACAGAGATATAGACATGGCTTCTGTTCACACGTTCCTGTTAAATGTTTCTTTCTGGATTACCACGGTGGCTCACACCTATAGTCCCAGCTCCTAGGGAGGCGGAGGCTAGAGGATCACTTGAGCCCAGGAGTTTAACTCGGCAGTGAGCTATGATTGAGCCACTACACTCCAGCCTGGGTGACAGAGCAAGACCCTGTCTCTAAAAAAATTAATGAATAAATAAATATTTCTTTCTAAGAAACTGGATTTTTCAGCCTCTTTCTTCAGCCTCTCAGCTTCCTCAGACTTTGGAGGTAGGTTTGCATAGACCTGCCCACTGCAGAACACACATCTTGAACATTCATGCCCTTACACAGTCCTCTCCCCCTAAATGTGGTGGACCCTGGGACTCACTTTAATTAATTAAATGTGGCAGAAGTGGTGCTGTGCCACTTATGGGCCTAAGCCTTGAGAAGACTTGGCAGCCTCCACTTTTGCACTCTTGGGAGCTCTGAACCACCACATAAGAAGGCCAGCTATCCTGCCAAAAGTTTCATGGAGAGAACACACAGAAAGGCCACAGAAGGGAGAGAGGCCCTGGGACCACATGGAGAGACATAGAGAGAGAAATCCAGTCATCCCAGCACCCCCATTCTGGCCAGCCCAGCTGACATCCCAGCTAACAGCAGCCACATGGAGGGCCACCAGCAAGACCAGCAGAAGAGCCGCCCAGACGAGCCCAGCCCAGATTGCAGACTCATGAAGAAATAAAATGGGTTGTTTTCAGCTGTGCAGTGTGGGGGTAGTTTGTCATTTCTGCTTCTTCTCTGACCTCAGGTCACATGCCTTTTGCTGTTGTCAAACGCCACAAGCACAGTCCTGCTTTAGGACTTTTGCACTTACTGGTCTCCCAGCCTAACCTTCTTTTCTCCCAGCTACCTGCTTGGGGTGTTCCCACACCTCTTTAGGCCTCTGCTCAAATCTCACCTGAATACCCAATTTAAAATTCTGACCCTCTCAATCTCTCTCCCCAGCTTCATCTTTTCCAAAGGACTTACTACCATAGGAGGCTTCCCAGATTTACCTGCTTATTTCTTTGTGTCTGTCTCCCCTTGTCGAGAATGTGAATTCCTTGAGGTGAGTCCTTTCGCAGGGTCTAGAGTATGCATGGCACATTATAGGTACTCAGCAAAAAATATATTAGGAAGGAAGGAAAGAAAGAGGGAGAGAGGGAGGGAAGAGAAGAGGGAAGTAAGGAGAAACAAAAGAGGGAGAGAAGGCTGGGTGCAGTGGCTCACACCTATAATCCCAGCACTTTTGGAGGCTGAGGTGAGTGGATCACTTGAGGTCAGGAGTTTGACAGCAGCCCGGCCAACATGGTGAAACCCATCTCTACTAAAAATACAAAAATTAGCCCGGTGTGGTGGCACCCGCCTATAATCCCAGCTACTCAGGAGGCTGAGACAAGAGAATCGCATGAACCCAGGAGGTGGAGGTTGCAGTGAGCCGAGATCGTGCCACTGAACTCCAGCCTGGGCGACAGACCAAGAGTCCATTTCAGAAAAAAATAAAAAATAAAAAATAAGAAAAGAGGGAGAGAGGGAGGAAGAGAGGAGGGAAAGAAGAGAGAAGGAAAGACACGAAGGCAGAGCAGAAAAAGGAAGGGAAGAAGGGACGAAGGCCAGCCCACTTCGTAAGTGGGTTGTTATAGAAAACACCTGGCAGGCTGCCCAGCACATCATAGAAGACCCATAAAGCAAAGCGTCCCACTCCACAGATCCCCTTGGTGAGGATCGAGGTGGACAGTGAGGGAACTGAGGGCAGGGAGGCAGATGAAAGGGGAGAGGGCACAGAGCAGGGGGCTGGAGCTGAAGATGGGCTCGAAACACTCTGAATTTTTCTGTGTGGGGCTGGCTTGGCTCCAAACCCTGGCTCTTGTCCTGAGTGGAGGAAGAAGCCAGCCTGGCTGTCTCCCCTGCCCTTGCAAATCCAAGGCTTCTCCTGCATCCCCTGGGTTCAGGATTGAGAACAAGAAGAGGAACCTCCACAGGGCCACCCAACGGTAGCAAGAGCCCTTCTGTTGTGCCTGGATCTCAGCCACATAGGCAAGGCTGTGGCACTATCAGCTTCAGGGTGTTTGGGAACATCCCACCCTCAACCACACACTGAGCTTCTGGAGCCACTGTTCTCAAACACTGTGTACAAAGAACATTGGGAATTTGTTAACATGCAGATTCCTGGGCCTGGCCTAGATCCTAATTCGAAGGGGCCGGGCCCAGACATATGCATGCTTTTAACAAGCTCCTCTGTGATTCCAGATTCTGATGCAGATAGTGCCTGGGCCACTCTGGGCGGTCCTGCTCCCTGGGAACTTGTTGCCTTCCCCAGGACTTTGATGTGTGTCAAAGATGACAGAGGGTCCTCAGAACCCACTGTGGGCAGAGGAGGGACCAGCAGAGCTGGCGGTCCTCTCTGCTTACTCTCCCTTTGCTGGAACTCCCTCTCATGAAACTGCCCCCACCTTTGATTCTTTCTCCAGGACCCATATTTACCTGTCTGCACATGATCTCCCCAGCAGAGAGCATTCAGGAGTCATGAGGTCAGAAGAACAGGGAGGGGAGCATTGGAGTCAACCCCCTGCCCCTTCACCCCAACCCCTGCGAGGAACAACATGGAGTGTGAGTCAGGGCAATGAGAATGAAGAAAGGCCCCACAGGGCTGTGTAGGGCAGGATAAGGGGCTCCCTGTAAGAAGCCAGGGCATTGTCCCACATTTGTCCTACCAGGGGAGTCCTGTTTTTTGCATCTTGACTAGACTTTAGAGGCAGGCCTAAATTCTTTATCTGGGTATGTTTAGAAGAAACATAGGCCTGGCAGAGTCAGCACTGGATGGTGGGTGGAAGGATGAATGGATGAGTGGGTAGATAGATACATGAATGAATGGATTAATGAATAGATGGATGGGTGAGTGGATGGATGGATGGAGCAGGTGGATGAGTGGATGGATGGAGTGGGTGGATGAATGGATGGATGATGGATGGGTGGATGAGAAGATGAATGGATGGTGGATGGAGTGGGTAGATGAATGGATGGATGGATGGATGATGAATGGAGTGGCTGGCTGGTGGATGGATGATGGACAGGTGGATGTATAGAAGGATGATGGAAGAATAGATAGATGAAAAGATGGATGGTAGAGTGGGTGGAAGGATAGATGGATGAGTGGGTAGATGAATGAATGGATAAATGGATGGATGGATGGTGGATTGATCAGTGGATGATAAATGGAGAGGATGGATGTATGAATGGATATATAGAGGGATGATGGATAAATAGACAAAAAGATGGATGATGGAGTGGGTAGATGGATAGATGGATGGATGATAAATGGATGAATGAATGGGTGGATGAATGGATGAATGGATGGATAGATGGATGGATGGATGGACAACCTTCACCTCTCTGGTTTGAGGTTTGGATTCCATGCTCTCCGGGGTTCCTGCCAGTCCTGGTTGTGTGAGGGTCCATCACTGTAGAATCAGACTATTGGCTGTGGGGGCTGGGGGTGGTTCTTACGCTGGCAGGGAAAGTGTGAGAGCAACTTGCGGGTGAGACAGGATGAGAAAGAATTGTTGGAGGAGGCAGAGGGAAAGGAGGGCAATAGCAAGGTAGTGGGGGGAGGAGAAAGGTGAAAGAGAGAAAGTGGGTAAAGTAAACTAAGTCTGGCAGCTTTGAAGGTTTCCCCAATTGCAGACCCAATTACTTCTAATAACACCTTGGAGCTCCTTGGCGCCTTCTCCCAGAAGCTCAAAGCCTTTGATTGATGCTGTGAAACTGCTTGACGTTCCAGCAGGCAAGACAGATGTACCATTAATAGCAACATTTATTGCCCAAGGTCACAGGGCACTGGGAGCAGGCCCTAGAGGGGCACGGGGCTGGGCACACAGGGGAAACATTCCCTCCCCTGATCTTCCCTCCTCACCGCCCCGAGGGCCTGGTGCCTTGTATGGTGTGCCCTGCCCGAGCTCTCAGAGAGCCCAACCGTGAATTCATAAGCATTAGTAAGTCACCGGTTCTCACGACACACTATGAGCTCACAGCTGTAACCGACTCATTTTCAAAACAAGGACGCCCAGACTGGGGCAAGCCAAGTGACTCCCCCTAAGTCACTCAATGTGTCAAAGCTGGAACTGGGAAAGGGTGAATTTCAAGATTTGAAGGCCAAGGTTTATCCTTAGGCCACCTGGCTGGTGTGTCCACAAGCCAACATTGCAAAGGAAAGTGATGAAATCAATAGTTGCTGCAGCCCCGAGAGCACTCTCTCTGCCATCACCATGTGGGGCTTCAAGCCACTTTGCTTCAAGCCACTTGGCTTCACAGGGTCTCAGTTCCTTATCTCACTGCCCCCCTTGCTGGGTGGGCCTCCCTCTTCCCAACCTGCTCTTCCACATCCCTCCCTGCCTTGATTAACTGAGGTCCTCCTTGTTACCAGAGTCACAGGCTGAGGGTTCTGCAGGTTAGGATGGAGGGGGCGGACTGGCGTTCCTCAGGCCTGAGTCAAAGAGGTAAATTATCCAATAAAGCAGCATTACCAACCCCCTAAAAAGAATCCTCAACACAGCAGCCAAGAATGCACCTGAAAGGGTGTGATTTCTTGGCTTCCTGGCTCCAGAAGTACCCTTTGTACCTTTATTGAGATGAGAAAAATGCAGTGCATTCTTGAGCTGGGCCTCAGGGGAAGTCTTGTGGAGACTGGCAGGGGTGAGGCGGGTAATCACCCTGCCTGGGGCCATGAGTCCTCCACCTGCAGGTTCCCAGGAACCGGTCCCAGGCTGCGGAGCAGGGGAGGGGACAGTGGGGTTGGGGGTGCACCCAACTCTGAGTGCAGGGCTGCTAAGAGACAGGCCGGGAGAAGGAAGGAGGAGGGGCAGCTCAGTGGCTGCTCCAGGATCATGGCACCGCTTGTGCCCCATGACTGTCGCTGGGCCCATTCAATCTGCTCTGTCTGCTTCCCCAGTAGAGCAGTGGCACCATGAGGGGCAAGACCCTGGTCTCAAAAGCCTCTGTAGCTTCAGGGACAAGCGCAGCTCCTGGCATGCATGTTAGCAGGTGCATAAGACTTTTCCATGAGATGGACGGATGATGAATGAATGGGTGGTAGATGGATAGAGGGATGGATGGAGGATGAATAGATGGAGAGATGAATAAACAGATGGACAGATAATGGAGAGTGATGGATGGTGGGTGGATGATGAATGGATGGATGGACAGTTGGGCTAATGATGGATGAATAATGGACCGATGGGTGACAGATGAATGATGGATGGTGAATGGACGATGAAAGGATGGAGGGATGATAAATAGATAGAGGGTGTATGAACAGATGAGTGGATGGATGGACAGATGATGAAAGAGTGATGGATGGTGGATCAATGTGAGTGGATGGATGGATGGACAAATGGATAATGGATGGCGCATGGGTGGATGGATGCACAGATAGAAAAATGAACAGGATTCTGGGACACAAGGAAGATATTTGGGATCCTGCCCAAATCCCCACTGTAGCAGGCAATTCAATGAAATACTGAAAGCAGCCACGCTTACGTGTGGGGTGTTTAGAAGGAGGAGCCCCTCTTTCCTCTTCCCCAGCAGCCCACACAGGACCCAGGCTTGGATGTACAGGCACAGAGCAGGAGAGGAGAGTGACAGACGGAGAAAGGGGTGCTCAGGAGCGGTGGGGAGCTGAGGATGGCGGCCCACAGCCTCCCAGTTTCCCAGGCCTCCACCTCTGCCTTTTCCCCAAGTCAACTGGCAGGCCCCGGCCAGGCTAGCAGTTCTGGGGAGAGTCTAACCTGGGGCGTGACTCTGCTCTGTGGAGAGGAGCTGCAGGGGCCCCCAATTACACCTACCCTTTCCCTGCGCACCTTTCGTCTGGTGCAGAGGGCTGTGATTACCCGCCCCCAACCCTTCTTACAAGTGACATAAAACTGTGGCATTCAGAGCAGCGACTTTCAAGCTGCCCCTGACTTAATGAGCTGCCAGTGGAGTTCTTGAGCTAGGTCAGAAGGAGGGGACGTAATTGCATGTTTGCTGCTGGAGGGAGTCCTCCTCTCTGGCGTTAGGTCTGAGGGGAGCAAGTGAAGGCTGACAGGTGCAAGAGGAAGTTGGTCACTGCCTTCCAGCTGGGCCTGGTGCCCAGGTGGAGGAGCCTCCAAACCTCTTGGCACAGAGGATCTGCCTGAGCCCACAGTGGAGCTCAGCCCTTGATACCCACACCTGGCCTGAAATAACCCTCCCCTTTGCAGGTGGCAGGGGCTGTACCTGGAAGCGAATGAGCTGAAGTTCCAGGGGCCCAATCTACTCCAACCCAGGGAGCACCCAGAGCTTCTGGGAGCTATAGAGGGTTGTAGGTGAGGAGAGGATGCCAGAATTCAATCTATTTAAAAGAGATTGCAGAAGGACAGAGGAAGAGACCTGAATCTCCATGGCGCTAACACTTTCTGGTGATTTATTCACATTCTAAATAGGAACTCATATTTGTATCTTACTTTGATTTAATGACTTTATATTATTTTTCTTAAAGAGAGCGAATTGTCTAAGCTTCAATCCAAAGCACCTGAAGGGGCTCCTGACTGCTGGTGTGTTCACAAGTCAGTGGCAAACAATTGTGAGCCGGAGGTGAGACCCACCCTGGCCTCCACCCAGCCCCATCAACCACACAGAGACTGGGTGTCGTGCACTCATCACAGGATCGAGATGTTTGCTCAAGGACTCCAAGCATCAGGGCTGCTGCCCTGTCCGCTGGGTGTCCCCAGACACGTTGCCTCCATGCGGGCTGGCGCTCATCTGCCTCTGCCTCAATCCTCCAGAGAGCACCTCTGGCACTCCTGACACAGGACAAACCAAAGCCCCCCTGCAGCTCAGAAACGCTATTTTGATGCCTCCCCCACCCCCTGCCTCTTCCCAGGTCATGAGTCAAGCCACTGCTTGAAGGAGCTCCTCCCTCAGGCCAGGCACTGTGCCAGCTGCCATCAGCTGCATAGCTGGGCCTATTTCTCTTGTTCGCTGTGGTTACAGGTGGAATCATGCCCCACCCCCAAACCTCAGGGCAGGACACCCGGTGTCCCTTGTCTCTTCCAGAGGGTCACCTGTGCCCTCATGCAGCAGCTCTGGTAGACACATTCTTCCGGTAACCCCATCTCCTCTTCCGCAGGGCCAGCTCAGGAACATCCACTGCCCCCCACTCCTCTCCTGGTATCCCCGCAGGCACAGCGGCAAAGCAACCCTTTCCCACACATCTTCCCATCTGCCCCTGCTCACTGCTGCCAGGGAGGTGCCACCTCCACGCTTACCCACTCTCAGGAAAGGACATAATCCACCCTCCCTCCAAGAGCTCATGGACTGCCAGGATCCTAAACATCATCCCACACTCCTGCTGTGTGGGGGCAAGGCCTCTCCAAGTGCCCCCACTGGCTGTTGCCCTCCTCCAGTCCTGCCTGGGCCCCCATGCCAGACCTGCCTCAGCTCTCCTCTGTGGGAGGATGTAGTGGTTGAATTGTGTCCCCTAAAAAGAAATATTCAAAAAGACAAGCTCACAATCTCCAGTACCTGTGAATGTGCACTTATTTAGAAATCAGCTCTTTGCAGTTGTAGTGAAATTAAGAAGAGGTCATACTGGGCTGTAGTGGGCCCTAAATCCAATGAGTGTCCTTATTGGAGACAGAAAATGTCACATCGAGACAGAGAGGAGGAGGCCACGTGAAGATGCAGGCAGAGAGTGACGTGGCCATGAGCCAAGGAGAGCCAGGGATTGCTGGAGCCACTGAAGCTGGAGAAAGGCAGGGACCGATTCTCCCAGAGCCTTCCTATGAAACCAGCCCTGCAGTCACCTTGATGGCAAACTTTCGGCCTCCAGAACTCTGGGAGGATCAATTTCTGTGACTTTAAGTCCCCGGTTTGTGGTGCTTTACCGCGGCAGCCTCAGCGAACGCATGCCGAGGATGGCAACCACGACAGCAGCTGCAGCCCAGCCCAGGCCGGCCCTGCCACCCTCTCCTGCTGGATCCTTCCCTGGGACAGCCCAGGCCTCGCTTCCAGGGAGAGGGAAGCACAGGGGACAGGGTGAGGGGCAGGGCAAGGTAGGCTCCACGACCGTGTGGAGCCGGCCCAGGGAGGGAGAACCCCCAGACGCATTTGGCACCCCAAGGGGAGACGGACCTCGGATTGAACCACACCTTGATATGTGTACTTGGGATTTGTCTTTTCGGGAGAGGGAGAGGTCAAAAAATAAAATAGAATTCCAGCTTTAGGGCAAATGACTGAGACCATCAATTCATGTGTAGGTATTGACTGAGGTTGATCATTTTGACTCTCAAACTGTGGTTGTAAATGATAATCGCCATGAATTCTGCAAATGATTGATGGTGCAACAGTTTAAATCCCTAGGAAGGAGTTGGCTAAGATTCTGTCAACACAACTTCAAGCCCTCGGTGTTTTTGGCTTCTTCAGGAGAACTGGATGATGGAAAACATTTTTTTTTTTCTTTTTAATCATAGCTGCCTGAATTGCTCATCATTGCTTAGACGGCTTGTGAAGGCAAACATATTGCCCCATAAATTCTCAACTGTCCTGTGCAGAGCGTCATGAGTCACCCGGGGTTCTTAAGGATGAATGGATGGTGGAGCGGCTTCTCAGGAAGATTAGCGAGAAGTCACGGCTGCGCTTGCCAGGCCAGGCCTCTGCAGAACTGACTCACGTGGACAAGGAAACAGCATCAGGGTAGGCGGCCTGACACGGAACTTTGAGAGCAGCGATTCTGCAACCTTCCACATAGGCGTACCCCCATGTGTCGGGGCGTCTCCCCATTTTGTTGTTGCTTTTTCTTATAGGTATGTACAGTAAGTCTTCACTTAACTTGCTTGATAGGTTCTTGGAAACTGTGACTTTCGGCAAAATGACATATAATGCAACCAGTTCACCACAGGTTAGTTGACGTAAACAAGAGTTAAGTTCTTAAGGCATATTTTTGGTCGCGAAAACATCGCCAAATTTTTATTGTTGGTCTTATTTTTATTTATTTATTTATTTTTTTGCTTTTTGTTTTTTTGAAACAGTATCTCCCTCTGCTGCCCAGGCTGGAGT
This sequence comes from Homo sapiens, assembly GCF_000001405.40. Classification (NCBI taxonomy): domain Eukaryota; kingdom Metazoa; phylum Chordata; class Mammalia; order Primates; family Hominidae; genus Homo; species Homo sapiens. The sequence continues at coordinate 41,630,005 of NC_000021.9, read as the reverse complement.
GCAGTGGCACAATCATGGCTCACTCTATCCTCCACCTTCCAGGCTCAAGTGATCCTCCCACCTCAGCCTCCCCAAGTAGCTGGGACCACAGACACATGCCACAGCACCCAGCTAATTTTTAAATTTTTGTAGAGATGAGGTCTGGTCTCAACTCCTGGTCTCAAGCAATCCTCCTCCCTTGGCCTCCGAAAGTGCTGGGATTATAGGCATAAGCCATCACACCTGGCCCAAATTTTGAAATAAAGATCAAAACACTTCTAATATTAAACATCGAAACAAATATGAGCTTTTCATACATTTAAGAAAAATTAAAAACTGGTAACACTATTGAAAGCAATCTGCAGATTTGGTACAATCTCTGTCAAAATAGTTCACAGGAATAGAAAAAAAAATCTTAAAATTTGTATGGAACCCCAAAAGACCCCAAATAGCCAAAGAAATCCTGAGCAAAAAGAACAAAGCTGGAGGCATCACACTGCCTGACTTCGAAATATATTGCAAGCCTATAGTAACCAAAACAGCATGGCACTGGCATAGAAACAAACACATAGACCAATGAAACAAATTATCGACAGAAATTAATCCATGTATCTATAGTGATCCGATATTTGACAAAGGCACCAAGGACACTCATCAGGGAAAGTGTGGAGTCCTGATAAGATAAGTAAGCAACAATCAGGAGGGACCCCAGGTGGGGAAGGGCCCCAGGTGGGGAATAACAACGAACAATTATTCTGAGAGATGGCCAATCACAAACAACCGGATGACAGGATGACAATGACCTAGTTCCTGGTGGCCCCAGCAGCATGACCTCCTTTTGTTGGCCCCTCCAGCATGACCCTATAAAACTTCCCTCCAGCCCCTGCCTTTTTGTAGACAGCCCATTGCAACCTTGCAACCTTGCAACATATTCTCATACCTTCTCTAATAAATCTGCCTTTCTTTACCTACTACTCTCTTGGCAAATACCTTTACCACCTGCGACACCAGCCCTAGCTAGTCACCACCCGTGACAGAAAGGCAGAAATCTGCCTTCTTTACCTTTTTTCATGTATGTGTTGGCCATTTGTATGTCTTATTCTCGGAAATGTCTGTCACATCATTTGCCCATTTTTAAATTGAATTGGTTTTGTTGTTGTTTTGCTCTTGAGGTGTTTGAGTTCCTTGTATATTCTGGATACTAATCTTTCATCAGATGAATACTTTACAAATATTTTCTCCTATTCTGTAGATTGTATTTTCATTTTGTAGATTGTTTCCTTCGCTCTGCAGAAGCTTTTTAGTTTGACATAATCCCATTTGTTTATTTTTGCTTTTGTTGCCTGTGCTTTTGAGGTCTTATTTGTAAAATCTTTTCCCAGACCAATGTCCTAAAGCATTTCCCTGTTTTGTTTTTTCTAGGAGTTTTATAGTTTTGGGTCTTGCCTTTGAGGTCTTTGATCCATTTTCAGGTGGCTTTTGTATGCAGTGAGAAGTGGGGGCCTAGTTTTATTCTGCTGACATCTGCACTCCCAGTGTTTATTGGAGCAATATTCACAATAGCTGAGATATGGAATCCTGGCTTGTGTCCAACAACAGATGAATGGATAAAGAAAAACGGGGCGTATATACACCATGGAATACTATTCAGCCATATGTAAGAATGAGATCCTGTCATTCACGGTAATGCCCTTCCATTGCAGGATCAGATCCACATCCACACTCACTCCAGACAAACGGAACTGGAGAGCATGATGCTGAGTGAAACAAGCCAGGAACAGAAAGCTAAACCCTGCACGCTGTCACTCACACACAGAAGCTAAAAAAAGTGGATCTCATAGACATAAAAAATAGAACAAGGGGCCAGGTGTGGTGCCTCATGCCTGTAATCCCAGCACTTTGGGAGGCCGAGGCGAGTGGATCACCTGAGGTTGGGAGTTCGAGACCAGCCTGACCAACATGGAGAAACCCCGTCTCTACTAAAAATACAAATATTAGCCGGGCTTGGTGGTGCATGCCTGTAATCCCAGCTATTTGGGAAGCTGAGGTAGGAGAATCACTTGAACCCGGGAGGCAGAGGTTGTGGTGAGTGGAGATTGCACCATTGCACTCCAGCCTGGGTAGCAAGAGTGAAACTCTGTCTCAAAAAAACAAAAACAAAAAAGTAGAACAGGGGATGTTGGAGGCTGGGAAGGATAGGGGGAAGAGGGGGAAAGAGAGAGACTTGTTAAAGGACATAAAATTACAGCTAGATAGGAGGAATAAGTCATCATGCTCTATACAACTGTGGGATGACTATGGTTAATTATAATATATCATAGAGTTTCAAATAGCTACAGGGAGGATATGAATGTTACCACACAAACACATGACAAATGCTTGAGATGAGGGCTGGGTGCATTGCCCTGATCTGGTTACCATCAAATGGTTTGCACATGTTCTTCTACTTGTGTCATATTTAACAATAAAGAAGTTTCCCCATCTTTAGGCTGGGCGTGGTGGCTCATGCCTGTAATCCTAGCACTTTGGGAGGCTGCAGCAGACTGATCACTTGAGGTCAGGAGTTTGAGACTAGCCTGGCCAACAGAGTGAAACCCCGTCTCTACTAAAAATACAAAAATTAGCTGAGTGTGGTGGCGGGCGCTTGTAGTCCCAGCTACTCGGGAGGCTGAGGCAGGAGAATCACTGGAACCCTGGAGGCAGAGATTGTAGCCAGCTGAGATTGAGCCATTGCACTCCAGCCTGGGTGACAGAGCGAGACTCCATCTCAGAGAAGTTTCCCCATCTTTAACAGTCTGAAACCATTGCTTTAGTCCACTCACTCTCTTATACATCATATGGATGGAAACATTACCACGTACCCCACAAATATGTACAATTATTATGTGACAATTTAAAACATTTAGAAAAACAAACAAAAAACAAGTAAGATAACTATGTACCCAATTATTTCAGTTCAGGGTGGAGTGTCTGGAGCTTCTCCTGGCAACTCTGAGTGGAAGGTGGGAGCCAGCACGGACAGGACACCCTTCCATCAAGGGGCGCACCCACACCCACGTTCCCTCAGATGGGGACAATTTAGACCTGCGAATTCACCTAATGTGCACAGTTTGGGCTGCAAGAGGAGAACACTAGCGTGGACACTGGGGGACTGTGCAGACTCCACACAAACAGTGGCCCCTGGATGGGGAGTGATTTCTTTTGTCTCATCAACATTGTAATACAATGACATTGGATAAAATGACGTTATTTGGGGACCTGCTGCACTGCATACATGGGGACATCATGTAAGTGCAGAGGAGTAAACCTAGGTCCCCCTCTCTCTAAGCATGTAGTAGAGTACATACAGGTGTACACTGATCTACTTTATGTATAATGTAGCCAGTGGACTAAAGCAACAATTTTCAGACTTTTAAAGGTGGAGAAACTTCTTTATTGTTAAATAACGACACACATAGAAGAACGTGCACAAAACAAACAAACAAACCAAAACACAACTCAATAGCGATCACAAAGCAGACCCCTGTGGCCAGCACTGACAAGCCCTGCCTCCATGTTGCCTTAAGAAAAAGAAACACCTGCTGGAGAAAAAAAGCAATCCTCTATTTCGGAAAACATGCTTAGGTGGTAAATTATAAAGGAAAGCAAAAGAGTTATTACAGCAAAAGTTCTCTGGGTAGAAAAGAGAGGAGTGGGGCGGAGGGGACTGGGATTGGGAAGGAACACAGAGCAATGAGGACCTTGTTGGCCCCAGGCTCTCTGTGTGCCCATCCCCGCCCGGTGCTCTGTGCAGCAGGACTTTGTTCTTCTTCATGGCTGGGTGGTGTGGTACTCTGCTGTGGGATTCCATTGTGAATGCTCTTCTGGACTGTCTCAGTCTGGGGCTATGATGATATGTTGCCATAAACTCTCTGGGTCTTGCTAGGGAGTGTGTGAAGGCCGATGCATTCTCCCCTTTCTCCCTTCGTTCTTCTCTCTCCCCTGCCCATCCTCCTTCCCTCTCTTTCTTTCTCCCTCCCTTTTTTCCTGCTTCCGGGGACAGGACTGTGAGGCCCTGTCTGCTCCTGACTGGGGCAGCTTGGGGACCCCACCAAGGCTGCACCCGGGAAAGCAAACCTGTGTCTGATCTCCCGAATGCCTGCAATGGTGCCTCTTGCCCAGTGCTTCCTCCTCCCAGCCCACTGAGGGTGCACACTAGACCCGATTTTCAGCCTTGGCTACCAGATCTTTTCCTCCTCAGCAGAAATATGCATGATGCGATTTGTAAGGAGCAGCCTGTGACCTTGACCTTGGGATCCGTAAAGGGCCCAGGCTTTGCTCAGGTGATTCTTGTCTGGATGACCCCCTCCCCTACTCCTTCAGACCCTGTGCATCCAGCTCACCTTCTCATAACCCACCTCCTCCAGGAAGCCTCCTGGGGTTTCCCTAACCCCTGTACACTCTCCTTCTCATGCTCCCGGTGCCTTGGGATCTACACTGCACCCCCTGTCCCCACTCTGTGTGCAGGAGGATGGGTGTGTGAATGCTACCAAGTTGTTTCATTTCTCACCAGGCTAAAAATGTTCACATCTTCTGATTGGACAGTCCAAGTTCTAGAACTCTATTCACATAAATGCTACCAGAAGTGCTTCAGGATGAATGGACAGGCTGTGTTGAGTGTCTAAACATGGGCACATACCTTCAATACAGCATCTGGTTATGGAGAGCCAAGATCTCACCATTGCACTCCAGCGTGGGCAATAAGAGAAAAACTCTGCCTCAAAACAAGCAAGCAAGCAAACAAACAAAGAAAGAAAACTGAGACAGTTAAGTGGGAAAAGCGAGTTTCAAGCAACAAGCCTAGCATAGTTCCACGTTTAGAAAAAACCCAGACTCCCACGAGTGTCAGGGCTGTGTGCATGGGAACAGCTCAGGAAGGGCACGTGGTCAGCTGTGTTAGGATTGACCCAGAAAGTACAGTGGGGAACCTTCCATCACTTCCTTTATACAGTTTGTATTGTTCAAACTTGTTATAATAGGCATGTGCTTACTTTCATAATTAAAAAGTAACAATAAAATGTTGAATGAAATAAAACAATTTGTTAAAACCTATGGAAATGTACTACACAAAGAGTGAAACCTAGCGTGAACTATGAACTGTAGTTAATAATCTATCAATATTGCTTCATCGGTTGTATCCAATGGAGCACACTAATTAATGCAAGATGCTGAATATAGGGGAATGTATGTGAGGGAGAAGGAATATGGGGAGACTCTCTGCACTATCTACATAATTTTCCTATAAACCTGATATGGTTTGGCTCTGTCCCCACCCAAATCTCAACTTGAATTGTATCTCCCAGAATTCCCACTTGTTGTGGGAGGGACTCAGGAGGAGGTAATTGAATCATGGGGGCCGGTCTTTCCCACACTATTCTCATGATAGTGAATAAGTCTCACGAGATCTGATGGGTTTATCAGGGGTTTCCGCTTTTGCTTCTTCCTCATTTTCTCTTGCCACCACCATGTAAGAAGTGCCTTTTGCCTCCTGCCATGATTCTGATGCCTCCCCAGCCATGCGGAACTATAAGTCCAGTTAAACCTCTTTTTCTTCCCAGTCTTGGGTGTGACTTTATCAGCAGCATGAAAAAGGACTAATACAAAACCTAAAACAGTTATAAAAACAAAGATTATTTTTAAAAAGAGAGAAATAGATAACTAGTGGATACTCAGAGTAGAACAGAAATTAACAATTTTTTTTTCCTGCGAAGGGCCAGATGATACAGTAAATAATTTTGGCTTTGAGGGCCATGAGGCCTCTGTGGAAACGACTCACATTTGCAGTTGTCTTGTAAAAGCAGCCTTAGGCAGTGTGTAAGTGAAGGAGTGTAGCTGCGTTCCAATAAAACTTTATTTACAAAAATAGGCGGCAGGGCCAGGGCTGTAGTTTCCCAGCCCCTCGTGCAGAAGCAAGGAAGGGTTTGGGTAGGTTTTTCATCAGATCAAGGAAAAAGCCGAGAAGTCACCCACTCATCTCCGACGAGCTAGGAACCCCAGAAAACAGTGAGATTCTTTTCCTTGCTGTGGTAGCTGGGTTTTATCACATTTATAGCAGCATAGATTTTAAAAATGGACTTTCTAGTTCAGTTTCACATTGTCTGACCTCAACAGAACTGAGGGTCATTAAAGGTTGAGGATACAGAGAGTGCTGATAATTTAGTTAGACAAGATTCTTCAAAAAATAATTGTTCTGCTCCCTCTGGGCCATTGCACCAGCTCCTCTGCCGTCTGCAAGGATTTCTCCTTCTGCAGATGTGGCCGTATGATTTCCAAGGTCCAGGACTGCCATAGCTTGGTATGTGGGTTCTTGCTCTGGGGAGCTTGGAAGCTCTGGTGAAAGGGTCAGCTGCAGAAAACTGTTGTTTTCATTTCATGAGAAAGATGAAGAAGAGAAATTACACAAAATGCTTTTGGTAAATCGTGAAGTTGTGTGGACAGAAAGGAAAAACGTTAGGAGTTCTCATTCTCAGCGTTCACTCTGCAAAGACTATGGGGAGAAGAACAGATGAGACAATGGCCCCGTTATTGGTCTTGTCATGAGTCAGGTCCGAAATACGTGGTATCTATTCAGTATCTCATGGAATTCTCACAGCAGCTCTATGGATTAGGGATGAATGTACCCATTCTGCAGATGAGAAGCACAAGGCTTAGAGAAATTGAGTACGTTTTCCAGGAAATTATAGCTTTAAAACTGCTAAATATTGGAGCTGATCTGAATCCACAGTCCGCCCAGGAACCACCTCTAGTGAGGGAAGTGTTGTGACCGTGTTTCCTTCCTGTTCAAGTTGGCCTCAAATGCCCGGCTCTGGGTCTGCCTGCATCGGTGTGCGTGTTCCATGAACGGTGACACACGTGTGAGTGTCACCACCTCAGCGGCGGCCTGCTCTGCTGACTCAGCCCCCACGAGGGCCACCCTGGGCTGAGCCGCCCATGCCCTGAGCCACGAGGGATTTTCCGCAGTCCTGAGTCAGATCAGAGGCCAGGAAGGGCTGCTCAGAAATGAGCTTCGTGGGTGAGCTCACGCTGGCAGGGGAGGCTGGGGAGGCCAGTGCCGCAGAGGTGAGAGATGGGAGAGGTTTTGTTCACGGTCACCGGTGCCGTTCCACCCCTCCACTGCCGCTTTCTCCTGTTACAGCCACACTCTGAGAGCTTTGGACCCATCTCCTGCCCATCCTGGCTGAGCAGGATTGGGCGGTAGCTCCCTGCTTCTCACCCAGTGGGCGCTCAGTGCTGTCTGCTGAATGAGATGACCGTGTCCAAGCCTCGGGTGTCTCTTGCCTCTCCTCCACAGTGTATGTACTGGCTGAATAGTGTCCCCCAAAATTCGTGTCCACCTGGAACCTCAGAATGTGACCTTTATTGGAAATAGGGTCTTTGCAGGTACAATTAATTTAATTAAAATGAGATCATAGTGTATTAGGGTGAGCCCTAAATCCTATATGACTGGTGTCTTTACAGAAAGAGGAGAACAGGCACAAAACACACAGAGGGGAGACAGCCACGCAACAGCAGAGTCAGAAATGAAGCAATGTGCCCCCAAGCCGAGGAACGCCAGCTGCCATCAGAGACTGGGGAGATGAGGAATGACCCCCGACCCTGGAGCCTTCCGAGGGAGCAGGGCCCAGCGGTCTCTGCTTGTCCCCGTTCTTTCAATCTGCTTCCAGATTCCATCAGGAAATCTTGGTTTCGGGATCCTAGCCTCCAGAACTGTGGGAAGATGAATCGTTTTTGTTTTAAGCCCCCAAGCTTGTGACGATTTTTTAGGACAGGACACTCACATGGTGTATACACAGGCTCTCCCCGAGCAGAAGGTCACAAATCCTATCCATGAATCAACCAGGCAGGGCACATTTTCCTTCCCTCTTACCTTGTTGCAACTGGCTAAGTAACTGAGTTAGGAAAGAAGAAAGAGAAGTAATAATAGTAATAATAATCATATAGACCGAAGCCCTCCTGGCCCTATTATAAGTGGAGGGGTCCAGACCCAGTGGCCGTCTTTGTCTCCATAAGGGGGAAGACTTGCTTGCCCAGAAGACCCGGATTGTCCAGAGAGAATTCCTCTCTCCCGAGTTCCTGGTGTGCTTGTGAGAACGGGCCTCAGCTCGTAGAAAAATGGGTTCAGAGAGCGGCAGGAGCTGGCTGTCCCGGCTTCTCTGCCTTCGGGGTGAAGCTGGTTGGGGGAGGGAATGTGCTTGTCCTGGGGTTCCCCAGGATGACGGGTCTGGGTTGTGGATTTCCAATACCATTCTGAACAAGCTGCGTTCAGGCAGCTGCTTTTGGGCGGGGTCCAACGGGGAGAGGCGGGTGTTGGTGTACATCTGGGTAAGACCAGGCTTTGAACCCCAGCTCCCCCAGTCATTGGCTCCTGTTATTAAATAAGAACAGCTGCCTTATCTGGCATTGAAAGACACAGAGTTAATCTAAGTAAAATATCCAGCACACAATACAGTCTTAGTAAATTTTTTTTTTTTTCCCGAAACAGAGCCTCATTCTGTCACCCAGGCTGGAGTGCAGTGGTGCGATCTCTGCTCACTGCAACCTCCATCTCCCGGGTTCGAGCAATTTTCATGCCTGAGCCTCCCAAATAGCTGGGATTACACATGTGCGCCACCATGCCAGGCTAATTTTTTGTATTTTTAGTAAAGACGGGGTTTCACTACGTTGGCCAGGCTGGTCTTGAGCTCCTGACATCAAGTGATCTGCCAGCCTTGGCCTCCCAAAGTGCTGGGATTGCAGGGGTGAGCGCCCAGCCAAAGGTTGCTTTTTAAAGGATTCCTCACAAAGTAACAGAGGTTATTAATTTGCGCAATATGTTTTAAATTCTTTTTATAAGACCTCATCATCGATTTCCTAATGGAATCTGGAAGCAGATTAAAAGAACGGGGACAAGAAGAGGAATTGACCTTGTTCCTCACACACTGAAACGTCCCTTGGGCTTACCACTTCTTTATTGATTTGTTGCTAAACATGCACGTGAATATTTGAGTAGATAGACCACTGGCCCCAAATGCTGCCCCTGCCCACTGCCATCTCCTCAGCTGGGCCCTGCAGACATCACCAAGACTAAAGGGAAGGAGAAAGACTCTAACCCTTGGCAAAGCCAGTGACTGACAGCTGCAAGGCTCAGGGTGGCCGCAGCCGGGGAGAGGTACCTGGGCAGGTGCCATCCAAGCCTCGGACTTCCCTCAAACCAGCACCCCTGGGACCCGCCCCCCATCTTCTTGGTTGGCCATGCATCAAGAGTGGCCAGGCACTTCCGGGGCCAGCTGGGTGGGTTAGAGAAAGGTTTTCCTCTGAGCTGGAGGCAGTCAGGCTTGCAGCCCCCAACTGGCACCCCACACACCTCAGGAGCAGGACCCTGGAGCTGGAGGGGCATACACCACCCTTGCCCTTTGTGCAAGTGGCAGAGGCTCAGACGGGACAGCAGGCTGAGGGCCTTGGGGGTGCCAAGTGCTGTCCTGGTGGAAATGAACTTGAGACCCATGACACCGGGCAGGGTGGGGAGGGAAGTCACCTCCCCTTTACTAAACAGCTATAGCAGGAGAGACAGGGCTTGTGGTGGAAGAACAAGGTGTTTGCTCACCCATGTGTGTGGCTCCTTGGCCAGCGATGACCTCCATTCACTGGTTCATTCATTCACTCATCATTTCCTGTTCTCTCTGCCTGGAACTTTCTTTTGGACACCGACATTTCTATGTCCTGCCCTTCCTTCAGTTTCTGCTCAAATGCCCCCTTAGAGATGGCTGTCCTGTGGCCACCCCAAAGACCACAAACCACAGAGCATGTCTCAGCATAGGGGTTGGACAGACACCTCTCTGAACCAGGATACCTGCTCCTCAGTCTTCCTGCCTGGAATTGATGCCTCCCGTTCTGCCACCGGGGAGGAATCTGCCCTCTCTCCTCCTTCCCTCTGGAGACAAGTGGGAAAGGGTGGAGGAAGCAGCTCGAACGGAAACCTTCATCTCCGCTTTAGTCTCCAGTGCCATACCCAGTTGTCTTTCTTCATTACACCTCCATGTGCTAATTGCCTGTCTCCTCCAGTGAAAGATCTGCTCACAGCAGTGAGGACCTGTAGGGCTCCATCACTGCTGTATCACCAGCCCCCAGAATAGTGCCTGGCACCCTGTGCACACTGATAGAGAATTTAAAAATTATCGTGCTTTCTCACCATCTGTATTCGTCCATTTTCACGCTGCTGATAAAGACATACCCAAGACTGGGCAATTTACAAAAGAAAGAGGTTTATTGGACTTACGGTTTTACGTGGCTGGGGAGGCCTCACAATCATGGTGGAAGGCGAAAGGCACGTCTCATATGGCGGCAGACAAGGTAAGAGAGGTTGTGCAGGCAAACTCCCCTTTTTAAAAGCATCAGATCTCATGAGACTCATTTACTATCATGAGAACAGGGCAGGAGAGGCCCGCCCCCATGATTCAATCACCCCCTATCTGGGTTCCTCCCATGACATGTGGGAAGTGGGAGTTACAATTCAAGATGAGATTTGGGTGGGGACACAGCCAAACCATATCACGATCTCTATGGAGTAGAAAGTGAAAATCTTTCATAATCCTAAACCTCCTCCCAAACTGATCATTTAACAATTTGCTGTATGTTCTTCCACATTTTAAAGCAGATGTTAATTTTTAAAAACAACCATGGATGCTGTTATATTTAGCATTTTGCAACGTGCATAGCAATATATCTCAAACGTCTTTCCACATAAGTACAATACTTGACTTGTTCTTTCAAGTCATATACTGTATTCCACTGGTAGATGTGCCATAGCTTATGTGATAAAAACTTTGCTGATAGAAGTTCAGGTTGTTTTCAAATTTGGCTCTTCTAAAGCATACTGTAATAAATAGAGAGTACACACACACACACACACACACACACACACACAAATAAATACACAGTACACATGCTTTCATGTCTTTGTGTAATGATGGAAACATTTCAGAAGCTGATCAATGGATCTGAAGAGTTTTAATTTTATTAGACATTGCTAACCTGCTCTCCCAAAGACTGCGCCAGTTTATACTCTGTCTTAGCCATCTCAGGCTGCTCTAACAAAATACCATGTCCAGGTGGCTGAAACTACAGACACTTATTTTCTCTTTGTTTTGGAGGCTGGAAGTCTGAGATCAGGGTGCCAGCGTGGTTGGGTTCTGGAGAGGACTGTCTTCCAGGTTTTCAGACGGCCGCCTTCTCACAGGTTCTCACAAGGCCTTTTCTGGGGCATTTGCGGAGACAGATAGATAGATAGATAGATACACAGAGACAGATTGATCGATCGACCTTTCTCTTCTTATAAGGGCACTAATCCCATTATGAGGGTCCTACTCTCTTGACCTCATCTAAACCTAACCACCCCCAAAGGCCCTATCTGCAAGTACCATCACATTGGGGGTTAGGGATTCAACATACAAATTAAGGAGGGATATGAACATTCGTAGAGGCCCTAACACAGCCCTCAGCCCTCCATCCGTGTCCTGAGCACGCTCCTTAGTCCTATATGCATCAGCAAATGAGTCATACTTTTAGGTCTTTATTGGCAAAGTTTTTAACACTTTTTTGGAAACAGGTTAATCTCATGGTGTTGTCTTTTTTTTTTTTTTTTTTTTTGAGACAGTCACTCTGTTCCCCATGCTGAGTACAGTGGTGCAATCTCGTCTCACTGCAACCTCCACCGTCTTGGTTCAAGCGATTCTCCTGCCTCAGCCTCTTGAATAGTTGGGATTACAGATGTGTACCACCACCATGCCAGGCTAATTTTTGTATTTTTAATAGAGACGAGGTTTTGCCATGTTGGCCAGGCTGATCTTGAACTCCCGACCTCAGGTGATCCACCCGCCTTGGCCTCCCAAAATGCTGGGATTACAGGCGTGGGCCACCGCGCCCGGCTCATGGTGCTGTCTTGAGTGCTTTCATTCTGTGTTTACACTGTGTGTGTGTGTGTGTGTGTGTGTGTCTGCGCATGTGCTTGAGTGTGTGTTACATACATGATTGGACCCGTTGGGTGAACTTCTTCAGTGGTCGGACACCGTGCAACCTCATTACTCTGCTTTCACTGGATCAACACTGGAAAACACACACTGGGTAGCCATGATCATGTTGGCATCTGGTCCAAATGAATCAATGAAGGCTGTGTAGCCTACCACATCAAACAAGCCCTGGTCACCCTGACATGACGCTTGGGGAAAGCAGACCCCACAGTCTTGCCCTGCACTGCAGCAGGGGGAACCACTCTCCTACAGGGACAGGCGACATATGTAAATTCTGCCTCTCTTCCTAGAAACCACGGCAACTCATTAACAATAAGGCTAGTGAAAAAAAATACAGTGTAGATTTTCTTACTACAAGTTAATTTTTATTATATTTTTGAGTGGACTCATATTCTCGGGATCATCAAAGTAATAGATTAGAGGATAAACTGAGCTCTTTGTTAAAAAAGAGAAATAATAACAACCATCACTCAAAAGAGGGTCATTATTCTCAAAATCAAAAGGACTAAATCTATAAGTAAAATATAGAACACAAATATGGGTATTTTAAAAATGTGAACCCAGCATTGGTGACTCAGTTTTAACAAAATAGCATAATCCATCAAATTAAGCTTACATTGTTAATTTGAAATGTATTGGTGTTGTATTCTAATTTCATTGATAAATCTCTTTGATTTTTATTTACATAAGACCTATCATGGCTGGGTAATGTGCCACACACCTGTGGTCCCAGCTACTCAGGAGGCTGAGATGGGAGGCTTACTTGAGCCCAGGTGATTGAGGTTGTAATGAGCTGTGATCACACCACTGCACTCCAGCCTGGGCAACAAGCAAGACTGTCTCTAAAAAGAAAAGAAAAGAAAAGAAACAACAAAACAACAAAAAACTAAAAGAGCTATCAACGTAATATATTTGTAAGTCCTCTAGTGTTGCCACACATACAAGTAGCAGTAAAATAAAAATACTTTAACAAAAACTTAGGAGTCCACAGGATTTTTTTAAAAAGAGGATCTCTAAATGTAAGCTTGGGAAATGCTGGTTTAAGGCAGACTAAGCTGAAGGTTACACATCTCAGGCTTAGTCTGACTTGGAGAGGTGGGAAGTTTGTTGGAACTGGTGAGAGATCCCAGGAGCTGTGAGAATTCCCGCTCGCAGCTTTGACTGTAGCTCTGAACAACTTACTTCATTCACAGGATGGAGCCCAGGTGTATTAGGCAGTGAGTGGAGGAATCTAGTCTTCAGACGAGGGGCAGACCAGAGCTAGATTAGGGGCTCTTGGAATTATCCTCTTAGACCACTGAAGTGTAGGAAGGGAAGCCAAGGCACGTGGCCAGACCATGGCATTGGAGTGGGAGATGTCAGAGGGGACAGGGCTGTGACTCAGGAGTCATTCAGGCCCCACATCTGACCCCGTGGTCCCAGGAGGTCTGCCTGCTGACTGGGAGACCACTGCCCTGCCCAAGCGCTTTCTACCTTGGTCCTGAGGGCTCTGTCCTGGGGATGCTGCCAGAATCACAGGAGACTCTGTCCCGGAGGGCTGGGAAGGCAGCTGGCAACTGAACAGCCCATTGGCCATCCTGCCTGGCTGGACATGTGGGTTGTCTTTCATTTGTTATGACTAAGAATAGCACATTACCTCTTAAAAACTTTCCAGGCCTAGAAAATCTTCCCCACTCATTGGGGAGCAGGATGCTGGGCTCCTGATTAAATGCTTATCCTGGCACTTGAGCAGATTTGAATCTCTTTTTAAGGAATCTTTGGCCTTTCCCACAGGCAAGCTGCCCACAGCATGGGGAAGAGCGGCCGGTGCTCGCGTGAGGACGTCTCCAGCTCATCTGCTCCTGTATCTGAGAGCTGATGGCTGCTTTTGCATCTGCTTACTGGAACATTTTGCTTCCTTTATAATCAGCAACACAGAATATGGAATTGGCATCATTCTTGGGCTACATGGACTGATTTCTAGTTCCTGCCAAAAATATGTTTGAAACATCACTGAACAGACATTGTCTAAAAGTCTTGCTATCCATTTTTATTTTCCCAGTTTCATGTTGCTTCAAGTTAAAAATCATGAGAAAGCAGCAAACTGATTATTTTAGCTCCCCAAAATAAATTACTTTACTGAGTCATAAGTTAATGCAGTATCCTTGCATTCCATTTAGAGCCAGTATAAGAATGTTCCCCCAGTCTTCTGCCAAACCACACAGAAAGATGGAGTCTCAAATGAAAGTCTACGCAATATGCTTCTTCTGGATTGGCAACAACACAAAAGTGAGACATACACTCCCTTAGGCAGGCAGTGGGGAAACAGATACTTTCACATATTGCTGGCAGAGTACAAATTGGAGGCAAAGTGGCAATTTCCAGCAAAGCTATGAATGCATATCCACCTTTTGACCAGACGCTTATGCTTCTGGGAATCTGCCCTCCAGCTCTGTTTGCACATGTGCAAAATGATATTGTGCATGAGATGATTTCTTGTGGCATTTTAAATAATGGTGAAAGACTGGAAAGAAGCCAAATATTCCTTTTTCTTTTCTTTGAGACAGGGTCTTTCCCTGTTGCCCAGGCTGGAGCTGGAGTGCCATGGCAGGAGTCACAGCTCACTGAAGCCTCGAACTCACTGACTCAAGCAATCTTCTCACCTTAGCCTCCCAAGTAGCTGGGACTACAGGTGCGCACCAACACATTTGGCTAATTAAAAAAAATTCTTTAAAATATCTTTTAAGTACAGTGTCTTGCTATGTTGCCCAGTCTGGTCTCAAACTCCTGGCCTCAAATAATCTTCTGGCTTCAGCCTTCCAAAGTGCTGGGATTACAGATGTGAGCCCCTGGCCAGAAGCCAAATATTCTTAATAGAGGAGTAGCTAAACCTTTACAGAACTCCCCCACTATAAAATACTATTTACCTGTGAAAAATAATAAGGGGGTTCTCTATATGGATGAGCAGAATCATGGCCCCCAAAATGTGCCTGTTCTAATCTCTGGGACTTGTGAATATGTGACCTTATGTGGCAAAAGCCATTCTGTAAAGGTGATTTAGATCCAGATCTGCCTCACTCTGAAACCCCACTCCCCCACTGTGGCCCCGAGCCTGGCTAGAGATGCCGCCTGCTCCCTGTTGGACACGGTGGACCCGCCAGCATCCCCCTTGCCCACCCTGCACTGAGTGCGGGGGAGGAGGCTGCACAGACCACTCTGTGTCTTGCATTCCTGTCACTCCACCGTCACCCACACACGCAGGGCCTGAGGGCTGTTGGAATGCACCTGTTCATAGGCACATGCATTTATTTAACGGCTCTGTGCTAAAGTGTAGATGAGGAGAAGGAGTTTGTGCCAGGGTGTATCAGCTTCCTGCAAACGACCACAAACTCAGCAGCATGAACAGCATATTTAATGCATTGCTGGAGGTCGGGAGTCTGTGACGGGTCTCACTGGGCTAAGACCTAGGGCCGGCTCCTCCTGGAGGATCCAGGGCAGAATCTGTTCCTCGCCTTTCTCAGCTTCCAGGGGCTGTCCTCATTTCTAGGCCCATGGGCCCTTCCTCCCTCTTCAAAGCCAATGACGTTGGATCAGGTCCTCACTGCCACACTTCTGGCTGCTAGTTCCCTTTTAAGAACACTGTGAGGACTCTGGGCCTGCGGGATCCCCCAGGATCTCCTCCTTAGGTTAAGGGTGGTGTTCACCAATCCAGTTCCACCTGCAACCCCAACTCCCCTCTGCATGTGATATGATGCACTCACGGCGAATAGGGCTAGGGTGGAGGCATCTTGGTGGAATGGTGGGGTCTTCACTCTGCCTGCCACACAGGAAACAGGTGGCATCCAGGACATTCCAAGCCCCCACGCTTCCTAGAATAAGACCCAAACTCTACCCAGGGCCATGATGGCACTGCAAGGTTACAGGCCCGATGGCCCCTCTGCCCCAACCTGGGTCCCTGGGGGACTGGAAGGAGCCGAGCTCTTCCCCACTCAGGTCTCCTTTCCGCTGTCCTCTGTGGGGGCTCTGCTGCTCCTCCTCCGGTTTCAGGCCTCGCTCCTCCCACTGTCCCTCTCAGGTGTGCTCCCCGCTGGGGCTTCTCCCGTGGCCTCTGCTCCGTTGCAGTTCCCATCGCCTGGTTTACTGCCCCCTTTCCTGGATTATGTGCTCCCTCCCAGAGGCATCAACCACACCTGCCTGTCTCTCACCATGCTGTGCCAAGCACAGACGTCAGCCTGACCAGCACGGAACAGGCCACCAGACCGTAAAATCCATGGCAACAATCACACCACGCATTTCAATGGCCCATTCGAAATTTCCCCAGTGTAATCAGGCCATCTTGGCATGCGTCTGGCGGCAGAGACCAGGGAGGTTTGCAGCCGACACTCTCCACATATCAAGCTGAAGTGCCCGTGTCTCGGCGCAGGCTCTGTCGTCCGCCCGTCACACCGTGGCTTATCTTTTCGTGTGTCTTCTGGGTTGAGTTCATCAGTGCAGAGGCTAAGACTGGTCTGGTCTCCATGGAGTATCTAACCCTGTGCCTGGTCATAGCAGGGATTCAATAAGGCACGTGTGCGGAATGGATGAATGAGCGGATGAATGAACAGAAGGAGCGAGCTGATTTACAAAGAGTGGTAGGGAGGGGCCAGGGGAGCTTCCATTCTCTGAACTCATGGAAATGCATGAAATTGCCCGGAGCATCCACAGCCAGAAGCTGAAACTGCAACCTCTTCCCATGAGATCTGCGTTTCCTGGGGCCTGTGGCCATCCTGGCCTCCCGTTCACGCACGCTGTAGGAGAGGCAGCCAGGCAGAGCGAGTCCCAGCCCGGTTGCCTGGGCTTGTTCCCAGGCCTAAGGAGCCAGCTTCCCACACTGTGCTCCAGGATCCCATCAGCTGCCGCAGCATCAAAGCCAGGTCCAGCCCCTGCAGCTAAAGTTGCTGGAGGCAGACACACATTCCTGGGTGTTTTGGCAGTAAGACTTCCCGGCAGAGGGCAGGGAAGGAATCTGGGAGGTGCCGCCTTTCTTATGAGGACACATTCTGAACCAAACTACACAGAAGCTGTCCCCCAGGCTGAGGCCCAGCCCTGGTTGGATGGCAGGGGCTGTGGGCACTGTCGGGGTCGGTGGGGCGGGGGGGTGCCCTGTGATGGACTGTGGAGCCACACTGCCCCCTGCCGTTAGTTCTGAGTGACGCTGTTCATTCTTCCCACCCAAATATTCTCCCAAATGTCCGCAGCCCTAGAGAGCTCGACCTCCAATCCTTGCTTTGCTCACACTCAGCCCCTTCAGCACTTCAGGAAGGCAGGGATTTGAACAACTGAACTCAAGGCATTTGGCAGGGGCCAGTTTTGCTAAGAAAAGAAAAGAAAATGCCTCTTTTATTGTTGCAATGCCCCAGACAAAGGCAGAGAACAGTTCATGTCACCCTCAGGAATACCTAAGGATACTGAGCACATGTCTAAATGGGATGAGAGGTGGGCGTCGGGAGTTCTACCGCCTGCCCCCTTTATTCCCTGAGAAGGGGCGTTGCCTTGTCTTCAGGATCTGTGTTTCTGGATGTCCACAGCAGACTGCATGACCTCCTTCTTAGGCAGATGTGGCAGGTGTGGCTACACCAGTCAAGACGGGGGAGAGAGCTCCCTCCTCTGGAAGCTTCAGTTCTGAGCCCAGGTGTTTGTCCTGCACTCAGGATATGCTGGTTTCTAGCAAACAGGAATCACAGAGAGACACTTACCTTCCGGTTGATGTGAGCGGTCATGAGTGCATGTCGGTGCATCTTCACAATGCAGAGAACCAGACCAGTCCACGCATAATATGTGGTGGCAGAGCCCCCACTGCCATGCATAACATGTATGTGGTGGAGCCCCAGCTGCCATGTGTAACTGATGTGATGGAGCCCCAGCTGCTGGGCTGCACCTCACAGTCTTGAGGAACTGGCACTTGTTGCCAAAGCTGGAGAGAAGGTGCCATGCCCAGGGCCTCCATCTTGCCTGTGGCCATTGCACCTTCCGCCTTACACTGAGACTCCCAACCCCCTTTGCACAGGACGCAGAGTGCCTCCAGATGTGATTGAAAAATTAAGGTGATATAAAACACAGTGCAATAAAACACACCGTCGTATACACTTAAGGCACAAGTGGAATCCTGAGGCAGAAGGACACCCATTGAGCACCCTCGAGAGGTCGCTCCTTGGGCTTCAACACCAGCACAGGAGGCTGTTCAGAAGGGGAAGCCCAGAAGGAAAGAAAGGGATGAAGCTGCTGTATCTGAGAGAATGGCATCTAAAAGGTGAGTGAGAATTCTGAGTCTTCTCTTTTTAAACAACTCTCTGGATGTGGTGTGGGCTTCAGTGGTTGCACCTGTTTGCTCAGGAGTATGTTCTGTATGGGAGGTGGAGGCTGTCTGCAGTGGTCAGCTGAGCCTTGGCTACCCACAAACGCTGCAAGGGCGGATTCCCTGGGAGAGGAGGGAAGACATTGTCTTGTAAGTCATGCTTTTGTAATACTCACTAAACAAAGATAATTAGACAAATATAAACAAAAGTAAACAGACAGGCCTCGGAGAAGTTTCTGAGATGTCCCAGCAGACATCCATCCTGGCAAAGCTAACAGGGACTGTCCAGCTCTCACGACCTGGAATTACACTTAAGACCTTTCTTCTTGAGGTGGCTCACCTACAACAACTTACTTTTGTATAATTTATAATTTATTGCATGCACCTTAATTCCCTCCTTAACTCATGAACCCCATTCTCATTTTTTCTCTTTGCTCCTGGCTTACTGCCCCCATCCTGTTATCTCTCCTTTTTTACTTTCTTTTCTTTTTCTTTCTTTTTTTCTTTTTGAGACGGAGTTTCGCTCTTGTTGCCCAGGCTGCAGTGCAATGGCGCGATCTCGGCTCACCGCAACCTCCCCCTCCCGGGTTCAAGTGATTCTTCAGCCTCAGCCTCCCAAGTAGCTGGGATTACAGGCGCACACCAGCACACTCAGCCAATTTTTTTGTATGTTTAATAGAGACCAGGTTTACTTTGTTGGCCAGACTGGTCTCGAACTCCTGACCTCCTGATCCAGCCGCCTCGGCCTCCCAAAGTGCTGGGATTAAAGGCGTGAGCCACCGCGCCCGGCCTCCTTTTTTACTTTCTAATGACCCTTTATATTGCACAAGACTGTTAACATCCTCCCATGAGGAGTTCTCAGCGCATTCCTGTAATTTGGACCATGAAACAGGGAATCAATCCTTTTTAGAAAGCAGAGGATTTAAATCACCTGAAGTCCTTGTGTTCCTTCTACCATTGACAATCGCCTCTAAGAAAGTAACAATCAAACTCCCCAAGCACCCCCCAGACTTTCTCAATACACAACTGTGGCGGTTGGTCTGGACCTTCTATCTGCTAGGGGACCGAGGACCTAGGGGACTGGACACGTAGACGTGTACCACACTGTCCCCTGCTGGCTGAAAGTGCTATGTCTCCCCTTTCTGCTCTCACTGCCCTGCTTCCTAGCAGCCGGCGTTGGCTGGACAGGGCTGTACACCTAAATCTTTAACAGCTCAAGAAAATGTCTTACTCCATAAAAGAAGGTTAGATTGCAATCGCAAGAGGCTCTTCAACTTATTCCCAGGTCTTTAGGGCAGTAAGTGCGATTGCACAGGCAATAAGCAGAGCTTGTTCTAGCATATGAAACACCTGACAAACTGCCTCCTATCGGCAGGCATTTGGGGACCCGTTACTACACCCTCCATGCTGCACGAGGCCAGACAGGGGCCTCAACAGCCTGAAGACAGTCCTTCTCCTTCAATGGCTCGACAGCCTTCCGCCCACCAAGTGCAGCACACAGATCTGCTTCTACCAGTTGCAGGAGACTGGAAGATTAACGAGATTTGTTCCCCAACGGTCGTCAACCCAAAGCTTTTGTGGGCCATGAATGCTGTCGTGTCCTGCGTGAAACTCTTATCCTGTTAGACCCTGCCCAGTGTACTGCATCTGATATGGACCACACCTGTTTCACATGCTGTATCTGAGTGGAGAGAGAAGAGGAATGGGAATTTTGTTTCTTGCCTGCCCCCTCCCTTCCAGGCCATCTTAACTGGAGACACATTAATTAACTGCCTCTCTTAGAGTGGCCCCATTCTAGGCCTGGTACCCAAATGTGAACACCATGAAGAAGCCTCTTTGGGAACGTGCACCTTAAGTCTTCCAGGCCGGGCAAGGTGAAATCTTTCTTCTGTGTGGGGTCCTTGAAGGGTGCCAAGGTGAGTCCCCTCCTTCCTACCTTGTCAAGCCTGTTAGGAAACCTGAACCCAGGCAACAGCACTGCCTGACAAAAACATGTTGGGGCCACAGACAGCAGCTACGGCGGCAGTGCTGCACTTCCTAGGAGCCACCTTTAAAAAAAGTAAAAAGAGGCCAGGTGCGGTGTCTCACACCTATAATCCCAGCACTTTGGGAGGCCGAGGCCGGTGGATCATTTGAGGTCAGGAGTTCGAGATCAGCCTGGCCAACATGGTGAAATCCAGTCTTGCCTAAAAATACAAAAATTAGCTGGGCGTGGTGGTGCGCGCCTGTAATACCAGCTACTTGGGAGGCAGAGGTGGGAAAATCATTTGAACCTGGGAGGTAGAGGTTGTTGCAGTGAGCTGAGATTGCACCACTGCACTCCAGCCTGAGAGACAGAGTGAGACTCCATCTAAAAAAAAAAGTAAAAAGAAACGAGTAAAATTAACTTGAATGATGTATTTTATTTAACCGTATATATCCAAAATATCATGATCTCAACATGTAACAATATAGAAACTATTAATGAGACATTTGACGGCCTTTGTTCTGCACTAAGCCTTTAGAAGCCAGTGTGCACCTCACACCGAAGGCACATTTCCATCAGACCAGCCACGTCTCACATACAAGGTGCCACAAGAGGCTCGTGGCCCAGGATCTGGCAGCACAGCCATGCTCTGGGCCTGGCTGGGCCACGTTCTCTCTTCCTGACCTAGAAAGACAACCACTCCACCAAGGAATAACAGGTGCCCAGAAAAATAGTTCTGGATAGAAACGGCCATGAAATTTACCATCATATCCTTCTCCCCATATTTAAATCCTATACCATTGCATGAAGCTCACCTTTGTGCTGAAAAAAGGAATAAATGACTTTAACTCAGATCTTCCAGATATTCATCCCAGTGTTCCTTTTTTTCCCAGTATATTACAGTGTGGACCAGCATCGAGAGACCAGAGTTCTAGAACCCACGGTGGGACTTAGAGTGAGTTGCTTCTGCCTGGCTGGTTTCAACATCAGTCATTGAGCATGTTGGACTAGCTCAGTGATATGGTTTGGATCTGTGTCCTGCCCAAATCTCATGTTGAATTGTAATCCCAGTGTTGGAGGTGGGGCCTGGTGGGAGGTGATTGGATCGAGAGGGTGGTTTCCCATGAAAGGGTTAGCAACATCCCCAAGTGCTGCTCTCGTGACAGAGTTCTCCTGAGATCTGGTTGTTTAAAAGGGTGTGGCACCTGCCCCTGCTCTCTCTTTCTCCTTCCCTGTCATGTGACGTACAGGGTCCCCTTTGCCTTCTGCCATGATTGTCAGTTTCCTGAGGCCTCCGCAGAAGCTGAGCAGAGGCTGCCATGCTTCCCGTACAGCCTGTGGAACCGTGAGCCCATGAAACCTCTTTTCTTTATAAACTATCCAGTCTCAGGTATTTCTTTATAGCAGTGCGAGCACGGACGGACACGCTCGGTTCTCCCTAGATACGCTCATGGCTCTTTGTCTTTGGTACATTAGTGGGCGTTAAAGAAAAGATCCTATGTTGGAACTCTGTCCTGAAAACCTCTGGCTTTGGTGTTTTCACTTCCTCAAGGACGTCTCAGACCCTGTGATGTGCTGGTATAAATTTCCCTACAGCAGAGAGCTGATACGAGGTGGTCCCCACCTTACTGAACCTGGAATGTTTTCTCACGGGGCACCTCTTCCCATTTTTTTTTTTTTTTTTGAGACGGAGTCTCGCTCTGTCACCAGGCTGGAGTGCAGTGACATGATCTCGGCTCACTGCAAGCTCCACCTCCTGGGTTCACGCCATTCTCCTGACTCAGCCTCCCAAGTAGCTGGGACTACAGGCGCCTGCCACCATGCTCAGCTATTTTTTTTTTTTTTTTTGTATTTTTAGTACAGATGGGATTTCACCATGTTAGCCGGGATAGTCTCGGTCTCCTGACCTTGTGATCTGCTTGTCTTGGCCTCCCAAAGTGCTGGGATTACAGGCATGAGCCAACCTCTTTCCCTCTTAAGGGACATTGGGTGTCATGGAACACAGGACAGGGACTCTGGACTAGCAGTTCTCCAAGACACGCTGCTCCTCTGACACCCTATGATCACAGGGCTTTAAAAGTAGGGGGTGACTGGGATCTCCTGCCAGACAGAATGCCAAAGTGTGTTAGGCCCCTAGGACTGCCATGGCAGAATATCAAACACGTTATAGCTTCAAACAACAATTAACAACTAGTATCTCATCATTCTAGAGGCCAAAATCCTAAAATCAGGGTGTTGGCAGGGTTGGTGCCTTCTCAGAGCTCCGAGGGAGAGACCACCCCTAGCCTCTCTCCCCGCTGGTGGTGGTAGCTGGCAGTCCCCAGCATTCTTGGTGTGTGGTTGCAGCCTTCCCGTCTCTGCCTGCCTCCTCACATGGCTGTCTGTCTCGCTGTGTCCTCTCTTCTTATGAGAACACCAGTCTTTGGATTCAAGGCCCATGTGGGTATTCCAGGATGATCTCCTCTCCAGGACTTTAAACAACTGCATCTGCGTAGACCCCATTTCCAAAACGGTCACATTATGAGGTTCTGGGTGGACACGAAATTTAGGGGAACACTATTTGATCCATGACAACAGGGAATCCTTATGTTTGAGAAAAGGCAAAATAGGACAGGCAGGACTGCCCTACCTTTGTCAATGTTGCTGTTTGCAAAAAGGGTCTCTTACACAGTCCTATTCTAGCCTGTTTTCCTGTGTCCTGGAAGAACAAAGGTACTTGCCAAGGCCGCTCTTCAGCCTTGCTGGACCCATGGTCCCTCCACAACCCATCTCGGTGTGTTGGGAGGAACTACAGGGGTGCAGATGAGGAAGGACCTGGGTCTCCTGCAGGCCTGGTGAGCCGACTAGTGCAGGGTGTGCCCCATCTCTCTTCTTTTGCTAATGTCACCACGTTCCACAGGATGTTGGCAGCAAGTACAGTACTGGCAGGGTAAAAGGGAAGGACTCCTGGGAACAGAAAGGGCCAGTAGGCTTTTTAATTTTACTTTATCTTTATTTATTTATTTTTTGAGACTGAGTCTTGCTTTGTCACCTAGGCTGGAGTGCAACGGCACAGTCTCAGCTGGCTGCAACAACCGCCTCTGGGGTTCAAGCGATTCTCCTGCCTCAGCCTCCCTAGCAGCTGGGATTACAGGTGCCCACCACCACGCCTGGCTAATTTTTGTATTTTTAGTAGAGACGGGGTTTCACCATCTTGGCCAGGCTGGTCTCAAACTCCTGACCTTAGGTGATCTGCCGGTCTTGGCCTCCCAAAGTGCTGGGATTACAGGCATGATCCACCACGTCTGGCCCCAGTTGGCTGTTTAAAAAGCAGTTCTCAGCGGGGCGCGGTGGCTCACGCCTGTAATCCCTGGCTCGTGGGCTGCCTCACTGCAGTCTCTGCCTCCACCTTCACGTGCCTTTCTCCTGTCTCTGTGTCTGTCGCTTCTCCGGAGTCTTTGGACTTAGCGCCCACCCTACTCAGGTCTGACCTCACCTCACCTTGATTCCATCTGTAAAGGCCCTGCTCCCAAATAAGGTCACCTCCAAGATACCGGGGCTTAGGACTTGGATGTGTCTTTTTGGGGCCACCATTCAGCCTGCGACAGTGGGGAAGACGCCTGCACACAGGGAGAGAGCCAGTGCCCGCCTCACCCCTCAGCACATGGGGCCATTTGCAAAAACCAGAGATGTTCCAGGGGAAGGCGAGGAGGAGAACGGACACCCTCTCAGGGAATAGCTGTGAAACCTCAAGCGTACAGAGCCCCACACTTCCTTAACTGGAGACTGAGAAATCCCAATCCAAAACATCCCAAGAACAAAGCCCGGGGCTGCTGGTGTCTTCTCCCCGTATCTCAGGTCAGGCTTCCACACGCTTCAAATCCGGGCCAGCTTGCTTTTAACCCCTGCCGGCAGTGTGTGCGCCCAGAGGCCTCGGCTCCCTTGGGCTCCTCCCCAAAGTCAACAGGCTCAGGTTGCAGGGCCCTTTGTGCAAGAGCAGTCTGCTCCATCAGGTTACAGGGCTCTGTGTGCAAGGGCAGCCTGCTCTGCTCACCCACGGCCGGCTGGGCCTGAGGCTGGCCCCCAGCCACTGTACAGGGGCTTTGGACATGCGCCCTGCACACAGCTCCATCCCAGCCCCACTGCCCACTTGGAGCCTGGCACCTCCAGTCTTTGCCCGCAGGCCTTGCGTGAGCAGCCCGAGCTTGCCTGTAGCCTAGGAAAGGGGCTGGGCTGACGAGGGGAAGAGATTGTGAATGGGAGTCTGGAAGGTCACCGCAGTGGAAGGCGGTACCACCAGCTTCAGAGTCAGCCTGGAGCCAGGTTCTAACCCAGCTCCGTCTCTTTCTGGGAGTGGAAACTCGTAGCCACTCAGTTTCCTCATCTGTAAAATGGGATAACGGGAGCAGCCCTCAATAGGGTTGTGGGTTACAAAGAAAACATGAGGCCTGGCTGTCAACAATTGATGGCTGTAGCTTTTATTACGTTAATGCAAAAACCACAATGACTTTTGCACCAACTTAACTTTATCCTTGGCCTCACATTCCTCATTTGCAGATGGAGGAAAACAACCTCCAGACCCGGTCCAAATCCTGCTGCGGCCTCCACTCCCGGGGCGATTATGCTGTGCCTGCTCTGAACTGGCAGGCACAGCTGGTCTTCACTCGTTTGGGACACCCCAGTCCCCAAGGCAGCTGAATCCCTCTCTTCCCTGTTCCTTTAGGGTCAGCTCCTGGCCTGAGGTCAACCTCCTGGGCTGGGAGCCGGCACTGGGCACTGGGCTCAACGCGAGGCTGCTGCCGTTGACAAAGTCTTGATGCTTTTTGAACAAGGGACCCGCATGTTCGCGTTGAACTGGGTCCCCTTGAATCAATCATATGGCTCGTCCCGCACTGGCCTAAAGGGATTCTAGAGCTTCCCTCACTCAGAAGCCAGGACCCTGGTCGGGTGGGAGGAGACGAGAAAGAAGGAAGGTTGCCCTAGCTCCCAGGGAGGGGACTGCAGACCGGAAAGCAGGGAGCTGGGGATGGAAATGCTCAGATTCCCTGTGACACATCAGCAGGATGACTGGGCTTTCATCCTCCTGGGTGGGACATGCCTCCCTCAAGCCTTGCTGCTGGGCACATTATCTGTCCAACATGAAAAAGAAGAAATGAGAAAAAAAAAGAAAGAAAGAAGAAAGAAGAGAGAGAGAAAGAAAGACAAAGAAAGAAAGAAAGACAAAGAAAGAAAGAAAGAGAAAGAAAGAAACAGAAAGAAAGAAAGAAAGAAAGAAAGAAAGAAAGAAAGAAAGAAAGAAAGAAAGAAAGAAAGAAAGAAAAGAAAGAAAGAAAGAGAAAGAAAGAAAGAAAGAAAAGACTCAGGCTGGGTGCGGTGGCTCACACCTATAATCCCAACACTTTGGGAGGCTGAGGCGGGTGGATCACCTGATGTCAGGAGTTCAAGACCAGCCTGACCAGCAAGGTGAAACCCTGTCTCTACTAAAAATATAAAAATTAGCTGGGCGTGGTGGCACGCACCTGTAATCCCAGCTACTTGGGAGGCTGAGGCTGAAGAATTGCTTGAACCCGGGAGGCGGAGTTTGCAGTGAGCCAAGATTGCACCACTGCACTCCAGCCTGGGTGACAGGGAGCGACTCTGACCCAAAAAAACAAAAAACAAAAAACAAAAAACAGAAAAAGAAAAAAAGAGAAAAAGACTCAAACAGGGCAAATTCCAAAACCTGGACTGTTGCTCCAGTTTTTGCACTGGGGGGCGCATGAAACAAGGAGCATGGATGGCATCTTGGGGAGTTTTGGCTCTGCGGGGAGAAGGAGGTTCTTGGAGGGGTGGGATGGGGCCGGGGGAAAGACTCTAGTTTAGAGCCGAGTGGGAGCCTCTCACATTGGGGAGGTTGCTGCAGCCTCTTTGCTGAGTCCTTAAGGGAACTGCAGAGCAGACTATGCTCAAAGGTCGTCACGGCAGGGCAGGCCTCGAGGGGGCCCCACAACTGGGTCTCTGACGTCACCCCATGCAGGCTGGCAGTGCTCCCCTGGGGGCTGCCCACTATTCCCTCCTTTTCTCCTGGTCTTCCTTCCTTGGCTCTTGAGTGCCACTGCCCATGTAGCCACGCTGTGCCCAAGGGGATGGCCCGCCCTCCCTGCATCACCCCTATTGGCCCCTTGGCCCCTGTGGTAAAGTCCACCGTTTCTACCCTTTGGTCCCAGGCTCTGCATATTGTCCCCCTCCATGCCTCCAGCCTGTGGTGCTCCAAGACAGCCAAGAGACCCCAGGCTCACCCCCGTTACGGCGTCCCAGCTGCCATGGCGGTGTCAGCGCTGTGGGTATGAACTCACTGGCTCTGGTTCTTTATACAAAACCTATATATACATATTCCTCCTGAAATGTCCTGAAACTTCAAAAGACAGAGAAAAGCCTAATCGACCCTGTAATTCCAACATCCAGAGAAAATCTCTTGTAACAGGCTGGTGTCTTTTCAGTGTTGGCTGCAGGCAGTATGCGCTGTTTTAAAGCATGAGGCAAAGTGTACGGGTTTGGGTCCTGCACCCCTCACTTGACAGCACAGAGTGAACACCCGCCCCCCTACCACCACCACTTAGTCTCTATTGGGGCTGGGGAGCTAAGGGGCTGCTGGGAGATGGGTGAAGGAAGGGGGCGCTCCAGGCCCCCCCAGGAGAGTGATATTCTACACACAGAAATAAGGATTTTCAGGGCTAAAATATTGTTTTAATGTATATTGTCGTATGTAGTGCAGCCCACTTAGAGACAATGTGTGCCAAGCCTCCATGGCACACAGGAGCCGCACGACATACGAACATATACATTACTTAGTGGTATATTTTGATGATCTCTGAGTATTGCCCACCCCCAATTCCCTGCATCTCCCTAGAAAGGAAGCTTCCCGGAGGAGGTCACCCCTCCCTCTCACCCCCTCCCTCTCACCGACGTGCCCACCCCTCCCTCTCACCCCCTCTCTCTCACCGACGTGCCCCCACGCTGCACGCAGTGTTCGAGGTGAGCTCCTGATGACTGGGAAGGCCATGTTCCTGGACTTGGGGCCCAGTAGTCAAGGGCGTGTGACCTTGAGGCTTTCCATATAGAGCGCCAGCCCCGGGGATCATTTTCACATCACAAATAGAACAAAAAAGAGGGAGAGAAAGTAAGGAGAGAAGAAAATTGGGGAAAGGTAAAATAAAAATGGAAGAGAAATGACTCTTTGAGTTTAAAGGCAGCGGTGATCACAGGGGAGGAAGGAGGGAAAGAGATTTTGGAGGAAGAAGGAACCAAAACGCACATCACACTTACTGAACGTTCTCACCTGCCAGCTTGGTTCTAAGAGTGTTGCATAGCAGCTCATTTAAGCTTCACAACTCTCTGAGTGGATGTCATTATTGTCTCTGTTTTCTGTGGGAGGAAAAAGAGGCACAGAGAGGTTAAGTGACTTGCCCGAGGTCACACAGCCAGTGGCGACAGAGCTGGGACTTGTACCGGGGAGTCATCCTCTTGACCCCTAAGTTACAGACTAGAGTGGAGGATGGGACATTTGTTGAGCCCTTGACCCTCCCCTTCAACCCCTTGTCCCAAGGGGAGGGACAGAAGGGCTGGGCTGAAAGAGCCTGGGGCAGTGTGGGGCCAGCCTGGGGAAACCCCACCACAAGCCACCAAACTGGATGTCTTCTCAGCGTCAAGGTCATGGGGCCAAGCTTTTCTTTTTATTTTAAAGCAAACATGGACAGTTTATGGAACAGGATGACTGTATTCCACAGCCTTCAGAGATAACACGACGTCTTCGAAGACAGTTTCAATTCCGAGGAGACAACTCAGGATGCAACTTGGCTTTCCTCTGCCTCAGGTGGGGCTCTGTTCCAGGAAAGATTTGTGAGGTGCCAGCTAGCTAACTGTCTTCATTTTACTGCTGCAGGAGTTCTGCCTGGTGAGGTCCTGGGACTTTCCCAAATACTGATGTGAATAATTAGTGGCAGAGCTGGGATAGAAGCCAGATTTTCTTTTTCTCAAATATTCAGCCACTCCAAGCTGTCTCCTGTGGGCTTGTCTGGGGTTAGACCAGTGGAACAAGGTGCCAAGCCCGTGACCCTGCAGCCAGCGCCACAGCCCCTGAGTGCTCACTCAGCCGTGCAGGGAAACCACAGGGGTCACATGCCCACCATGCACGGCCCAAGGCCCAGCCCTCTGCCCCCTAACCAGCTTGAACATGTACCCTGGAGGGTGTCTTCTCCCATGTGACAATAGGTTTAAAGGGACCAGGTGTAGAGCAGAAGTCAGACTGGGTCTTCACACACAGGATGTTCTCAAACTGGGTATGTCTAACATGGGGTGGGGGTCATCGCAGGCTGGCAGAGCTGGTGATGTTTTTTGTGGCTGTTTTGCTTAACCAGGGTAGGATGCGTAATAACTCACCACTTGTGGCACCCTGCACTCACCAGCCAGACGGACACTGCCATGTGCTGGAGCAGGCTCCCAGGGACACCTGCGGGCCAGGACCTCCCCCTCCAGCTGCTGGATGGTGGGAAGGCCCCATGGGGAACACTTGGAGGGTCTTGGTGAAGCAGCTATTTCTGAACAGGCCCAGTTGTATTTCAGGGATAAGCAGCCCAGCCCTGCTGTCTCCATCCTCAGCTCAGTCTTGGCCCAATGCAACCTCCACCTCCCCGGCTCAGATGACTCTTCCTGGGCTCAACGAGAGGCTGTCGCCATCTGTAAAGTCTTCATGCTTTTTGAACAAGGGATCCGCCTCCCGAGTAGCTGGGATTCGGCTGGGACCTCAGCCTCCCGAGTAGCTGGGACTACAGGTGTGCACCACCACGCCTGGCTAATTTTTGTATTTTTTTGTAGAGATGGCGATTCGCCATGTTGCACCAGACCCAAGCAATCTCCCCGCCCTGGCCTCCCAAAGTGCTTGGATGACAGACATGAGCCACAGTGTCCGGCTTCGGCTGAATCTTCTTCAGGGCCTCTCTCCAGGTTGAAGCCAGGGAGTGGGTGGTGGCCTCAGTCTTCTGAAGTTTTAAGCAAGCAGGGGCCCTCTGCAGGCTCCTTAGTGGTTGCTGGCAGGATCCAGTTCTATGAGCCTGAGGGTCTCAGTTCCTTGCTGGCTGTTAGCCAGAGACTGTCTGTGTAGTTCCTCGACATGTGGATCTAACACAGCTTGTTGCTTTACCAAAGTGAGCAAGCTGAGAAGGCCATACAGAGAGAGTCCCGCAAGAAGGAAGTCAGAGGTTTTTGACACCTAGAGCAGAGATGTTCCATTACTCTTGATGCATTCTGTCCATCAGAAGCAAGTCACCAGGTCCAGCCCCACTCATGAAGAAGGAGTCACACAAGGAAGCAAATTTCGAGAGGCGATCACCGAGGGTCATCCCAGAGGCTACCCAGCCAGCCCTGAGTATTCAGGGTGGAGTTAGCTGGACACAGCGGTGATGACTGATGCCCACTGTGCACTGCTTGTTTGCCAGCCCTGTGCTCAAGGCCTTCTGTGAATTACATCTGACTCCAGGACGTGCATCCTGTTGGTCTTCCTGCTCACATCTAGTAGCACAGAGAAGGTAAAGGGACTGACGAGGGCAGAGCCTGGTGCTAACCCCCCATCCTCTTGATGCCATAGGCTCAATCTGATCACTAGCCATGATCTTGGCCTTTCTCAAAGTGCAGGGGTTTGCTCTAAGTGGGCTTCCTGAAGAAGGTGGTATTGGGTGCAATTATGAAGGAAGGAGACGCTGGTGACATAACAACCTGGATGAAGGATGTTCTCACTGCGGAAATGGCAGGTGCCAAGATGTGGTTCCCTGATGCTGGGCTGTGGAGGTGGCGATATGGCCTGAGGCTAACTCCATTTGCACATTCTGGACACTGCTACCCTCTGGAGATATGCTGCTACTCTTGGTATTTGTATTTGTCAGTTTTCTCGCTGCTGATAAAGACATACCCCAGACTGGGCAATTTATAAAAGAAAGAGGTTTATTGGACTTACAGTCCACATGTCTGGGGAGTCCTCACAATCATGGTGGAAGGCAAGGAGGAGCAAGTCACATCTTATGTAGATGGCAGCAGGCAAAGAGAGTGCTTGTGCAGAGAAACTCCCATTTTTAAACCCATCAGATCTCATGAGACCCATTCACTATCATAAGAACCGCACAGGAAAGACCCGCCCCCATGATTCAATCATCTTTCACCGGGCCCCTCCCACAACATGTGGGAATTTTGGGAGCTACAAGGTGAGATTTGGGTGGGGACACAGAGCCAAACCATGTCAGTATTCTTGATAACAACCCCATTGCCACCCAGCCAACGTTGACTCTTGGCCTGGGTTTACAGGTGACAAAATGCCAAACAATGACCAAGCCACCTCTCGAGGCACTCTCATGACCATGTGCCCTGTCTGGGCTCCTCCCTGCACACAGGCATCACAAACCACAAGCGCAAGACAAACACATTGCACAATGCCAGGAGGAAGTGCACCGGTGTTAGCATTGGCGACCACCCGAGCGTCTCAGATAAATCAGTCCTTTCCCCATCTGGGGATCTGTTCTTCTGTTAGTTACAAGTACAAGGGTCTGCCTGCCTCACACGGATGCAGATGTTTTAGAAGTCAGTTTTCTCTGTGTTTCTTGCTCTGGTTCAACAAGTAAGAGCCGAGAGACAGAATTTGGAGCCAGAAAGCCAAGAGGTTGACATGGCAGCGGCGGTTCTGTCGGTGGGGCTCTCCCCCAGGCTGTGCACTCGGAGAGCCTCATGTGCAGGTCTAAGCTCTGCTGGCTCGCAGCCACCAGATGGGAGAGGGTGTAGGAGTTCCCTACAGCAGCGGTGACAAAGGACCACAAAACGGGTGGTTTAAAACAGTAGAAACGGATTCCCTCACAGTTCTAGAGGCCAGACGTCCACAGTCAGTTTCACTGGGCTGAAACCAGGGTGTGGGCAGGGCCGGTCCCTCTGGATGCTCTGGGGAAGGTCCTTCCCTACACCTCCCAGCTTGTGGTGGCTACCAGTGTTCTCCAGGGCTTGTGGCTGCACTGCCCTCATCTCTGCCTCCATGGCCACGCTGTCTCCTCTTCTGCAGTGAAGTCTTCCTCTGCCTTCCTCTCACATGGTCTCTTGCAATGCCATTTAGGGCCCACCTGGCTAATCCGGGATAATTTCCCCACCTTAAAATCTTTAACTCAATCACATCTGCAAAGTCTTTTTTTTTTTTGCCATGTCACATCACATTCACAGTTCCAGGTATCCAGATGTGACTATCTTTTGGCAGCCATTATTCAGCCTCTGACAGACAGTAACTGCAGGACAAGGAGATGCCCTTGGCCATCTGTTAGGCTCTGGGGAACCTCTGACCTCTGTCTCTGCACTGTAGGTGCCCACTGACACCCATGGAGGGCAAGTCTAGACTGGCGAAGGTAAGAAAACATGTTGGGGTTGGAGATGACCTTGGTACCCAGAGGGCACCCCTGGTGAGGGTCATCTCTTCATCTTCTCCTTCCTCCTGTCATACCCCAGGGCTGCATGGGACACCAAGACAACGACCACGCCCACCTCCAACCCAGAAAGCACAAACTCCAGGAACGTCCCAGGCTGTCATCCTGGGGCAGAACCAGCATTGTGTGTCATGTTCCTGCGGCCTAGGCATGGCAACAGTGGGTCTCCACCCTGACCCTGAGTCGAGGGGTGAGTTTGAATCCTATCCCAGAGTGCATCACGGTCTAGGATCCTGTCCTTGTGGGTTCCTAGTGGGACATGAAGGCGGGGCAGCTGGGGCCTGGGAAGGAGGTGCCTTAGTACACAGGACTTGGCCCAGCAGGCCAAGCTAAGACACATGCACACACACAAATGTCCACACACACGCACATGTTACCCAGCAGGCCAGGCTAACACACACGTACACAGGCACACACATGTGTCCACACACACGCACATCCACAGGGTGTCCTGCAGGCTAGGCCAGTTGCCCACTCCCTGTTGTTCCCACTCCCTGATGTTGCCCACTCCCAGGTTAATTGGGGAGTAGCCACTCCCAGGCTAGTTGCCCACTCCCTGATGTTGCCCACTCCCAGGCCAGTTGCCCAGGCTGTTCCCACTCCCTGATGAAGCTGCTCTTTCTTGGACTTGTTCTGCTGGTGTTGAGCCATGGAGACTTTGTCTGGGGTCTGCAGGGGTCAGTGCCCAGAGATGCAGGGACCCTAGTCCCTGCTTGCTCCACAGGCTTGCTCTGATGAGTGGAGAGAAGTTGTTGAAGGTAGGAGGGTGAGTAACTGCACTGCTGTTGACCGAGTTGGGAGGAAGGAAGATGGGAGACCCCTCCCAGGCCCACCCTGCTGGAGTTCCCAGAAGGAGCACCCTGAGGAGTTCACTCTTGACCAATGAATTTCACTCTCCTCTGTCCCTCCAAGACCCAGGAGACCCAAAAGGCAGGGGTCTGGGTTCCAACCCAAATCCCAAATCTCACCTCTAATTGTAGTAATCCCCATGTGTTGTAGGAGGGACCTGATGGGAGGTCATTGACTCATGGAGGTGGGTTTTTCCCGTGCTGTTCTTGTGATGGTGAATAAGTCTCATGAGATCTGATGGTTTTATAAAGGGCAGTTCCCCTGAACACGCACTCTTGCCTGCCACCATGTAAGACGTGCCTTTTTGCTCCTCCTTTACCTTCTACCATGATTATGAGGCCTCACCAGCCATGTTGAACTGTGAGTCCATTAAACTTCTTTTCTTTATCAATTACCCAGCCTTGGGTATGTCTTTATTAGAAGTGTGAGAATAGGAGTCAGGTTCCCACTGCCTAGGTTAAGGGCATGCAGTCACAGAGTGGCTGCTCCCAGATTCCCTCTTTAGCACCCCAGTGTGAATTTCCCGAGGCTGTTGTAACAAATATAACACCATGCACTGAGCAGCTGAAAACAACAGACATTTATTCCTGGTGTGGGGGCCACAAGCTTGAGATGTAAGTGTCCGCAGGGTCATGCTCGCTCTGAAACTGGAGGGAGGGTCCTTCCTGCTGCTTCCAGCTTCTCGGTGCCCCTTGGCTTGTGGCCACACCACCCTAGCTTCTGCCTCCATCTTCAAACGGCCTCTCCCTGTGTGTTTCTGTCCAGATTTCCTTCTTCCTATAAGGACGGCAGTCATCCTGAACCAGGGCCTGCCTTAATCCAGTCTCACTGCAGTTTACCTTGAATATATATGCGAAGATCCTGTTTCCAATAAAGTCATATGCACAGCGCCAGGGGTTGGAACTTGAACACATCTTTTTGGAGACACAACTCAACCCCAGCAACTCGGTGGGTGAGACCTGATACCAAAGCACACACCCGGCTGACAGTGTTGGTGTGGAGCCGGCAGCTCTGTCCTTGTCTCTGTGGAAATAAGGTTATTGTGGCCACAGCTATTAATCAAGAGCTGTTTGTTGATAGCTCCAGAGAGACAGCACGATGGAGATGCCAGGATTTCACCCAGAAGGGAGCTGGAGCCCGCCGGAGAAAAGGAGGACAGACAAGCCGCTTCAGGGAATCCCGTCTATACCCAGTGTTGGGGTCATTGGACCTAAGCAGTCAAAGTCCACACCTGTCAGACATCTTAGAATATCAGGAAAAGGATCAGAAACACCAGCCTGAAACGTCAGGGGAGCAGACGTGAGCCGTGGGGAACCTCGAGACAAAACCTTTTTCTTTTTTTTTTTTTCTCTTTTTTTTATTATACTATAAGTTTTAGGGTACATGTGCATATTGTGCAGGTTAGTTACATATGTATACATGTGCCATGCTGGTGTGCTGCACCCACTAACTTGTCATCTAGCATTAGGTATATCTCCCAATGCTATCCCTCCCCCCTCCCCCCACCCCACAACAGTCCCCAGAGTGTGATATTCCCCTTCCTGTGTCCATGTGATCTCATTGTTCAATTCCCACCTATGAGTGAGAATATGCGGTGTTTGGTTTTTTGTTCTTGCGATAGTTTACTGAGAATGATGATTTCCAATTTCATCCATGTCCCTACAAAGGAACATGAACTCATCATTTTTTATGACAAAACCTTTTTCAACAGTTGAGCTTTGCAGTGTTGGTGAGGTAGTACATGCTGTTGCCTGAATTTAAATTCCGGTTTGTTATTTTCATTATTTTTAGAGTTCCTCCTTGCTTTGATACAGCAAATTATTAGTAGTATTATTAATTTTATTTATTTATTTTTGAGATGGAGTTTCGCTCTTGTTGCCCAGGCTGGAGTGCAATGGCACGATCTCAGCTCACCGCAACCTCCGCCTCCTGGATTCAAGTGATTCTCCTGCCTCAGCCTCCCAGGTAGCTGGGATTACAGGCATATGCCACCACGCCTGGCTCATTTTGTATTTTTAGTAGAGACAGGGTTTCTCTATGTTGGTCAGGCTAGTCTCGAACTCCTGACCTCAGGTGATCCGCCCACCTAGGCCTCCCAAAGTGCTGGGATTACAGGCGTGAGCCACCTCACCTGACATATTTTTTATTTTACTTTAAGCTCTGGAATACATGTGCTGAATGCGCAAGTTTGTTACATAGGTATATGTGTTCCATGGTGCTTTGTTGCACCTAACATCCTGTCATCTAGGTTTTAAGCCCGCATGCATTAGGTATTTGTCCTAATGCTCTCCCTCTGCTTTACCCCCACCCCCCGACAGGCCTCGGTGTGTGATGATCCCCTTCCTGTGTCCACGTGTTCTCATTGTTCAACTCCCACTTAAGAGTGAGAACATGCAGTGTTTGGTTTTCGATATAGCAAATATATAGTGAAGCATTGTGCAAATGATCTCCAGGATTCACAGTAGGAGGACAATTGTGTCAGGGCCCGGAGCAGGATACCCCTAAATACAGCACTTTGGGATGCTGAGTATTTTAAGCTGGAGGAAGCTGGAAAACCACAGAAGTAGGAAGTTCTGTCCGTGACCTCCCTTCCTTCTCTCCTGAAGACTCTCATGTGACAGGTGTCCTGCCCCACATCCAGAGGAAAGGAATGAAGACCCAGAGACCCTGGAGATGAGTCTGAAGAAACAGGCCTTGCTAAGTTCCCTGTCGTTCATTATGATTAAATCATACCTTCTCTTGGTCCAATTACACTTTTACATGACTATCCCTTCTTCATTAAATCTAAGCATAAAAATACAGTTTTCCCTGTATTTTGGGCTCTCTATATCCGAAGACTCATGTGTTATGTAAAACTTCGGTTAAATACCTTTGTTATGCTTTTCTCTTGTTAATCCGTCTTTTGTGATGGGGTGTCAGCCATGAACTTGGCAATGGGTGAGGATAGTATTACTTTCACTCCCCTATCATTGCCGCCCTTGCAATTTGTTCTGCAAAGATGTCTATATCACAAACAAGGCTCATATATGAAAAAGGAGGATGCCAAGTTGTACCAACAACACGGCCACAAATTTATCAAAAGAATAAGGAAGTTTCCTTCCCCTACCCCAGCACTCAGCAGCACACACACTACAGAAAAAGGATTTAAAGAAATCACACCAACATCTCTACCGTGGTTCCCTAGGGAGCAGTAATATGTGTAACTTCTTTTCCTTCACTTTTTAGAGATTGTGACTTGCAGGGTGGATGAAATCCTTGAGGCTTGTCCTGTAGCACTGAGCAAAGACAACCCTTGCTCTATCTCAAACCTAGAACCATGAGCTTTGGAGCCCTTGGAAAGCACCCTGAGTCTCTTTTGTGTGAGCAAGCACTCTTATTTTTGCTGGTTTACTCTGGGAGGAGGGCGGCCAAGCGAACTTTCCCAAGGGCATACCTTCAAGTTTCCAAGCTACTTGAGTCTCAGGGTGAGCAAAGGCTTATCTAGGATTATTTACCCAGTAATAGAAATGGCCCTTTGAGAAGTCTTTCTACCGCGGTGTCAGCAGTAACCCTTAGTTAAAATGTAAATGATTAACACATTCTATGGAAAAGGACATAGAAAGCCCATTAATGCTATATCATAGGACCTACAGATATTATTTGCTGTTGCTTAATATACTTACAAAGTAAAAAGGCTATAAAAGTCCAGAGAGACATGCCAACAAATATCACATTTGCATTGCAGTTTTACAGATTAGATAGAAAGTAAATGGCATGGCTCATATTTCAAAGAGTTTCTTAACACCTATTGTCCACTTGACCAAGGAATGCTACCGACTTCAGCGGAAAGGTTCTTTCTGAGAACCGAAAAATCTGGTGCCAGCTAGACCCCTTCCCAAAGCCACACTAGAAGTCCCCTCTCGGTCCCATGGTGACTTTACAGAACTCGTTTTTCTGGAAGGAGGTTGCCACCTCCTTAGTCTTTGTGCTAATGATCAACCAGGTTAAGTATCGCAATGACGGGAACAGAATATTCCAAGGACATCATTGCCCTTCTCCAGTTGCTAGGCAACACCTCCTTCACCTGAGATAGACAAAACAGGTCAGGGGAGATACCAAAAAGAAGGCTTCTTATTTCAGGTCAGCCCCACTGCCCCTTAGAAGTGGACAGGACAGGCGAGCCTCTCTGGGGGCCACCTACTCAAGTGACATCGTTGTCCTCTCATCTCCAGAGTCCTGGATTCGATGGAATCGACAGTGAAGCCCCTGGGTGTGGCCGGTGTGTGTTACCAAGTGCAATCCCTGGAGAGGAATTCTGCTGCCATCCACTGTCTCTCATGCAGCTGCCACCTTGTGACTGCCGGGGACCTGGTTCAGATGCTGAGTGAGGGTTTATGGGCTCCATCAATGTACTGGATGACAACTTAAAAAAATATCACTCAACCACAGGAGAGGCTCATAATCCCCAGATTCAGCGATTGCAGTTTTTGGATATTTGCTGTCAGTGAAGTGGGATGCTGCAGCCCCTCCCAAGGCCTTTGAGGTCAATGGATAGCATTGTCTGGAAGAGTCTCCAGTGCGGATGCAATGAGGGAGATGGAAGATATGGTCGGCTTTCGGTGCCACATAGGCCTGGCTTTGCATACTATTTACTCATCGTGCAACCTCGGGCAGGTCAGCATTCAGAGACCCTATTTCTTCTTCTTTTGAAAAGTATGTACAGGCCGGGTGCGATGGCTCACGCCTGTGATCCCAGCACTTTGGGAGGCCAAGGCAGGTGGATCACCTGAGGTCAGGAGTTCGAGACCAGCCTAGCCAACATGGTGAAACACAGTCTCTACTAAAAATACAAAAATCAGCTGGGTGTGGTGGCAGGTGCCTGTAACCCCAGCTAATTGGGAGGGTGAGGCAGGAGAATCTCTTGAACCCAGGAGGCAGAGGTTGCAGTGAGCCAAAATTATGCCATTGCACTCCAACTGGGCAACAAGAGCAAGACTCCATCTTAAAAAAAAAAAAGAAAAAGAAAAGTATGTACATATTTTCTCCTAGGAATCAGCCCAACAGAAATGCTTGCACACAAATATATGAACAAGAGTGTTTTTGATGATGTTCTTTGTAATAGCAAGAACAACAGCAAAAGGAAACAAGATGAAGATCGTTAATAGAGGAATGATATTATTTTGGCATATCTGTATAGTGAAATAATACATGAGCATTAAAAAGAAAGAGGTAGAACTGTGTGTGCATGTGAGAAGAAGGGCAAGGTATTTTATAACATGGGCAAACTGATGAGGTATAAGCACATTATAAAAATCTATGTGTAGAGAAACATGTACCTATTACACTTACCTAATGTACATACTGTCAAGACTTATACACGTGTGAAACTCTAACAGCAGGTAACTGTGAACAGCAGTTCTCTAATACCTAATCTATGTTCCACCCGTTTTGCTTATATAAAATAAGACAGGGGGGCTGGGCGTGGTGGCTTACACCTGTAATCCCAGCACTTTGGAAGGCTGAGACGGGCAGATCACAGGATCAGGAGATCGAGACCATCCTGGCTAACACGGTGAAGCCCCATCTCTACTAAAAATACAAAAAATTAGCCAGGTGTGGTGGCACGCGCCTGTAGTACCAGATACTTGGGAGGCTGAGGCAGGAGAATCACTTGAACCTGAGAGGTAGAGGTTGCAGTGAGCCGAGATCACGCCACTGCACTCCAGCCTGGGCAACAGGCAAGCTCCATTTTGAAAAAAAAAAAAAAAAGACAGGGACAGGTGCTTTGGCTCAGGCCTCTAATTCCAGCACTTCGGGAGGCTGAGGTGGGAAGATCACTTAAGCCCAGGAGTTAGAGACCAGCCTGGGCAACATGCTGAGACCCTGTCTCTACAAAAACTTAAAAAATTAGCCGGGTGTGGTGGTGCAAACCTGTAATCCAAACAAGGCTCGAGGCTCATAGGAAGCAAGTGGATGGTGTATCTCCTCAGTTCTTTTTAATTTATAGCAATTCTCTCCCCATCCTTTCCTGACATTTATTTATTGAAGAAATCCTGTTATTTGTCCTAAGGAGCTTCCTGCCTTCTGGACTAGCCTGTTTGTGTCTGTAAGGTGTTGTGTAAAATTTTCCGCTATGGTCGGTATTTTCTGCAAAATGGGAGATCCACAGAAGGGCTGAAACGCAGGTTCAATCCTTTGGACAAGAAGACATCCCAGGAGGTGTTGGGTACCTCCCTCATGGGGGTGTTCAGGTTGTCCCCGACTCAGATGTGCTGGCCTGTCCCCATCAGTTTTTCGACCCTCAGTTTAGCAGCCGATGAGAATCATGGCTTAGAACTACTATTCCACTGGGCATTGCAAAAAAGCGATTTTCTAACTCTTGTTCTTTCTACATTTATAGCTGTAATTCTTCTATAAAGAATAACCTTTCTTCAATATCTATTTACTTAGCCTGAATTGGTGCTTTTTTTTTTTTTTTCTCTGAGACGGAGTCTCGTTCTGTCACCCAGGCTGGAGTGAAGTGGCGTGATCTTGGCTCACTGCAAGCTCCACCCCCCGGGTTCACGCCATTCTCCTGCCTCAGCCTCCCAAGTAGCTGGGACTACAGGCGCCCACCACCACACCCAGCTAATTTTTTCTATTTTTAGTAGAGATGGGATTTCATCATGTTATCCAGGATGGTCTCAATCTCCTGACCCCGTGATCTGCCCGCCTCGGCCTCCCAAGGTGCTGGGATTACAGGTGTGAGCCATTGCACCCGGCCCTGAATTGGTATTTTTATAGAAAAGGCCAAGCACATGATTTATTCTGTCTTTTTATAAATTTTCTGAAAAATTTTTGTTGCCCTAGTAACCTCTAAAGATTTCCAATTATATACACGTGCATATAAAATTATATATCTGCTACTGTAATGGTTAATATTGAGTGTCAACTTGATTGGATTGAAGGATGCAAAGTATTGTTTCTGGGTGTGTCTGTGAGAGTGTCGCCAAAGGAGATTAGCATTTGAGTCAGTGGGATGGGAGAGGTAGACCCACCCTCAATCTGGGTGGGCACTATCTCATCAGCTGCCAGTGCAGCTAGGATAAAAACAGGCAGAGGAATGTGGAAGGACTTGACTTGCTGAGTCTTCTGGCCTCCATCTTTCTCCCGTGCTGGGTGCTTCCTGCCCTCGAACATCAGACTCCAAGTTCTTTAGCTTTTGGTTAGACTCTTGGACCTACACCAGTGGTTTGCCAGGGGCTCTTGGGCCTTTAGCCACACTGATGGCTGCACTGTTGACTTCTCTACTTTTGAGGTTTTGGGACTCTCTGCAAAATAGAGGGGATTCAGATGGCAGATAGGAGGCAGGACTAGCTTGCAGCTCTCACTCGGACAGACAGAGCAGTGTGTGGACACTCACATCATAAACTTTTGCTCTAAGAACTACCGCAAGAACATACCAGGAAAGCTGAGAGAATCCACAGACCCTTTGAAGGAACGGGATCAACGCTGCAAGCTCCATGGGACATGGAAAACCTGTGAGTCCACTTGCTTTCTCAGCGGGGAGGCTCATGGTCTGGGGCAAGTTCTCAGCCCTGGTCACCGGCTGCATGGAAATAGACTTATTGCTATTGGGAGTGCACGGAGGGAGTGAGACCAGCCTTTAGGACTGTGGGCTGCATGGGAGCAGGGTGAGGCCTGCGACTGCTGGCTTTCCCCCACTTCCCTGGCGACCTATATGACTCGGCAGAGGAGGCCATAATCCCCCTGGGAATATAACTCCATTGGCCTGGGAACCACACCCCCATCCCCCACAGCAGCCACAGCAAGTCTTGCCCAAGGAGAGGCTGAGCTCAGACATGCCTATCCCTACCTCTACCTGGTGGTCTTTCTCTATCCACCCTGGTAGATGAAGACAAAGGTCATAATCTCTTGGGAACTCTATGGCCCTGCCCACTGCCTGAGAAACCTGAATACTTAGGGATACCCAGGTGTACCTCAGGCTAGTTTGTTTCCTCCCTACAGGACTGCAGCTGACGTACTCTTGAGAGTGCCACCTTCTGGCTGGAGGGCAACTAACACACCAGCACACTAAACCAAAACACAACCAAGGACCCTCACAGAGTCTACTTCATCCCCCTGCTAACTCCATCAGGGCAGGTGTTGGTATCTACAGTTGCAAGACCTGAGGATGGATCACATCACAGGGCTCTTTGCAGACACTCCCCAGTACCAGCCTGGAGCCTGGTAGCTCCGCTGTGTGGCTAGATCTAGAAGAGCAACAACAATCACTATAGTTTGACTCTCCCCATTCCTAGGGGAAGGGGGAGAACACCACCTCAAGGGAGCACCCCATGGGACAAAAGAATCTGAACAGCAGCCTTGAATCCCAGATCTTCCCTCTGATGTAGTCTACCCAAATGAGAAGGAACCAGAAAAACAATTCTAGCAATATTGTAGCAGGACAAGCCGCAGACAAAACTCCTCAGACACCAAGCTAAAGAAGGAAGGGCCTTATTTGGTCAGGAGCTTCGGCAAGACTCATGTCTCCAACAACCGAGCTCCCTGAGTGAGCAATTCCTGTCCCTTTTAAGGGCTCACAACTCTAAGGGGATCTGCGTGAGAGGGCCGTGATCAATTGAGCAAGCAGCGGGTACGTGACTGGGGGCTGCATGCACCGATAATTAGAATGGAACAGAACAGGACAGGGATTTTCACAGTGCTTTTCTATACAATATCTGTTATCTATAGAAAACATAACCCATTAGGTCAGGGGTCGATCTTTAACTACCAAGCCCAGGGTGTGGCGCTGGGCTGTCTGCTTGTGAATTTCATTTCTGCCTTTTAGTTTTTACTTCTTCTTTCTTTGGAGGCGGAAATTGGGCATAAGACAATATGAGGGGTGGTCTCCTCCCTTAATATGACAAAACAAGTTTACTTAACACCTCCAGAAGGTTATACCAGCTCACCAACAATGGATTCAAACCAAGAAGATATCTCTGAATTGCCGGAAAAAGAATTCAGAAGGTCGATTATAAGCTAATCAAGGAGGCACCAAGGAAAAGTGAAGTCTAACTTAAAGAAATTGAAAACATGATACAGGACATGAGAGGAAAATTCTTCAGTCAAATAGATAGTGTAAATAAAAAACAGTCACAACTTCTGGAAATCAAGGACACACTTAGAGAAATGCAAAATACAGTGGGAAGTCTCAGCAATAGAATTGAACAAGCAGAAGAAAGAACCTTAGAGCTTGAAGACAAGGCTTTTGAATTAACCCAATTTGTCAAAGACAAATAAAAAAGAATAAAAAAATTGAACAAAGACTCCAAGAAGTTTGGGACTATGTTAAATGCCCAACCCTAAGAATAATTGATGTTCCCAAGGAAGAAGAGAAATCTAAAAGTTTGGAAAACTTATTTGAGGGAATAATAGAGGAAAACTTCCCTGACCTTTCTAGGGATTTAGACATTCAAATACAAGAAGCTCAAATAACACCTGGAAAATACATTGTAAAAAGTTCATCACCTAGGCCTATAGTCATCAGGTTATTTAAAGTCAAGATGAAGGGAAGAATCTTACGAGCTGTGAGGCAAAAGCATCAGATAACTTATAAAGGAAAACCTATCAGATTAACAGCAGATTTCTCAGCAGAAACCCTACAAGCTAGAAGGGATTGGGGTCCTATCTGTAGCCTCCTTAAACAAAACAATTATCAGCCAAGAATTTTGTATCCAGCAAAACTAAGCTTCATAAATGAAGGAAAGATACAGTCTTCTCCAGCAAATGCTGAGAGAATTCACCACTAAGCCAGCACTACAAAAACTGCTAAAAGGGGCTCTAAATCTTGAAACAAATCCTCAAAATACACCAAAATAGAACCTCCTTAAAAAAAATCTCACAGGACCTATGTAACACTAACCCAATGGAAAAAAACCAAGGCATTCAGGCAACAAATAGCATGATGAATTGAACAGTACCTCACATCTCAAAACTAACACTGAATGTAAATGCTAGTCTAAATGCTCCACTTAACAGATACAGAATGGCAGAATGGATAAGAATTCACCAACCAAGTTTCTTCTGTCTTCAGGAGACTCACCTAACACATAAGGACTCACATAAACTTAAGGTAAAGGGGTGGAAAAACATATTCCATGCAAATGGACACCCAAAATGAGCAGGAGTAGCTATTCTTATATCAGACAAAACACACTTTAAGGCAACAGCAGTTAAAAAAGACAAAGAGGGACATTACATAATGATAAAAGAACTAGTCCAACAGGAAAATATCACAATTCTAAATATATAGGCACCTAAAGCTGGAGGTTCCAAGTTTATAAAACAATTACTACTAGACCTAAGAAATGAGATAGACAGCAACACAGTAATAGTGGGGAACTTGAATACTCCACTGACAGTACTAGACAGGTCATCAAGACAGAAAGTCAACAAAGAAACAATGGACTCAAACTATACCCTACAACAAATGGATCTATCAGATATTTAGAGAACATTCTATCACTGCAGCATATACATTCTATTCATCAGCATATGGGACATTCTCCAGATAAACCATATGGTAGGCCACAAAACAAGTCTCAGTAAATTTAAGAAAATTGAAATTATATCAAGCAATTTCTCAGACCACAGTGGAATAAAATTGGAAATCAACTCCAAAAGGAACCCTCAAAACCATGCAAATACATGCAAATTAAATAACCTGCTCCTGAATGAACATTGGGTCA
This sequence comes from Homo sapiens, assembly GCF_000001405.40. Taxonomy (NCBI): domain Eukaryota; kingdom Metazoa; phylum Chordata; class Mammalia; order Primates; family Hominidae; genus Homo; species Homo sapiens. The sequence continues at coordinate 41,586,680 of NC_000021.9, read as the reverse complement.
ACAATGATATGAAGATAGAAATCAAAACATTTTTTGAACCGAACAATAATAGTGACACAACCTGTCAAAACCTCTGGGACACAGCAAAAGTGGTGGGATGGGATGAGGGTGGGATGGGATGGGATGGGATGTGGTGTGTGTGGTATGTGGTGTGCAGAGCTGCCCACCTGCCAGGTGACCTGTCCAGGTGAGTGGCACTCCCAGTAGCATGGTGCTGCCCAGGACAACCCCCACGAAACATCCTTCAGGATATTTTCCACGATGCCATTTCCTTGCTTTCCTCTCATCCAGGACTTCATCTTCAGGACTCTGCTAAGATCACCTTTGTTTAAAAACCTCCCCGACCCTTCTTAGCACCAGCTGACATTTCTCCCTCCAGAATCCCTATGACATGTATCACCCACACCAAACCATGCAGTTCATCGTTATGGATTGTCTGGGCTTTAAAATTTATTTCAGTGTATAAATCTCATCTCTCCAAAATGACATCCCCCATAAATGAAAGATAAATAAATACCATATTTCGTTGAGCCAAGGTTGTATTTTTACATCTGTGACACTGGGATACATCTTCTTTTTTTTTTTTTTTTTTTTGAGACAGGGTCTCACTTTGTTGCCCAGGCTGGAGTGCAGTGGTATAATCCTGGCTCACTGCAACCTCTGCCTCCTAGGCTCAGGAGATTCTCCCACCTCAGCCTTCCAAGTAGCTGGGATTGCAGGTGCATGCCATCATGCTCAGCTAATTTTTTGTATTTTTGGTAAAGAAGGGGTTTCCCCATGTTGCCTAGGCTGGTCTGGAACTCCTGGGGTCAAGCGATCCGCCCGCCTTGGCCTCCCAAAGTGTTGGAATTACTGGCATGAGCCACTGCGCCCAGCCCTGGGGCTACATTTTCCAAGTGAGGACGTATAGTAGCTTAGCTGGCAGTTGCCATTTTTGCTTAGAGGTGCATAAAATCATGGAGCATCTGACTATGCATGACGTCTTAGTCTTGGTCAAGCGTGGCCTGTTTCACACGCGTGTGTGTGGTGTGTGTGGCATGTGTGTGGGATGTGGGTGTAAGGTTCGTGTGGTTATGTGTACATGTCATACGTTTGTGTGTATGGATGTGTATGTGTGTGGGTGTAGTGCACAAGTGTAATGTGTGTATGCACGGGGTGTGTGTGGTATGTGTGTATGGTGTATGTGAGGGTGTGTGTGTGTTGTGTTGTGTATGTTGTGTGTGAGTTGTATTGTATGTGTGTCTGTGTGGGGAGCATGTGTGCATGTGGTGTGTGTATGGTATGTGTGTATGTGGGGTGTGCATGTGTGGTGTGTGTGCTGTGTTTATATGTGGTATGTCTGGGATATGTGCGTGTAGTGTACATGGTGTTTGTGTGTGTTGTGTGGTGTGTGCATGTGTGGTGTGTCTGTATGTGCCTGTGGGTTGTGTGTATGGCGTGCATGTGTGTGGTTTGTATGTGTGGTGTTTGTGTGTGAGTGTGGTGTGTGTGGCACATGTGTGTTTGTGTATGGTGAGGGTGTGTGGTTTGTGTGCAGTGTGTGTGTGTGTGTGTGATATGGGTGTTTGTGTGTGGTATGTGTACGGTGTGTGTATGTGTGTGAGGGGTGTCTGGAGTGTGTGGTGTGTGTGTGTGTGGGATGTGTGTGCCTGTGTGGTGTGTGGGGGGGGCTGCGTGTGTGTGGTGTGCAGCATGTGTGTGGTATGTGTGGTGTGTGGGTGTGTGTGTAGTGTGGGGTGTGTGTATATGTGGGGGTGTACGTTTGTGGTATGTGGTGTGTGTGTATATGTGTGGTGTGTGTGTATATGTGTGTGGTGTGTGATATGTGTGTGTGTGGTGTATGGCATGTGTGTGGCAAGTGTGGTGTGTGTGTGGCATGGGGTGTATGTATATGTGTGTGGGGGGTGTATGTGTGTGGTATATGGTGTGTGTGTATATGTGTGGTGTGTGTGGTATGTGGTGTGTGTGTGGGGGTGTGTGTGTGTTATGTGGTGTGAGTGGCATGTGTGGTGTGTGTGGCGTAGGGTGTGTGTATATGTGTGTGGAGGGTGTATGTGTGTGGTATGTAGTGTGTGTATATGTGTGGTGTGTGTGGTATGTGGTGTGTGTGTGGGGTGTGCGTGTGGTGTGTGGCATGTGTGTGGCATGTGTGGGGTCTGTGTATACGTGTGTGGAGTGTGTATGTGTGTGGTATGTGGTGTGTGTGTATATGTGTGGTGTGTGTGGTATGTGGTGTGTGTGTATGTGTGGTGTGTGTAGTATGTGGTGTGTGTGTGTATGTGTGGTGT